>NC_000016.10:83880682-84505682 GCF_000001405.40 Homo sapiens
TTCCTCTCTTAAACCGCTGAAACCATTGACCTGGAGAAAACGCCTTGTTCCTCACAAAGCTCATTATGCCGGGCCCCTCCCTCCCCAGCCTTCCGACTACAGTTCCTGGCAATGTGGCAAAACCGCATCTCTACAAAGAAATACAAAAAATTTACCACATGTGGTGGCACACACCTGTAGTCTCGTCTGCTCGAGAGGCTGAGGCAGGAGGTTTGCTTAAGCCCGGGAGCTCAAGGCTGCAGTGAGCTATGATCATTCCACTGCACTCCAGCCTGGATGATAGAGTCAGACCCTGTCTCAAAAAAAAAAAAAAAAAAAAAAAAGCAAATGAGAGTGACATGGTTTGTTTTTGTTTATTTGAGATAGAGTCTTGCTCTATTGCCCAGGCTGGAATGTAGTGGCGCAATCCCGGCTCACTTCAACCTCTGTCCCCGGGTTCAAGCGATTCTCCTGCCTCAGCCTCCCAAGTAGCTGGGATTACAGGTGTGAGGCACCACACCCAGCTAATTTTTGTATTTTTAGTAGAGATGGGGTTTCACCATGTTGGCCAGGTTGGCCTCGAACTCCTGGCCTCAAGTGATCCACCTGCCTTGGCCTCTCAAAGTGCTGGGATTACAGATGTGAGCCACTACACTTGGCCAAGAGTGATGTGGGGGTTTTTTTGTTGTTTTGTTTTGTTTTGTTTTGTTTTGTTTTGTTTTTGAGATGGAGTCTTGCTCTGTTGCCCAGGTTGGAGTGCAGTGGCGCGATCTTGGCTCACTGCAAGCTCCGCCTCCTGGGTTCACGCCATTCTCCTGCCTCAGCCTCCTGAGTAGCTGGGACTACAGGCGCCTGCCACCATACCTGGCAATTTTTTTGTATTTTTAGTAGAGACGGGGTTTCACCATGTTGGCCAGGTTGGTCTCGAACTCCTGGCATCAAGTGATCCACCTGTCTTGGCCTCTCAAAATGCTGGGATTACAGGTGTGAGCCACCACACCTGGCCAAGAATGATGTGGTTATTAACGTGGATAACTTCAAACCTATTCTTTATGGAGCTACAGTGTCCAAATCTTAAGCATACAGTTCTATGGTTTTTACATAGATACAGATCTGTGTAATCCACTCACATAAAAATAAAGAATTTTCCCAGCACCTCAGAAGGCTCCCTTCCCTGTAAATGCACACACCTCCTACAGATGCAGTCACTGTTCCGACGTTGATCATCATAGATTAGTTTTCCTTCATCTTTCCTTTCATGTCAGTGGAACACACGGTGCATAGTCTGTCTGTCTGTTTTCCTTTACTTATCATCGTGTTTATGAGATCCGTCCATGTCGTGTGTACTGGTCACTTGTTCTTTTTTATTGCTGTGTAGTAGTCCATTCAATGAACATACCGCAATTTATCATTCTCCTGTTGATGGACATTGGCTGTTCACCATTTGTGCTAGTACCTAGAAACATTCTAACGTTTGCCTTTCAGAAGTTCACTCCAATTACAAAAAAGTTTAAATCCCCTACAAACAGCCATGTGTTAACTTTTAACAGTACCCAGTTATTTGGGATAAAACTCATAACTGCTTGAAACCCAAAATGCTGGAGGCACCAGCCACTGCTGACAGCCGAGAGAGAGTGTTGAAAAGCTTTGAGCAGGAGAGTGATGCAGTGGTGTCGGATTTCACAAAAAGCATTCAGGCAGCAGCTGAACACCACCATTTCTGTGACTGAACTGATGCCCTTTCTGGGGGGCAGCCATGTGCTTTGGCCATTGAAAACACAGAGGGTGTGATGGAGAAAAGAGAATGCCCACTGTTGTTAGTTTTGCTTTTCACTCCTGCCATCTCTCATTCCATTTGGAGAAAGCCTACAGCTGAAATTAAACTTTCAGCTCTAGGGGCAAATCTGTTTCTCCTTGTCCTGCGTCTGTCAGAAATGATATCCATTCCGCAGACTAATGTCCCTGTACCATGGTGCAAGCACTTCCCTGCCAGCTCCAAAGCCGGGCACCAGGGAGAGCACAGGGCACTGAGTTCTTGCTGTCCACACCCTGTGCAGATGACCAGGGATCAGCCACCTGCCGCTGTCTCCCAAGAAGAGAAGACAGAGCAATGATGGTTTCATCAAAGCCCCTGAAAGGGTGGGCAAAGCTGGCGTAGGCTTGGCGGCTAACAAATGTGAAATGGGAAGTTTTGGGGGCTGTCATTGGAGCCTTTTTTTTTTTTTTTTTTTCCTGAGAAGGAGTCTCACTGTGTCGCCCAGGCCGGAATACAGTGGTACGATGTCAGCTCACTGCAAACTCCGCCTCTTGGGTTCAAGTGATTCTCCTGCCTCAGCCTCCTGAGTAGCTGGGATTACAGGTGCCTGCCACTACACCTGGCTAATTTTTGTATTTTTAGTAGAGACGGGGTTTCACCATGTTGGCCAGGCTGATCTTGAACTCCTGACCTCAGGTGATCTGCCTGCCTTGGCCTCCCAAAATGCTGGGATTACAGGTGTGAGTCACCACGCATGGCCCATTAGAGCCATTTATATGGTGTATCAGTTCCCACTGCCTTTGGAAGGAACTGCCTCTGGCCACAGCCGATTGGATCAGAGCTAGACACTTGGTTCTGAAGCCGGAAACAAGGTTCAGAGCTGCTTCTCAGCCCCTGCTGGTTCTTCTCTCACACATGAGCTGGGAGAGCGAGAGGGCCTTGAGCTGCCTCTCATCCAATAGGCAAGGTGTGCATGGTCCCAGTCACTAACTGCATCCCAAGTAACTACTGTCCTGACCCCTGACAGCAGAGGTTTTGACAATTTTTGAACTTTATATCATGATATCACACAGAATAGGCTCTCTTGTGTCTGGCCACCTTCACACCATCATCTGTTTGGAGATGCATCCTATGGCTGTGTAGGTTGAGACTTCATTCTCGTTGCCTTGGACTGCTCCACCGTGTGAACGTGCCATGCTTTATTTATGCATTTTGCCATTGATGGATGTGAGAGTAGGCGGAGTGTGTGATGTGATTCTAACCAATAGAATACAGTGGGTATGATGGAATCCACTCACAGTTACATTACACAGGACTGTGACCTCCACCTTTCAAGAGCACTTTCCCCCTTGCAGGCCTTGTTAGAGCAAGTGGCATGTTGGGGAGGCCCCTGTGGCAAGGAAGTGAAGGCGGCCTCCAGTTCACATCCAGAAAGAAACTGAGGCCGTCAGTTTTATAGCCACAAGGAACTGAATTCTGCCAAGCACATGTGAACTTGGAAGTGGACCCTACACCTGCTGAACCTGGAAATGAGACTACTGCCTAGCAGACACCTTGCAATTGTGTTTACAATAGGATTCCAACATATGAAATCCTAACCCCCAAGGTGATGGTATTAGGAAATGGGGTCTTTGGGAGGTGATGAGGTCATGAGGGTGGAGCCTTCATGAATGGGATCAGCGTCCTTATAAAAGAGGCCCGAAAGAGACCCCTTATCCCTTCCACCATGTAGGGACACAGCTAGTAGTTGCCATCTATGAACCAGAAAGTGGACCCTCATTACACACCGAGTCTGCAGCTGCCTCGATATTGGATTCCTCAGCCTCCATAACTGTGAGCAATAAATTTCTATTGTTTATAAGCCACCCAGTCTGTGGTATTGTGTACAGCAGCCTGCATGGACTGCAGCTTTGTGAGATTCGGAAGCAGAGTCCACGACCTAACTCCTGATTCACAGAAACCGTGAGGTCAAAAATATGTGTTGTTTTAATCTGTTAATTTTGTGGCAATTTGTTATGTAGCAATATAAAACTAACACAACGGACATTTGGATAGTATCCAGATCTGGGCTTTTAAACCCTGGGCTACCATGAACATTCTAGTGCATGTCTGTGGAAGCCAAACCGACTCTATCTTGGATGCTAGTCTACCACGTTGGCTTGTGATTAACCCCTGTTCTGGGAAGGTCTTTAAGATTTCAAGTGTATCTATTGTTCCTTGTGTGAGACCAGGTCCTTGCCATGAATCCTGCCCTTAGCCAGGCAACGCTGATGTTGTAGTACTTCAATTGTCCCACACAACCCTTCAGAACTACCCCTCCCCTATGGTGTATAAGCCCTGGATCTCAGCAGCAGTGGCACAGGGATCCACCATCTTGTCCCACTGCCACCCAAGACACAGACATGTCTTCTGTTCCTAAGTCCCTATTAAATGTTTCTTACTAAGACACTGGATTTGTCAGCCTTTTTCTTAGGCTTCTTGGCTTCCTTGCACTTTGGGGTAGGTTTGCACAGCCCTGCCCACCGCAAAACATGTATTTTGGTGAATATACATATATATTCATGTTTGGTATATACCTTGGAGGGAGCTGCTGGGACATAGGAATGCATATGTTCAGCTTTAGTGGATTCTGCCAACAGTTTTACAAACCAAGTTACATTTACATGGGTAAAGATGGGATTCAAACCCAAGTCTGCCCAGCTCGGAATCAATGTCATAGCCTGTGTAAAGATTTGGGATGGGCTAAGGAGATACAAGGATGACTTCTCTTTCCTTGGCACTGATTGAATATGTCTTTATAACTATGTTGAGACTGGCCAGGAGCCAGTATCTCATGCACAGTCATTTCTGCTTATTTAGCATGAGGGGTCTCATAATTTTGAGTTTCATAGTCTCATAATATTAATCCTAAACCTCAGAAGCACCCTCTGTTTTTCTTATCCACAAATATTGGGAGGGCGTCTTAGAATGGATTCTCATCACAATTTAATTAGAAAGGAAATGTTTAAATTGCTACATATGTATTTCCAGGCAGCTCGGAACTGGCCCGTATCTGTAATCTCACTGAGCATACAAAACGGTAACAAATGCGAATGGAACACCTACTATGCTGAGCTCCCACAGAATAGTAAAGCTGCAGAAGGATTATGAAAAATGACAGGCCCCACGCTCACATACCACAGCCCACATGGTACTTGTGCCAGCTATTTATTGCTCGGTAACCAATCAGCCCAAAACTTAGTGACTTAAAACAACAATATTTTGTCTCTCAGGGTCTCAGTGGATCAGGAATTCAGGATGAGTTAGGCTTAGGGTCTCTCGTGTGGTCTTAGTCCAATGATGGCTGGAAGTAGAATCCCAAGGAATTGGAGTTCATGAGGGCTGATCAGTCTCTCTCTCTCTCTCTCTCTCTCAGGGCCTCTCCACGTGGTCTCTTCATGTGGGCTACTTTCGGCTTCCTCACAGTGTGGCATCCTCAGGGGAGCTGAGCTTACTGCTTATTAAGTGGTAGCTGAAAGCTTCAAGAGTGAGGGTTCTAGCAAACAATGTGCAAGCTGCATTGCCTTTTATAGCTTTATCCTGGAGGTCACGCAGCATCACTTCTGCAATGTTCTGTTTGTCACAAGCAAGCAAAAGGCTGTGTCAGATGCGTCCCCTGGGAAGCAGACACCGAGATGGGAGTTAGGAGTCAAGAAGTTGATTGGGAGTCATACCTGAGACAGAGAACGGGAGGAGGAAGCAGAAGGAGGCTGGAAAGGCCTTCAGGACACAGTGTGGCTCTAACAGCTGTAAAGGGAAAGGAGGGGACACGGGATGGTGCAGGAGAGTCTCAGGTGGCAGCATAGATCAGACAGGGTCTTGGCCAACCCACTTCATGCTCTGGGACAAAGAGTCCCATGATGAACAGAAACAGCCAGGCCCTAGACCCCTGCCCTGCTTAGTCATTGGCTGAGACTGTCCAGAAAGAGAGTGGCCTTGGCTTGAAGGCGAAGACACACCCTGGTGGTGCTAACAGGTGCAGACCACACTTACAGCTGAAAAGTAACTCTTTTCTTGAAGGGAGACCTGAGCGGTGAAATCCTCAGCTACCAAACAAGCCCACCCAGATTCAGGGGAAGAGAGTTAGGTTCCACCCTCTGATGGGGAATTGGCGAGATTGTAGAAGAACACGTGGGACAAGAATTGATTCTAGGAAAATTCCAAATTCTTTGGAACCTAAAATG
Organism: Homo sapiens; assembly: GCF_000001405.40. Taxonomy (NCBI): domain Eukaryota; kingdom Metazoa; phylum Chordata; class Mammalia; order Primates; family Hominidae; genus Homo; species Homo sapiens. The sequence goes on from NC_000016.10 coordinate 83,886,641, forward strand.
TGCTATAACACGCAAACATAGCTTGAGCACAGAACGGTGCGTAGGTTGGAGATGAACGTCTTAGGCCTTGGAATCGGCCGGAAATTGGTTCAAGTCTTGGCATGTCCACTGACTAGCTGTGTGACCTTAGGCAAGTTACTTAACCTATCTGAGCCTTAGTTTTCTCATCTGTAAGACTGACAACAGAGTAAAGCCCATCCTTCATGGGTTACTCTGAGAATAAAATGTGATCATACATGTCAAAGTTTAGCACCGTGCCTAACATGTAGTCAGTGTTCAGGAGGGAAAGTACGTCATTATTATTTACTGAGTAGCAAGAAAATCATAACAGTCCAAGACCACTTAGTCTAAGCAATAAGTGACCCACTGTGTCAACGCAGGAGCCCCCAGGAGCATGACGAAGTGCATCCCGTACAATACGGATTTATTCCCAACAAACAGTTTCACACTAACTCGGGTTTGGTGAGGACACTGAGTTATCAAGAAGATATTGACTTGTATTTATTATAGATATTAAATCAGAAATTGTGAGCTTTTATAAACACAGAACAGAAGTCATTGCTCGACACTCTGAGCTCTTTAAAAGCAGGAATTGTGCTTTATTTGTTCTTGTAACACCAGGGCCAACAGCTGGCACGGAGTCATTGCGCCCCAAATGTTCATGGCATTGAATTGCATCTAATAAAGATAAAACTTGGCTTGCTGGAAGATGCGTCGATTCATAACATCTTATGATGCTAGATAAATATAGGTTCTTTTTCTTATCCAAAATGGAAATGGGAAAAAATATGACTCGTTCTTATTATTAAAAGTTATGCATGCTCGTTGTAATTTAAAAAACCCAGGCAACTCAAAAATATGTTTAAAAGACAGTTTTAAAAAACCCATCGCCCAGAAATAACTTCTGTTCACATTTTGGTGAACCTTCTTTCAGAGTGCTTTTCTAAAAAAATTAAAATAGCATCATGGTATAATGTCTTGTAACTCAATATTTTTCACGTGGCAACATACGGCCACCAGATGAGTGAAAGCTGACACAGACATCAGCGGGGAATTCAGAAGGAGGGAGGAAGACAAAGACTGCACTGCTGTTCTCTCGTCCTTTGCATGACCACCATTGTGTGGGCTGCTGGCTGTCCTTACAGGCTTAGCTGACGCTGCAGCCGCCCACCCTCCATGCTTGGACATGCTTGGATCTCTGACCCGGAAGCCCGTCCCTGTCCAGCTCAGCTCTCCCCTCTCAGTCCTATGAGCCATTGTCTCCCACAAGGTCTCTTATTGGTCATCCCTGACCACAGCATCACATACTCTTCTCCCCACCTCAGCTGAAGGGTCTTCGACTCCCTTCCCTTCTTCTCATCTCTGATAAGCAGGAGGACTAACACCACTGGGTCCCTGGGTCCCCAGCACTGTTTCAAGAAGTTTACATAAAATATCCCAATTAATTTTCCACAACTGCTCTAAGGAAGTTAGAGGGAGATGCTGTCACCAGCATGCCCATTTTACAGATTAGGAAGTTGAGACTAGAGAGATTAAGTACCTTGCCTACTGTTACAGCAAGCAAGTGATGGATCTAGGAATGGACACAGAATGAACAGGAAGGAAAGGAGACTCAGTGTCTCTCCCCTGACCACTTAACCACTGTCCTCAATTACAGAACCAGACAAGAGGTGGAAATACATTTAGTGAGTGTTTCCTTAAGAAGCAGCCTCGTTGTATGGGATAAGTATCAATGTTCTTGGTCTCACAGGCAAGGAGATCCAGGCTGCAGACACACACACACACACACACACACACACACACACACACACACATATACAGTGAGTTTGGAGCAGGAGTTTAACAGGCAAAAGGAAAGAACAGCTCTGTATCATGGAGAGGGGTCCGGAGCGGGTTGCCAGGTGGTAGTAAAAATGTCAGGGTTTTTATAACGGGCTAGTGAGGAGGGGATGTCTTCTACTCCTAGAGCCCAACGATTTAGTTGTGACCAGGTGTGCTATCTGTATAGACCAGAGATTTTTTATCAGCTCTCACCCCATTCCCTAACCACCTAGGCCAACTCTTAGTCTGTGTTGCTTATCTGCGAGGGAGAGTTTCTGTGTCTGTTCCCAGGCAGCATCTTGCGGCGGTAGACATCCCCCACAACCCCAATCCACTTTTAGCTCCATATCTTACTTAGTGTGCCTAAAGGAAAGGAATGTGCTTATTAAGGCCCACTGTTTCACTGAGGCCCATTGTATGAGTGTGAAGTTTGGTGATTACCCAGGAGACTCTGCCCTCTTCTATGCTTGAGCTGTCTTATCTGTGTTTTACAGCTTGATCATTCAGCCTGCTTGTTAGAAGAGAAGTGATTTATTTGAACTGCATGATGTTAGAAACAGAGCTAATTGTTTTTTTCGTTTGTTTTTTTTTTTGTTTTTTTTTTTTGTTTTTTTTTGAGACCGAGTCTCACTCTATCACCCAGGCTGGAGTACAGTGGCGTGATCTCTGTTCACTGCAACCTCCGCCCCGCTAGGTTCAAGCAATTCTTGTGCCTTAGCTTCCTGAGTAGCTGGAATTACAGCTACACCACGGCCAGCTAATTTTTGTATTTTTTGTAGAGATAGGGTTTCACCATGTTGGCCAGGCTGGTCTCGAACTCCTGACCTCAAGTGATCCACCTGCCTCGGCCTCACAGAGTGCTGCGATTACAGGCGTGAGCCACTGCGCCCAGCCCTTTTTTTTTTTTTTTTTTCCTGAGACAGGGTCTTGCTTTGTCGCCCAGGCTGGAGGGCCATGGTGTGATTTTGGCTCACTGCAACCTCCACCTCCTGGGTTCAAGTGATCCACCTCCCTTAGCCTCCCAAGTAGCTGGGACTACAGGTACCTGCCATCATGCCCAGCTAATTTTTATGGGGTTTTTTTGTAGAGACAGGGTTTCATCATGTTGGCCAGGCTGGTCTTGAACTCCTGACCTCAGGTGATCCGCCCACATCGGCTTCCCAAAGTGCTGGGATTACAGGCATGAGCCACTGCACCTGGCCTGAAAGGGAGCTATTTCTGAGTTGCTTTTTGTTAGAAGGAAAGTTTTCTGCTGGGGACTGTCTTTACCCTGTCTACCTAAATAATTTCTTTCTGCCTCCTGTAACACTCATATTTTTCCTCCTGTCACTGAAGTGCCAACCCTTGAAGGAAGAGTTTTTTTGTTTTGTTTTGTTTTGTTGAAGAGGAAACTTAAGCTCAGAGAGGTAAAGTAGATTGCTTGGAGTTTCACAGCTAATAAACCAACAAGCCAGGATTTCAACCCACACTGCCCGATGCAGAAGCTGACTTGCTCCACGGTAACAAGTGAGCCTCTGTGTCAATGCGGGAGCCCCCAGGAGCATGACAAAGTGCATCCCATACAACATGGATTTATCTCCAATAATTTCACGCCAGTTTGGGTTTGGTGAGGACACTGAGTTACCAAGAAGAGAGTGACTTGTATTTATTATAGTTATTAAGTCAGAAATTGTGAGCTTGCTCTCCCAACAGATTTGCCTCCACAGTTTTGCTCTACCATATCTAGAAGGGCTGCATGTCTTACTTGAAAGAAACCCATCTTTCGAGTCACCAAACACAAGCATGGCAGCGTGTTGCAGGGATGCTGCAGCCAGACTGCCTGGGCAGCCTCGAACAAGTTACACAACCTCTTTGTGCCTCAGTTACCCTATCAGTGAAAAATGCAGATAAAAATAGTATCTACCTTACAGAGTTGGGAAAGTTCAATGAATGGGTTTATGTGAAGCACTTAGGATGACGCGTAGTACTTAGTAAGAGCAATACCAAGCATTAGTTATGATTACTATTCATAGAGTCCAGAGCTTGATACAAAGTATTACTTTCCCCTTTGCATTTCCTTTTGGAGCAAACAAAGCCAGCCTTGAAAGATGTATGAGTTTCCTGTGGCTGCTGTAACAAATGACCACAAGTTCAGCGGCTTCAAACAACACAGATTTATTTTGTTACAGTTCTGGATGTCAGAAATCCAACACAGATCTCACTGGGCTGAAATCTAGGTGTTAGCAGGGCTTCGTTCCTTCCGGAGCCTCTGAGGGAGCCTCTGTTTCCTTGCCTTTCCCAGCTTCTAGAGACAACCTGCAGTGGCTTCCGGCACCTACCCACCCCCCACATCTTAGCAGCATATAATCCTCACATTTTTCCCTGAATCTGACTTTTCCACCTCCTTGTTACACCCAGATCATCCAAGACAGTCTCCCCATCTCCACGTCAGCTGATTAGCAACCTTAATTCTATCTGCTGCCTTAATTTCCCTTTGCCATGCAACGTAACATATTCATAGATTCCAGGGATGGGGACGTGGACATATCTGGGGGTACATCTTTCTGCCAACCACAGACCAGTAACTAGGAGCCTTGTCAGTCTGATCCCCATTCCGCTTCTCTTTACTCAGGCCTCCCCACCTCAACCCTGACTCCCTATGGTCAAGGTTGGAGCCTCTGCCTCCTGGCACCCTCTTCAGACAGCATAGAAGTCCCTCGTGGCTGCTTACCATTCTCTAAGTCTTACCTGGACTTCTGTCTTTCAGAGTTTAGAAAATGAAGCATCTAGAAGTTCTCAAACTTGTTGATAGGTACCACCTTTCTCAGCTTGAGTCTGAGATGTTGTGTTAAAAGACTCCATCTTGGCTGGGTGTGATGGCTCATGCCTGTAATCCCATTACTTTGGGAGGCCAAGGTGGGCAGATCACCTGACATCATGAGTTTGAAACCAGCCTGGCCAACATGGAGAAACCCCGTCTCTACTAAAAATAGAAAACTTAGCCAGGTGTGGAGGTGCATGCCTGTAATCCCAGCAGCTACTTGGGAGGCTGAGGCAGAATTGCTTGAACCTGGGAGGTGGAGGTTGCAGTGAGCCGAGATTGCACCATTGCACTCCAGCCTGGGAACAGAGCAAGACTCTGTCTCAAAAAAAAAAAAAAAAAAAAAAAAAAAAAAAAAAAAAAAAAAAAAGATTCCATCTCCATCCTGTTCATAATCCTGCTTCTCTCTTATTGGTTCCAACAGCAACAAAATATTATCTGATGGCAGCAAAATGATAAACTACTTCTAATCATTCAACAACAAATATACATTAAGCAGCTACTATATACCAGCTACTTGGTTAGGCAGCAGGTGTCTAAAGATAAGTGAGACATAGATCTTGCCTTTGGGGAGTTCAGCTTTGGGACATAGAGGGTGGAAGGCAGACGTGTGTTTTTAAAAAAAAAAGTCCCTGGAAAGCAGCTTGTTGTTACTTAGTAAAGCACAGGCCTGCAATCCAGCAATTCCGCTCATAGGCATTTGCCCCTGTGGTTTTAAATGTGACTCCACATTAGACTCACCTAAGGCTTCACTTTTTAAAATCTGCATGCGCCCCTCCAGATGAATTAAGTGAGAACCTCTGGGTACCTGGCTCAAGCATCAGTTTTTTTAAAGCTCTCAGGTCATTCCATAGCACTGTGCCTGTAGGGATTTTGATTTAATTGGTCTGGGATACAGTCTCAGCATTAACATTTTTATTTTTTCAATTAATTTTTTTGAGACGGTGTCTCACTTTGTTCCCAGGCTGGAGTGCAGTGGTGCCACCTCAACTCACTGCAACCTCTGCCTCCCAGGTTCAAGCGTTGCTTGTGCCTCAGCTTCCCAAGTAGCTAAGATTACAGGTGCAAGCCACCATGCCTGGCTAATTTTTATATTTTTAGTAGAGACAGGGTTTCACCACGTTGGCCAGGTCGGCCTCAAATGATCCTGGCTTCAAGTGATCCACCCACCTTGGCCTCCCAAAGTGCTGGGATTACAAGTGTGAGCCACCGTGCTGGGCCTAATTTTTTTTAATTTTCTTGAGACAGGGTCTCACTCTGTCACTCAGGCTGGAGTGCAGTGGCATAATCTCAGCTCACTGCAGCCTCAGCCTCCCTGGACTCAAGTGATCCTCCCACCTCAGCCTCCCTAGGCATGCACCACTGCACCTGGCTAATGTTTGTATTTTTTGTAGCGATGGGGTTTTGCTGTGTTGCCCAGGCTAGTGAATTTTTTTTTAAACTCCTCATGTGATTCTAAAGTGTAGCAAGGTTTGACAACCATTAGTCCAGAGCAGTGATTCTCAATAGCAGGAGTGGCATTAGTCCAGAGCGGTGATTCTCAATAGCAGGAGGGGTATTAGTCCAGAGCAGTGATTCTCAATAGCAGGAGGGGCATTAGTCCAGAGCAGCGATTCTCAATAGCAGGAAGACATGTTCAGTATATGTCTTCTTACCAGAAACTCCTCCTGGCTTCTAGAGAGTCAAGGTCAGAGGTGCTGCTGAGCATCCACAATGCACAGACAGCCCCCATAACAAAGAAGGATCTAACCCCAAATATCTGTCATGTCAAGGTTGAGAAACTGGTCTAGAAAGACCCTTACACATGTGCCCCAGGACCAGGAGTCATGTCTATGGATGTTCATAGTAGCATGGTAACAGCACAGGCAAACCAACCCAGATACCACGCCAATGAAAATATAAATCTACAGCAGCACATTCATAGTGCAGACAATGTCAGTGCACTGTCGGTGAGGGAAAGAGGCAGAAACAGCAGGGGTGACAGAACAGGGCCTTCCCCAGTGGGAAGGGGGTCTCCTGGAATTGCGGCTGCATTCCCAACGATCCCCGGTGAGTTTCTGAGTCTCTCTTCTTTCTAGGCTGCTTGGTTAGCTTGACATTTCATGGGAAATTTTATCCTATTTGGTCTTTTTAAGTAATGTGGGCAATTCAAGTAAAGAAAAAAACATTAGTATGCATGAAAGTATTTCCTACAGTATGAGATGTGTATATATATATATAAAATAGCAAAAAATAATTAGAAATTATGTAAATATCCAGAAATGGCAAAGTGATTACAACAATTATGGTACATACACTCAATTGAATGTTATGCAGCCATTAAAAAGGATAATTATGAAGGTGATTTAGAAACGTGGGAGGTGTTTGTGATACGATGGCAAGTGGAAAAAACCAAAATCAACAGCACAAACACAGTGATTACAACTCTAAAAAATATGTTGGCCTGTGGACAAATACTGAAAGGATTTGCCGAAATAAAAGCTGTAGTGATTAAGATGCTAGGATCATGGGCGATTATTTATTTTTTCTTTTTTCCCAGATTTTCTTTAATTTTTTTTTTTTTTTTTTTTTTTTTGAGGCAGAGTTTCACTCTTGTTGCCCAGGCTGGCGTACAATGGTGTAATCTGGGCTTACTGCAGCCTCCGTCTCCCAGATTCAAGTGATTCTCCTGCCTCAGCCTCCAGAGTAGCTGGGATTACAGGCGCCCACCACCACGCCTGTGGTGTACAAAAAATACAAATTTGTTGTATTTTTTGTAGAGATGGAGTTTCACCATATTGGCCAGGCTGGTCTCGAACTCCTGACCTCAGGTGATCCACCTGTCTCAGTCTCCCAAAGTGCTGGGATTACAGACGTGAGCCACCACACCCAGCCTGATTTTTCTTAATACTTAAAGTAGACATCTTTTGGGACAACTGCCTAGCCCACACCCCTCTTGTCCGAACACTGTGTCCCCACCCAAAAGGCTAAATCCCTAACATCTCTGAGGGCTCCGTGTTATCCTGTATCCCAGTCTAGCCCTGATCCAAAGTGAACCAATCAGATTCTCTCTACTGAGTCTTTGAAACTGGTAGAGCAATGATAATGCCTCCGAGGTAGTTTTTTTTGTTTGTTTTTCATTTTCTTTTGAGATGGAGTCTTGCTCTGTCGCCCAGGCTGGAGTGCAGTGGCCCGATCTCAGCTCACTGCAACCTCCACCCACCGGGTTCAAGTAGTTCTCTGCCTCAGCCTCCTGAGTACCTGGGATTGCAGGCACCTGCCACTACACCTGGCTAATTTTTGTATTTTTAGTAGAGACGGGGTTTCACCATCTTGGCCAGGCTGGTCTTCAACTCCTGACCTCGTGATCTACCCGCTTCGGCCTCCCAAAGTGCTGGGATCATAGGCGTGAGCCACCGCGCCCAGCCAGTTTTGTTTTTTTTTTAAGACAAAATACCCATAACATAAAATTCACTATTTTAGCCATTTTAAAGTGTGCAAAGCAGTGGTTTTTAGTATATTCAAAATGTTATGCTATCATCACCACTACCTCACTTCACACCGTTTTCATCAGCCCAACAAGAAACTTGTGCTGATAAGCAGTCTTTCCCCTCTCCCCATCCCCGACCCCACACAGCCCCTGGCAACTACAGATCAACTTTTTTTCTGTCGCTAGGGATTTGCCTGTTTTGTACATGTCATATAAATGGAATCATACAGCACATGGCCGTTTGTGACTGCCTTCTTTTTGCTCAGCACAGTGTTTTCAAGGTTCATCCATGTTGTAGCAGGGGCCAGGGGTTCATTTGTGTTTATAGCTAAATAATACTCCGTGGTATGGTGAGACCGCCTTTGGTTTACCCCATCCATCCACTGATGAACACGTGGGTTCTTTCTACTTTTTGCTATTTTAAGTTACATATTAGGAAAATGTGTGCACACGTTTTTGTGTGAATGTATGTTCACAATTCTCTTGGGTACCTAGGAGTGGAATTACTGGGCTCTATGGCAATTCTCTTTGACTTTTTGAGGCACTGCCAAACTGATTTCCACAGTGGCTGTATCATTTAGCATTCTCATCAGCGGAGTATGAGGGTTCTAATTTCTGTACATTCTCACCAGTTATTCTGTTGTTATTATTATTGCCATCCTAGTGGATGTGAAGTGGTAACTCGTGGCTTTGATTACATTTCCCTAACGACTAATGACGTTGAGCATCTTTTTATGCACTTACTGGCCATATATATTTACACATACACATACATACATATACACACACACACATATATATATACATACACATATATATATATACACACACATATATATATTTTTTGGAGAGATGTCTATTCTAATCTTCTGTCCATTTTTAATTAGGTTGTTTGTCTTTTTATTGTTTAGTGGTAGGAATTCTTTTTTTTTTTTTTTTTTTAAACAGAGTCTCGCTCTGTTGCCCAGGCTGGAGTGCAGTGGCGCGATCTGGCTCACTGCAAGCTCACCCTCCCGGGTTCACGCAATTCTCCTTCCTCAGCCTCCTGAGTAGCTGGGACTACAGGCGCCGGCCACCACCCCCGGCTAATTTTTTGTATTTTTAGTGGAGACGGGGTTTCACCGTGTTAGCCAGGATGGTCGCGATCTCCTGACTTTGTGATCCGCCTGCCTTGGCCTCCCAAAGTGCTGGGATTACAGGCGTGAGCCACCATGCCCGGCCACAATTCTTTATATAATCCACATAAAGACCCTTATCAGATATATGATTTTCAAATATTTCTCCCACTCTGTGGCTCATCTTTTTACTTTATTGATGGTGTCCTTCAATATATAAAAGTTTCTCATTTTGATGAGGTCCAAGTTATCTATTATTCTTTTGTTGTTTGCACTTGTGACGTCATATTTAAGAAATAATTGCTATTCCAAAGTCCTGAAGATTTACACCTATTTTCCCTTCTAAGGATTTTATAGTCTTAGCTCTTACATTTAGGTCTTGGATCCATTTTGGGTTAATTCTTCTATTGGCTGTGAGGTAGGTAGGGGTCCATGTTTGTTGTTTTGCTTGTAGATGTCTAGTTGTCCCCGTCCCATTTGTTGAAAAGACTCACTTTTACCCACTGAATGGTCTTAGAACCCTTGTCAAAAATGAATTGACCAGGCTGGTCACGGTGGCTCACGCCTGTAATCCCAGCACTTTGGGAGGCCAAGGTGGGCGGATCACGAGGTCAGGAGTTCGAGACCAGCCTCGCCAACTTAGTGAAACCCTGTCTCTACTAAAAATACAAAAATTAGCTGGGTGTGGTGGCACACACCTGTAGTCCCAGCTACTCAGGAGGCTGAGGCAGGAGAATTACTTGAACCTGGGAGGCAGAGGTTGCAGTGAGCCGAGACCATGCCACTGCACTCCAGCCTGAGTGACAGAGTGAGACTCTGTCTCAAAAAAAAAAAAAAAAATCAATTGACCATAGATGGGTTTATTTCTGAATGTTCAATTTTATTCTATTGATTTTTGTGTTTTATCTTTCTGCCAATACCACATTATTTTGATTACTGTGGCTTTGTAGTAAGTTTGTTCTTTTTAAAGATTGTTTTGGCCACTCAGGGCCCCTAGCATTTCTATATAAATATTAGAATATGTTTTTCTATTTCTGCAAAAAAAAAAAGGGCAGTGAAATTTTAATAGGGATTGTATTAGATCTGTAGGTTAATTTTGGGAGTATTGCCATTGTATTAGTCTATTCTCACGCTGCTATAAAGAAATACACGAGACTGGGTAATTCATAAAGAAAAGAGGTTTAATCGGATTATGGTTCCACAAGCTGTACAGAAGACGTAGTGGCTTCTGCTTCTGGAGAGGCCTCAGGAGGCTTCCATTCATGGCGGAAGGCAAAGGGGGAGTGAGGAGCTTCACATAGCCAGAGCAGGAGAGAGGGGGTGGTGATGCACACTTCTAAACAACCGGATCTCCTGAGAACTCACTGTAGGGTACCAAGCGGGGATGGTGCTAACCCATTTATGAGAACTCTGCCCCTATGATCCAATCATTTCTTACCAGGCGCCACCTCCAACACTGAGGATTACAACTAGACATGAGATTTGGTTGGACACAGATCCAAACCATATGAGCTATATTAACAATATTACATCTTCCAATCCATGAACCATGCATGGACCATTCCATTTGTTTAGGTCTTCTTTAATTTCCTTCAATACTGTTCTGTGGTTTTCCATCTACCAGTCTCACACTTCCTTGGTTAAACATGTTTCTTTTATCCCTTCAGATGTTGTTGTAAATAGAATTGTTTCTTTAATTTCATTTTTGGATTGGGGCAGTCTTTTGAAATAAGGACATGAGTGGGAAAAAGCAGAGGATGGCTGTTGACGCCTAGAGAAAAAAGTATAAACACAGAGAAAAAAAAAACAGAAGCCAGAAATTACATAAAAAGGAAGGCACCGGGAAAGATGAGAAAGAACAGGGTTGTGGGAGTACTACACTTAGCAAATGCTTAAGCAAAGTCAAGCTTTCAAGACAAGATTCCTAAAGCAAGGCAGGAGTATCCTAGGACAGACAAAAGCTCACTCGACAAGGCAAAGAGACAAACACCAGAGTTTGGACCCCACCAACTCCCTTAGCCAGCTGGCAATATGGTTTCACCACTTCTTAGAAAAGAGGAATGGAGAGGTGTCCTCAAAAGCCACCACTAGGCTTTCAGAATGTTTTGTGTGTCTGTGTCTTGGCAGAATGAGCCAAACGTACTTTCTTCGTGCCCCATAAGATGAGACACACCCAGCAAAGGCTGTCCTCATACAGAACTACCTCCAGGTGTCTTTTATACTGCAAGACCTGCACCAAAGGGTTCTACCTATAGAAATCCTAGCACCTAGACATAGTCAACCAAGTACATGGCTCCCTCACCCTCCAACCAAAGATGCCATATTTCCATCAGAGTGGAACAAAATCCCACTGTGTTCCTAATGCCTCCTGCAATTTTGCATGTGGGAGACATGGCTGGTATGTGACATTCTCTTCTACAGATTGTAATGGATTGGGGAAGGAGGGGGAACTAGAGTTCAGGCCTATCTTTCTAGAGGACAAAATAAATATGCCTTGATAACTGCAATTATCTGAAAACTATTTCAAAGAAAACTCTTTGTCTCATTCTGGCATTTGCTCAAGGGTATGGCTTTCCATCAGTCTCTCTGTCTCCATGTCTCTTTTACATACATATGTATGTGTATATGCGTGCGTATGTGTACATACATCCATACATATAGACATATTCTCTCTCTCTCCACACACACTCACACACCCCTCCAACCTCTGTGGCTCTGAGCGTCATGTGTGTAAGACACTGACGCGAATGGTGAGTGCCTAGGCAGGGGTCAAACAAAGGCTACCTACCATGCCAGAGGATTGCCACAAACACCTCTTAAGCAAGCATATTCCTTGGCTCCTCCCAGACACACTGAATCTGAATCTCTAGGATTCTGATTTCGGAGCCCAGGAATCCTCCGGTGCAGGAGTTCCCAGGTGACTCTGATGCACCGGGAGGCTGGAGGCGCTCGGATCTAGAGAGGAGGCGGCACTTGTGCAGTGCAGTCGGGAAAGAGAGGAGGGGCTGGGCCGGTGCCTTTAGGCGGTCAGGTGTTAGGACCGGAGTACAAGCCGCCAGCCGCGCGGGAGCAGGCCCCGAGGCAGCCCAGCCGCGGGGCAGTAACCTTTAGCCACACTTGGCCTCCGGCCGCCGCCAGAGCCGCTCCGCCCCCGCCGCCTCGCCCCCACCGCCCCGCCCTCCTATTGGCCGCGTCCCCAGCCGGGCTCGCGGCCTCGGCCAATGGGGCCGGCGCGCGCCGGAAGCCGGAAGCGCGGCAGCGGCGGCGGCGCTCCCCCTCGGCAGCTGTTGTGGGGCACCATGCGAGGCTTCGGGCCAGGCTTGACGGCCAGGCGTCTCCTCCCGCTGCGGTTGCCCCCGCGGCCGCCCGGGCCCCGGCTGGCGAGCGGGCAGGCGGCCGGCGCCCTGGAGCGGGCCATGGACGAGCTGCTGCGCCGCGCGGTGCCGCCGACGCCGGCCTACGAGCTGCGCGAGAAGACACCGGCGCCCGCCGAGGGTCAGTGCGCGGACTTCGTGAGCTTCTACGGTGGGCTGGCCGAGACGGCCCAGCGGGCCGAACTGCTGGGCCGCCTGGCGCGGGGCTTCGGCGTGGACCACGGCCAGGTGGCGGAGCAGAGCGCCGGCGTGCTCCATCTGCGCCAGCAGCAGCGGGAGGCGGCGGTGCTGCTGCAGGCCGAGGACCGGCTGCGCTACGCGCTGGTGCCGCGCTATCGCGGCCTCTTCCACCACATCAGCAAGCTGGACGGCGGCGTGCGCTTCCTGGTGCAGCTGCGGGCCGACCTGCTGGAGGCGCAGGCCCTCAAGCTGGTGGAGGGGCCGGACGTCCGGGTAAGGGGCCGCCGTCGATCCCCCGGCAGCGCGGACTGGCCGCCCTCCTCGAGTAGTCCTCACTTGCCCCCTCCAAGTCCCACACACCCCGCCTTCCCTGCCCGATAGCACGCTCACTTCGCCCGCAGTTACCGCCTGCCAACTGTGTCCCCTTCCCACGCTGTCTGAGTCCTGGCCTCGTCAGAGCACACCCCCGCCTTCCTCCAGTCTGTCCTTGAAGTCCTCACTTGTATAGTGTTTACTAAATACTCAGCACTTGGTGGTCTTTAAGGTAGCTGTCACCTCTCGTACCTGATTAGTGTGTGCTCTACAGTCTTTTGAAATTATTGTAGCTGAGAAGTGTTTCATCTATATGGTATACCTGAACTAGAGCATCAGGCAGCCTTCTGAGACCCTGGATGGTGTTTCAGAAGTTCACTGGGCACCCGCTATGTGTGAGACATTGTCCTGAGAAGTCCTGTGAAATGCACAAAGGTAAATAGGACTCAAGGTCACCACCACCACCCAGGAGTCTCCATGGCTTCTGGCCTTGTCTGTGCTCCATGACTTTTGGGAGGGCATTTAACTCCCTGCGTTCAGTACTTAATGTGATGATTCTGAGTTGACTTGAGGTAATCAGGCATTAGCACAGTTCATTCATGTTAAATGCAGACACATACTTTGAGATTTAAATGATTATGACCCGAAAGAAGGCCTAGAGCAACATATACTCTTCTTTTATACTGTTAGTATTAAATACGGCGAAAAACTAACCTGCCCTTTTTTTATTTTTATTTTTGTTGCCCAGACTGGAGTACAGTGGTGTTATCACGGCTCACTGCAGCCTCGACTTCCCCAGGCTCAAGCAATCTTCCCACCTCAGCCTCCTGAGTAGCTGGGACTACAGGTGCAGGCCACCATGCCCGGCTAATTTTTTTTTTTTTTTTTTTTTTTTGTAGAGAGGGCGTTTCACCATGTGGCCCAGGCTTAACCTGCCCTTTTAATGAACGAAAAATGACGTAAATGTTTCAGGAAGTTTTGGACATTCAGAAGTTTGTTATGTGCAGTTGGTGTTAAAAAAAAATTGAACACTTGAATGATTATGACTTGACCCATTTAAGAACTCTAATACTGGTTTAATAGTTTACATTCCTTCAGTCTTACGTGGGTGATAACACGTATCCCTTTTACAGTAAAGGAGAACATGCTGAGGTTGTGTTACTTGTCCTGAAATTCAGAGCGAAAAGCTCTTGCTGATCACCCACCCTAATCCAGGGTTATTTGCACTACGCTTTATATCACTGTCTTACCGTTAATCAGATGTTTATTAGAAACTTTCTTTTTTGGCTACTTAGATGCATAAAATTGGGCATAATTAAGTATGGGATTAATGTCAAGAGTGACAACAGTGGCCATGATTTGATTCCCCGTGATAGCTGGTTAATTTACAGCGCTAAGTGTTACTGAGGGCCAGGCATCTTTGGCCGTAAGATTCTCAGACAGAAAGCCCACAGTTGCTAATTGCATGACACAGAATCAGTCATGAATTCTTACTGTGTTGAATTATCATGTTCTGGGCTCAAGCCTAGTCTGAATAGCTGAGTTTTTCTGATCCACACTTGGACATAGTACTTGCAGTATATCATCCCCCCATGTAAATGATCAGCTCCTCGAAAACTGGGAAACTTGTCTTTAAATTTCTTGCATAGCAGAATGATGAATGAATCATTGCAATAGATTCCTGGGTGTCCTGGCATAAGACACACTTGACACACTAATCATTCAGCATTTGTGTGGAGGTGAGTCTGCCCCACACTCAGTCATAGATTTTTGAGCCTGAGAGAAAGCCATGAAGGACTTGAAAGGTTTCTGCCCAGCTGAGAGGGTCCTCATATCAGACATTTGGACAGCTTTGTCCCTCATTGATTTCTCACATCCGGTCCAATTCTGAATTCTCTGGTTCTGTGAGATGCTGTGGAATACATCCTTTTGTTCTTCCCCACTCAAGAAAACTCTTGGTTATCGCGTCATTGGGAAGGAACACGTTGCATGGCAACTGAAGACACTCACATCCAGACTTGACTGTTGAGAGAAAGGAGCTGGCCCCTGGGAAATACAGAGGCTGCTGAGTCCTTAGACATTCACAAGTTTCCTTGCTTTTTGACCAAGGCTATTTACAGAAGGGAAAAAAACATTGCATACTGTAATGCTAGGCCAAAAGTCCTGTGGACCAGAGGTGTTTATCAAACAGAATGAATAACGACAGTCTGATCTTTGCCTCTGCATATGGTTTGGACATAATGGCTTCAGGAGCCTTTCTGTGATTGCTTTATTGTGCCCCTTCCATTTCTTTACCTAGAAACCCCAGCCTTATATTCAGTGCATGTAACTGTTAGTAGCTGAACCTATTAATTCCCTTCCCCTTCCCTTGTTCTACGTAGTTGTTTTCTCATATATACACATATATATGTATGTGTATATGTGTGTGTGTGTGTGTGCGTGCGTATATATATATATATATATATATATATATATATATGGTTTTTTGTTTTGTTGTTTACGGTTTTTTGTTTGTGTTTATTTTTTTGTTCATGTTTATGTTTTTTCTTGTTACGTTTCCCAGGCTGGTCTTGAACTCCTGGCCTCAAGCAAGCAATCCTCCAATCCCAAGTGCTGGGATTATAGATAGGTGTGAGCCCAGATGTAATTTTTTTAAAATCCCTGTCGCTTAAATCAGTCTTAGAATAGAATTAGATTGTTCTGTACCTATAAACTATCAACTGGGATCTGATATTGTAACCTCTCACCAGAATCACTTAATGTGGTATGATCTGATCTATTTTTTTAATCTGATTTTTTTTTTTTTTTTTTTGAGACAGAGTCTTGCTCTGTTGCCCAGGCTGGAGTGCAGCAGCACAATCTCTGCTCATTGCAACCTTCGCCTCCCAGGTTCAAGCCATTCTCCCACCTCAGCCTCCTGAGTAGCTGGGAATACAGGTGCTTGCCAACACATCTGGCTAATTTTTGTATTTTTAGGAGAGATGGGGTTTTGCTATGTTGGCCAGGCTGGTCTGGAACTCCTGACCTCAGATGATCCGCCCGCCTTGGCCTTCCAAAGTGCTGGAATTACAGGTGTGAACCACTGTGCCTGGCTGTGTTCTTACTTTTTAAAATGTTCTTTTCCTCTGATCTGAGTGAGTTTGGAGGCTTGTTACTGCCTGGATTTGTGGCCTCCTGAATGTAGAGGAGTTTGGAGGTATGTGTGTCCCTGTGGTTGCATGGTAGGTGTGGGTATGAGGATGTGATGTGTCTGGGGGATGGTGGTTTATAGGCTTTTTGTTTTTCTCCAGAGGCCCAGTTGGTTGATGACTTCAGTTTCTTAGAGGTGAAATCCCAGTGAAACCGAGTCGAATCCCCAGTAGAGGGGAAGGTCTGAGCGAGGTTCAGTGATTTGTGGGCACTCGAGGAAGGTTGGCCTTTAATTCATGGAAAGGGTTCCTCATGGGCAGTTTGGACCTTGCTGTTAGGGTGGAATGAGAGGTGCTCCAACCTTAACAGAGGCACAGAAACTAGAGAAGGGACCTGGTTCCCACTGCCACAGCCACCCGGCCATGCTAGACACCTGCGTACCCTCTGCCTTTTAGTTAATTGAGTACTCCTTGTTGGTTCTAGTAAATTCTGTGCTTACCTATGCTAAATAATACTTATTTTTAGATAGGACAGTATACCCATAGCATCAAGTGTACACCTGCGGAGTGTCAGCTTACGTGAGTGGGAATTTTCCCCAAATTTCTCAGCCTCTGCAGTGCTACCCTCATCCATGACTTTATCCTCCCTTCCCCAGAGCAGGGCTTCTGGACAAGGGAAGGTAACTTTTCTTCACATACCAAAATAAGCAGATCTTGATAGAGCTTCAAAAGAGAGGGAACCAGTTTCTCTTTTAAAAGGAAAAGTGGGCTGGTCTAAACGGTGTCATACAAGTCAATGGAATTAACAATACACAATACACAGAGCCGGGTGCAGTGGCACGCACCTGTAGTCCCTGCTACTTGGGAGGTTCAGCTGAGCCCGGAAGTTCAAGTGCAGCCTAGGCAACAGAGCAAGACCTGCCTCTGAAAAAAAAAATAAGAAACACTCCAGCAGAATCCACTGAGAACTGTCGCTGCCCTTAGCATCACCAGGATATTCCCCGCAGTTGTGTTTCTCAGTCTTGTATTGGTGATAAATGGTGCCTGAATTAACGCACGTACAGTTGCAGAGGCCTCTTTCCCTGGTGGTGTTTGTATCCTGGCAACGTTGCCGCGTGCTGTGGCTCATCCCAGCCTGAACAGCTGCTGCCGGTGTTAGAACTGAGCAACGGAGACTTCTAACCTTTAGCCTGGATTCCCAGTTCTCGTGTACCAGTGTCACATTTTGTAGCTGTCAGGAGCCCAAAATAGAATGAAGAGATCTGTAGGGGAGGAGCTTTCATCAGCCAAACCATTTCTTTCATAATTAATATTAAATTGATAGTAAAACTAGGTATTTCCAGCTTTTTTCATATCACGAATGTAAGACAGATACCAGTACCTCTTACGCAGAGCTCAGCTCATCCGTTCCTAAACTGGGGTACAGAAGCCCTCCTGGCCCCTGGGATGGTCCATAGATAAGTATCAGAGGAGTCCATGTACCCCAGGAAAACGTATGCACAATTTTACTAATGTATTTGCAGTGTTTTGGGGGCAGGGCCTATGGTTTTTAGCACGTAAGAGTGTGAGAGGATCCCAGGAAGATTAAGAATTGCTATAGTCAAATGCAGAAAGTACAGTTTTACAAAGGGCCATTCTGTGTCACCTAGCAAATGATCTCTTTCATCCTGCCCTCTTGCTACTTCCTAATCACGATTCATTCCATTTTTCCATCTTTTTCATTTGATATCAATCTATTAGTGAATGCTTTGCGAACTATAAAAATGAATCAGAAGTGGATCCTGCTTTTATGGCGTTTACAACCAAGTAAAGGAGATTGAGTCATGGAATGTAGAGTTAAAAGGAATTGCAAAGATCTTCTGGTCCAGCTGTCTATCTAATGCTTAAATCCGTTTTCAAACAGCTCCGTTGAGTTCTGTCCACCTGTGCTTGATGGCTTCCAGTGCTGAGGGTCACCGTCTCCCAGGATGACCTCTGTGGACAGCTCCAGCTATTCAAAAGTTCCTCTTTACACTAAATTGAGTCCACATCTGACTGCCCATGACTTCCACCAGTCAGTCCTAGATTTCCTTCCCCGGCCCCCATGGGGTCACACAGAACAAATTTGTGGCCTCTTTCGTGCCCTAGTGCTTAAACATGTAAAAGGAGACCTCATCTCCTTCCGAAAACTTCTCTGAGCCATCACCCCAAAACCTGCAACTCTTTCTCAGGCGTCAAAGTTCTGAGTCCTTTCACCCTTTAACAGGGATTAAAATGTAAAATTGTTTTATAAAATTTGGAAGCTGAGACAGGAGAATCGCTTGAACCTAGGGAGCAGAGGTTGCAGTGAGCCAGGGTTGCACCACTGCACTCCAGCCTGGGTGACAGAGGAAGACTCCATCTCTCAAAAAAAAAAAAAAATTCTAGCTGTTGTAAAGCCATTCTTATAGGTGTTGCCCATTGTGTTCTTTATGACCCTTGTAGAGAGATTCAGAAGGTCATTCTTGTATCAGATGTCCTGAGATGTTTACTGTTATTTAATAATAATGTTCAGTGGATCTGTTACTATGTAGTTTATGAGTAACAAAGACCCAAAATAACAGTGATTTGAATATGACAGAAGTTTGTCTGTCATGTGAAAGTCTAGAGGTGGGCAGCCCAGAGCTGATTCTGCTCTTTGGTGCTCTTGGTGGATTCAGACTTGAATCTTGTTGCTCTGCCGAGAAAAACCTTCATCTCCAAAGCCACGTCGTGGCCCAGGATGGCTGCTCCAATGCCAGCCATCACACCGCCTTCCAGTCTGCAGTGGAAAGGACAAAGAAAAAGATGGGCCAAGGGCCTGCTCCTGCTGTCTTTTCAAGTTCCCCAAAGTGGCTGCAGGAGACCTCTGCTTACCCCTCATTGACCAGAACTCTGTCACATGGCTGCCCCCAGCCGCAGTGCAATCTTTGTTCTGGACAGCTGTGTCCCTAGCTGAAAAGTGAGGCTTCTGTTAATTTGAAAGAAAAGGGGTACAGCCATCGGGGAACAACAAGCTGTGGCTGTGCAGGCAGCACCGAGGCGACGCTGCTCCTGCTCAGGGCCTTGTGTTCTGCTCTTGCTGGAAAAGCTTCAGTGCAGATGTATCTTGGGTGGTCAAGTCAATTCACATCATTTTTGGAAGTAGATACAATATAAATAAGTGAGGCAAAATTAGGATAATTTCATCAACTCTGAAATGCATTGGTTGCCAGATACGCTATTATTTTATGTCCCTCTAAGGTAGGTTAAAAATGCTGCCAGTTACGGCGGGGCACAGTGGCTGACGCCTGTAATCCCAGCACTTTGAGAGGCCGAGGCAGGCAGATTGCCTGTGCTCAGGAGCTCGAGACTAGCCTGGGCAACGTGGCAAAACCCCATTTCTACAAAAAAGACAAAAAAAAATTATCCAGGCTTGGTGGCGCTCACCTGCAGTCCCAGCTACTTGGGGGGCTGAGACAGGAGGACCACATGAGCCCAGGAGGTCAAGGCTGCAGCGAGCCGTGTTCATGCTGTTGCACTCCAGCCTGGGTGACCGAGTGAGACCCCGTCTCTTAAAACAAAAATGCTGCCAATTAGTCTGTGACCCGCCATCATTCGAAAGATGCATCCTGACTTGAGAGATGTTAAAATATGAAAATGTACATCTCTGAGTTGATGAAATAGGGTTCCTGAACCAAGTACTTGTCTTTCTTAGGAAATGTAGGCGTAATGTTTTGACGTATCAAAGAAGGTTCCCGAGAGGATGAGGACAGTGCTGTTGACACCCTTGCTGTCTTAGTGTTTCCCTTACAGTGCATCTTTCATTGTTATGTTGATTTTATATGATTAGTATGCTCACTATGGTGAACGAATTGGAAGATATTATTTGATTTGGGCAACTTAGTTCAAATTGAATTGTTTCCTTCAGAGGTCTTAACAGACTGAAGTAGTTAAGTCTAAATAGAGCGTTGAACGAAAGAAAGCCTGACTTGGTTTGAGATAAGATGTCTGACAGAGGAATCTTGGGAAAAGCTGTTTGGAGAGTTGTCTTGCACAATTGTCTTATGTATCGTGCTTGAGTGTTTTCATTCCTTGTGCTGACCACAACACAGAGATGGGCTTGATCTGTCGCACATTGGAGGCCTGGGATTTATCTTCTCCTTTTCAGGAAATGAATGGGGTGCTGAAAGGAATGCTCTCAGAATGGTTTTCCTCCGGGTTCCTGAACCTAGAACGGGTTACCTGGCATTCACCGTGTGAAGTGCTTCAGAAAATCAGTGAGTAAGTATTACGGTTTTCATTTTCTTTGTACATACATTTTTCATATATATTTGTGTATGTTTTATATTGGCTAAAAGCTAATCTATCTCCATTCATATGTACAGTTTATTTCAAGTCTAATAAAATCCAAACACAGTATTTGCAAATGCTGCGGCTGTCACCACACATGATACTAAGATTATGGAGGAAGACGAAAGGGCACCAAGAGAAACTGATATGTCTGTCAGTGACCTGCGTGTGAGGTCTTATTTGTGTCCTCTTATTTAAAGCAAACACACCCATTTTCGCTCGTCCCAAGACCCCGTGATCAGAGTTGTAGAAACTCACTGGACCAAGCGTTTGCATTCGTAATCAAAACAGTATTTAGCCCACCTGGTGGTTAAGATTTCTCCCTGAGTTAAAATCTCTAAACAAACTATATCATGTGTTAGTTACATCCAGGACCCGTATGACACAGGCTAGCATGTCACGGTGCCTTCACTACCTTTGCACGTAGGCATCTTCACATTACATGTTGTCCCATGGAATCCATGGTTTGAAAAGTGTCCTATTTGAAATGTAACCAATTCAATTCAAAGGGCTGACAGTGCCTGCTGCCATTTCACATGCTGAAAACAAAATAGCGGTGGGGCGAGATTGCTGGAAGACACCAGATGAGCCCCCTGATTGCAGCACTGACGGCTTCACAGAGATCCCAAGGAAAGAAAAGACAGTGTTCAACACCAAGCGTTTGATTAGGTTTCACGTTAAAATCTGCATGAATCCTTCCCCGGAGCCTCACAAACTCCTTTTAAAACTGGGGTTAAAACTGGAGCACAATTTTGTGTGTAAAATGGTCATTCACTGTAGTTCCTCTCAGTGGGTGCTGTTTCTCATGAAAATGACTTTCTTTGAATTTTCCAGAAGAGTCCATTAAAGCTCTATTTAAAGAACTTGTTTGACTTAGACGAATAGTATGAATAGGAGTCAGCAGCCGTTGCTTGTGAATTATGCATTTGTCTTGTCTCTTTATAAATTCCGCCCCAGGGCTGAGGCTGTGCATCCTGTAAAAAACTGGATGGACATGAAGCGCCGCGTTGGGCCCTACAGAAGGTGTTACTTCTTTTCTCACTGTTCGACCCCTGGGGAGCCCCTGGTCGTTTTGCACGTGGCACTGACTGGTGACATCTCCAGCAACATCCAGGTACCTGCGATGGTCAATTCGGGACAAGATGGGCACCCCATAGAGCCCCTTGTGTTTTTTGTTTTGTTTTGTTTTTACTTGATTTTATCCTCCTTTTTTTTTTTTTTAAATAAATGGTTTTGGGCTTTTTTAAATTGGTTAAATAAAATCTCCAGATTTGTAGGTGTAGAGCGTAGAAGTGTAACAGGCAGACAGTTATGGAGCAAGGCGAGCATTCATCTGGCTGTGTTGATCTTAGGTTGAGATACAGTTAAAGTCTATCACAGAACATGTTTGTGAGGCAGAAAATAATTGTGAAGGAAGAAGGGACAGATACCTGATTCATACATAGTTTACCTTTACAGCTTTTGTTAAATGCCTGTGGGGAGTTTTGAAAGATACTTGATTAGAAAATTGAAAGAGGCACTCCATCCCTTATGCTTGATGTGGGCCGAGGACACTCCTTGGCGAGTGGAGGTTATGGGACTTGTGGTTGATAGCCCCGTCTGTGGCAAGCTGCTCTGCTCCTGGATGAGTTTGGCAAGAATGTCTGAAACACTCCTGCAGGCCCGTGGGGGCAGAAGAACCAGGGAGCACATTGCAGGGTCTGGAAATAGGAGTGCTAAAGATAGGTGGCAGGGAGCATGAGACCCCTGGGGCATTGCAGGTTTGCTCAGACCAAGAGGACATGAGTGGCTGTTAGGAAGCTAAGTGGATGATGGCCCATCACAAGATGAGTGCCCTAAGCAGGTGTCCTGCTGAGAAGTTAGAGAAGCTGAGTAGGGCAAATGAGCAGACATTCCTGATCACCAAGGAGAAACACATTCCCTTACAATGTTTGTGTGTGAAAGAGTCACACTCCGATGCCCTCTTGGTGGGACTAGGGGCCATTCTGACTTCTCTGAGGGCAATTTGGCAACATGGATGAAAATTCAGAATGTGCATTCCTTCTGGCCTAACAATTCCACTCCTAGGAACTTCTCCTGGGGAGATGCTCAGCCCTGAGAGTCAGATGGCTATTCCTGCAGCATTGCTGACAGTTCAAAAGGGTGGGGATGATAACCTAGGGCCCATCAGGAGAGAATGGGCTCCAGGAGGGCGCTGTAGACACATGGCGCGGCCTCGTGTACATCAGATATCTGTGCATGTATTTAAATATTGTTGTAGGTTTATATGGAAAACCAGCCTTGACTTACTCTTGAGTAGAAGTTCAGGTTTATAGAGTAGCATGGGTATGGTGTGGTCTTATGAATAATATTAATAATATCTGTTGAGTAGTGCTCTGTGCCTGTCAGTCTGTGAAGCACATTTTGTGTGTTATTGCCCTGAGCACCCTGTGATTTAGGTGGTGGTGTTGTGTTTTTTTTTTTTTTTTTTGAAGCGGAGTTTCGCTCTTCTTGCGCAGGCTAGAGTGCAATGGTGCTGTCTCGGCTCACTGCAACCTCCAACTCCCGGGTACAAGCAATTCTCCTGCCTCAGCCTCCCGAGTAGCTGGGGATTACAGGCATGTGCCACCATGCCCAGCTAATTTTTTTTTTTTTTTGTATTTTTAGCAGAGATGGGATTTCACCATGTTGGCCAGGCTGGTCTCGAACTCCCGACCTCAGGTGATCTGCCCGCCGCGGCTTCCCAAAGTGCTGGGACTATAAAGGCGTGAGCCACCGTGCCCGGCTGATATAGGTATTATTATGAGAAAACCGAGGCTTGAGGGAACGTCCGCAACTTACCCATGATCATCGAGCAAGTAAGGGCGGAACTGGAATTCAGACCCAGCTCGCATCCTGACTCTAAGGGCACGTGAGAATGTGCGTGGGTACGCAGTCCTGTGTGCATTTGTGTGCGTACCGAGAGCCTCTGAGACAGGCCTGGAAAGGTGTTCATCAAAAGGGCAGCAGCAACAGTCATGGAGATTAGATTTTGGAGTAATTGGTTATTTTTTTTTATGCATGGTTTTTTTTTTTTGCCTCTTTTTGTTTTATTCACTTAGTTTTATCAATTTTTTGTCTCTTTGACATTATACATACCTCACTTGTATAACCGAAGAAAGTTTTGTTTTTATTTTGAAAACTTAAAAAAAAGATTGCTGGGATTTTTGCATAAGGAATCACAAGATAATTTGCAGACTTCTTAAAAAACAAAGGAGAGCCCGACGCAGTGACTCGCGCCCAGAATCCCAACACCCCGGGAGGCTGAGGAGGCAGCCGGATCACCTGAGGTCAGGAGTTCCAGACCAGCCTGGCCAACATGGTGAAACCCCGTCTCTACTAAAAATACAAAAATTAGCCGGGTGTGGTGGTGTGCACCTGTAGCCCCAGCTACTTGGGAGGCTGAGGCACAAATGAGAATCGCTTGCCACTAGGCAGAGGTTGCAGTGAGCCGAGGTCGTGCCACTGCACTCCAGCCTGGGCGACAGAGCAAGACTCCATCTCAAAAAAAAAAAAAAAAAGAAAGGAGATAAGCCTGGGAGTGATGTGAAGTGAGCTCCGTCCTATGAACGACAGAGCTCTTCCATAGAGCACGGTGCAGGACAGCGGGCCCCTCTCGGGCCTCGGAGGATATGTCCTTCATGTCATGAGCTCTCCCCCTTTCCTCACAGCAGCATTTCTTCACTTTGTTGGAGTCACAGACCCTGTTAAGAATCTGGAGGGAAAAATGCTGAGGATGTTTTCCTCAGGGCAGATATGCATAGACTCACACATTCCATACACAATTTCTTTCTTTTTTTCTTTTTTTTGAGACGGAGTCTCGCTCTGTGCCCAGGCTGGAGTGCAGTGGCATGATCTCGGCTCCCTGCAACCTCCGCCTCCCGGGTTCACACCATTCTCCTGCCTCAGCCTCCGTAGTAGCTGGGACTACAGGCACCTGCCACCATGCCCGGCTCATTTTTTTTGTATTTTTAGTAGAGACGGGGTTTCACCGTGTTAGCCAGGGTGGTCTCGATCTCCTGACCTCGTGATCTGCCCGCCTCGGCCTCCCAAAGTGCTGGGATTACAGGCGTGAGCCACCGCGCCCGGCCTCCATACAATTTCAGAACAATTTCAGAAAGTTCATGGACTGACTACGAGACCTCATCTATGCAGTCTGAGCTAAACGCTCCTACTTCCAGAATCGAAGGTCGCTGGTAGAAGTTAAAATAGTTTAAATGGGTTCTTCAAAAGTAAGCTGGTTTCCCTGCTTCAAAGCAAATGAAAAGGTAGCCCCCTGCTGTTCCACTGTTATCCAGTGAGCTTTGGAGTGTTAAGGATTATGCTTCGGAGTATAAGGGATTAGAAAACGCTGCCGTGAGAATGAGAGGCAATAAACTCAGACTTCAGCTAAGCGACTTCCCAGTCTAGCTCGTTTCTTAGAATGCCTCGCAGGGATGTCTGCAAATGTGTTACCATTTAGGAAAAACAGAAATGGCACAAAACCCAAAAGGTACATGAAAAAGTCAAACAAAGGTATATTTCCTAAAAGAAAATTATATAGGACTGCTTATAGCCTCTTGAGAAATTTGAAAAACCTAGGGTTCAGAGAAAAGGAGGAAAAACAATTCAGTGGTGGGAAACGTCAGTCCTTTAGGAGAAGCTGAAGGAACTGGAGCTGTTTGGTCTCAAGGATCCGTGTGTTATCGCTGAGTGTTGGCCGGAGAGTTTATGGAGCAAGTTTTTGTTTGCACAAAGGCCTAAAAGAGACAGAAAGGGGCATACATTGCTCTTCAACAAAGTTTGCATGAAAATTTCAAGAAACGATGCAGTGCTGAGGACCCCCAGGCACGCGGTGGAGTCGCCTCCTCCAGAGAGTTTTCAAAACAGAGCAGCTTTTAGGCTCTGTAGCCTGAACCCCAGCTGGGGAGCCGAGGTCTCTTCCAGCTCCTTCAGTGCTCTGAGAATTGTCTTCTCGTCCCAGCAACAGGCTTGCCTCGTGGGCTGCAGAGCGGCCAGGCCACCCTTAGAACCATCGTTGGTGTTTTCCAGGCAATCGTGAAGGAACATCCTCCATCAGAAACAGAAGAGAAGAACAAAATCACTGCTGCGATCTTTTATTCCATCAGCTTGACCCAGCAGGGACTCCAAGGGGTGGAGCTGGGAACATTCCTCATAAAGCGAGTCGTCAAGGAGTTGCAGGTAAGCGACACGCAGGGAGCCCCGGTCACGCTTGGCTTCCGTGTGGTCAGGTCAGCGAACCTCGTGGGGTGTCAGGTGCCATGAGGGACACAGATGAAGACAGGAGCTAAAGGGAGGGGCAGGGGGTAGAAAAGGTGCCAGAGACCCCTTGGCAACTCCTAGGAGCCATGAGTCTCCCAGAGAGATGAGAATGATGCTGAGAGAGGCCTCCAACCCAGCTGCCCAGTTGACTGCAAGACGCAGTTGTATTCTGAGGTCATCAACTCTCTCTAGGGTGACCTCGTTCTGACCTGGTCAGGACACTCTGGATTTCACGTGTCATCCTGGTGTAAGTGTCACTCTGAAATGTCCCAGCCAGATGGCACAGCTGGTAGTCATCCTGCCACGCCTGTCCTCCCCCTGCCCCTGCCCACACTCTCAGGGCCTCTGACACCTGATGTGCTGTTAGCTTGGGCCTTCTCATGGCCTGTGAGGGAGTGCTGAGGTGAGACCAGACAGCTCGAAGGTAAATGCATCGGCTTTTAATCTAACTCTCCTCTCTTTGCTGCCCTGTGAAAAACATATTAACCATCCTACATCAGAAATGTTGATGTTCACTCCAGGCCTAGGCTTTCAAAAACCACCAGCCTCATCAGGGACTTGGATAAATTCCAATGAGTAGAATCTAATAATTAGGTGCGGTAGCTAGATGTTTGCTAATGACTGGCTCTGAGCAGGGTGTTCACTGTGTTGGGGGCTGCACATGGCTGCAGCAGAGGCCTTCCTTTGAGGACGACAGTGTGGAGTGGGGACGTTTACATGCTCCTAGTAAATTCATAATCAATTTCTAATTGAAGCCCTCAGGATTCAGCTGGGCGTGGGCTTCATTACCACGCCGCCATGTTTCCCCCGGGTAACAATGAGCCGTAGCTCATTCCCACAGTTTCCTCATTCCTCTGTCTTCACTGAGGGTGGTGATTAGCAGGGCGGGGTGGGGAAATGTATCAGGGTAAGGAAGGCAGGAAGAGGAGGAGCAGATCCCGGGATTCGGGGGAGTTGGGCCTTAGCCCAGCAGCTGTCCTGAGGGTGTCGCTTAACTGCCCCTGGGCGGCCAGCCTAGAAGTCCTCAAAGGGAGTCTGGAAGGGAACAAATGGCCCCTCTGCGTGGAGGCGCTCGTCAGGGTTTACAAAAGCAAAACACAGCTGGGCGCAGTGGCTCACGCCTGTAATCCCAGCCGAGGCAGGCAGATCACCTGGGGTCAGGAGTTCGAGACTAGCCTGGCGAACGTGGTGAAACCCCGTCTCTACTAAAAATATAAAAATTAGGCATGGTGGTGCATGCCTGTAGTCCCAGCTACTCGGGAGGCCGAGGCAGGAGAATCACTTGAACCTAGGAGGCGGAGATTGCAGTGAGCCAAGACTGCACCATTGCGCTCCAGCCTGGGAGAGACAGTCTCAAAAAAAAAAAAAAAAAAACAGTGGTTCGGGGTGGGGGAAAAACCCCGGGAGCTACCACGAATGCCCAACGAGAGGAACATGGTGAGGAAAATCATAATAGGCTGCTTTTTTTATATTACTCTGTGGTTAAAATCTTCTGTTTTTGAATTTTAAATGATAATGAGAAAATGCTCACGATATAAATTCATATTGCAAAATATAAAGTAAGTGTCTCACCCATGCAAAAATCGCATCAAGAAACACCAGGAGTTTATCTGAGCAGACTGTCGAGAGTGGTTTTCTCAATGTAGTGGAGTGTGATGGTTTTATTTTCTTCTGTCATTAATTTTTTCAAAAAATATCTATAGTGAGCATGTGTTACATTTATAATCAGAAAGTAGCAGATTGTTTGAAATGATCATGAGATCTCTATCTAGTTGGGACAATAACGATTGAACCGTGTCATGTGATATGGAGAGATACCCGCAGCGTCCCCCTCCTCGCCCTCTACCCCGTTCTGCACCCGCCGTGGTGTGGCCGGGCAGCTAGTCGCTCACTCACCAGTCCCTGGCCACTCGTGTGCCGAGCAGCAGAGCAGCTTCCGGGGCCTCACAGGTGGCCATGGGAGGAGCATGGTGTACGGGAAAGACAAGGCCTGCAGTGAGTAGCTGCAGTGCACCGAGCCCCACTCCCCACTGGCCAGCTGTCTGGTTTTAGGCAAGTCCCCCAACACTCTAGTCTCGGTTTTGCCGACATGAGAAGGGATGGTGGGGACAGAGACGCCCTGCCTTGGGGAGTCAGGATGCCTCCAGGGTCTGGCACACATCAGGTTCCTGATAAATATTTCCTGCTGGGTGTGGCGGCGCGAGCCTGTGGTCCCAGCTACTCAGCAGGCTGAGGCAGGAGGATGGCTTGGACCCAGGAGATGGAGGCTGCAGTGAGCCATGATGACACCACTGCACTCCAGCTAGGGCAATAGAGCAAGACCCTGACTCTAAGAGGAAAAAAAGAAAAGCTGCTTGAAAGAAGATAAACAACATGTATCAGATGTCACTCTGACCGCTACACAGCAGCATGTGAGCCGTAGGTTAAGAGGTGCTCCTCTGTTGGTAACGTACCTGCTGAATTTGTGTTTTCTCCGCCTTCCTTTCCACCCCAACCATGCTTTACAGAGAGAGTTTCCTCACCTTGGGGTGTTTTCAAGTCTGTCACCTATACCTGGTTTCACCAAATGGCTTCTGGGGCTTCTGAACTCGCAAACGAAGGAGCATGGGAGGAATGAACTCTTTACAGATTCGGAATGTAAGGAAATCTCGGAGATCACAGGTGGCCCCATTAACGAGACCCTCAAGCTCCTCCTCAGCAGCAGCGAGTGGGTGCAGTCGGAGAAGCTGGTGCGGGCGCTGCAGACTCCGCTGATGAGGCTGTGCGCCTGGTACCTGTATGGAGAGAAGCACCGCGGCTACGCGCTGAACCCCGTGGCCAACTTCCACCTGCAGAACGGGGCGGTGCTGTGGCGCATCAACTGGATGGCGGATGTGAGCCTCAGAGGCATCACCGGCTCCTGCGGCCTGATGGCCAACTACCGCTACTTCCTGGAGGAGACGGGCCCCAACAGCACCTCCTACCTCGGCTCCAAGATCATCAAAGCCTCTGAGCAGGTCCTCAGCCTAGTGGCCCAGTTTCAAAAGAACAGCAAGCTCTGACAGTAAACCTCTCCTAAAGCACAGGGCCCCGGCTAAGAAAACGATCATTTTCAGGAGGGGCCGGGAGTTATGTATCTGAAGCAGCTTTCCAAGCAAAGCCAAAGTTGACTGTGTTCTTGTCCCGCAGCCGGTCCACACTGTGAGGCCAGGCCTCAACTTCCCTCACCCTGGGCGTGACATGCACCCAGTGCAAGACGGTTGTGGGTGCGGGTGCACACAAATGAGTGGGTTGCTGTGCTGTCTCCGGAAGATTCTGTCGTTGCCCTTGGCCTGGCTCCCTGCCCGGGGCTGGTGCTGTGGTACCTACATCTTCAGGAAGCTGTGCAGCCTCTGCCATTGCCATCCCAGGGGGATCTGGCATCCTCCTAAGGACCGGGGCGCGTGGCCCAGATAAGAATAGGTGTTCCTTTGTGCTCATAAAACAGAATGCGGCGATGGTTGCTTTAGCCGTTTCTCACCATGCAATGCAGAGGGACAAAGGGCTGTGCTACACTTCCCAGTTACATTCTGAAGCTCATAAATGTATGAGAAGGTTTGTGATTTTGCACAAGGTGTGTGTAGTAAGTTAAATTGTTGAACACAAAAATGTTGCTGCTTGAGGCATAAGTTGGATAATAGGCTTTAAATGATCAGGGATTCAGGTTCATAATGAACTTCACAGTAAAGAACACGTTTGTTCTGTAAAGCATTGAACATCTGATTGTGTAGTGGTGGTCGTCTTTAAGATTAGAGACCTGGGAAGGCTGGAATCAGCCAGCCAGCCTACGGGGAGTTTGGGATGAAGGAGCCTGGGGTGTGTTGGATGAGAACAAAGGTGAAGGAAGGGGCAGTCATTGTGCTTGTGGGAGGAAGGCAGTTGTGTTTGTGTGTGTATGTGTGTATCAGTGCACATCTGTGTGCATGTGCACGAGCGTCTCTGTGTGGATCAGTGCACGTCTGTGCGTGTGCACGAGCGTCTGTGGATCAGTGCACGTCTGTGTGCGTGTGCACGAGCGTCTCTGTGTGTATCAGTGCATGTCTGTGTACGTGTGCACGAGCATCTCTGGATCAGTGCACGTCTGTGTGCATGTGCCCGAGCGTCTCTGTGTGGATCAGTGCACGTCTGTGTGCGTGTGCACGAGCGTCTCTGTGTGGATCAGTGCACGTCTGTGTGCGTGTGCACGAGCATCTCTGTGTGTGTCAGTGCACGTCTGTGTGCGTGTGCACGAGCGTCTCTGTGTGTATCAGTGCACGTCTGTGTGCGTGTGCCCGAGCGTCTCTGTGTGGATCAGTGCACGTCTGTGTGCATGTGCACGAGCGTTCTATGTGGATCAGTGCACGCCTGTGTGCGTGTGCACGAGCGTCTCTGTGTGTCAGTGCACGTCTGTGTGCGTGTGCCCGAGCGTCTCTGTGTGGATCAGTGCACGTCTGTGTGCGTGTGCACGAGCGTCTCTGTGTGGATCAGTGCACGTCTGTGTGCGTGTGCACGAGCGTTCTATGTGGATCAGTGCACGCCTGTGTGCGTGTGCACGAGCGTCTCTGTGTGTCAGTGCACGTCTGTGTGCGTGTGCACAAGCGTCTCTGTGTGGATCAGTGCACGTCTGTGTGCGTGTGCACGAGCGTCTCTGTGGATCAGTGCACGTCTGTGTGCGTGTGCACGAGCGTTCTATGTGGATCAGTGCACGCCTGTGTGCGTGTGCACGAGCGTCTCTGTGTGTGTCAGTGCACGTCTGTGTGTGCACGAGCGTCTCTGTGTGGATCAGTGCACGTCTGTGTGCGTGTGCCCGAGCGTCTCTGTGTGGATCAGTGCACGTCTGTGTGCGTGTGCACAAGCATCTGTGTGTGTCAGTGCACGTCTGTGTGCGTGTGCACGAGCGTCTCTGGATCAGTGCACGTCTGTGCATGTGCACACGTGCATGTGCATGTGCTTACACGTCTTTGTGTGTCTGTGTGCGTGTGTCCGCAGTTGCCCTGTCCTCGCTGTCCTCGGTTTGGCAGACAGGTCCCTCACCTTCCTTGCCTTTCATCTCCTGTGACCCTCGCCAGGCCCCTTCTCTGTCTTCTGCGTACGGCGTGTTGCTTCGTGACAGACGGTGTGATCGCGGGAGCTGTCTCATGCCTCTTGTTCTCCGGGCTGATTCTGAAAGAGTGGCTTGCAGGCCAATCAATGCAATCCTGGCAACCTGCCCGCCCTTCTTGCGGGCAGAGTTCTTTACCGTAAGCGTCCCCAGACCCTCAGGCCTGCGGAAACCTGCTGGGCCTTACCGTCTTTGCTTAGCTTTTGGCCTAGACCTTAAAGACCAGCAGTCTTCTGTGCTTTATCCTGCTGCCTCCAGAGTGCCATGGACAGATCACCCATTCTCGATCACTCCGGCAGCCTTTCGGATCCGGTGGCGCCCTTCCTGGCTGTGTCCTTCACCTGTGCTGTCTGGTTCTCTCCTGTGTGGACAGGGGATGATAGGAATTCCCGCTGCACAGGCCGCTGGGAGGACGGGCTCAGGTGACATCTGCCGAGGCTTTGGCTCACCAGAGGAGTTTGTAGATGTCAGTCATCCCCAAGTCACTAGGAACTAGCACGCCTGAGGTAGGTCTCGGAATAGTGTTCAAATCCATTTTACTATTGCGGCCAAGGAGCCCTCCCTCCAGCAAGGCGGCTCATCACATCACGTTACTCTTTAGGTCAAATGTAACCCTCCCGGTTTTATTTATCACTCAGGCAGAGTTTCTTAACCTTTTGTGAGTTACAGATCACTGAAATTCTGGTGAAAGCCAGGTAGGCCTCGCCGCAGGAGAACACATACATGGTGCACAGAACACACACAGTGCACAGAACACAGTGCACAGGAGAACACTCACAGTGCACAGGAGAACACGCACACGGTGCACAGGAGAACACGCACACATGTTGCACAGGAGAATTCACACACAGTGCACAGGAGAACACACAGTGCACAGGAGAACACATGGTGCACAGGAGAACACGCACACACGGTGCACAGGAGAACACACACAGTGCACAGGAGAACACGCACAGTGCACAGGAGAACACAGAGTGCACAGGAGAACACATGGTGCACAGGAGAACACGCACACACGGTGCACAGAACACACACAGTGCACAGGAGAACACGCACAGTGCACAGGAGAACACGGTGCACCGGAGAACATGCACACATGGTGCACAGGAGAACACAGTGCACAGGAGAATACAGACTGCACAGAACACACGCACAGTGCACAGGAGAAAACGCACACACAGTGCACAGAACACAGTGCACAGGAGAACACGCACACAGTGCACAGAGAACCACACAGTGCACAGGAGAATACGCACACACAGTGCACAGAACACAGACACAGTACACAGGAGAACACGCACACACAGTGCACAGAACACAGCCAGTGCACAGGAGAACACTGCACAGGAGAACCACACTGCACAGGAGAATATGCATAAACAGTTCACAGGAGAACACGCACACACAGTGCATAGAGCACAGACACAGTGCACAGGAGAACCACACAATGTACAGGAGAATACGCACACACAGTGCACAGGAGAACATACACGCAGTACACAGACACAGTGCACCGGAGAACACAGTGCACAGGAGAACACGCACACACAGTGCACAGAACACAGACACAGTGCACAGGAGAACACACAGTGCACAGGAGAACACAGTGCACAGGAGAATACACACGGTGCACAGGAGAATTCACACACAATGCACAGGAGAACACAGTGCACAGGAGAACACACACACACACTGCACAGGAGACCATGCACAGTGCACAGGAGAATACACATGGTGCACAGCAGAATTCACACAGTGCACAGGAGAACACACACAGTGCACAGAATTCATGCACACAGTGCACAGGAGAACACACACAGTGCACAGGAGAACACAGTGCACAGGAGAACACACACTGCACAGAACAAATGCACAGCACACAGGAGAACATGCACACACAGTGCACAGGAGAACACAGTGCACAGGAGAACACACAGTGCACAGGAGAGAACACACAGTGCACAGAACACACAGGGCACAGGAGAACACACAGTGCACAGGAGAACACTGCACAGAACACACGGTGATCAGAACACACAGTGCACAGGAGAACACACAGTGCACAGAACACACGGGGCACAGGAGAACACACGATGCACGGAACACGGTGATCAGAACACGGTTCACAGGAGAACACACAGTGCACAGAACACACGGGGCACAGGAGAACACACAGTGCACAGAACACACAGTGCACAGAACACACGGTGCACAGGAGAACACATGGTGCACAGGAGAACACACGGTGTACAGAACACACGGTGCACAGGAGAACACGCAGTGCACAGGAGAACATGCAATGCACGGGAGAACACAGTGCAGAGAACACACACGCACTGCACAGAACATGCAGTGGTGCACAGGAGAACAGTACACAACAACACATTCCATGCACAGGAGAACACACGCAATTCACAGGACACAACAGAACACACGCAGTGCACAGGACACAACAGAACACACGTGCACAGGAGAACACAGTACACACACAGCGCACTGGAGAACACGCACAGTGCACAGGAGAACAGAGTGCACAGAACACAGTCCACAGGACAGCACACGGTACACAGCAGAACACCCGCAGTGCACAGGAGAACCTAGTGCACAGAACACACACCCTGTGCACAGTTTTGTTTTGTTTTGCTTTTGCAATTCCAGGGAGCTCCCTGGCCTCCCACAGCCATTCATAGAGCCCATTCTGTTTGCGATAAAAACAGATCTCCTCCAGCTCACGTGAGGCTAGGCACGGGTTCCTCAAAACCTTTTTGGGCAGCTAGCAGCTTTGACTAGCAGCTCATCTCACCAGGCTGAGGTCGCTGCCTGTGAACAGTTGACAGACCTAAAGCCAGCCAGAATGTTCTGTGTCAGAGAGCCCTGTCCAATGGGCAGAGCTGGGAGACACGCAGGAAGACCCCCAGCCCATGCCCGTTCTCAGGCCTGAGGTTCATTCTCGTTCTCTCCCTCTTCCCTTTCCCCTTCCTCCCTCCTGCCCTCGAATCTGCAAGGTCTCTCCGGGTGGCTGTGTTCTGCCAGGGCCTCCCAGGCTCCAAGATCACTGCCTTCAGGGAGCCCAGGAAGAGCTGCACATCCGCTGCCTCTGTGTGGCAGGCGTGTCCGAGACTGCAACTCCTAGTTCCCACCTTTCACACCTCATCTCTCTAACCTCTTATGGAAAATTTCAAACATATGTAAAAGCAGGGAGAAATTGCATAACGAACCTACAGACCTATCACCCAGCTTCCACAGTCATCAGTGGTTTTCTGTTTTTATCAAACTTTATCTTTGTACTTCTTACAGTGCTTCACATTTAGCAGGTCCTCAATGAACATTAGATGGATGGATGGAAGGAAGGAAGATGGATGGATGGATGGATGGATGGATGGATGGATGGATGGATGACAGATGGATGGTGGAGGGTTAATGGAAGGAAGGAAGATGGATGGGTGGAAGGAAGATGGGTGGATGGATGGTGGAGGGTGGATAGAAGGAAGATGGGTATATGAATAGATGGCTGGGTGGGTGGAAGGAAGGAAGATGGTTGGATGGATGGAAGATGGATGGATGGATGGATGGAGGGTAGAGTTTTAATGGAAGGAAGATGGATGGACGAATAGATGGAAGGAAGATGGGTGGATGGAAGGAAGATGGATGGATGGAATGATGGATGGGTGGTAGAGGGTGGATGGAAGGAAGATGGATGAATAGATGGGTGGGTGGGTGGATGTTTGGATGGATGGTGGAGGGCAGAGTGTTAATGGAAGGAAGATGAATGGATAGATGGAGGGTAGAGTGTAGATGGAAGGAAAGGAAAGGAGGATGGATGGATGGATGGATGGATAGATGGATGGAGGAGGGTGGATGGAAGGAAGGAGGATGGATGGATGGATGGGTGGGTGGGTGGGTGGATGGATGGCGCAGGGTATATGGAAGGAAGATGGATGAATGATGGAAGATGGATGGATGGGGGACAGATGAATTGATGGCGGAGGATGTTAGGATGGGTGGATGGATGTATTAACATCCCTTCTCCATGCCTCAGTCCCCATCATAAGGAGAAAGAGCCTGTCGTCCCTCTATGATACTGCACTGAACCAATATTCCCCTCACTTCATGGGTGTTACAAACCTCTTATCATCTGTTTACGTCTCACTCTTACTGTAGAACCTCTAGAAAGGCAGGTGGCTTCCAGCTCCTCGCTTTTCCTGAGGGATGATCTGACCACCCATTCTTACACATGTCATCTTTCCCACAGTGGCAGTGCAGAGGAGACAAAAGCAGAACAAAAGCAGACAGCGGCCAGGTCTGAGGGTGATAGGCTACTCACTGGGTCCTAGTGTTCTGAACTACACCCTACAGGAAAGTGCTACTCAGTGCCCAGGTGACATCGTCACAAGGGGAACACAGTGGCTAAGAGGGCAGGGGCTCAGTCTCACAGACCTGGTTTCCATCCCACTTGCTCTCAGGAACCCTGGGCAACAACTGTGACCACAGTGTCTTCCTCTGGAAAGTGCCCAGCAGTGTTGGGCTCACCGTAGCTGCACAATAAATTGTCATGAGTGCTTTCCACTGTGTCCCAGGTTCAAGGCTGAAGTCACAACCCCACCCCTGCCACAGAGCCTGCCCCCCCGAGTGTTCCCCATCTCAGTCTGAGGCCCGACCTGTGCTTCCGGAGCCCGCGTCCCGTCCCATCTCAGGAGCTACTCTGCTCCATTCCCCCCGTATCCGAGACCTAAGTTCCGGCTCTCCTTATCTCTTGGAGCCCTGTCATCTGTGGATCAGATGCTCCCCAGCTCCCTCCATCCCACCCACAGGGTTTCACAAGAGGCCCAGCCATGCACCCTGCTGGGGTTCAGACTTGAGGGGTGCCACTGGAGTTGGGGTGCACCTGCTCTCACCTGTTCATGGGCTCCTTTTTCTTCTGAAATGCAGCGTGAGGCACCATGGAGGGAGCTGTAGACTTTGGCTCCGGCCAGTGCCCAGTTCAAATGCTGGCCCCACCACTTCCAGCTGGGTGGCCCAGGGCAAGCCACCTACCCTTGCTTTGCCTCAGTTTCCTCATCTTTAAGTGGCAGTAACCATAGTACCGACCCCACAGCCTGCTGAGAGGCTCAAAGGAGACGATGTATATAAAGCAGTTAACTGATGCCTGCCCTGGGAA
This sequence comes from Homo sapiens, assembly GCF_000001405.40. NCBI lineage: Eukaryota > Metazoa > Chordata > Mammalia > Primates > Hominidae > Homo > Homo sapiens. The sequence goes on from NC_000016.10 coordinate 83,922,705, forward strand.
GCAGAGCAGTCCCTGTCATGATGGGCGTTTCTACATCTGGACCTGGGCGCCACCATCCTGCTCACCTGAATGCGGGTTCTGGGATCTTTCAGTCCTTATTTGGATATTTGAATATTTGTTGGTTTTCTGGCTTCTCACAATTTCTAAGAGGTGACTAAGTGGATCATTCGTTCCCGGGAGAGGTGGGAATGGCTCCTGTGGACACGGCATTGCACAGGGGCTTGAGGGGACCTCCTGACCCCTGATGGCTGAGCACCCTTGTCATACTCCTCAGGGAGAGCCCAGGCCACCGGCTAGCTCCAGACTGGCTCTGCAGGGCCTCAGAATCTGAACTCCCTGTGGTCACTCTGAGGCCTCTCTGTCTCTCTGTGTCTTTCTCTTTCTACCCTCTCCATCCCTCCTTCCCTCTGAGGGCTTGACCTTCACTGACCTCCAGGGCAAGAACAACCAAGAGTTGCTCCCAAGAGGGCTTCCCTCCTCCTCGTTCTGTGTGGCCTCAGAAGTGAGGGAATCTCAGTGCTCTGTGCAGGCATGTGCTTATTCTGAGCTCTGTTTGAAATTAAACATGAGGTGTACTAAAGATTTAAATCGAGCAAACACCTCTGTGATTTCCAATTGGATTCTGAGGCGCTTACAGAAATATGAAGTCCATTTTGATCTACTCTTAGAAACAAAAGCTGCCCATGATTTCACCACAGAAAGTCTGCCTCATTTGCAGTTTAGCGGACTCACAGAGGTGACCCTAGATCTCTGTCTCGCCTTTGTTTGGTTTATTTCCACATTGCATTTGCGTTTCCCGCCTGGCTAGTTCTTGATCATTGAGGAAGGCAGAGAGAAACGAGATTCTCTGCTCTGGGCCAGGCATTCTCTGTACACGTTCCTGGTTCCAGCCTGCCTCCTTCCCTAGAGGATCACCGTGTCCAGCCCTGAAGCTGGAGCGAGTGTTCCTCACTTAGAGATGAGGCGATGAGGCGGCGAGCTGGGAGAGGGCTGAGCAGCTGGTGAGGGCAGAGTTGGGACTCAAACCCAGGCCCGACCACCACCCAGCTCTCCTTCCACCGCACTGGTCCACCTCCTGACCGTACGTGGGGAGACCCACGCAAAGGCCCAGAGAGGAGAAGGCCAGCAGTGGGCAGAACAGAGTGGGCCGCAGGTTTTGGCAAGCCTGGAGGGGAATAGGTCAGAAAGGTAGCCCGGCTGGGCTGAGAGACTGAGGACAGGGGGTGTTAGGGTGCTGACATTCTGGCAAGGGGGCGGGGGTCTGTGGAAGACAACCCCAGGCTGGGGTGGCTTCTCTCAAACCCGGGCATGCACAGTGCTGGCCGTATCGGTCCGAGCCCTCGGCTGCCAGGGAGAGAAGCTGAGCTCCCACCAAAGCATAAAATCCAGGCCAGCGAGGGGCAGCCAGACCACGGGAAGACAGGAGGAACCCGGACCTGGCTCTCGTGCAGGAAGCAGGCAGTGCACAGCTCCGCCGCCACAGAGACAGCCTCCTCTCATGACCCCAGACTCAGCCCGGGCCGTGGTGGGAACGATGGTTGGCCCGGTTTGGAGATGGGGGATCTGGCCCTGTGGTGAGTGCACCCAGAGCAGGTGTCTCTCCGGAGCAGTTGAGTAGAACAGCTGGCGTCACCTCTTCATGTTGACGAGGGGAGATGAGTGGCCCAGGCAGTTCCTAGAGCGGGGGAGATGGAGTGGGCCGTATCCCACCCAGCAGGAGCGCTTGCTTCTGAAGCTCCCGTGCGTCTGTGACAGAGGCTTGAACCCCCGGCTTGTTCTCTCACGTCTGTTGCCGTAAATCTGTCTCCATCGCCTGGCACATAGGAGAGGCTTGGCAAATATTTTTGGTTCACTGAAGAAAGGCAGCCCTCACTCCTGCTGCTCAGACAGCACCCCCTGAACGTGAGTTACTGCCTCCTTGAGCACTTTCGCAGGAGAGAAGACCAGAGAGCTGCCTTCAAAGATGCCAGAGCCATGTTTATTTAAGCGGCGCTGCTCCAGAGAGAACTGGCCATTTGCAGTCTCCACCCCAGTGTGGCTCACGATGCCACCTCTCCTTGCCAGCTCTCACCGAGGCCCCCGGTGACCTCCTAGGGGGTACATCCAGCCAGGTTCCCCCTCAGCAATGGCCAGGGGCCACCGTGGGCCACACTGCACTTCCCAAATGCTCCCGGCACTGGCACAGATGCACACCCTCTTGGCCATCCCCACCTGTGCTCCGCCACTCTTAGTCAGCCATTCCTCTCGGCTTCCGGGAGTCCCCTCCTTCTCTAAGGATCTCACCCCCATCCGTGTCTCTGCTGTCTCCTAACTACCGATAGCAAGGGCACTAGTGCCCCTGTTTGCCGGGGACAGGCCCTGTCTGGGGCCCTGGTGTGGCATCATTGTTAACAGAGCTTCTTTTCACTCTGAAGTGTTCAGTTAGGACAGTCACTTGCACAGTCCCCTCACTGGTGACACAGACACCCCATACCTGTGTGTTTCCCCTGCATAGCTCAGCAGCAGCTCAGGCTCAGCACGGCCAAGGCTGAATGCAGATGCCCTCCCTCCAAAACCTGGCCTCCTCCAGCTGTTCCTTCCTGGCGAGGCCACCTCCAACTGTGTAACACAGAAGCCTGGGTGCCATCCCTGGGGCTCCCCTCACCCCCACCTCCCACCCGTCCCCGGGCCCCTGGACAGACCACTGGCCTTGTTCTCTTCATTTCCCTGGCCCAGGTTACAAAGTCTCCTTCCTGATTATGTGCATTAACTAACCTCGCAGGTGCTCTGCCCACCTGCCTACGCCAGACTCTTCCAGATCCTTCTCCACCCCAGCAGGCAGAGTTGTCATTGTGAAATGCAAATCAGGTTCCATCTCTCCTCTCCTTTCCTACCTCCCACCATCCCCGTCACCCTCCCTGTCACACACAGCCCCCTCCGTGGCCTCTCAAGCCTGCTGTGGCCTGACCCTCCCCTCTGCTTTTCCAGGCCCTCCTGGCACTGTCCTCCCTCAGTCTGGGACTCCCTGTCCTCCCTCCTTCCTGCGTGGCACATGCTCCTCCCTCTTCTTGAAACGCTCTCCCCTCCCTGCCTCCCAGGCAATGCCCACTCTGCCTCCAAAGTTCATCCATCGTCCTCTCCTCAGGAAGATTTCCCTGGTGGCTTGACTAGGTCACAGTCCCCCTTTATTTGCCGTCTTCTCACTGGGGCCTCTCCTTCCTGGTAGCTTCTAAACAAGGCAGTTTCATGTGTGTATCTCCACTAGACTAGACGCTCTCTGAGGGCAGGGACCCTGCTTCGCTTCTGGCCCGAGGTGGCTGCAGGGTCTGCAAGATCATCAGGGCCCCCTCCAATGTGACACTTGCAGAGGGGACCCCTGGCCTGGGGCCACGCTGGTTACTTGGGTACACTCCTTGCCCAGGGTTCCACAGCCCCTTAAAGGCAGGGTCTTTCTGGCCACGCCTGGCCCTGGTCTGGCCTCCCCAAGGAGCCCTGCCGCTGGGGGTGCTGTGTGGGAACAGAGCACAGGCCCTCCCTCCCAGAGCCCACGAGATCTCACTTTCTCCAAGCCCAGCTCCCCAAGGACTCAGACCCCAGTTGCCCTGCACTGAACGCTGGCTTGCCCTAGCTCACTCGGACCCCACCCTGCACTGGGAAGGAGGGTCCCTGTCCCCGTTTGACGGGTGACGACACTGAGGCCCAGAGAGCTGAAGGGGCTGGCCGAGGGGACGGGCTTGGGCGCTTCCATTCTCACACTGCTGCCGTGACACCTAATCCATCCGGGGAAGTTCCCTTTAAACCCAAAAGGGGACGGTGAAGCCACACGCGGCCGCCCTTCTCAGGAGCCCACTTCCACCTCTCGCAGGCTAGACAGCGTTCCCCAAGTCCCCCCTTGAGCTGGGTGGGCTGCCCAGCTGTGAACACAAGGACACCTCCGATTTCGTCCTGTGAATGTTGATATTAGTGGTCCCTTCCTTCAGGGGCTGTGGGGATCTCAAAAGATAAGGCAGGTCTGGAGTCCTGCGCGGTACCTGCCGCATGGCAGGCTCTTTACGGACAGCGCAGGGACGCACTTTGATGCTGAAAATGAGTCTCTGGGACAGATGGATCCCAGTCTGGGTCCTCGCAAGCGCTGTGCACCCCGTCGCCGCGAGATGGCGGTGTTGCGCCCCTCCAGCCTCCTCTGCTCTGCGCTTGGGCGCTGAATGTTAAAATTCCTAACAGGTGAATCGCTTGAATCCGGGAGGCGGAGGTTGCAGTTGGCCGAGATGGCGCCACTCACTCCAGCCTGGCGACAGAGCGAGACTACGTCTCAAAAAAAAATAAAAATAAAAAAATAAAATCCTAACAGGTAGCATACCTGCACTCGGAACTTGCACAGCCGCTCCCCACTCTCTCACAGGGATTAGGTAACGATACTCAGAGCTAGAGCAGGCATTTGGGACTGCCCAAACCAGCTGCTCTTCCTGCTTTCTGAAGCTTCCCCGGGGGAATCTTCTGGCTCCCAGTCCGAGCCTCCTGTGGTCAGCTCCTCCTTGCCCAGTCGTCGTTTGCAGTACAGCAGGGGCGTGGTCATTTGCAAATGTCCCAGAGGGCCCCCTCCAGTCGCTTCACATCGGTCTCAAGTCGGGCTGACTGAGGGCATGACTTTCTGTCTCAGGCATGGAGCCCAGATCACAGATCGAAACTCCGCTAAATCTAGAGGCCACGGGTCCCAAACACCAGTCATTTGCTGAGCACTGTCGCAATTTTTTTATATCCCTCCCATCAATACAAGCTGGATTTTTTTATTAAGTAGAAGCTAAAAGTAAAAAGTAATATAAAAACAAAACAGCATTAAACTTCAGTTAGATACATTTGCTTTCTCTCTTCAAAAAAATCGGGGTTGGCGGGGGAGGATTAATAAATGTTAAGGTTTTTTAAACGTATATTACCAAACAGACTTTCTCTTTGAGGACTCAGAAAGTCCTCAAAAGACTCATAAAGGAGCAAGAATTGGAAAAGGATTAAATGAGATTATTGCTTCGTCCAGGAGCCACCAGATTATCACACATCTCACACCCTGGGCAATCCTTTGAAGAATTTTGCCTCTAGACATGCAAAGTGCACTTTGCCCTGGGTTTATCTAAGTCCTGCGCTGTCGCCCAGGCTGGAGTGCAATGGGGCCATCTTGGCTCACTTCAACCTCTGCCTCCCAGGTTCAAGCAATTCTCCTGCCTCCGCCTCCTGAGTAGCTGGGACTACAAGCACACACCACCATGCCTGGCTAATTTTTTGTGTGTTTGTAATAGAGCCAGGGTTTCATCATGTTGGCCAGGCTGGTCTCGAACTCCTGACCTCAAGTGATCCACCCGCCTTGGCCTCCCAAAATGCTGGGATTACAGGTGTGAGCCACCACGCCCGACTCTTAGAGATGTGTTCTGGAAACCCCAGTGATAAGCACTGGGACCAGAAGGAGAAGCTACATGCAGGTAGAAGCCAGACCTTGGCGTCCTGGGAGGAGGAACTTCCCTATGTGACCAGGAGTTGGGGCACCCCAGCAGAACCTGGCCTCTGCTTGGCACAGTGGCATTGGGGACCAGCCAAATCCTGCAGGCCTTCCAGAGCTCCAAAATACTTATTAAGCTTTCACTTAAAATCTCATTTGTAACTGCACTGGAAGTGGCCAATTCACAAGTGTGATGCATCAGAGATTAGCACGTTGGAACCACCAACATGTCACCTTGTGGTGTGAGGTCATCTCGACTTCGTAAGCCCTCAGCATACCCAGGCTTCTCCCAAAATCTGTGAGTTGCAGCAGCCACAGAGAGAACAGTCTGAAACTCTTATAATTTGCAGCTTTTTATCTGTATGAATCAGAGCTCCTGCCCATTCCTGTGCAAGCACAGACACAGGCTGGCTTAGAAACCAGCAGTGGACATAAACCTCTGCTGCCCAAGTGTTGCAATCCTCAAAGCAGCCTTGTGGTTGAAAGTGGAGATTTTTACCCACGACCTCAGGATCATGAAGGCAGCACCTATGGTAAAGCAGTCGATTGCCAAACCTCTTCTGAAAGGAATGTGGGGCTTTCACAACAATAATCGGCACTGGCCTTAGACCCAGGCAGGAGGGCACCTGCCACAGACCCCACGCTTGAGAGGCCCTTACGTGTCGCAGACCCACACGCAGGACTCCTATGTCCCTGGGATACAGCACTCAGTGTTGGCCCGGACTTAGCGTCCACTCTCGCACAACCACCCCCCAAGCCTCGAAGAAACACTGTCTGCGTCTCCCGCTTGACAACTTGGAAACAAAAGGCCACTTCATCTAAATGCTGTAAAGGCAGGTAGGTTGTGCATCACCAACAGAGACAGACATTGCACTGGAGTAGAGGCAGGGTCTGAGAGGTGGAAGAGCTGAGGTGAGACAAGAGGTGCAGTCATTGAATTGTCTGGTCCTTCCTCTCTGATAGCAGGAGTCCAAGAGCCTCTTGCCTGACAAAGTCCAGCTTGCCATGGTGCAGGTGTAATTTATGAATCTCACTCGACTGCATTCAGTTACTCATCCAGACGGTGCCAGCCCATCCATACGATGCACAGTCATCTCTGACATCTTGCTGACCCTTAGGCACATAAAAACATAGCTGTACCCAGTTTTTTTCCAACTGTATTGTTAGACAGGACAGAGGCTAGAAAATATTTTATTAGGACCCAGAGATGGGTCCTGAGCCTGGCATCGTCACTTATGAGCTGTGTGGCCATTACTAAATTTACAATAAGTAAATGTGTCCATTTTGGCTGGGCGTGGTGGCTCATGCCTTAATCCCAGCACTTTGGGAGGCCAAAGCAGGAGGATCACTTGAGCCCAGGAGCTGGAGACCAGCCTGGGCAACATAACGAGACCCCCATCTCTACGAAAAATAAAAATAATATTAGCTAGATGTGGCAGTGAGCACCTGTAGTCCCAGCTACTTGGGAGGCTGAAGTGGGAGGATTGCTTGGGTCCAGGTGGTCGAGTCGACAGTGAGCTATGATCGTGCCACTGCACTCCAGCCTGGGTGACAGAATGAGACCCTGTCTCAAAAAAATAAGTAAATGTATTCATTTTAATGTATAAAAACAATGTAAACCAGTAAAATTAATTTTTTATGTAAAATTTTTCATCTTGGCCTTCAAATGAGGTGTTTGTTGTTAAAACGCTTCTGTGGTCATTTGGTAAACAGAGTTTGAAACTTGAGCAAGACGATTAGCAGGCTCTGCCGAACTGCGCTGCTGACGCTGCAGGCTGAGCTGCCTCCTCCCTGGCCCTCATGTTCATTCTCAGGTCGGCTGTCAGTGGCTGCTTGCAGTGGTGACAATGCTGCTGGGTGCTGCTGGCTGCAGGCACCTCTTGGAATGAGCTGTGATTTTTGTGTCTCCTTTTGCAGCTCCGACTGGAAAGCCTGCATCAACACAGAAGGACACTTGCTCCTTCTGATCTGCAAAGGCCCAGGTGCCCACAGGCCTGGCCCCGGGGCTGTTCCCACAGCTGGCATGGACGACCCTCTGAACATTTCTGATGTCATCTGCCTTATCTTCCTAGGGTCTGTGCTGTCCTTAAGCAGCAGCGCTATTCACCCTGGGATCTGGGGCAAAGTGCCGGTGTCCACATGAGGAGGGGTAGGAGGTGTCCCTGGGGGTGGGGAAGCAGTGCTGGGTGGACATCGCTGCCCAGAGGAAGCGGTGGACAGACGGGTGTGCATTTCTCCTCCCTCGCAGCGGCTGCCCATGCAAGGGCAGCTCTTAGGAGAATAACCACGGGCAGACAATGAATTATGGGCAGAAATATGGTGGTGAGGGGGTCTCACCCCTCAAGGAGGGTCCCACCCAGAGCTCCCCACAAGGCCAGCAGCCTCCTGAGCCTCATTCTCCTGGTGGAAGGCTCCGAGCTGACCAAGCCCTGACCTGATTCTGAATGTGTCGAGCGGTGGAGGAGTGTCAGTCCAGCAGGGGAGTTCCACGGAGAATTTCCTCCCTTACGGGAAATGGGATGGAGGCAGGACAAGTAGAAACCTCTGTCCCCACAGCCAGCAGGGCCGCCTGGGAGGAGGCACAGGGAGGGTACCGAGGTTGGTAGAAACCTCCATCCCCAGGGCTCCCACATCCTCACAGCCAGCAGGGCCACCTGGGAGGAGGCACAGGGAGGGCACCGAGGTTGGTAGAAACCTCCATCCCCAGGGCTCCCACATCCTCACAGCCAGCAGGGCTGCCTGGGAGGAGGCACCGGGTGGGCACCGAGGTTGGTCTGGGTTTGAGCCCTGCGCCAGCACCTGCTTGCGTGTGACCGTGGGAAAGGCACATCCTTCAGCAGTTGTTTACTGAGCACCTACCGTGTGCAGGGCCCTGTGTACCCATCATCACAGCAACCCAACCTGCCCCTTGGGCACACCTTGGCAAGATGTGCCCCTTTTCCAGGTGCTATCACCGAGGCTGCAGTTGCTCCGGAGGAGCTGCAGCAGAGGACGGGAGCGGGGCCGGCTGGGCCCTCAGGCAGAGCCACCCTGAGGCTGCCCACCACTGACCGGGCACCCCAGCAAGCCCAGGGCAGGACTTTGTGATGCGACAAACGGCCCAGCCTGGCCTCTTGTCCCCCAGCTCCCCTGTTACCACGTCGGGGGGGTGTCCCCTGGGGGAGGGCCAACCCCAGTGTGTCCACTCCTCCCCGGCCAAACTGGTCACCTCTGTCACCTCTGCTGCACCCGGCCCCTTCGTTGTCAGGTAAGGAGGGCCTGGAGCAGGGAGGGGCAGGGGCTGCTCCAGGAAGGGGTGAGGTGTGCTGGGGGGCCTGGTAGGGCCAGGCAGGAGGAGGGGCTCCTGGGCGGTGGCCCTGGAGGCAGGAGGCTCAGCTTGTGGACTCTGGGGTGCAGGTGGCCTGGGTGGGAACCTGGTGCTGTTGCTTGCCCGTCGTGTGATCTTGGGACAGTGCCATAACCTGTGAGCTGCCATCTCCCTGGCAGTAAAATGGCTCCTCGGGTCTCTTCCTCGCAGGGGTCCTGGGAGGTGAAGTGAGCCCCTCCACGGGAGGCCCTGGCACTCGCCCCACGTGCAGACCGCGCTCGATACACATCGCCCATAGTCATCAGGCCCCGGAACCGACCGCCACTCATGCCTATCTCAGCCAGGCTTGGGCGCTGTCCTCTGGTCACCAGCCCCTCGTTGATTCCCCACCCACTGCCATGCTGGGGCCTGGCCCCTTCATCCTGGTGGATGGGGGAGAGCGGACAGCAGGAGCAGGTCTCCCCAGCATGCCTCTTTGCGTCTACATCCTGTCATTCTCAGCTGGCTGTGGGTGGCACTCACCTGGGGGAGGCTTGGGTCCCCGGCAGAGGCCTAGCATTAGGTTTTCTGACCCTGAGTCTCATCTGTGAACGAGCTTGCCCAGGGGACTCTGTGTGCCCCACAGTGTGTGACTCAGAGAATAAACTACAGGCCCTCCAAGGACGCCCATGGCCACCCCCAGCCTGTCCCACCACAGAACGGCAGATGCTGCAGCCTCACCGGGCTTTTGGTTCCCGTGTTCAAGACCATCCCCTTCTCTGTCCAGCGAGCTCCATTCAGGGCTGAGCAAGAATGGCCTCCAGGATCCCACAAGGAAAGGCGGGGCTGCGGTTTGAACCCAGATCTCTCCAGACTGTTCCACTACAACCCATGGCTGCCCATGAGAACCACCTGGAAAGCTTTGGACAACACCGAAACCCAGTTCCCAACCCCAGACCGCAAGTAGAGTCCCTGGTCAGGGGCCCCACCCAGCCCTGTGATCCCAGCTCCACCAGCAGAGGCAGCAGATCGGGGGTCCAGGGCCTCAGTGCACTCCCATCCCCGTCGGGGTGCTCCGGCCCTGCTCCTCCACCCCTCAGCCCTGGCTCCCAGCACTCCAGACTCACACTTGGTTTTGGAGTCTTTGCCCAGGAGTAACCCCCAAACGTGTCCTGGTCCTTCCTACGGTGGCAGGCACTGGGGAACCCTCAGCTCTGAGTGTGGGAACACGTGCTGGGACTTATCGGCGTGGTAGGTCCAGCCAGGTTTGAAGTTGGACAGGCCCACTCCCTGGAGAGACACCTGGTCCCATGCACACACAAAGGCCACGGAGCCTGTTAGGTGGAGGCTCCTGGGGCCTCAGCTGCTCCGACCTCACCTCAGGAGGCTCAGCCGCTCTGACCCCACCCCCGCCACTTCCTGGCAGGATGACCTTGGGAAGGCTGTTTTGCCTCAGTTTCCTCATCTGTAAAATGCCTAGAACGGCAGCTCCCTCATGAGGAGGCTGAGACACCCCACGGTGTAACACAGGAAAGATGCTGAGCTCTGCCGGTGTGGTGGGGAGCGATGAGTGCTCCAGAAACGGTCCCCACGCTCCACTGTGTGCCGGAGCCTCTGCACTTGGGCCACCGTTTCCTGCGCCTTCTGTAGGAGCAGCATGGCCTTGGCGCACGCTCGCCCTGCGTGAGCATGGTGTCACTCTCCTCCCGTGCCGTCTCTTTCCCATTTTAAACATCTCCAAGGTTGACAGCAAAGGCTTCTGGGGCTCCAGGGTCACAGCCAAGGGCAGATGAGATCAAGTACAGCCACACTGCCACCCTTGTTCCCTTCATTTTGTGAGACTTCGCCTCCGGCAAACACGAGGCCCAGAATGTTCCACCAGGGTAGCAGCAGGTGCCCAGCTTGGGGAGGGAAGAGGCGCCGAGCGACCCCCCCAGCCCCTGCCCTGCGCATGCCCCTTGTCTCCTCGATGCGCCTCCCCCACCTCTACAGGGCCGGCAGCTGTGCTGGAGCCCAGACCTGAAACTGGAAGGAAAGATGATCCTCCACAGACTTCTCATCAATCCTTTTGCCGGGGTTTAATCCCCCTGCAATTCCTCCTGAATGAGTTTCCTGTACCTGACATCACCAGTGACCACAAACTAAGTGGCTTAAAGCAACAGAAATGTACCCTCTCATCATCTGGAGCAGAAGTCAAAATTCAAGGCATCAGCAGGACCCCCGCCCTCTGGAGCTTCCAGGGAAGGATCTTCGTTGACTCCTCCGGCTTCAGGGGGCTCCAGGCGTCCCTTGGTTCTAACCGCTGCCTCTGTGGTCTTGTGGCCGCCTTCCCTGGGTCCTCAGATCCCCCCCTTGCATATAAGGACACTTGTCGTGGGATATGGGGCCCACCCTAAATCCAGGATGGTCTCATTCGAAGATCCCTAACTGAATGAATTCTGTAAAGACCCCTTTTCCAATCAAGGCCGCATTTACAGATTCCCGACACGTCACTGGGAAGCCACCATTTGGTCCTCAACATCCCGTCTCCTCCGCCCCCAGATGCGACGGCGTCTCAGCAGCGACTTGGAGCCATGCAGGGTTTCTGTTGTGGTTGTTCACTTGGGTAAGCTTCCTGCTCTTACCGACAGTGGATGACACACTCCCCACTCCCACGCCACTTCATGTTCCTTCGGGAGCGGAGGGGGTTGGAAGAATAAACACCCAGATCTTCAAGACGTAAAGTCCCTTGCAGAGAACCCAGACCGGCCCCCTTATTTATGGATGAGAATCCTGAAGCCCAGATTGTGGCTTTTGAACTAAGCTCACAAATCCATCTGATTGTCTGCACCCTCGCCACCACCCTAGCCTCTGGCCCAACCTTTGCAGCAACAGGCCCTTCTCCCAGCAGCCGATGGTGGCCTTTCTGCAAACCCCACGAGAGCCTGCTCCTGCCCTGCTCTTCCTCCCAGCCCCAGCCCCCCTCGGGGCGACAGCAGCCTCCATCTCTGCCCCACACACCTCAAAGCTCAGCTTTGGCGCTGAACCCCACAGAGCCCCGTCCCCTCCTGTCTCGGCCTCGGCTTCCATCCCCGCTGCGGGGCTTCTCTGGGCCCAGCTTTCCTGGCTAAGGTCTTTGGTCCTTAATCTTACTTCTGCAGAAGGTCTCTAAGCCCCCTAGACTGGCTTGGGGGGTGGCATCTCAGCCTGCCCAGCAGCGTGCGCCATGGGTGTGGCATTTGCCTCCCGCTTGCTCCCCTCCTCTGCCTGTGAACGCCGTCTGACGGGTCTTGGCATTTGCCCCCCCAGAGTTAGCCCCGTGCCGGATGAACAAGTAACAGGTGTCCCGCGCCAATTCTCTGGCCAGAAAGAAGCCAGCTCTGGCCTGCTGGCCCTCAGTCCAGGGCTCGTTGTGGCTTCTGCAAAGGGAAAGCCAGCGGCCACTCCTGGGGAGTCGGGCTTAAAGCATCCTGCAAGGGGTGACCCTTCTGATGTTGTGTCTCCAGGGACAGAAAGGCCAGTCCCAGAGGGAGGAGACCGTGGCCCTGTTCATCTCTTGCTTAAAGAATGCATGTCGGCCCAATTCAGGCAAGGGTATGTAGGGAGCACTTACTATGTGCCAGGCAGTTGAGATACACCAGGGAAGAGAGCAGAGGACACCCTGCCCTCTGGGAACCTGCATCCCAAGGTGGGGACTCAGACAAACAAATGAACAAGGAAGTGTGTAGCACCTAAAGCGCCAATGAGACTGTGTAGAAAAATGTAGCTGCGTGAGCGGGAGGGAGTTCCGGTTTCATGCAGGGAGCGCTGGCCTGGCTGAGAAGACGCTGGAGCACAGACCTGAATTCACTGAGGCAGCGTCGTGTGGGCGTCTGAGGGAACAGTGTTCCAGGCACAGGGAACAGCCAGTACAAAGGCCCTGGGGTAAGAGTCAATCAGGAGCAGGGAGGAGCCCAGGGAGATGGAGACGGGGACAAGGGACCCAGCTCAGCGGTGACTTGTCGATATCCGGCGTGGTCAGCAGAGGGCTTTGTTCTGGTGTGGGTGTCCCGGCCGCTGTGTGGAGGGTGTGTTGGGGGCACCGTTCAGCTGGGAGGCTTTGCAGCAACCCAGGGTCACAGGGAGGGGCCCAGGGGTCAGAATCCAAATCTATTTGCAGGTGGAGCTGGTGGGTTCGCGAAGGGACTGGGGTGTGAACGAAAGAGGGGGCAAGGTTGACTCAGGGTTCAGCCTGAGCCACTGAAGCAAGAGAGCGGGGCTGGAGTGGGAAGGAAGGAGGCGTGGGCAGCGCCAGCTTTGGCGCCCGGGCAGGGAGCAGTGCGAGTTCCCAGGGAGAGGAGGCGGCTGGGCACGTCCTGCCCCGGGTTCACCCTTCACCCAGAAGCCCCTTTCTTCTGCTGAGCCTGCAGGCAGGGCCTCACCCACCCACCCAGGTGGGACCCAGCCCACCCGGCCCTCCCAGAGCTGAGTGGCTCACACAGAGGGACACCGTGTCCCTAAGCGCCTGGGACACAGCCCCATTGCCCTCGCAGCCCAGCAAGACTCCCAGCCCCATCATCACTCCGCCCGCTTGCCTGCTGCTTGCCACCCAGAGCAGGAGGCAGCATGCCTGCCAGGGCACCCAGCCTGCAGGGACGGGCAGGCCCGCTGAGCCCTCCTTCCAGGACGTGGAAGTGTCAGAGACACAGCTCCCAATTAAGGGCCTGGGCAGCACCCAGAAACCCTGGACCTCTGCCAGCTGCAGACTCTTCCTAATCAGGGGAAAAGACCCCGAACCCAGGCAGGCTGACCCAGCATCCAGACCCAGCTCTGTCTCCCCAGCTCCTCCGCTGCTAATAACAGTAATAATAACAATGGCAGCGACCATTGCTGCAGAGGTTACTGTGTGCCAGGCACCATTCCCAGCGCCACCCGTCATTCTCAGTCACGGGAGATGGCTGCTGTTTTCCTCTCCATTTTGCCCTGAGGAAACTGAGACCCAGAGTGGTTAAGTCACTGGCCCAAGCCACACAGCCGGGAAGCAGCCCCTGAGGCTGGTTCCTGACTCCACTGCCTCTCGGCCCTGTGGGGTCAACCCTCTGTCCCCCTCTCCGCTATTGCCATCTTCACCCCCAGAGCTCCACACCCTCGGGTCCTACTGCTGACCTCAGACCCACAGGGCCCTGCCAGCCCCCAGGCCTCTGCCTGTGCTCTTCTTTCTGCCTGGAGTGCTCTTCCCGTGGCCGGCTCCCCACCCACTCCTCGGGCCTCAGTGGAAAAGCCCCCTCTTCACAAAGGCCAGCCCTGGTGGCCCATCTTCCCCCCGCATCAGGACCCCGTCTCGCCTTCCTGCTCACTCATTCATTGAATGCAACTGTACTGAGCATGCGCTGAGTGCCGTCTGGGCCAGGGATGAAACAGAGAATGAGGACAGCGCGGTCCCAGCTTTGGCAGACCTGACCTCCGGCACAGGGTGTGCGTTCTTGGGCACAGCTACCAGCATGGCCGGTGCTGTCATCTGACCTTCTCCTTTCCATCCTCCTTCTTAAATATTCATGAGCTCATGGGATCGTGCCTGAGATTAGCTGGTCTTCCCGTATGACCCTGGAGAATCACTGATCGTCGTCGTCACCCAAGTGAATCCTTGTTGCGCTGCCCCTAGGTCCCCCTCATCTTGGGCTCTCCCCACCCAGCATCTGCCATTTCCACCCTCAGGAAATCCCTCCTGCTCCTCAGTGGGAAGACAGAAGCACCAGAGTGGCTTCAAAGGTGAGTCCTCAACTGACAGAGCTTAGGGCCGGTGTGGCAGATGGCATGCCCTGAACTGGCTCCCATGCTTCCCAGAATGGCCGCTATCTGTGGAGTTCTGTGGAGCACAGGCCTAGTTTGAGCCCCTCAAGACCAAGTTTTGAGTCTCCTCATTTTACTGGTTTCTCTTTTCTGAACATTTTCCAACTTGGTGTTTCCATTAAGCTGTGGGGCTCAGAACGTGGTTTCATTGATCAATGACAAATCAAGCAGGACCATCACCTCCCACATTCTGTAGACTATGCCCTTATTAATGTGACCCAAGATTGCAATATAGAAAGATCATCATCCTCTTGCCTCTCCCACTGATCCTAGCTCTAAGGCAGTGGTTCTCCCCAGCCTACACAATGCAATCATTTGAGAATTTAAAAAATCCAGGATTATCATCTCTGGAGATGGTCTCAGGTGATTACGATGGGTAGCCAGAACCAAAAGATGGAGATGCTGCTGTCCCATGGCCTCCTAGTCCTCTGAGCCCCAGCCACTATCCCTAACTCCTTAAG
Source organism: Homo sapiens (assembly GCF_000001405.40). Taxonomy (NCBI): domain Eukaryota; kingdom Metazoa; phylum Chordata; class Mammalia; order Primates; family Hominidae; genus Homo; species Homo sapiens. Next base: position 83,937,727 of record NC_000016.10, read on the forward strand.
TCCCTGGTCTCCAGGAGTTTAAGGGTGACAGTCGGCATTTATGCCAGCTGCTAACCATGGTTCCCAAAGTGTGTTCCAGGGAGCAGTAGTGCTGCAGAGTGCAAAGCTGCACATCTCTTTCCAACTCCACTGTTCAGAAGTATTACACTGGTAACGTGACATTGATCATGGTGGGAGTGTTCACGCCACAGATATTGGTGGACTGCAAAACAGGGCTTTCCACAGTGCCCCCCAAGGCTGGTGGTTGGTGGTGGTTGTTTTTTCTTGACATGGAGTCTCGCTCTGTCACCCAGGCTGGAGTGCAATGGCATGATCTCGGCTCACTGCAACCTCCACCTCTCACATTCAAGTGATTCTCCTGCCTCAGCCTCCTGAGTAGCTGGGATTACAGGTGCCTGCCACCACACCTGGCTAATTTTTGTATTTTTAGCAGAGGCAGGGTTTCACCGTGTTGACCAGGCTGGTCTCAAACTCCTGACCTCGTGATCCGCCCACCTCAGCCTCCCAGAGTGCTGGGATTACAGGCGTGAGCCACCACGCCCGGCCCCAAGACTGGTTGTTAAACATTTGTCAACACAGCACTGTCCTGACCACCCACTCCTCTCACCCTCTGGACTCTGTCACAGCCACCCATTGATCAAAAGCAACCAGAAGCCAGCTGGCCAAAGCGCGTAAGGGTGCAGAGCCTGGGGCTCAGCCTCCTGGAGCTCAGAGCAGGACAGAGGAGGTGGAAAATGGATGGGGGAAGCCAGTAGAAAATGATCAGCCTGCCCACACCTGCTCTCAGGGAGACATGACACGTGCAGTCAACATGTTCCTCTGCGTGAGGCAGACCTGCATGCCAGCACTGAGCCAGGCGACCACCTGGTAGCTGGATGATCCATCAAGGAGGCTCTGGTGCCCTGCTTATGTAATAGACCACGTCAGCCCCATGTACTAGAACCTCTTTTTAATTTTTTGGAATAGTGATAACATCTACTCAAAGAAAACGATGCTCCATTTTGATTGATTCATCTCTGACACATTCCTAGGCCAGGAGTCAGAAGCTCTCACACTTGAGCATACATCAGAACCCCTGGGTAGGGGGGAGGTTAAGAACATGATTGCAGCCGGGCACGGTGGCTCAGGCCTGTAATCCCAGCACTTTGGGAGGCCGAGGCGGGTGGATCACCTGAGGTCGGGAGTTCGAGACCAGCTTGATCAACAGGGAGAAACCCCATCTCTACTAAAAGTACAAAATTAGCTGGGCGTGGTCGTCCATGCCTGTAATCCCAGCTACTTGGGAGGCTGAGGCAGGAGAATCACTTGAACCCAGGAGGTGGAGGTTGTGGTGAGCCGAGATTGTGCCATTGCACTCCAGCCTGGGCAACAAGAGCAAAACTCCGTCTCGAAGAAAAGAAAAACGATTGCTGCGCCCCAGAGTCAGACCAGTGTTTCTGATTCTGTGAGTCGGGAGGATGAAGGGTGCCCACGAACTTGGATTTCAAAATCCCCAGGTGCTGCTGTCCTGGCACGCCACTTTCAGAATTCACTGCTGCATGTAGACTAAACTGTAATACTCCCCTCCTCTGACAAAGCCAAAGTGGCTGGCTGTGTTATCACCCCAGCAGGCATGGAGGAAGGGCCGGGCCTCCTCCTCGTGGATCTAGGTGGCGTGCGTGGACCAGGGTTTGCAGTGAATGAAAGGCCAGGTGTTTGCAAAGAGGGCACCAGATATGGGGAGCCCTGGGCGACCTGCCCAGGAATCCTCCATGAGGTGCCGGGGCAGTACTGCAGCCCATGTATTTCAAGGATATTCAAACCGAAATGTCCTGAATGTCAAGGATAACTTGCCGAGAACAAGAGGAAGAGGCCTTGTCTACTCAGAAACCAGGAACTTACAGACCAAGCCCCACCCCGGCAGAGGAAGGAAACAGGAAGTCGGAAGAGAAGTCTAGGGAGAGAAACAGTCACGTCCAGGCTAAGGAAGATGCCACATGTCAAGGCAGAGGAATTTGCCTCTCAAAGCAGGAGTGTGGCTGAATCTCAGAGACACAACATCAAAACAAACCAGACGCAAGAGAGGACACTCTGTGTGATTCCATTTATGTCAAGCTCAGAACAGGCAAAACTACTCTGTGGGGACAAAAAGCAGAAAGGGGTCAAAAAACTGAGGGTCCCAGGCCGGGCGCGGTGGCTCACACCTGTAATCCCAGCACTTTGGGAGGCTGAGGAGGGCGGATCACGAGGTCAGGAAATTGAGACCATCCTGGCTAACATGGTAAAACCCCATCTCTACTAAAAATACAAAAAATTAGCCGGGCGCTGTGGCGGGCGCCTGTAGTCCCAGCTACTTGGGAGGTGGAGGCAGGAGAATGGTGTGAACCTGGGAGGCGGAGCTTGCAGTGAGCCGAGATCGCGCCACTGCACTCCAGCCTGGGCACAGAGCCAGACTCCGTCTCAAAAAAAAAAAAAAACAAAACTGAGGGGCCCCAAGGAAGGCTTCCAGGAGGCTGGGCGTACTCCCCGTCTTGTCCTGGGTGATGTTCACAGGAACAGGCATCTGCAGAGATTCACGCTGCTGCCCCCTTCAGCGTGGAACTCATCGCTCAGCCTGTGCCTACCCACACTCAGTTCCACGGATTGACTGCATGTTTGCTGAGGCCTCCTTGTCCTGCTGGGCTCTGGGGACACAGCTGGGGAGGAAAAAGTCACCATCCCTGCCCTGACTGTACAGCATCCTCAGCGACAACACGAACCCAGTGTGCTCAGACAGCCCAAACCAAGGTGGCTTCGAGGAGGCAGGTGGAGGTGGCCAGAGGATGCCGGTCAGGAACTCGGAGGAGTTAGCAGGGTGAGAAGATGCTTTAGAGATCTTAGAAGACAAGGAGGCTCTCCCCAGGAGGGCGAGGGAGGGACTTGTGCTCCAGGCAGAAAAGACAGTTTGTGCAGAAGGACAGAAATGGCGTGTCCTCAGAGGACAGTGGGCTTTCAGTACGGCTGGAACATGAGGTCCAAGGTGGGAACGAGTCAGAGGTCCAGCTGAGGAGACCCGCAGGGCTGGGGGATAGGAGGTCTGTGGCTCAGCTGAGTCTAAACTTTTCCTCTGAAGGCCGGGCAGTCATCAAAGCGCTGTAAGCAAGGGAGGGGCGTGGCCTGCTTTGCAGGTAGAAAGCCCGCTTGGTAGCAGGGAGCAGGGGGCAGGATGCTGAAAGGCTGCTGTGGAAACCCCGGTGCAGTGGGGGCAGCCCTCTGGAAAAGTGGGTGCAGTTTCTAATACACATCACCCTCACCTTCCCTGTGGCCTAGAAGTGCCGCTTCTCAGTCTTCACCCAAATGCCCAAATGAAAACAGATGGCACACAAAGACTCCCATGGGAACGGCCCGGCAGCAAGCTGGTGACAGCGAGCCTCCATCGCCGGGAAACAGAGCTGCAGGTGTTCAGGCAGGGGACGGGTTCAGCAGTGAGAAGGGGGAACCGCTGGTCTGCACATCGGTGTGGTGACCAGCAGAGACGCAATGTCGAGCCACAGAAGCCAGGCACAAGAGAGAACGTCCTGCGCGGTTCCATCTATGCCAACATCGAGAACAGGCACAACTGATGTATGGGACGGAAGTCAGAAAAGGGGTTGACTGCTGAGCCGGGCCCGGTGGCTCACGCTTGTAATCCCAGCACGGGAGGCCAAAGCGGGATGATCACTTGAGCCCAGGAGTTTGAGACCAGCCTGGGCAACGTGACACGGGGCACACCGGCAGGAATGCCTTCTTTTTTTTTTTTTTTTTTTTTTTTTTTGAGAGGCAGTCTCACTCTGTTGCCCAGGCTGGAGTGCAATGGCACGATGTCGGCTCACTGCAGCCTCCACCTCCCAGGATCAAGCGATTCTTCTGCCCTCAGCCTCCCGAGTAGCTGGGATTACAGGCACACGCCACCATGCCCAGCTAATTTTGTATGTTTAGTAGAGATGGGTTTCACCATGTTGGTCAGGCTGGTCTCTCGAACTCCTGACGTCATGATCCATCTGCCTCAGCCTCCCAAAATGCTGGGATTACAGGCGTGAGCCACCGCACTCAGCTGGAATGCCTTTTTTTTTTTTTTTTTTCCAAGACTGGGTCTAACCCAGCCTGGAGTGCAGTGGTGTGATCTCCGCCTCCTGAGTTCAAACTATTCTCCTGCCTTAGCCTCCCAAGCAGTTGGGACCACAGCCACACACCACCATACTGGGCTAATTTTTTGTATTTTTAGTAGAGATGGGGTTTCACCATGTTGGCCAGGCTGGTCTCCCAACTCCTGATCTCAAGTGATCCACCTGCCTTAGCCTCTCAAGGTGCTGGGACTACAGGTGTGACCCACCGCGCCCGGCCTGGAATCACTTTTTGGCTCGTCTGGTCTGGTTTTCAGAGCAGGAGCCTCAGAACCTCCTAGCCAGGAGTGCACTTACAAAGTTCCTGGTACAAGCCCCACCCACAGCAAGGCCGCGGAGATGCAAGCTCCATTCCCGCCGCTTCTCTGGACAGTGGAAAACTAGAGACAAATCTAGAGAGGGTTGCCCAGACCAAGGTAAAGCAAAGAAGGGCCTCCAGGCAGAGCCGCGCAGTGCAGTTGCGGGGAGGCGGCCACGGGCGAGCCCACGCCCTGGAAGGACAGAGCAGAGAAACCGGGTGGGGAGGTCCTCCCAGGTCAGTCCATGCAGGGGCCTGTCAGTGCTGGGCCATCAGTCTGGGGTGGGCCTGGGGACAGCAGGAACTCCTGCCGGATGTTCAGTAGAGCAGGGCAGGGTCTAATTTGTAGTATATCAGATTCTGGAGGTATCAGAGCCTTGGTAGAAAAGGACAGGACTCTGGAATCCTGCTTTGCCTAGTGACAGGAGCCCAAAGGCCAGGAAACTCCCCAGAATGCCAGGAGGCCCGGCACTATGGCTTCTCTGTAGAGAAAGGTGCAGAGTGGACCAGGCATGGCAGCTAATGCCTATAATCCCAGCACTTTGGGAGGCCGAGGTGGGTGGATCACAAGGTCAGGAGTTCGAGACCAGCCTGGCCAACATGGTGAAACCCCGTGTCTACTAAAAATAAAAAAAAAATCAGCCGGGCGTGGCGCCTGCAATCCCAGCTACTTGGGAGGCTGAGGCAGGAGAATCACTTGAACCCGGGATGCAGAGGTTGCAGTGAGCCAAGATTGTGCCATTGTACTGCAGCCTGGGTGACAGAGCAAGACTCCATCTCAACAACAACAACAAAAAAGAAAGGTGCAGAGTGCTCGCAGGCTGGGCTGGCCCTGCGTCTGGAGAGGGGCATGGCTCACATGACTGTCAGTTATGTCACTGACCCTACCTATGCCAGAAGTCAAGGCCTAGAATGTTTGTGGAGTCTGATAAGAGCAGTACACAGGGTTTGTTTGGTTTGGTTTGTTTTGTTTTAAAGCAGCTGTGGGAAAAAGAAAAAAAGGAAAGTGATGGTCCTTCCCCCTCCAGAGGGACAACGACCTCTCTGTCGAGGGCAAGGGACTCGTGCTGGAATGGTCACACGCTTGTTAGGAAGGAATGGAAGCCTGGGCAAGGGACTGGAGTCTGCAGACCTCCTCATGCTGCAAAGTGACCTCCTGGTATGCAGGGGACCTGGGCACTCGCCCTTAGGGCCACTGTCACTGCTGGGTCACAGGAAACCGGCAGGGCCCTTGGGGGCAGGGACACGCAGGTGGGGCTCCAGTTTTCTGCAGAATGAGGGAGGCATGTGCAAGAACCCAGCCGTGGGGACTGACAGCCCTTCCAGGCAGAATTCTAGCACATGCTTATGGGTTAGGATCCTGTATGGAGAAGCTGTCACCCAGAGGGTCTACCCTGGATTCCCCAGGAGGGCCAGGCCACATGCCTGTCATTCTTGCTGTGCCTATGGACTGGTCCCAAGGAGGGTGTAGGCAGAGAGGCCCCTGGTGGAGTTTCTCATCCTAGCCTAGAGTAGCGGCTCTCAAACCCAAGCAAGCATCAGGACCACCCAGAAGGCGCGTGAAAGCGCAGATGGCCGGGCCCACACCCAGAACTTCTGATCTACTGGGTCTCGGGTGAGCCTGAGAATCTGCATTTCTGATGCGTTTCCAGGTGCTGCTGGTGCTCCTGCTGCTGCTGCTGCTCCAGGGACCCACACTTGGAGAATGACTGCCCTGGAGGGCAGTTGTTGGGAAATGCAGGCTGCATGGCAGGAAAGTGACTGGCTGCAGAGAGCTGGATGATTAACACCCACAGGGAAAGGCCCAGGATTTGGTGGACAGAGGTGGGGGGAACCCACCGTTTACGGAGGAGCTAGGACGTGTCAGGCAGCAAGCCACCTTGGGGAACAGGTATTACTATTCCTGTTATATAGATGAGGAGATTGAGGCTCAGAGAAGAGAAGCAACTTGCCCAAGAACACCCAGCTAGGAAGTTCCAGAGCTTAGACGCAACCCAGAGTTCCTGAGTGCATGGACAGGACCCTTTCCACCTAGCCGTCTTCCAGGAACAGAGCTGTTCCCACTGGAGACAGCATCTCTAATGGTGAACCACAGGGCTCTGTCTTCACCTTTGGCCAATTCAAAATTATTATCAAACACGTAAACATATTGACAGGCTCACTCCTGTAATCCCAGCACTTTGGGAGGCTGAGGCAAGCGAATCACTGGAGTCCAGGAGTTTGAGACCACCAGCGTGAAGAACATGGTGAAACCCCAACTCTACTAAAAATACAAAACTGAGCCGGGCATGGTGACACAAGCCTGTAATCCCAGCTCCTCAAGAGGCTAAGGCACAAGAATAGCTGGAACTCAGGAGGCAGAGGTTTCTGTGCACCACTGCACTCCAGCCTGGGTGACACAGCAAGACTGTCTCAAAAAAATAAAAAGTAAGTGTATGAAAGGCGTGTCAATCCATATGCATACAGTATAAAGCCAAGAGGAGCCACGCCTGCTGAAAAATGTTTTAAGAGTTGGCCAGGCGCAGTGGCTCACGCCTGTAATCCCAGCACTTTGGGAGGCCGAGGCGGGCAGATCACCTGAGGTCAGGAGTTCGAGACCAGCTGGCCAACATTGTGAAACCCCATCTGTACTAAAAATACAAAAATTAGCCAGGCATGGTGGGGCATGCCTGTAATCCCAGCTACTTGGGAGGTTGAGGCAGGAGAATCGCTTGAACCTGGGAGGCAGAGGTTGCAGTGAGCAGAGATTGCACCACTGCATTCCAGCCTGGGTGGCAGAGCGAGACTCCATCTCAAAAAACAAAAAAGAGTCTATCAGCAAAGTCTGAAAGCAACGGGATTCATTCCTTCCTTCAATTAATGTTTATGGAGCTACCGTTATGCCCTGGGCCCTGTGCTAGGCATCTGTGATACACCCAGTGAACTCAGCAAAACACAGAAGGTCCTTGTCCCACCGAATTGCCTTTCCTTAGGATTATTGTTCATTACACAAATATAATGGAAATTAGAATTTTAAAAACTCACATAAAATTCCTTGGCCCTAGCAATCAGTCTGGCTTCTTTCTTTCTCCCTGATCCCTTTCCAGCTCCTGACCAGCGGCCTACACATCGGACGCAGCATCAGCCCGGTCTCATCATCTGCTTGTCTTATTGCCGCTCTGCCGCCTGGTTCTCTAACTCCTTTTCTTAAGGCTGCATGATATTCCTCTCTGGGCATTTGCCTGTGTTTGCTGAATGGTTCTCATAGTTGGACACGGAAGTTGCTCCCAGTTTTTTCACTATTAATATTAGTATTAGTATTAATGCTGCAGTTGATGCCTCCTTGTCTATTGTAACCATTTCTCGATTGGGTGTTTTTCCCCTGGAACTTTTTCCTTTACGATTGTAATTTGGGTCCGGCGTGGTGGCTCACACCTGTAATCCCAAAACTTTGGGAGGCTGAGGTGGGTGGAGCACTTGAGGTCAGGAGTTCCAGACCAGCCTGGCCAACATGGTGAAACCTCGTCTCTACTAAAGAAAAAAAAAAAAAAAAAGACTGTAATTTGGGGCTCAGAGTATGGCCACGCTTAGGATGAAAGACATGAAACGGCCAAGGGGAAACGCCAAATTCAAAGTCCATTGAGTTCAAAGTCAGTGTTATGGGAACTGAGTCAGGGAAAGGGCTAATCCTGCACGCGGTGAATGAGCAAGGTGCCGACGGGGTTCTCTCTTCCAGGTGGCCGATTCAGAGGCCCTTTGGGCTTCCCGTGAGCCACCCCCACCCCAACCAGGGTCATCAGCAGGCCCCTGCCATCCTGCTGGCCTGGCTCCTCTGAAGATGAACTTTTCCTTTAGAACCTGTGGCTGTTCCGTCAACGGGGCAATGAATGTATTTTACAAAACAGATGGGCTGCCAGGTGGAGTGGGGGTGTGATGTATGTGGCACCTCCACAGGCCAGGCAATTTCTGGGTTGCATCTCGGCTCATCCTCCAACAGCCGCAGGGATAGAGGCTCTCAGCCCAGGCCATCGCCGGGGACAAAACTCCCCATGTCCAGCCACACCCCAGCCCAGGGATGTCAGACCCCTCTGGGCCGGGGCCTGGGTGTCAGTGTATTTTAAAATCTCCCCAGCGGATCACAATGTGCAGCGGAGACAGAGGCTCCGCCAGCAGACAAGTGCCGCTATCCCCGTCTCACACACAGAAATGGAAGCGCTGAGAGGTTCAGCCACAGGCCCGGAGTCACACAGCCGAAAATGACGGAGCCCAGTCCCAGCTTGTCTGACGCCAAAGTGGAGGGCTTTTACACAGCTGGGCCGGACCTCCTGACCACTCGAACTCTGCGGCAGGCACATTCCCTCTCCCGCCGAGATTCTCCCTTGGGTTTTAGAAAAAAGAGGGAGGAATCAGGGAACACAGGATGTGGCTGCCTGAAGACACGGGAGCCTCCGCAGCCTCACCCCTGTGCGGCCACCCTTTCCCACCCTCCTCCTATGGCTCCTCACCTTCCTCCCCGTTCCCTGGGCCCTGGCTCCCCAGCTGTGACACCATCTTCTCCAGGGGGCAATAGTGACCCTGCACCCCCACCCCCTGGAGCTGGGTGATGCTCTCTCCCCTGAGCAGGGCGCTGACAGCTCACACCCGTGCCCTCAGTGGCTTTGTCTCCAGACAGACTGAAGTCTGAATCCCTTTACCCCACTTCATTTCCTATGGCCTTGGGAAGGCTCCTCCGGCTTTCTTCGTCTGTAAACTAAAATCGGTATTGTAAATATCTGCTCACCTCTGTGTTCTGGGAGAATCGATGAAACAGTGTGGGTGAACAGGCTCTGTAAACCTTGTGGCACCAAACAAATATTAGTTGTTTCATGAGCTGGAATGGCCTGACCTCTTCATGCCACAGCTCCGGGCAGGACGGACTGACAGCCCCAGCTCTGCCATTGACCATGACTTGGGCCACACCTTACACTCAGGGCGTCCGTTTCCTCACCTGTAGTGTGGGGAAGATAATAGCACCGTGCCCTCCTCGCTGGACTGGTGTGCAGGTCTAAAGCACGGGCCCAAGAAATCCACCTACAGTGTGGGTGGCCGTGGACATGGGCGGGCCCTTCAGGACCTGCGGGCTGGGGCGTGGTGAACACGGCCGTGTTTCTGGACCTGTGCCTTTGCACCTGAGGCAAGAAGGAGGCTTCCTTCCTTGCTTTGCTGTATGTCTTTGCCTGGAGGTGCCCAACTCTGCAGCTGGGTTCGAGCCTCAGCTCTGTCACTCACACTGTGTGGCCTCAGGCTTGAGATCCGCCTCTCTGAGCGTCAGCTGTGCCTAAAGAGCCCTCTGTTCACAGTGCCCAATGCCTGCAGGTGCCCAGCAATGGCAGAGCTGTGGGAGCCACTGGCTGAGGAAGAGGGAGGCAAGAGACAGAGGCGGGAAGGGATGAGGAGGAGTCAAGAGAGGCCCCTTCGAATAGCTCTGGGATTTCTTAGGCAGAGAGTGATGGTGGTTTTCCAACAGGGGCCCAGGGATCCGTTTTGATACCAAGAACACCAGGGATGCAACCTGAGGCCACCCCTACCCGCTTTTCCCTGGCTTCTCAGCTCCCAGACAGCCTGCAGGGGGGCCGAGGGAGGCCGAGGGAGGCCTGGGGAGGGGGCCTGCCATCCAGCACCAGGGGCTGCTGTGTGGGAGCTCCTCCCCAGTGCCAGGCCCCTTCCTTCAGCCTGCATGGATCAGCTGCCACCACCCCAACACTCCACGTTGGCAGGAGCAGTACACAGATGGGGAAACCGAGGCTCAGAAGGAAAGCACCTCTACTGACCGCACTGCCTGCCTGGGCGCTTGCAGCACTGCAGGGTGACCAACTGTCTTGGCTTACCCAGGCCTGGGGGTTCCTGGGACAGAGTGAGGCTTTCAGTGAGAAACCCTGGAATGTCCCAGCTCCTGTTAGCAACAGTGCCGAAGTCCACACCAGCAGTGTCCAACAAAGACCCGACGAGAGCCACGTGTGTGTCCTCCAATGTCCCAGTAGCAAAGTTAAAATGAAAAGAGATGGGTGAAATTAATTTTAATAATATATTCTTTTTTTTTTTTTAAGATGGAGTCTCGCTCTGTCGCCCAGGCTGAAGTGCAGTGACTCAGTCTTAGCTCACTGCAACCTCCGCTTCCCGGGTTCAAGCAATTCTCCTCCCTCAGACTCCTGAGTAGCTGGGATTACAGGTGACCGCCACCATGCCCTGCCAATTTTTATATTTTTAGTAGAGACGGAGTTTCACCATATTGGCCAGGCCGGTCTCAAACTCCTGACCTCAGGTGATCTGCCCGCCTCAGCCTTCCACGGTGCTGGGATTACAGGCGTGAGCTACCATACCCGGCCTAATTTTAATAATATGTTCTATCTATCCCAGTATGTCAGATATTTTCCTTATTTTCATTGCAACATGTAATCCATATTAAAATTATGAATGAGATATTTTACCTTTTTGGTACTAATTCTTTGAATTCTGGCATGTATTTTACATTTACAACTGCAGTTGACAAAATACAGGCTGCCAGGGAAATTTGAATTTCAGATAAACAAGAAATAAACTTTTAGTGTAAGTATGTCCTGTGCAATATTGAAGATACACTAAAAGTTTGTTTCTTATTTATCTGAAATTCAAATTTCCCTGGAACCTCTGTTGTCTTTTGCTGCCTCTAGAAACCCTCTTGTGAGCACGCCTGAATTTGGAGGATCACGTCACAAGCTCTCAATAGCCACTTGAACTCATGGCCTTAAAGAGCACAAGGCAGGTCCAGGGGAACCAGGGCACCCACTGGCACCCAAGACAGCCAGCCCCCTCAAGTCAGCCTGCAAAGACCCATTTGGCTCCTCCCCTCTCTGCAGCCCCTCTAACCATCGCCCTTTTGCCTGCCCTTAACAGTATCGGCCTTTGTCTTAGTCAAGCTTTCGAGGAGCAACTCAGCAATTCTGTTACCGATAATCACCTAACAGGTAAACAAGATGGCAGGGAGGAAAGTCCACGTCTCGCCCCACAGTTCCCCATATCAGCAAATCTTCAAATTCTAGAACAAGGTCAGGGTCAGCAGGGGCAGGGCAGGTTTGGAGGAAGGCCAGGCCAAGCCCAGGAGAAGAGACAGGGTCCAGGGAAGCCCACCTCCTTCCTGGGTCTCCCCTCCAGACCCCCAAGACCCCCAGCCTCAGGCCTTCTCAAGCCCCAGCCTTAAGGAGTTGAGCACTCCAGGGTGGGGGGTCTCTGATCCTGGGTGCCTGTCTCTCTCTGCCTCAGTTTACACATTCAAAACCACTGGGAAGCCACAGACCAGGCACCGTGGGATGGGGAAGTGGAGACCGAGAGGCTGCTGCCGGGGAAATATGCAGTGCAGACAAGAGGTACGTCGGCGGCAGCTGCATCCCTCCCTGCCCTCATGTTCAAAAGCCCTGTCTAGGTCCTGGTGTGTTGGAGCTGCACATTCAGAGCGTCAGAGTGTTGGTCACAAGGCCACAGCTGGAACAGAAGCCCAGAGAGGGAGGCTTCCCCCCCCAGGTCACACAGCACACCTGAGGTGGGGCTAGACACTGGCCAGGAGCTGAGGCTCAGAGCAAGGGGCTTCCTGCTGCCCCTCCACCATGTGGGGCACTGCTCCTGAGGGCCCCGGGAGGAAAGGAATACGAGGGCCCATTTCCCCTGGGTAAAACTGAGACTGAGGGGCCATGCCTCGTCAAAGCCTACCCAGCCTGCCAGGGCTGAACCCACAGACAGCTCCCACCTACCCAGCCTCATGCAGGGTGCAGCCCCAGGCTGGACGCATCACGTGATTTTGGGGGCCTAGTACTAAATGGAAATTCAGGATATTCATGTCAAAATTAACAATTTTAAGGCAGTGGCAGCAGAGCATTAAACCAAACTCCGGGCTCTTCTGATCACAGGGCCCTGAGCACAGGTCACCCAGGGAAGCAGAGGAGGGGAAGGAGAGACGCAGCTCAGTCCCGGCTCCCTCCCCAGCCCTCCAGGCTCTCTGTGCACATGGCCCCAGCTGTGCCTAACCTCTTCCCTAAGCCTTTTTCACCCCAGCTTCTCATTGTGCTCCCTAAACCCTTACCCCCAGCTATCAGGCCCTCCCTTACTGCCAGCACTGGCAGATACGCACACACAGACATGCGCATACATACCAGCACACACGTACACACACATGCACACGTGAGCACATGTGCACACATGCACATACATACTGGCACACACGTACACACACATGCACACATGAGCACATGTGCACACATGCACATACACACTGGCACACACGTACACACACATGCACACATGAGCACATGTGCACACATGCACATACATACTGGCACACACGTACACACACATGCACACATGAGCACATGTGCACACATGCACATACACACTGGCACACACGTACACACACATGCACACATGAGCACATGTGCACACATGCACATACATACCGGCACACGTACACACACGCACACATGAGCACATGTGCACACATGCACACACATGCACACATGAGCACATGTGCACACATGCACATACATACTAGCACACACGTACACACACATGCACACGTGAGCACATGTGCACACATGCACATACATACTGGCACACGTACACACACATGCACACATGAGCACATGTGCACACATGCACATACATACTGGCACACGTACACACATGCACACATGAGCACATGTGCACACATGCACATACATACTGGCACACACGTACACACACATGCACACGTGAGCACATGTGCACACATGCACATACATACTGGCACACGTACACACACATGCACACGTGAGCACATGTGCACACATGCACATACATACTGGCACACACGTACACACACATGCACACGTGAGCACATGTGCACACATGCACATACATACTGGCACACGTACACACACATGCACACATGAGCACATGTGCACACATACACATGCACACACATCCTCATTCCCTCTCTCTCTCTCTCGCCCTCTGTAGGTTCCTGCTACTCTCACCTCATCAGAGTTGTTTTCTACCAGGAACCAGCCCCAGCCCCAGCCCCAGCCCCTGCTGGCAGATGCTCCGGTACCCTGGGCTGTGGCTTCCAGGATGTGCCTGACTCCAGGGCAGGGCTGTGGCCACCAGGGCCAGGACGAGGGTGAGGAGGGGGAGGCATCACCTCAGGCACAAAATTTTAGGGGCAGCAAAGCACTCCCATCACCAGAATACATACTGTGTCCATGCAGTGTTCTTACACATCAAAATTCATGAAAAAAAATCCAGAATGGAAAAAATATCAAACTTTTATTATAAACACAGACGGCATCGGAAGTCCTGGTTCTCCTCTTCCCATCAGCCCCAAGGCACTGCTCTGGAACCTGTCTGGGTTTATCCTGGCTTTTTTGCATTCATTTAGATTTTTTTTAATTGCCTCAAAATATTATTTTGTTTACTGGTTTTGGTTCCCTCTTAAAGTTTGCACTCAAAGGTGCACCCCCATCCCCCGCCCCTCGAGGGTGGCAGACAGGAGGACGAGGGCGGGCGACAACAACATCAACACTGAAAACAACAGCGAATGGACACTGAGGTCATGTGTGCACCGCGGCAGCTCCCTCCCTCCCTCCCTGCCTTCCACCCTCCTTCCCTCCCTCCCTCCTTCCCTTCCTGCCTTCCTCCCTCCTTCCATCCCTCCTTCCCTCCCTCCCTGCCTTCCTCCCTCTTTCCCTTCCTCCCTCTTTCCCTCCCTCTTCCCTTCCTCCTTCCTCCTTCTCTCCCTGCTTTCCTCCCTCCTTCCCTCCCTACTTCCCTCCCTCCCTGCCTTCCTCCCTCCTTCCCCCCCTGCTTCCCTCCCTACCTCCTTCCTTCCCTCCCTCCTTCCCTCCCTGCTTTCCTCCCTCCTTCCCTCCCTACTTCCCTCCCTCCCTGCCTTCCTCCCTCCTTCCCCCCCTGCTTCCCTCCCTCCCTGCCTCCCTTCTGTTTAACCGATGTTGAGTGCCTATGTGTCCTAAGCGCTGTTCTAGACACTGTGTAGAGCAGTCACGAATATACTTCCCTGCCCACACAGAGCTCACATTCTGGTTTGGGAAGAGAGACAATAAAATAATTCAGAAATAGGCCAGGTGTGGCATCTCACGCCTGTAATCCCAGCACTTTGGAAGGCTGAGGCGGGCGGATCATCTGAGGTCGGGAGTTCGAGACCAGCCTTGCCAACATGGTGAAACCCTATCTCTACCAAAAATACAAAATTAGCCGGGCGTGGTGGCACATGCCTGTAATCTCAGCTACTCAGGAGGCTGAGGCAGGGGAATCACTTGAGCCCGGGAGGCGTAGGTTGCAGTGAACCGAGATCGCGCCATTGCACCCCAGCCTGGGAAACAAGAGCGAAACTCCTTCTCAAAATAATAATAATTAAGAAACAGCAAGGTGTGGGGTGTGCAGTGCTACCCACATAAAACAGGAGAGAAGAGCCTGGGAGCAGGCTTCAAGTTCTAAGCATGGCAGACAAGAAGGATGTCATGTAAACCCTCACGGCCACTCTGGTAGAGACAATCTGTGACTTGGCCCCAGTTTTCAGATGAGGAAACTGAGGTGCGGGCCCTAAGGCAGCTTGCCAGAGCCCTGCAGCTGGGAAATGGCAAAGCTGGATTCGCAGCCCAGGCAGGCTGGTGCCAGAGGGCTTTTGGGGATTGGAGGGTGCAGTGAAATCCAGGTGGAATGCGGGAACTGGACGGGGTTTCGCCACTTAAAGGTACTGTTATTTTAACTGTGTGCGGGACAAAGCCATCTCCTCTTCGCTTATGGCAAAGGCCAGGCTGGCTCATTCAGAGGTCACTGGTTCCTCCTCCAGAGACTGAGCCCCAGGGATGGGGGTCTGGCTAGGGGGAGGTGGCTGGGAGGGAGCGCCACCCTAGGCCCCCTGGCAGGCCGCCCAGCAGGGGCCCTTTAAGGCTGGCCATGAGGCAGGCAGCGTGACACCCGCCCAGTGTGCAAGTTCATTCATCACGGGCCCCTGCTGACTCACGCTTATGAAAGTGATTTTCCTGGCCCCGCCCACTGCCTGCGCCGCCTCCTCCCTCCCCGTGAAATACCCTCACTTCCCTCTGGCCTCTCAGAGCCTCTTGGATCCCCACAGGGTAATGGGTGTCCCGATCTCGCGGGGGACTCTGTGATCCGTGTTCCCCTGACCCTCCTAGTGCACAACTTGGCCGGGCTCACTGGGCTCCTGCACCACTGCCTGTCAGGTGAGTGTCCGGGGCCAGGTTCCGGGGCAGGGAATCAGGCACATCCCAGGCACCCGTGGCAAGCCCAGCTGGACCGGAGGGTCTGCAGAGCCCTGGCGCCAGGCGGGGGTCCCGGGTGGTCCTGAGTGGAGGCCCTCGCCTGGGTTCTCTGGAGCCCGGCAGGATTCTCCCCTACACCAGGTTCCTCCCAGATCCTCAGCTGTGTCCCTGTCCAGGTGCCTGGTACCCTCAGCCAAGCAGCTGAAGCGGCCACAGTCCCAGCGTACCCTGGGCCATGTGACCGCCGCTCCTAGCAGGAAAGAGGGGTGTGGCCAGCCCGGGCTTACTGCCCAGCTGTTCCAAGGCCACTGGGTCGGCAGCCAGGCTGGGTGCCTTCTGGGTTTCTGCTTCTCCTGCTCAGGAGGGACAGAGCCCTTGGGTGCCCATGAACAGCCCCCATCCCTGGAGGTCCCAGCGACTTAGCTTCTCTCAGGAGGCTCAAGAGTGCGGCGGGTTGGGAGGGCGGCCCCTGGGAGGCTGGGGAGCTGCAGGAGACCCTGGGCTCCAGGTGTGCGGCACTGGGGCGAGGGCTCGTCTGTGATAAATGGCAAGTGCCGCTTGCGTGGACAGACCACCCCCTCACACTTTAGCGCCCCCAGGGCTTCGTGTCACTTTCTTGGTCTCCCTGTAATCAGCTGTTTTACTGGAGGGGACTTGGCAGAACTAAGATTTGTCACATGGCCGTGGTCTTGGACCCTCCTAGGTGACCTGGGGCAAGACGCCCACTCCTCCTGACCAGCTTTTCTTCCTCTGCACAATGGGGATAAGAACACCCACCTCCTGGGGTGTCTTCAAAGGCAAAGGAGTAAATGGCCACTAGAGGTGCCAAAGAAACGCAGACATACAGGTGTCCCAGAGTCTCAGAGCAGTTTGCAGCTTTAACAACCTCAGAAGTACAAATGCCGCACACTTGAAAGAAACGTCAGTCGAAGGTGCAACTGTTTTCATTTCTTTTATCCTGTTTGCCTTTGTGAAATTTGAAACATCAATTTTTAATGTTAACTTCTTTCCATCAACATCTGCCATCTTCAATTAAAGGGACTTAAAAAGATAACATTAAAAATTGATTCTTCCAACTCCGTAAAACTAAAAAGCACAAAAGGAATTGAAATGAAACTTTTGAACTCTCTTTTGTAAGTTGGCAGCATATTTGTCCGAGGTTATGAGTGACAGCGTCAAGCTGCTTCGGACTTTGGGGCGTCCTGTGTCACTCTGAACGGGAAGTGACTTCTCAGGTCCAGCCCCTGGGTGGTGACCTCATGTATGTGGCATCCAGAAGCTTCTGTTCAAGAGCCTGAGGACAGTCCCAGGAGGGAGCCCTGGACTTGGAGCCCCAAAGCCCTGGTGGTAAACCAGTGTCCTCTGCTGCCTGCAAAGGGTGGGAAGGGGCAGCCAGTTCTGATTCCTCATTGGCCAGCAGGGGCTCCTGCAAATGCCCTTCTTGGGGTGGTGGGAAAATCTGAAAGAACAAAGGAGGGGCAGGGCATGGCCCAGGGTGGGCGCACTGGGGCAGATGGAGCAGGTTGGCTCACTCGTTTGGTGAAGGGGCTGGGGTGCCTGGGGGTGTCAGCCCACGGGGATCAAATATCAGTTCCATCGCCCACCGGCTCTGTAGCCTCAGGGCACGGCTTCACCTCTCCTAGCCTTAGTCTCCTCATCTGCAAAGTGGGTTGCTAGGAGGATCAAAGGAGGTGATGCGGGGAAGCCCTTTACCAGGAGGTCCCATGCTCCCCAGTGGCTGCTGTTCCCGGGGACCATGATGAGGACTGAGGGGCCCAGAGCCATTCGAGGGTATCAGGAGCAAGCCAGAGAAAGCACTCTGAGACCCGTAGTCCTGTTCTCCAAGGCCTCTGGGTATACTCAGCACCCAGAGTCAATGAGAAATGATCCCTTCCCAGCCAGAACACCAGGTCCTCAGCTGTCCCTCTGCCTCCCCGCCTGCCACTAGCGCTGCGACAGAGAAGTGGGGGACCCTGGAACGGACACTGCACGTTCCACCCGGCAGAGGGGTCTCAGCAGGACCTCTCACAGCACTTGGGGCACAGAGAAGGCTCTGGAGCAGGGCGGCCTGGGCTCTGATCCAGCCCAGCCTGCAAGAGCTGGTTCAACCACCTTGCAAACTATAAAGGGCGGTGAGAAACGCTCTGGCCCTCAGAGTACTTACAACAACCCGATTAAATAAGGATTCAATTTGTTAACGTGTATTAAGTGTTGAGATCATGCCTGGCACCCAGCCCACTCCACAGAAGTATGGAAATGTCAGCCACATGCTGTCTTTGTTGTTCTTGTAACTACTACTACTATTATAATTGGTGGCAGCGTCCCCCTGAAATCTCCCCCTCAAGGCAGGCAGCCTGGGGTCTTGTAGGGAGCTGAGCATGAAGAGGCCATGTGGTCCCTGGTGACTGCAGCGTGTCACCTTCCTTCTCTCTGGAAAGGGAGGAGGAGGTCTTCGGTGCTGGGCACACGAGCTTGCCTAGACAGGACACGGAGGCTGTCCCTGGCCCCCACGCCAGTGGAGGCAAGAAAGGCTATGCTCAAGGGAGCAGAGAGCACCGACACAGGGGTCCCTGACAGACCCCTTCCCCGCTAGGCACATCCTCACCCTCGGAGCCTCCTTCTCCTCACCTGCAAGACAGAGGTGACAGGGCTCACCTCTCAAGGCTGCTGAGCGGGCTGGACGCTACTGCTTAGATGCAACCTCCTTGCAAACTGTAGAGTGCTCTGAGAAGGTCAGTTGTTGTCACTGTGGGGGCGACACATAGGTCCTCTCAGTGGCCCATCTGTGTGGCAGTTTCTCATCCCTCTCCTCGGGACCTGCCTGGAGGTGGACGAAGGTGTTTCTGTCACCCTGCACACATCAGAGGCCACACACTGGTCTCAGCTGTGTTTGGTTGGCCTTTTAAGCATCTTCCAAAACTCTGCGTTCATTCATTGCCCACTTCTTCAACTCAGATCATTCACATAGAAATCCAGATTCCCACTTTCTCTGGAAGAATTCTGGAGGCAGGTGGCCCTGGGCCCCCACCCCTGGCCACTCTGGGTGGTCCAAGCCCTGTGCCCGCCCACTTGAGTGTGACACCTGGATGGGCCCTGGATCTCGAGGGACAGGCCGAGTGGTGTGGGTGGTGGCACTGGCAGGGTCTTGGCACCAGTGAGCCCTGGGTTTCAAAGCCAGCTGTGTGACACTGAGAAGTTTGTGCGACCTCTCTGAGCCCCGTTTACACATCTGTGAAATGGGACATTAATATGGCCAGGGCTGCACAGGGTCAGCGTGAGGCGGATATGAGAAAAAGCATGTCAAATACCCGGTACACAGTAAGTGCCAAATGCTCATCATCCCTGTGCCCACAAGGGTGTTGCCTTGTGGTCCTCAGGATGGCAGCATGTGGCCCTCGGGTGAGGCTGGTGTCCGCTGCTAGCTGGTGTGGGGAAGAAGGTAGGTCTGATGCTCCTCTGGGAACCGGCAGCTCTAGGACCAGCACTTGGGTCCCTTTGAGCGATTTGGGCCTGCGGCCAGCAGAGGGCGCGGCTGCCCCAGAGATGGCAGGTTCACCAGCACGTCCCCAAACCTGGCCACTGCTTCCATTTCCCCAAGTCCATCCCAGCTCCTGGGGCAGGCCACAGCGCTGGCCCATTCCCTGTGGCAGATTCACTCCAGGCAGGTGCTTCCCGTCTGTGATCCTACTGTGTCCCTCAACCACCCTAGGAGGTAGGGACTCATTGCTTCCATTTTACAGATGAGGAAACTGAGACCCAGAGAGGCCCGGGAATGGGATAGGAAGCAACGTGCCAGGGCTGGATGACGAGTCCACCAGGCCACACTGGGACTCGAGGACTGTGGCCCACAGAAGGGTCTGGCAGGGCTGGTTCCTGGGTTGGGCAGGAATGGCCTCTCGGGAAGACAGATAATGAGTTTCGGGGACTGTTACTGCCCCAGTGAGATGGGAGAGTAGAGTGAGGCTCGGAGGGACAGTGGCTGCCTGGGGCAACCAGGCCCGAGGAGGGGAGGGCACATTCTGCATGACTGGGGAGGGGTGGGGCAAACAGCCTGTTTGGAGCAGAGGCTGTGTGAGAGCAAGAAGGGAGTCCCGTCAGATATGTCTCATGGGGACCCCGGACCAGACCCTGAGGGCCACAGGAGGCCACCCTAGCTGGGAGGTGAAGTGGCTGTGTGGACACCCAGGCCTCACCCGAATGGACTCTTCCTTCCCCTCTCCCCCACTCCAGGTCCGCTGCCAGCCCCAAGCCCCCCACCAGCCATGAGCTCCTCCAGAAAGGACCACCTCGGCGCCAGCAGCTCAGAGCCCCTCCCGGTCATCATTGTGGGTGAGTGTCAGGCCCCAGCCAGGGAGGGGCTCCGCTGAGCCTTCCGGGTACCCCCCAGGTCTGAGGGCAGGAGCTGGGCAAGTCCAGGCCTGGTGTCTTTTTTCGTTTTTGGGGTTTATTTTTTATTTATTTATTTATTTATTTATTTATTTATTTGAGACAAAGTCTCACTCTGTCGCCCAGGCTGGAGTGCAGTAGTGCAATCTTGGTTCACTGCAACCTCTCCCTCCCGGGCTCAAGCGATTCTCCTGCTTCAGCCTACCAAGTAGCTGGGATTACAGGTGCATGCCACCATGCCCAGCTAACTTTTGTATTTTTAGTAGAGATGGGGTTTCGCCATGTCGGCCAGGCTGGTCTCGAACTCCTGACCTCAAGTGATCTGCCTGCCTCAGCCTCCCAAAGTGCTGGGATTATAGGTGTGAACCACCATGCCTGGCCCAGGCCTGGCCTCTTTACAGTGGTCTTTAAATTAAGCCATTGAGCGTTTACTATGTGGCCAGTGCTAGGCTTAGCAGTTTATAAGCTATCATTCCCTTTCACACTTCCGAGAACCCAGGGGTCTAGAACACACCCATCAGCTGGAGGCGACCCGGCGTGGCGCAGGGAGGCCTGGTCCTGAGCCCACACTGATCCCATGACTACCCTGTGCCCAGCACTGTGCTAGGTGCCCACATGAGAGGACACACAGTAGCGGCTTATGATTCCTGTCCTCTGTCTGCACAAATGGGGACAGATGACCCCCCAGTATGCAGGCGTCCGATTAAGCCACGTGAGATGGTCATTTCTGTAAGGCAAAAGCAGATGGGTGCCTGTGATTTCATATGGTTCTTCCTGGTATCCTGCATATGAGTAATATTCCGAATCAGACGAGATAAGAAGAGGGGAAAGGACAGATAAAAAGAGAAGCGCTATCACAGGGCTGTGCCTGGTGAATCGCCCAGGAAGCGCCACAGATGGCAGCGCAGTTCTTCAGACGTGCAAGCAGCAGACCCAACAGGCGGCTCAGCACCCCTGAGCGCCCACAAGCACCCACCACTCAAGTTCGCCCCCAGGCCACGTAGCAATCTGTGCTACATTCACTCATCCATCTGACCTAGTTCTTAGCAATCTCAGAATCTCAGTCGCGTCGTCAGATATTCCCTCTGTCTGGGTTTTAATCCCGGCTCGTCTACCTTCCGGCCGTGTGACCACAGGCAAGTAACTTAACCTCTCTGTGCCCATTTCCTCAAGTATAAAAGGAGGAAAAGAGTGGCACTTACCTCGCTAAAGCTGTTGTGAGGCTGTTGTGAAAGCTCTCAGTACAATTCCTGGCACAGAGTAAGCTCTCAGCAGTTGTTCATTCCTTCTTTTTAAAAGTATTATTAGGCACAGTGTCTGGCACAGGCTAAGGGCTTAATAAATATTTATTTTTATGAATGAAGGATAAATGAATGAATGCGCCGCATCTAGATCAAAGCCCTCCACAGTAGTGTCCCCCACCTGAAAAGGCCACCCCCTTTAACCTCCACCCTCTCTCCCCAGGTAACGGCCCCTCTGGTATCTGCCTGTCCTACCTGCTCTCCGGCTACACACCCTACACGAAGCCAGATGCCATCCACCCACACCCCCTGCTGCAGAGGAAGCTCACCGAGGCCCCGGGGGTCTCCATCCTGGACCAGGTGGGTCAGCCTGGGGCCAGAGCTCTGGGTAGTACATACCCGCCCTTGGAAAACTACCGCCGCTTTCCCAGGGAAAAACAAAAGTGTGTGTTTGCTGGAAACAAGACTAAACAAAGAATTCGAGAGTCCACAAAGTCAGCCACGGAGATCGTGAAAGAGAAATCAGAGACCCACAAATGCCACACGATCTAGGGCTCACTATGCCCTAGGCCGGTTGTTCTCAAGGAGGGGATGATTTTTCTCCTCGGGGGGCACCTGGCAATGTCTGGAGACAATTTGGGTTGTCATGGCAGGGTGACGGTACTACCAAATCTAGCAGGGTGGAGGCCAGGGATGCTGGCAAACATCCAGCACTGCACAGGACAACGAGGGTGGTGAGACTGAAATATGTGTGGTGGAGCTTCTCAACCTTGGCCCCACTGACATTTGGATGACTTTGTTCTGGCTACAAAGAATGATCTGGCTCAAATGTCAGTGCGGCCAAGGTTGAGAAACTCCACCACAGATATTTCAGTCCCACTACCTCCTGCCCACAAGGGTTTGCAAATCCTCCCTCCGTACCCCTTGTCTTCCACTGTGCTCCTCCACGACCTCCCCTTGTCGACCTCCCTCGTCAGGCAGTGTACATCCTCCTGTTCCCTTCCCGCCCCTGAGTTGGAGATGAGGAAATAGGTCTTGACCATTTGATCTAGATCAGCATTTTTCAAAGTGCTCTCTATAGAATACTAGTTCCTCAGTATAATATAGAGAGAAAAATGTCCCCACTCCAGTAAAACAGGGACACACTGGGTTTGGCAAAATTAAACAGGTAAATGATGGCTGCAGGACTTGTCAGAGCCTTTAATATGCCCGTCTGTGTTATCTGCTGTTAAGAGGCAGCACCTCCCAAGCTGATCTGACCACACTGATATTAGGGTAGGGATGTAGGACCAGGCAATCGCTCCAGTCTCACCCAAGCTTGCGCATTTGGTCTGTACTCTGGGGCCCTTGGCCTCCTAGAAAGACCTCAAAACGAGAGCTTCAAACTACCCCCAGGGTGCGCATCTCTCTGAGACCCTCCAGTGCCAGGGAAATGGCCCGGCCCCAGTCCCCACGTTCCTGCCCAGCCTCAGGCTCTGGGAAGACGACCCCGCCCTCCTCCAGCAGCCCCTCTGACCTATGCCCCCCTCCAGGACCTGGACTACCTGTCCGAAGGCCTCGAAGGCCGATCCCAAAGCCCCGTGGCCCTGCTCTTTGATGCCCTTCTACGCCCAGACACAGACTTTGGGGGAAACATGAAGTCGGTCCTCACCTGGAAGCACCGGAAGGAGCACGCCATCCCCCACGTGGTTCTGGGCCGGAACCTCCCCGGGGGAGCCTGGCACGTGAGTGGGGCAGCGAGGGCATGGCTTGTGGGGGGCTCTCTCCCTCGTTCTCCCCACTTGGGGCTGGGACTCTGGCATCTCCCTTTCCTCATTCTCCACCCCGCAACCCTGCCTCTCCCTCCTCCCTCTACCCAGCCCCAGCAAAGGCCTCCCATGCCCTCTAGCCCCAAATGGGTTCAGGCGAGCAGAGGCCTGGACCAAAGGGTTCCTTTCCCTGCAGTCCATCGAAGGCTCCATGGTGATCCTGAGCCAAGGCCAGTGGATGGGGCTCCCGGACCTGGAGGTCAAGGACTGGATGCAGAAGAAGCGAAGGTGAGGCCGCCCCGGAACGCCTTGGGGGACACGGAAGGTTGGGCCTGTGAACCCAGAAAATCTGAGACAGGTCTCAGTTAATTTAGAAAGTTTATTTTTCCAAGGTTGAGGACGCGCCCGTGACAGCCTCAGGAAGTCCTAATGACATGTGCCCAAGGTGATCCGGCACAGCTTGGTTTTATACATTTTAGGGAGACATGAGACATCAATCAATATTTGTAAGAAGTACATTGGTTCGGTCTGGAAAGCTGGGCCAGCTTGAAGCAAAGGCAGGAAGTGGGGAGGGGGCTTCCAGGTCGCAGGTAGGTGAGAGATAAACAGTTGCATTCTTTTGAGGTTCTGATGAGCCTCTCCAAATGAGGCGATCAGATACGCATCTATCTCAGGGAGCAGAGGGGTGACTTGGAATGGAATGGGAGGCAGGGTGGCCCTCAGCAGTTCTCAGCTTGACTTTTCCCTTTAGCTTAGTGATTTGGGGGATTTCACAGGCCCCCCACAGTGAGCCCGTGAGCCAGAGGTACAGGGGCTTCAGAGTGCATCTGGTCTGTCTTCCTCTTCTTCCAGAGGGGGAAACTGAGGCTCAGATAGGGAAAGGACTTGTCCACCCCACATGAGTGGGGGTGAGCAGCAGAGCTGGGCTCACCCGAGGACCCCCTGTCCCGTGCAAGCAGCAGACCGCCCTGTCACATGGCCCCCAACTGGGCCTCCCCATAGTGCCCCAGCCTCTAAGGAGGGGGTAACACCTGGCCCCTGAGCCCCACGCCCTGCCCCGTGCCTCTGGCACAGGTCCCCCAGTCCTTGTGGTCTCCCTTCAGCCCTTTCCTCTATTCTGAGCCTGGCCTAGAACAATCTTTCTGGGTCAGCTAATAGGGTGACTTTCTTTTTTCTTTTCTTTTTTTTTTTTTTAATGCTTTTGCTACAGGTGAGTTTCATCCTTAACCATGAGCCCCCAAGTTGGGTAAATTAACTCACCTAAGGTCATGCAGGTTATTGGAAATGCAGAAGGAAAACAGCTCACCCCAAACCCACACTTCTCCACGCCCTTTCACTCCTGGGGTATTTTTTCCCCATCTGGCTTCCTGCCCCATCATGGCCACCCTAGAGAAAAGGTTTGTGAACCCTGAATATTTGAGATGGGTCTCAGTTAATTTAGGAAGTTTTGTTTGTTTATTTGTTGTTTGTTTTTAATGAAGTCTCCCTCTGTCGCCCAGGCTGGAGTGCAGTGGCGCGATCTCAGCTCACTGCAAGCTCCGCCTCCCAGGTTCAAGCCATTCTCCTGCCCCAGCCTCCCGAGTAGCTGGGACTACAGGTGCCCACCACCACACCCGGCTAATTATTTTTTGTATTTTTAGTAGAGACGGGGTTTCACCGTGTTAGCCAGGATGGTCTCGATCTCCTGATCTCGTGATCCGCCCACCTCGGCCTCCCAAAGTGCTGGGATTACAGGCGTGAGCCACCACGCCAGGCTAATTTAGGAAGTTTAATTGCCAAGGTTGAAGACGCACAACCATGACACAGCCTCAGGAGGTCCTGATAACATGTACACATGGTGGTCGGGGCACAGCCTGGCTGTATACGTTAGGGAGACTTGAGACATCAATCACTATATGTAAGATGGACATTGGTTCCGTCCAGAGGCGGGACAACTCCAGCAGGGAGGGGTGTTTCCAGGTCTCAGACAGGTGAGAGACAAACGGTTGCATTCTTTCGAGTTTCTTATAAGCCTTTCCAAAGGAGGCAATCAGGTGTGCATTTATCTCAGTGGGCAGAGGGAAGACTTTGAGTAGGACGGGAGGCAGCTTTGCCCTAGGCAGTTCCCTGCTTGACTTTTCCTTTAACTTAGTGATTTGGGGGCCCCAAGATTGATTTGCCTCTCACAGTTTCAATCACTGAATAAAGGAGTTCTAGTCCCTGCTCCTCCTGGGGTGCATCCACTCAATGAGAAGCTGCCCCAGCGCAGATACCTGGGTGCAGTCTGCCTCTCGGGAAGCCCTGCTTCCTCCGCCCCCAGGGCTGTGACCAGGCCTGTGTCCCCAACGGCAGGCACTCCAGGCGTCCCCCTCCAGGCCTCACTATCTCTTTGATGCGAAGACTCTTCTGCATGTTTGGCAGGAAGACTTCCAGGTTTGTGTAGCTACATGTTAGTAGGCAGCCAGAAACTTACATTTCGCTTGTAAGCACAGCCTTTTATAGGCTCATTTTGCATTTTCACATTGTATCCCAAGCGTTTCATGTGGTGAAGTCACAGCGTTCAAAACCATCCTTTTACATGGCCTCACAATATTCCCAAAGGCGAGTGAGCATCCCCAGTCCAGCAAATCTTCACCGAATGCTTATTATGTGCCAGGCCTTGGGCTTAGACGTCAGAGCACAAAACCACCGCAGACACACCCCCTGCCTCATGGCACTGCCAAGGTTACCCAGCCCCTGCCAGCCCTGGAGCATTCATTCTTTCCATTGTGTCATTATTATAAATAACTCTGCACAGAACATGCTCTTGGGACCGTTCTGTGTCACAATCTTTACAAAAACTGAGAAAAGAATGACTGCCCACAGAGATAAATTCCAGGGTCGCAGACGGGCTGCGCTGGGTTGACTGGCACGGCCTTGGGGGTCCATTGTCAGCTCCTGCTACATGTAGCCGGACGGCAGGTGGCACAGGATTCTCCCGTATGGGAGTTCATCTTGAACCATGAGCCCACAAGCTGGGTAGATTAACTCATCTAAGGTCACACAGTGAGATACAGGAAGGTGCTAGAATGATGCAAAGCCTGTCATTCAACCGCCACAAGAATGGGCCTGCAGTCACTGCCCCTGGAAAGAGTGACAATCCAAACAACAACAACAATAATAGAATACCTCCTGCTGCTGCGTGGGCTGGGAACGATGGTGAGTGCGTCACATGGGAGTCTTTAAATCAACTTTAAATCAACTTTTTGACTACATATAGGCTGGGTGCGGTGGCGCAAGCCTGTAATCCCAGCACTTTGGGAGGCCGAGGCTGGTGGATCACTTGAGGTCAAGAGTTCGAAACCATCCTGGCCAACATGGCAAAACCCCATCTCTAATAAAAATACAAAAATTAGCCAGGTATGGCGCTGCATGCCTGTAGTTCCAGCTGCTCAGGAGGCCGAGGTATGAGAATCACCTGAGCCCGGGAGGCAGGGGCTGCAGCGAGCTGAGATCACACCACGGCACTCCAGCCTGGGCAGCAGAGTGAGACTCTGTCTCAAAAAATTAAAATAAAATAAAATAAAATAAAATAAAATAATAAATTGGCTACATATAGAAAAGTACGTAACTCCTGTGAGTACAGGTTGATGAAATTTCTCAAGGTAAGCACAGAGAATGAAGAAGCAGGCCCCCTCCCAGAAGCCCCCATGCCCTTTCTGATCAGGATCCCATTCCCCATCCCCGGAGGTAACCCCTCTCTTGACATCCAGCTCCATAGATGAGTTCTGCCTGTTTCTGAACTCTGTAAAAATGGAATCATACCATATTTAATCATTTGAGGTGACAATCATGGTGGCCTATCCTTACATGGCACTTACTTCCAGTCAGGTTCCATCCTAAGCACTTTGTGTTTGTCAGCTCACCAAATCCTCCCCACGACCTCACGAAATAGGTCCTGCCACCAACATCTTCCTCATTTTGCAAACTGGGGAAACAGACACAGCTCCCTGATGGCAGAGTCAGGATTCGAGCCCAGGCAGCGGGGCTCTGGAGGCTGCCCTCTGAACCCCACCCTACACCACCCTAGAGCATCCTACACCACCCTACACCACCTCTCCTGAGGGAGGCACCCTTGTTAGCTCCATTTTACAGAAGAGGAGACTGAGGCTTAGAGAGGTTGAATTACCTGGCCTAGTCCTACAGCTACAGCCTAGTCCAGCTCCAGGGCCTGACACTGCCCTGGACATCTCCCGTCCCACCCAGCCCCCCAACCCCTAACAGTGTCTGACTCTGGCGTCCTGCATCCTCCCCAACAGAGGTCTTCGCAACAGCCGGGCCACTGCCGGGGACATCGCCCACTACTACAGGGACTACGTGGTCAAGAAGGGTCTGGGGCATAACTTTGTGTCCGGTGCTGTAGTCACAGCCGTGGAGTGGGGGACCCCCGATCCCAGCAGCTGTGGGGCCCAGGACTCCAGCCCCCTCTTCCAGGTGAGCGGCTTCCTGACCAGGAACCAGGCCCAGCAGCCCTTCTCGCTGTGGGCCCGCAACGTGGTCCTCGCCACAGGCACGTTCGACAGCCCGGCCCGGCTGGGCATCCCCGGGGAGGCCCTGCCCTTCATCCACCATGAGCTGTCTGCCCTGGAGGCCGCCACAAGGGTGGGTGCGGTGACCCCGGCCTCAGACCCTGTCCTCATCATTGGCGCGGGGCTGTCAGCGGCCGACGCGGTCCTCTACGCCCGCCACTACAACATCCCGGTGATCCATGCCTTCCGCCGGGCCGTGGACGACCCTGGCCTGGTGTTCAACCAGCTGCCCAAGATGCTGTACCCCGAGTACCACAAGGTGCACCAGATGATGCGGGAGCAGTCCATCCTGTCGCCCAGCCCCTATGAGGGTTACCGCAGCCTCCCCAGGCACCAGCTGCTGTGCTTCAAGGAAGACTGCCAGGCCGTGTTCCAGGACCTCGAGGGTGTCGAGAAGGTGTTTGGGGTCTCCCTGGTGCTGGTCCTCATCGGCTCCCACCCCGACCTCTCCTTCCTGCCTGGGGCAGGGGCTGACTTTGCAGTGGATCCTGACCAGCCGCTGAGCGCCAAGAGGAACCCCATTGACGTGGACCCCTTCACCTACCAGAGCACCCGCCAGGAGGGCCTGTACGCCATGGGGCCGCTGGCCGGGGACAACTTCGTGAGGTTTGTGCAGGGGGGCGCCTTGGCTGTGGCCAGCTCCCTGCTAAGGAAGGAGACCAGGAAGCCACCCTAACACTCGGCCAGACCCGCTGGCTCCCAGGCCCTGAGAGGACAGAGATGACCACATCCCTGCTGGATGCAGGACCCGTCCAAAGATGCCCCGGGGAGGGGTGTCAGCCCACGTTGCTGGCCTTTGGGGTCAAGAGGAGTAGGGATCCCAGGCTGCCCTGGACTTAGACCAGTGTCTGAGGTGGTAACAGCGGCCGCAGGCCAGGGTTGGCCTAGACCTGGGATTTGTGGGGAAAGCTGCTGGTGTGACCAGCTGAGCACCCAGCCAGGAGACCTGCAGCCCTGCGCCTTCCAGAAGCAGGTCCCAAATAAAGCCAGTGCCCACCTGCTCTCATGCGTCTGAGGACTCTGTGCTCGGAGGGAGCTGCGTTCCCGGAACCCTGCACTGGGCTGGGGGGAAGGGAGGAAAGGGGATTGTGGGAGGAGTCCTGGGGCATGTGGTCCTGGATGAGGTCCATGGCTGGGGCCTTGGGGTACAAAGGATGGTGCCCCAAGTGTGGGGGCAGTTGAGCGGGCAGCTGTACTAGAGTCTGGGGGTGGGAGTGGCGGGTGTGTGCAGGCAGTGATGTCCAGGAGGGCGCTGCAGCCCCGCCCCCTCCGCAGCCTGTCCCAGGCCTCCCTCCTCTCTGTTCTGCCATGCGGCCTCCTTTCAGTCCCTCCTGCTGGCCAGGTCTCTGCCTGCCCCAAGGCCTTTGCACAGAGAGTCCCCAGCCCAGGACAGTTTCCCGCCTTTCTTTAACTCCTTTTCCTTGGGATGTCTCAGCATAAGAATCACTTCCTCTAGGAAGCCTCTTCTGACACAAACCCCTCCACTGCCGTCACAGCAAATACTCCTTTCATGGTCTAAGGTGCTACCTTTTCATAGCAGTGCAGTTTTTTTTTCTTTTTTTTGAGACAGAGTCTCATTTTGTCACCCAGGCTGGAGTGCTGTGGCGCTTGGTTCACTACAACCTCTGCTTCTGGGTTGAAATGATTCTCCTGTCTCAGCCTCCCAAGTAGCTGGGATTACAGGTGACTGCCACCTCGCCCAGCTAGTTATTGTATTTTTAATAGAGACGGGGTTTCACCATGTTGGCCAGGCTGGTCTTGAACTCCTGACCTCAAGTGATCCGCCCTCTTTGGCTCCCCAAAGTGTTGGTATCACAGGCATGAGCCACCACACCCTTCCAGCAGTTCAGTTTTAATTGTTCATTTGTTTGTGGAATCATTTCAGTGTTTGGCTCTGCCCACTTGGATGTAAGCTCCAGGAGCTCTGGGAGACCAAGTACACCATCTGTTTTGCCCATTGCTGGAACTCCGTGGTTGGGCACCTGCCTGGCACCTAGTGGGTTCTCCTTAATTCATCTTTTAAATGGATGGGTGGATGGATGGATGGGAGGATGGGTGGGTGGGTGGACAGATGGATAGATGAGAGGATGGTTGGATGGATGGGAGGATGGTGGGTGGGTGGATGGATGGATGGATGGATGGGAGGGAGGGGGGTGGGTGGGTGGGTGGATGGATGGGAGGGAGGATGGATGGATGGATGGGAGGGAGGGAGGATAGATGGATGGATGGAAGGATGGTGGGTGGATGGATGGGAGGGTGTGTAGGTGGGTGGATGGATGGATGGATGAGAGGGTAGGGGGGTGGATAGATGGATAGATGGGAGGGTGGGTGGGTGGATGGACAGACAGATGGGCGGGCGGGCAGATGGATGGACGGATGGATGGATGGATGGATGGATGGATGGATGGATGGATGGGAGGGTGGATGGATGGATGGATGGAGGGTGGATGGATGGATGCCAGGGAGGGAGGATGAGTGGGTGGGTGAATGGATGGATGGATGGGAGGATGCTGGGTGGGTGGATGGATGGATGGATGAATGGTTGGGAGGGTGGGTGGATGGATGGACGGACAGTCGGCCGGCCGGATGGATGGATGGGAGGATGGGTGGATGGATGTATAGATGGATTGATGGACGGGTAGGCAGGTGGATGGATGGATGGATGGATGGACGGACAGGTGGGTGGGTGGATAGATGGATGGGTGGATGGAGTATGAAGGAAAGATGTTCTGGGGTGAAGACTGGTTCTGGGCGTTTTGTAACCAAGGGGGCGGCCTGAGGGGGCGTGCACGCCCGCGGGAGTTAAGGATGGGCGCCCGCGGGCGTGACGGGGCCGCGGGGCGTGGGCGCCGCTCCCCGGGGCTGGAGCCGGCAGAGGGCGCTCCGGGCTCGCTGGACACCCGCGCTTCGGCCTCTGCTGCGCGCCGCGAGTGGGAGGGGGGACTTTAGAAGCGGGGAGAGCAGGAGACTTTTGGGGAGCAGGCCCCAGGGGCGCCGCCCCGCCCCCAGGCCCCACATACCCCTCCCCTCCGGGTAGCCCCCTCTGTGGCTGCGCCCGCGCCCCTCGCCCCGGCGGGCAGTCCTCAGGCCCCGCGCCCGGCCGGCGGGGGTGGGGGCGGCGGGGAGCGGGCACGTGGCTCGGGGTCCGGCCGGCCCGCCCCCCGGCGCCGGCCAGTCCCCGCGGTGTCCGCGGCCGCGGGGGCAGCGGGAGAGAGGGCGGGGCGGCGCGGGCAGCGCGGGGAGGGGGTCGCGCGGGGGCGGGCCGCAGCTGGGCGGGGGTCGGCGGGCTTCCGGGCGGCGGCGGCGGGCGCGGCGCGATGTGCGAGCGGGCGGCGCGCCTGTGCAGGGCCGGCGCGCACAGGCTGCTCCGGGAGCCGCCGCAGCAGGGCCGGGCGCTGGGCGGGCTGCTGCGCTGGGTGGGCGCCAGGATGGGCGAGCCCCGGGAGTCGCTGGCCCCCGCCGCCCCCGCGGACCCCGGCCCAGCCTCGCCGCGCGGGGGCACCGCCGTCATCCTGGACGTGAGTACGCGCCGGCCGGGACCCCCGCCGTGGCCTCCGCTGGGACCCGGAGCCCCCTCCGCCCCTCGGGCGGACCCCGACGCCGCGACCCGCGAGGCCCTCCCTACCCGGGCAGGAGACCCCCGGCCCCTCCGCGTGCCGGAGCGGGAGCCCCCAGCCCCGCCACGTCCAGGCCGGTCTCCAGCCCAGTCCTCTCCCTGGACCGGGAGACCCCCCTCCTCCGCCCCTCCACCGGCGCTTCTCGGAGTCCCTGCCTGCCCACAGTGGGGAGCCGTGAGCCCCCGGACCCGGCCACTGTCCCCCTAGTTTTGTCCAAGCCAAACCCCCACCCTTTACCCCGCGGGACCGGAGCCCCTCGCCGCGTCCAGCCGCCTCCTCCTCTCCATCCCGGATCCTGTCCGGAGCGATACTTTTCTGAGACCCCTAACAACCCCTACCTCTAGCCCACCTCTCTTCGCCCTAGACCCTGAGCCCCCGTTCATCTCACGCTCAAAGACCCTTTGCCCCAGCTACTGCCACTTTAAAAGTGAAGCCCCCTCCCCACCTTCTGTCTTCTCGTCTCCTTTCCATTGAGCCAGAGCCATCGCCCATCAGCCCTGAGCTGGTACCCCTCTGGTCTTCCCCACCCCGCCCCCTTCCATTCCAAGTCCTCTGTTCCCTTCCCCACACCCCTCTACCCTACAGAGAGCTGGGTCCTCTTCATGGACCAGACTCACCCCTCACCCCTCCTAACTCCCCTGGGACCCAAATCACCCATCTCTGGGAAGCCCACCTCACCCTCCCACCCGCCCCACCCGGGAGGGAGGAATCTTCAGGGGGCGGCTCGGAGGAGGAGGACTTCTCCCAGCAGAGAGTGCTAGGAGGAGGTGGAGGAGGCTTCTGGGGATGTTGACTGCGTGTTTCAGCGAGGGTCCTGCTGGGGTGGGGCTGGGGGCTGCCTCTGCCTGTGTGGTGGATTTCTGGGAGAGTGGTGGGTGTGTGTGAATGTGCACACGCGTGTATCGCGGATCCCTGTGAGTCGGGGGATTCCCTCCCTTCCTCTCTCCTCTTCCCTGCTCCTGGAACCCTTGGCCGGGGTCTGGGCTGGGAGGGCCGGCCAGAGCAGGGGGAGCTCTAGAGTGCCACACTCGCAGGCACACATTCACACACTCACGCACTCGCTTACGCACGCACACACAGCCAGAGACACACCCATGCAGCCAAACCATCCCCTCCTCAGGACCCCCGCAGAGCTCCCACTGAAAGTCCTGGGCAGAGCCCTGCAGCCCCAAGCTGCCCTGCATGGAAGCCCTGCCCAGTCAGGGTGGGGGCTCTGAGGTTCCATCTCCTCACCTGCCAAAAGGAGTGATGAGCGGGGGGTGGGGCGGGAGGTGCTCATGCAGACTCCTGGAGCTGGCTGACATTACCAGGTGTCAGCCCTGCCATGTCACTCATGTGTTCAGCATTCCTGCCCAGAGCCGGCACCTACCTGGTGCCTGGCCTCAAGGGGGATCTGGGACACCCAGATAGGGACCCCAGTTTTGAGGAGCCTTGCCCAGTCAGGAACGGGGCTGCGGGGTGCCCAGGCTGGATCTTTGAGGAGGGCTTGGGGATCTGAGGTTCAGCCAGGAGGAGGGGTGATGTTTGAGAGGCCCTCCCATAGCTGTGCTTCAGTCTCACCGCCCAGGTGCCTAGAAATGACCAAGGGTGCCCCCTTTCTCGTTGCCTGGAGGGATGGGGGGCGAGGGCATCTGTCCTTTACCCCAAGGCGAGGACAGAGGGTGGAAGGGTCAGAGTGAGTATTACCTCCTCCTCCTCCATGGCTGACCTGGCCCCAGCAGCCCTCCCTGGTGTCGGGAAATGTGTACATGTTGCTGCCTCTCCCTGGGTCTCAGTACCCTCCTTGTTAAAACAAGCCACTGAGATTGGGGTGGGGGCCACCGCAGAAGCTGGGATCCTTCTCAGGCTTTAAAGTGCTGGTGGGCAGGGCGCCGTGGCTCACGCCTGTAATCCCAGCACTTTGGGAGGCCGAGGCGGGTGGATCACCTGAGGTCAGGGGTTCGAGACCAGCTTGACCAACAAGGTGAAACCTCGTCTCTACTAAAAAATACAAAAATTAGCCAGTTGTGATGGCGGGCGTCTGTAGTCCCAGCTACTCGGAAGGCTGATACAGGAGAATTGCTTGAACCCGGGAGGCAGAAGTTGCAGTGAGCCAAGATCGCGCCACTGCACTCCAGCCTGGGTGACAGAGCGAGACCCCATCTCAAAAAAAAAAAAAATAGTGCTGGTGAATCAGTCCCCGTGGGAACTGGTTACAGTGAAAGGTCTGACTCCACTACAGTGCAGAGTAGGTGGGACATCCTGCATTGCAAACAAGCTCCTGCAGGACCCAAACAGCTCCTGTGAATAGCAAGGTCTTAGCGCACAGGTGTCAACATTGGGCCTGGGAGGCTTTAAAAATGCTGAAATCAGAGTGGGCCTCACAGCAGCTGATTCAGTCACCCTGGGGTGTGGCCCGGGCTGAGGAGGTTTTGAAAGCTCTCCAGGCGATGGTGTTGGAAGGGGCGGAAAGCTGCCTTCGAGCCTCAGCCTGGCAAGCAGCACCTGCCAGCCAGACCTTGAGGAAAGGGGAGCAGCTCTGTCCCACGGATTCAGATGTCACTGGAAAGGCAGAACGAGGAGGCACCTGGTCTTGTAGGTTCAGGCCAGCCTTGGAGCTGCCCTCCACCCATCCCTGCCTAATGCAGCCGGAACTTCGTCTGCGGCTGCTTTTCTGAACTCTTGGCGTCCTGTTTCT
The DNA here is from genome assembly GCF_000001405.40 of Homo sapiens. Taxonomy (NCBI): domain Eukaryota; kingdom Metazoa; phylum Chordata; class Mammalia; order Primates; family Hominidae; genus Homo; species Homo sapiens. The sequence continues at coordinate 83,971,626 of NC_000016.10, forward strand.
CCTCCTGCACCCCAAAATTAACGCAGTCCTGCCCGTGGCTGGCATTGTCACCAGGCCTTGCAAACACCTCTGTCGGACTTTGCCCAACCTCCCTGGAAACACACCAGGGGTTTTGGAAGGACTGCAGTGGTAAAGGTTGTGGCGCTCCCTGGGACACTGATTCGGAGTGTGGTTGTGTGCAGCTGAGCGTTTGGCGGTGGGTGAAGCCACGTGGACTGATGACTGTGGACCTACACCTGCAGGGATGGCCGTGGGCCTGCGTGTGTGTGTCAGCGTGGCTGGGAGCAGGCTGGTGGTACTGGCAGCCGCTTCCACGTGGGTGAGGGGAGGGCCTCTGTCTGCAACATCCCTCATCAGTTCCCCCTGGATCCCAGCCCGGGGAGGGGGAGAGGGAAGGGGGGCTCAGCTTCCCAGGACCCTAAGCTGCTCCTGGGAGAAGAGAAGGATCCCAGTATCCGGTCAGAGGCTGCAGGAAGCGCTTGCCTCTCCCTGGCCCAGGGCTGACTCCGCCTCTCTTTTCTGCAGATTTTCCGCCGTGCGGACAAAAATGGTGAGTTTCCCTTCCAGGCCGACGGCCGCCCCACTCCTTCTGTCCTCGTGCTTCATGGGGAAGGGATCAGGGATAGGAGACAAGCGCAACCTTGAACCTAAAGGTTTGGAGTGCAGGGGTCTGAAGTTAGAAGGCCAAATCCTGCTGCTGCTCTGTGCCTTGACCTCCCTGTCTGTAAAACGGGAATCCTAGTAGGGCCTACTTAGTAGGGACAGCTCCACTCAAGGGCTCAGTGAGTCTTGTCTGTGATGCCAAGAACAATGACTGGCCGTGGTAAGGGCTGGGTGTACTTTAGGCCTTTTCCTAGCTGGGCTGGACCAGAGGAGCCCGGGCTGGGGCCCAGAAACCCTCCTTGAAAGGAAGCCGCCAGCCTCACGCTAGGCCCTTCACAAGCCTTGGTGCAGTTCTTCATCGTAGCAACCTGAGCAGTCAGTGCTCTTGCCTCTGTTGACACCATAGCAGCCCAGAGAGGTTAAGCAATTTGCCCCAGGGTTGCCCAGCTGCATGAAGGAAACGGAGGCTCTCCTGAAGACCGGGGCCCTTTTCCCTTTCTCTCTCAGCCTCTTTAAAAATGTGAGCAGCGCCTTGTTGTGGCCACGGAATTCATAGCGCTCCACTTCTCCCGACTCCTTGGAGGGGCTTCACTTGCAGAAGGAGCCCAGGCCTTGAGAGAATAAGCACGTTTAGGCGGCCCAGCTGAGCCTCGGCTGACAAAAAGCACCTTCTTAAAAATACCAGAATCATTATTACAGTTGCAACGCAACTCACCGTGGACTTGAACCAAGACAGATTCCCTCTCTGGGCCTTGGTTTTCCCGTGGGTAAAGTGGGGCAATAACACTTGCCCTGCCTCCTTCCCTGGGTTTTGGGGAAAAGCCAGAGAGGCGGTGTGGGTGACAAATGTTTTTAAAGAGAATCGCGTGCTCCCGGTATGTTCATTCATTGAGAAAATGCACATCAAGTACCAAGCCTGTGGCAGGGGAAGAGCACGCAACAGAGACCCTGTGACCTGCCCCAGGGCCCTTGGTCCCCAACGCCTCTGGCCCCGGTTCCTCTCCTGCACAAGCTGCAGTTGAGGGTGGCAGCTCTGGCCTGGGTCTCCAGCACCCGCCTCATCCCTGGGAGTTCCTGTTGACGGCTCCCACCCAGGGCGGTTGCAGGGTGGAGTTGGAGGCCTTGGGCATGGTGGGAGGGCAGGTGCACAGGCCTGGGCTGGAATCAGTTCCAACGAGTCTCCCACCCTGGCCTCCTGCATCCCTGGGGGGTGACAGTGACCACTCCCAGGCCTCTGGGGAAGAAGGACCATCAGCAGTGATTCCATACGGAGCAGAGGAGGAATAAGAGGGACGTAGGGAGATGAAGTGGCTCTGGAAAAACAGCCGTAGCATCATGGCCTGAAAAGCCTTGGAGATGAGGAGGGGAAATCAGGGGGCTGTCCCTGAGATGGGGTCGCCGGAGCCCTCAGCGTCATTGCCTGTGTGCTGGCCTGGCTCCTCCAGCAGGTTGAGAGGTAGGGATTTGGGTTTGTCCCTTGTCCCGGGCCTGATACCCAGCACACAGTAGGTCCTCGGTAAATGTCTGTAGACTTGGTGGACGTGTTTGTTGGTGAGAGCGTGGCTGTGCGTATCTCGGTGACTCAGCAGCGTGAGGCTGTTGGGAATGCGTGTGTCCAGCGTGGGCCTCTAGCCATGGCTGTGCATCCCGAGTGTGTGTGCAGTTAGTGTGCGTGTGTGGCTTCCTGAGTGTGCAGCTCTGCAGGAGCCACTGCAGTGTATACACTTGGGCAGGTGGTGCCTGGCCCCCTCGGGCACAGATGGGGTTCTGTCCTTGCTGCAGGCTCCCCCCATCAGAGGCCATGTGTCCACCCCCTGAGCACAGCTGTGGGACTCTCAGTTTCCTTACTGCAGCCTCCTCAAAGGCCGAGCCTGTTCCTTCTCCTTGGGGCTTACATCTTACCAGCCACCACTATGTGACCGTTAGGGGCTGTCACCAGGGTGAATGTGGGTGTGAGATGCGGGTTCCAGCAAGAGCTTCCCAGGTCCCCCAGCCTGACTGCCTAGGCTCAAGTCCTGGCTCAGCCGCGTACCGGCTCTGGCCTCAGGCAAGTCACCAAATTCTGCAGTCTCAGTTTCCTTATCTGTAAATGGGAATAATTACAGCACCCACCTCAGAGGGCTGTCTGAGGATAGATAGTTGCTCTCCTGGCTTCGCTCATTGAAGATATCAATAAGTCCCCGCTGCTCTGCCTCAAATGCCTCGGAAATGGGAGTCCGCAGGTGTGGCTTGTCCAGAGGGGTTTGATTCCTCTGTGCTCAGCAGGGAATTCGGTCTGGGGGAGGCTGCCAGCAGTCACTGAACGTCTGTTATGCACCAGGACTTGAATGTGCTTTTTCCTTTAATCTTCATTGTGATCCTCCTGAGACAAGAAGTATCAACCCCCACCCTCCTTCCAGATGACGAAAACAAGGCTCGGAGATGGCACGTGATATTCTTCACATGGTCGGGGGGCAGCGGTGCAGGCAGGTTCTGATTCAACACAGCAGCTTAAAAGCTTGTAGGAGTGGGGATGGGACTTGGTGTGGGTATAGATAGGGGAGTGGTGTGGGAATAGAATGGCTGGGGAAAGAGGAATGAGTGTAGGGGTGAGAATAGGTGTCAAGGAGGTGTGGATCCAAGAATGAGAGCAGGTGTGCAGGGAGGTGTGGGTGCAGGGATGAGAGCAGGTGTGCAGGGAGGCGTGGGTGCGGGGATGGGAACAGGTGTGCAGGGAGGTGTGGGTGCAGGGATGGGAACAGGTGTGCAGGGAGGTGTGGGTGCGGGAATGTGAACCGGTGTGCAGGGATGAGAGCAGGTGTGCAGGGAGGTGTGCAGGGATGAGAGCAGGTGTGCAGGGAGGTGTGGGTGCAGGGATGAGAACAGGTGTGCAGGGATGAGAGCAGGTGTGCAGGGAGGTGTGCAGGGATGAGAGCAGGTGTGCAGGGAGGTGTGGGTGCAGGGATGGGAACAGGTGTGCAGGGAGGTGTTGGTGCGGGGATGGGAACAGGTGTGCAGGGAGGTGTTGGTGCGGGAATGTGAACCGGTGTGCAGGGAGGCGTGGGTGCGGGGATGGGAACAGGTGTGCAGGGATGAGAGCAGGTGTGCAGGGAGGTGTGGGTGCGGGGATGGGAACAGGTGTGCAGGGATGAGAACAGGTGTGCAGGGGGTGCAGATGTGGAGGCCGATAGGCCCACAAGCACACACAGGACTGCTCAACACTGACGCTAGCCCTGCCTCACGTGTCCACAGGAAGGATGGATGGGATGCCTCAGGGGAGCGGGAGATGGGGTGCAAACTCAAAGGACCCCCCAGGCTGCCCTTAGGACTTAGAGATTACAGGAACAAAGGCTCAGGGCTGCCCTGTCAGGGTGGCTCCTGTGACAGAGACTTGTTTGGCTGAGCTGGATACCGGATGCCCAGTCCCTATGGGAAGGTTAGCATGAGGGGCCTGACTGGCAGCCTGGGACATAAACTCAGGGGGTGGCAGAGGGCTGAGTGGCAGACAGCATTTCCCTTCAGGGACATGGACGCTGACAGGCTGACAGGCTCTTGGCATTTGAAAGGTCATGGAGACAGAGAGTGAGTTTGTGCTAATTAGCAAAGACACCTGCAAACGGCCCGCTTGGGGTCTCTGGCAAAAGTGCCAGCGCGGGCCCGCTTGGCCTGTCTAATTGGACTGGGGGCCTACGTAGGGCATGTTTTTTCCTCATTAGTGAATTCATTAGGGCCGTGATCAGGCGTTCAGGATAAATGTCAGCCGAAAGCTTAGTGAGGGGGCACCTTGCTGGCCTCTGTCTGCCTGCTCTCCCTGTGTGCCGAGGGGGCACCTTGCTGGTCTCTGGCTGCCTGCTCTCCCTGTGTGCAGAGGGGGCCCAAGGTACCTGGACAGGCACGTGGGGAGATGAGCCAGCCAGAGGGAGGCTGGGATTGGGGCTCACAACCCCTGTCATGCCCATGGTGACTGCCCCTCACCCAAAGTGGGGGTGCCTGAGCCAGCACCCACCCCCTGCTGGGTAGGTGGCGATGTCGCCACAAGATCCTACCCCTGGATTAGGTTGAGAGCCTGGACTTGGGAGCCAGATGGCCTGGGTTCAAGCTTCAGCTGTAGGACCTAGGCAAGTACCCTAAGGGCTCTGTGCCTCAGTTTACCCCTCTCTAACATGGAAGTGGTAGTACTACCTGTGTCGTGAGTGTTAAGAAGACTAAAGGAGTGAGTCCGTGGAAGGTACTCCACGTGTGGTGTGACTCCACACTGGGATTCCTGGGTTTTATCTTCAGGCTTGCCGAAGACACTCGGAAGGCATCCTCTGTCACAGAACACAGAAAGCAACAACTTCGATTTCACTTATCTCGTGGCTGACTTTGCGGACTTTTAGTTGTTAGGTTTTGGGTCTTTGGTTTGTGCATGTGTGGTTGGATTGGGGTTTTTTTGGCCTTTCCTTTGAAAGACAGAAATTCTTCCCACTGTAACCTTGAAATCTGAGCTGCGATGGGGGCATCTTGGGATATTGGCCCTAGCCCCCCGTGCCCACACGTTCATATTCTTTACCGGTCTCTGATACTTTATGCTCTATGGGGTTAAAGAGAAAAGTGGTGGCATGAAACCTTGGCAAGATCTGAGGACCCCCCCTCTCCTGAGCTTATGCTCTCACCCTGTGTTGAGCTCCAGCAGAGCTGCTGGGAGCACAGACAGAAGCACTGGAGCCTTTAAAGTTTAAGAATGACTCATTCTCAACCCAAGTACGTCTGCCATGTCGGGTTAGGCAGGTTGTGCGCTGCACAAGGGCACCCACCCGAGGAAATGGAGGGTTTCAAATCCAGGCTGCAATCCGCTTTCAACACATGTGCACTGACACTGGTCTCATCCTCTCGGCAGAGAAAGGAGAGTCTTTTTCTAATCCATAGGAAGGTGCCATGTGGACTCTCAGGGCCCTTGTCCCAAGCACCCAGCTTTGAATGCAGATCCTCTGGAAGTAATGCCAGGGGTTTATGCAGAGAGGCTGGGGGCCAGGAACTGTCATGGGCTCCCTCTTGTCTCTGACCTCCATGCCACTCACATAGTTTCTCTTAAGGAGGAACAGATCCTTGAGGAGGGGGGAGGTGGCTGCAGGGCAGGTGGGGGATGAGCTTGCTGGCATTTGCTCAGCAGGTCTGTTCAGGTGGAAGGAGCTGAGGGTGGAAGCTTAGGGACCGCCTCCCAGAGTCCCTGATGTTCTTAAGCCACCTCCCCTGGTGGCCCAATCTGATCCAAACCCACAAGACCTTCCTGGTAGGGCCAAAAGTGTCCCCAGAGCAACTGCAAGTGAAGGGAAAAGGTGAGGCGATGGGTGGGACTGGTGGCATGTGTCCCACCCATCCCTCCACAGAGCCCCTCCACAGAGGAGCTGTGGAGGCCCCTCTGTGGAGCTCCACCTCAGAAGCACAGCCTCTGGCCAGAGCGTTGGCACCTCCAGGCCTGGCACCTCCTTCCTGCATGGCTTGGCATCTAGATGGCTGCATCTGTGGCCTGGGAGAGGAGGTAACTGAGAACCTCATGCCGGCCATTGGCAGCCATCTCATGCTGCCTCAGGGAAGGACCTGAAGTTTGCCACATAGATGGGGCGGAGAAGAAAGGGTTCTTCTGTACTCTAAGAACAGTGCTGAGAGAGTCAGGGCTTAGGGGCTGGGATTGGGGTTGGGAGCATGCAGAGACCACTTGGCGTTTGGAAGCTATGGAGTGGTGGCTCATCCAGCTGCTGGTTTTTGGATCCACTTCATACCGATGGTGTGACATGGGACAAGTTGCTCACAGTGGGTTATCTTAAATAGCACCTGCCTCCAGGTGGCCATGTAAATTGAGAGAAAATTCACTGGCAGGGGGCAGATACTCTATATTTGTTGAACGCATGGAAAATGTTGAGTGCATGGTGAGCCCAAGAAAGCTAGCTATTGCATTATTGTTAGTTTGAGGATTATCTGTAAACAGGCATTGGTCTGGGAATTAGCTGGATGAGGCATGATTCTCTGTGTACTGGAGTTTACTGGTTAGTGTGGGAATTAGCTGGGTGGGTAGGGATTATCTAAAATGGAATTTGTCTTTTAGTTTGGGGATTAGCTGGGAGGGTAGGGATTATCTGAGCTGCAGTTGTTCTGTCAGTCAGGCCATTGACTGGATTTGGGGGCCGTGCATGCACTAGCCCCACCAGCCTTATCTCTGCAGACACCAGCTCCTTTCTCTGCTTCCTTCCTTGCAGATGATGGGAAGCTGTCCTTGGAGGAATTCCAGCTCTTCTTTGCAGATGGCGTCCTTAATGAGAAAGAACTGGAGGATCTCTTTCACACGATTGACTCTGACAACACCAAGTGAGCTTCAGTCCTGGCTGGCAGAGTGGGGGTGTGTGTGGGCTGTGGTGGAGGCATCTTTTCATCTAGTGTCCGTTCCTAGTCCCCTGTAAGGGGCAGGAGAACTGAAAATCCCCAAATTTGCTAATCCAGAAGTCAGCTCTTCACTGCCTGGGGTGAATGGGGCGTGTGCAGATTCATATTGCATTGGCTACTATCGCAAGTGTGTCTTCTGAGTGCACATGGCCAACTAAGGAGAGACTCCTGGTTTTGCACAGTGGACATGGGATTATGAAAATGGGAAGGTGGCAATGACTTCATCCTTCTGCCATCTTCAGCCAGCAGCCAGTTCTCACCCCAACCCCAATGCCTGTGTGTCCTCCCAGTCCCAACATTAACTGTGAGGTTGAACGTCATCCTAACACTGACTCCTGTGTTAAACCAAACACGAATCCTAACTCAACACTACGTCTATCATTATAGCTTATTAAACCTTTTCTCCAACCCAGTCATAACCCTGACCTGCATCTCAGAATCAGCCAAAAACTCTGTCTCCACCCATCTCTAAATCAAGTGGAAAATGCAGATTCTACTCAGACTTACCCTTGACCCTTCCCAGCCTCACCTCCAATCTTGCCCTTTTCTTGGGATTCCCCAGACAGGATGAGGTCTGAGCCCTCTCCTCAACCCCACCTTCAGGAGGGATCAGAGCCCCACCTGGTCTCCTTTCTCAGGCCTACTCGCGTGATGAGGACCCAAGCTTCTGGAGGGCTGCTTAGGGCACATTTGGTAAGCGGAGGTTCTCTGAGACTGACTAGAGATGGTCTGGACAAGGAGCTACCACCAAACCAGTGTGCAAGGGGTAGAGTACAGTGGTGGTTTGGACCAGAGGCTGCGGCTGAGAGAGTCCTGGGGGGCACTGGCTGGGGACCGGGATATGGTAAGTGGAGCAGATACCATCCTCTGGGAAAGGCCACTTTAAAGAAATGGCTTCAGGCTCCAGACTGCAGAATGGAGAACTGTCTGGGGCCAGATGGAGATTTCTGAGCTGTTACTGCAGCTTCCTGGGGTGCTTTGAAGGGGCCAGGCAGGTGCCCATTGATTTAGACCTTCTCTTTCAGGGCCTTTTGTGTTAGGACCAGCGGGGTAGAGGAGGGGGTGGAGGCGGAGGGAGGAGGAGGCACTGGTTTGAGAGTCGAACTGTGAGAGTACGTGTGGGTGGGTGGGGGTGCAGGGAGGACTCGCGGTTATGGAAGGTCAAAGCTCTATAAAGACTTTTAGGATTAATCTCCCCAACATTACCTAAGGTGTGAGCCACGAACATTAGCCCCTTGGGATGCTAAATAGACTTTGTGCCCAAAACAGTGTACAAACCATCAAAAAGTTTTGTGAAACATGAATTAAAGCAGAATGACAGGGTCGCTTTCTGCAGGACTTGCCAGAACTCTGAATATGAGATGGAGGTTGGAGGCACCTCCTGACAGAGCATGCAGAGCCCCCGAGTGCAGATTCACTGGGCCACAGAAGCCTTCTGTCCAGATGTGCTTTGCTGAGCCTGGGCTCCACTGAGCACGATGAGGGACCTAGGCCCAGAAAGGGCCACCACCGTATTGGGTCCCTTGCACATTGACTTGGCAGTAGCTCCTTATCCAGACCATCTCTAGCCAGTCCCAGAGGGCCTCAGCTTATCAAATCTGCTCCTAAGCTGCAGAACCACCATAGTTCCCAGCACTGCACCCCTTATCTTGGGGCCGGTCTGTGCTCCTTCACTGCCATGGGGGATAGGCTCATGCTCAGCCTGCTCCCCCAAGAAAGGACAGGACCCTTCTCCAGGCTGTAGGAATGGGGATATGGGACCCAGGGGCTGCGACCAGAACAGGAAGGGCTCTGCCACAACCCCAGGAACTCCAGGACCCAGCAGGCAGGGTCGACTGGGGGTGGGTCAGTGGGTCAGATGAGAGCTTTGCTGACAGCCCGTCACAGTAATGGGTCCCCACTCTCTGTCCCTTTACCCCTTTCCTGGCCCCCAGCTTGGCCCTCCCCTTGGTGTCATTTATTCATGATGGGGTCAGCAGACTCCGAGAAAACAGAACAAGGGTGGGTGGTGTGGGGGATCAGACAGACGTGGGCCTTCAGGGGCGGGGGTGTCACCTACCTGCTGCACCCTCTTCTGTAAGGCGGAGCTTGTGGGGCCAGCACACAGGCTGCAAAGAGCAGGCAGGATGTGTGTTTCGCAGGCTGTGCAGGGTCAGGCCTGCTAACCCCCTCTCTGTCTCTGTCTGTCTCTGCCTCTGTCTGTCTCTGCAGCCATGTGGACACCAAGGAGCTGTGTGGTAGGTGCCTGGCTATGCTGGGACCAAGATGGGGATGCTGGGATGGGGCTGGATGAGAAGGGCCTGAGGCAGGGGAGGCTGGAGGTAGCGCAGGTGGGAGGTGCAGGAGTGCTGAGTGGGAGGGGCAGGACCTGTGACCCCTGACCTTTGCCTTTCCTTCCCCAGATTACTTTGTGGACCACATGGGTGACTATGAGGATGTCCTGGCCTCCCTGGAGACCTTGAATCACTCTGTCCTGAAGGCCATGGGTTATACCAAGAAGGTCAGTGGGTGTAGGTGGCCCCCGGGGTCCAGGGCTCCAGTGCTGCTTCAGTTCCACCCTTGCCTAAGGATGCCTGGATTTTTGAAGACAGGCCGCCAGGGAGGCCTATCTCAGGGGTGGGCTTTGCCTGGGCCTCTTTGAAGCAGCTGAGATGAACTGGGAAGGGAATAGAATGGTTTGGTGAATGGCTCTGGTTGGGAGCAGGAGGCATTTTCCCGGAATCAGGCCTGATCCTGGGCTGGGGCCTTAGAAAGGGTGGCCGCAATCACCCTGTGCCCTTAAGGGGTCCCCAGACAGGTGTCGTACCCTTCAGGGTGGGCTTACAAGACTGGAAGAGGGGGCGGGGTGGGGCGTGGTGGGGGGTGGTGGTTCATGCATCTGAACCCTGTCCCATATCAGGTTCTCGATGCTCAGCACCTGGTTTAATCCTCACAGCAACCCTATGGGTGGTTGCTGTCACCTCCACTATCTCACAGCTATGGAAACAGAGGCTCACAAAGGTGAACTCAACAGAGTCACAGCCAGACAGCCATAGCTGCTGGCTGGGATGAGTGGGGAAACTGAGTCAGGGACCTGGCAATAGGCATGGGAGTGTAGCATGAGACTCCAGGCACACCCAGGAGGCAACTGGAGAGTCAGTCATCCAGGAGCAGAGAGCAGCCATAGGGCACACTGGTCCAGGCCCACGGTGAGGGAACTGGGAGCATGCAAGGGTGAGGGACCCACAGGTGCTCGAGGCAGCAGCCACCAGCACCCTGAGCTTTGGGAGTCCAGAAAAGCCCAGCCTTGTCTGCCGGTTGAGGCCGGGGAACTTAGCTGATAAAGCCAGCCAGACCTGGCTGAGGGATCTGAGCTGGTTATTTCCCTTTCTGAGCCTCAGTTTTTCCATCTGTGAAATGGAGACATCCACCTTATGAATTACGAAGTCCTTCAGAGATTGAGCCAAGTAAGGCCTCTGAGCTATTGAGCATGCAGGACCAAGCTCGGAGCAAAGGCACCTGCTGGTTTGTATCAATACGCTCCTACTGTACGCTCAGCCAGATATTAAAACCCATTCTGTGCAATTTTCCCATGCTTCTCAGTTAGTGACCGCCATGTATTAGACAGTCTCTGTTTTGCCATATATCTAACAATAGTTGGGCCTCATTCTGGGCCTCCACGATTCCACATTTCCATTTCTGTCCCAGTATCATGCTGTTTTGAGTCTTGCTGTTTTAGAGTATATTTTAATACCATGTAAGACCTGCTCCCTTCAAGTATTAATCTTTGTAGAATATCGTTTGATATCCCCAAGTATCAAGGTATAGGCGGTGGATTAGAAGGTAGCATGGGAAGATCCCAGGCTTCCGAGTCACCCAGACAAGGGTGGCAATGCCAGCTCTGCTCCAAACAGGCTGTGTGAGGTCACCATGTGCTCACAGATGACCCTGGGAAATGGAAACCACCTCCTTGAGCCTCGGTTTTCTCACCTTAGAAGGGGCCCACGTCCTAGCCATGCTGTGAGGCATTCGTAACATCCATGGTTGCGTCTTGGTCTTCAGTCAGACTTTTCAGGAACATAAGAGAGTTCTCCATCAGTGTCTACTGATACAAGTTAGACCGGTTTTAGAGATCTTGCTCTTGGAAGTCATGTGCGTATGATGTCAGGGGTGGTCTTTGGTGGTTTTTTTGTGGCAGTCGTGGTGATGATAGGTTGTTGCATCCGTGATTGGCATTTCCTTTTTTTTTGTTTTCTTTTTCTTTTTCTTTTTCTTTTTTTTTGAGACAGAGTCTCACTCTTGTCCAGGCTGGAGTGCAGTGATACAATGTCGCCTCACTGCAACCTCTGCCTCCTGGGTTTGAGTGATTCTCCTGCCTCAGCCTCCCGAGTAGCTGGGACTACAGGCGCCCACCACCACTCCTGGGTAATTTTTGTAGTTTTAGTAGAGACGGGGTTTCACCATGTTGGCCAGGCTGGTCTCAAAGTCCTGACTTGAGGTGATCCGCCCACCTCGGCCTCCCAAAGTGCTGGGATTACAGGTGTGATGTGATTGGCATTTCTTTTGCTTGCGTATTTCCTAAGTGGTTTTTGTTTGTAGAAATGCAGCTTGTCGGTTGTTGTTTTGAATGCTTTTCTTGTATGTGCTGTTTGCTTTCGTCAAGCCGCAGCATCAGTTATTAAGAGTGCCGTTGTCTCTGCATTCTAACACGTGCCCCTCTTGCTTCCCTGTCTATCCTGTGGCATTTCTCTCATGTTCTAAAACGTCGTGGTGGGGCACGGCCAGGCATGCTTGTTTGGCTCCTGATTTTCGAGTGCATCTCTAGTACTTCTCTGCTGATTATCATATTAATACCAGCTCTTATTTTAGAATCCTTGTCAGCATGTTGGAGAAATATTTTTGCATTCCCTTTTTTCCATTTTGTCTTAGGAGGGTGGTGGTGAATTTTTTCAAATGCCTTTTGGTATTTTTAAATGATCATATGATTTTTTTCCCCTAAGCTATTGATGGGGTGGATGCTATTTTTAGATTGTCTCAAATTGAACAATCCTTCGCTCCCTGTGATAAACCCTAATTGGTATATTATTCTTTTATCACATTACTGAGTCCTTGTCATGAGCCAAGAATTTTATCTCTGTCTCCATTGGGAGTGGAGATCGGATGATAGCTTGGGAATGATTTTGTGAAGTGGTTTTGAATGTGTTCTGTGTATGAATCAGCTTCTCTAACATAGCATCATTTTTCTACGTAAAAATAGAATTTATCCATAACGCTTGGGTCTCAGTGTTAAACAGGGGAGGGGATGATTTTCATAGTTATTTTAAGGTCATCTCTACTTTTAGTCAACTTTTTCACTTGTCCATTGTAAAATACATATATATATATGGTGGTTTTTTTTTTTTTTTTTTTGACGGAGTCTCGCTCTGTCATCCAGGCTGGAGTGCAGTGGCACAGTCCCAGCTCACTGCCAGCTCCGCCTCCCGGGTTCACGCCATTCTCCTGCTTCAGCCTCCCGAGTAGCTGGGACTACAGGCGCCCGCTACTACGCCTGGCTAATTTTTTGTATTTTTAGTAGAGACGGGGTTTCATCGTGTTAGCCAGGATGGTCTCCATCTCCTGACCTCGTGATCTGTCCTCCTCGGCCTCCCAAAGTGCTGGGATTACAGGCGTGAGCCACCGCGCCCGGCGGAATATTTTTAAACAAAACTGCCCTGGGCATAGTCGTTTTTACAATCAGTCATGCATGGAATGTTTTATGATTATTTTTAAAAATCTAAAACATTGTTTGACACACGCAGGCACTTAATGCACATTAAGTTCAATAAAAGATCTGCTGCCGCTCACGGTGGCTCACGCCTGTAATTCCAGCACTTTGGGAGGCCGAGGCGGGAGGATCGCTTGAGCCCAGAAGTTCAAGACCACCCTGGGCAACATAGTGGGACCCCGTTTCTACCAAAAACAAAACAAAACAAAATTAGCCGAGCATGGTGGGATGTGTCTGTAGTTCCCACCTTCTTGGGAGGCTGAGGTGAGAGGATCTCTGGAGCCTGGGAAGTCGAGGCTGCAGTGAGGCACAGCATGCCGCTGCAACCCAACCTGGGTGACAAGAGAAACCCTGTCTCTCAAAAATAAAAAAATAAAATGTGCTGCTGTAGCTCACATCTTAAGTTTCTCCCATTTTTCTACATTTTAAAACCTTGTATTTGACAGTTTTGCCTGTTTTAATTAGCTGTTTCAAATAACAAGCTCCTGGCACATTTATTTAAATTTCATGACATGTTTTCTTATTTATTTATAGCTCCTATCATTATTATTTCCTCCCTCTTATAACTTTAGGTTTGTTGTTTTTGCTGTTCTTTTTCATATGTGAAATGGAATGGTTTTTTTGATAATGTTGACATTTTTAAAATTTACTTTTGATGGGGGCTGGGTGCAGTGGCTCACGCCTGTTATCCCAGTACTTTGGGAGGCCGGGGCGGGCAGATCACCTGAGGTCAGGAGTTTGAGACCAGCGTGGCCAACATGGTGAAACCCTGTCTGTACTAAAAATACAAAAATTAGCCGAGCGTGGTGGCAGGCGCCTGTAATCCCAGCTACTTGGGAGGCTGAGGCAGGAGAATCACTTGAACCCGGGAGGTGGAGGTTGCAGTGAGTAGAGACTGCGCCATTGCACTCCAGCCTGGACAACAAGAGCAAATCTCTGTCTCAAAAAAAAAAAAAAAAAAAAAAAAAAAAAAAAAGGTTACTGCTGGGTGCGGTGGCTCACACCTGTAATCCCAGCACTTTGGGAGGCCGAGGCAGATAGATCACAAGGTCAGGAATTCAAGACAAGCCTGGCCAACATGGTGAAACCCCGTCTCTACTAAAAATACAAAAATTAGCTGGGCGTGGTGGCAGTTGTGTGTAATCCCAGCTACTTGGGAGAGTGAGGCAGGAGAATGACTTGAACCCGGGAGGTGGAGGTTGCAGTGAGCCGAGACTGCCCCACTGCACTCCAGCCTGGGCAACAAGAGTGAGTCTCCATCTCAGAAAAAAAAAAAAAAATTACTGTTGGCGTTCCCATAGCAATCACAGATGTTAATGTGTAGTATTTTCAACCTATTATTTGAGCAGCCTGTTATGTTCTCATTTATTTTTCAGTTCATTGTATTAAGATAAAATTGAATGACCAGAAAGGTTTCTACTCTATTTTTTTAATGTACTGAGATTTTTCCATTACATTTGTGTTTGTTTTTGTAACTACCTCATGAATGCTTAAGACGATGTGGATTGTGCTTGCAGAATTAGCAGATCTGAAAACAGCTATCCTTTCTTCGTTATGAAATACGTGCTGCTAAGAGGTACTTTTTTAAAGGTAAAATTATGTCTCTTCTGCAGGTATTAAAATACACATCAAATATTTTTTCTTGTTTCTTTTTTTCTTTTTTGATACGGAGTTTCTCTTTCGTTGCCCAGGCCAGAGTACAATGGAGTGATCTCAGCTCAGTGCAACCTCTGCTTCCTGGGTTAAAGCGATTCTTCCACCTCAGCCTCCCGAGTAGCTGGGATTACAGGCGTGCACCACCACGCCCGGCTAATTTTTGTGTTTCTAGTAGAGACGGGTTTTCACCCTGTTGGCCAGGCTGGTCTTGAACTCCTGACGTCAGGTGTTCCACCCGCCTCAGTCTCCCAAAGTGCTGGGAGTACAGGCATGAGCCACTGCGCCCAGCCCAAAGATTTTCTCTAACTCAATATGAGAATCAGTAAGATACTGGAACTGGCTCAAAGGAGAATTGAAAGAACTTGTGCACTAATACATAGGTAAATAGCAATTCCGAAATCAGTTGGTGAATAAATGCATGAATGGTCACTATCCCAGGGCAACAACCAATTGCCCTGTGGAGAGTGCCAGACAAACTTCCTGTGCATTTCTGTATAAGAGATAAAGACGGGGTCTTGTTGTGTTGCCCAGGCTGGAGTACAGTGGCACAGTCATTACTCATTGCAGCCTCAACCTCCCAGACCCAAGTGATCTTCCCACTTTAGCCTTCCAAGTAGCTGGGAACACAGGTGGGTGCCACCACTCACGGCAAATTTTTTTTTTTTTTTTTTTTGGTAGAGACAGGGTTTCCCTATTTTGCTTAGACTAGTCTCAAACTCCTGGGCTGAAGCAATCATCTCCCCACCTTGGCTTGTCCAAGTGCTGGGATTACAGGCATAAGCCACCATGGCCAGCCAGAAGAGAACTCTTTGAATTATTATAAATGGTCTATATCCACAGAGTTTTAAAAGTTGCTCCAGGGAGGGTAGGAGTGGGGTTAGGGTTGAAACATTACCTCGTAGGTACAATGTTCAATATGTGGGTGACGGGTACACTAGAAACGCAACCCCCACCATGACATACCCATGTAACAAACAGGCATAAGTACCCTCTGAATCTGAAATAAAAATAATAAAACATAAAACCCAACTTTCTGTCCTTGGCTTCCCTCCTGTAACAAGTTCTCAAATCCATCTTTCAAATAAATAAATGTTGGAAAACAAAACAAAGTAGCTCCTGAATAAGGAAAGACTTAGATAAACTAGAAAAAATAGTAAACTTAGAAAAACAAGAAACCCAAGAGTCATTTTTGCCCATTTCAGAGACTTTGACTATTCTTTCTAACAGTGCCCTTTGCGTCCTTATTTATTATTATCTAATGTATCTGTTCTGTGAGACAGTGGTTAGCTAATTTCTCATACTAAATTGCGTTTTGTCATTAAATCTTTGTGTTTCTAATGGTTTTCCTTTCTAATTTTTAGCCATGTTGTTTGACGCATATAGACTTTTGTTACAGTACTTCTGTTATATAATGGTACGTAGTTGATATGCAAAATTTAGGGAGTAAAGTATAAAGAAAATTCAAATCGCTTCTAATTCCCACTATCCCTAACCACTGGTAACATTTTAGCCTTTTTTTATGTGTATTTCTTAAATTTATAATCTGTGTTCAAAAATCTATTTCCTGCTCTTTTACCTAATTTTTTAACATTTTCCCTATGTTACTAAAACTTTTCAAAAGCATCATTTAAAATATTTTAGTGTACTTATTTTTCCTCTTTTGTTAGGTATATTAGATTATTTCCAAGTTTTTGCTATTATGAGTATTACATAGTTAATACCTTGTGGCAAACATAGTTGTCCATATTTTGCACTATTTCTTGAGGATAATTTATCAGAGTTGGGGAATTACTGGGTTAAAGAATCTGAGCAGTTTATGGCACTTGACATAGAGCAAAATGGCTACATAAGATGGCTGTAAGCATCGAAGTCCCCATAGCTATATTCTGTGTCAGTACATGAAGATTTAATAATGGCACGTCTTTGTTATAACTTTATGCCTTTTATCATTATATTCCTACCTTTCTTGGGCAGTACTTTCTCATTTAAATTCTAACTTGATAGTGATATTGTACCTTATGCTGTTCAATCACAGTTGGTTACTGAATCTTTACACAGGCTTTTCTTCATAAGTCCTTTGTGCTGCTTTGGTTTAGGTGCGCTTCTGATGGACCTTGTTTAATCAGATCTGGGACTTTGTCTTTATACAAGGGAATTCGGGCCACCTTTTTTATTATGATTGCTTTATTCGGTCTGACTGTTGTGTTTTATTCTTCCCTTTTTTTATGCTTTCTTCATCTCTTTTACATTTTACCTTTTGGTGGTCTGCCCTGTTTATATCATGGATTATGATTTGGAATGTACAATTCCTAGTTTTCACTTCATCAGTTACTTTAAAAAATACATTATTATTAAGATTCTTAATCCTATTTTTATACTTAGCTAATTAACACTTTCTCTTCCCTTTGGGAATAAAAATAATTTTTAAGATTTTAGGCTTTTTTCCCCTATGCTTTATTGACTAAATCCAATATAGTTGAAATTAAACCATTAGTGGTTAATGTTTTTATTTCCTAACCTCTGTAACCTGAATGTTTAATTTGAGTGATCGCTGTTAGTTCTTGTCATAACTTCCCCATATGAAGAACTCTCTCTAATTCAAGCCCAAGTGACTTAGGACAAACTCTTAAGCATTGTTTGCAGAAAAGGTGCTCATCTGGTAAAATTTCAGAAATTTGCAGGTTTCTGGAGATCTCCCAGTTGTTCTACAAATGAGTAACTTGTCCACTGGATGCAAAATTTCTCCACCTGAGCCTTTCCCTGTGGAGTCTGTGGAGCTGGTCTCTTGTCTGAGGCAAGCTCAGTCCCCCCCCATTATGTAATATACCCATGTAACAAATAGGCACGTGTACCCCTGTGTCAAATCTGGGGTTGTATCTTTACATGGGGGAATGTAGGCTGCTTTTCAGTTGTGGAGGAGAAATCAGGAAAAGCTTCATTTTTTACTCCCCGGAAAATAACTTGTCTTCTTTGGAATTCAGCTAACCAGTAACACTTATTGATCGCTGACCACATCTTCAGTCACTGGTCCGGGTGCTTTTAACACACTTCAGCCCATTTTTCTGCTGATCACTTCTAGCAGCCTTTTGCTTTGTGTTTAAATATTTTACCAAGTTATGTCTTCATGTCCGTTTTTGGCCATTCGCGTGTCTGGAGTCTGTTGATCACTGGATCATGTGTGGTTTTGGTCATTGCCATTTATTCAGCTGCGGGAACCTGCCAAGCTGTAAGAACCTGACATAGTTTTGGCCATGTACTCTGTCAGGGTCTGTCCCCAGCAGACCCTGGTCTGGCTGTCGGCTTGGTGGCTTGGGTCGCCCACCTTCACCACGCCTTAGCTGTCTTCTCATGTGCCCCTCCTCCTCCTCTGTTTCTCAGTCTGTCTGTCAGCCGTGTTTCCCATTGTGCAATTATTGCTAATTAATTCCCAGTCAGAGTGATGGATGGTTTAATTTGCTTTCCTTGAGAGCCCTGTTTTTCCTTGCCTTGCCAGGGACTGGGCAGAAATCCAAGGTGCCTGGGGCAGGTGGCTTGGGAAGGCGGGGTCTTGGCAGAGGAGGCCAGGAGAGCAGGGCAGGGTTTGGGAGACCCAAGATCCCCCAACACAGCATCATTTTCATCATCCCGTCCTTGAGCGACGTGGGTAAGCAGAGCTTTCTCCCTTCTGCTGTAAAGTCTTTGCAGCCCAAAGCATCTCCACTGGATCCAAAAGCCTTGAGAAATGTCCTTGCAGAATCTCAGGACAGAGGTGGAAATTCTGTTCCACACCACAGAGCAAAACTTGGAAAAAACTTTCTTTTTCGTCTTTTCCCCAGAGTTCCGCTAAGACTCCCTCTCTGATTTCCCCCCAGGCTCCTCTCTGGCCACCTCCTTTTGATTACTAAGCCCCGGGCACTTTCCTCCCTTCAGCTGCTTTTGATTCCGTTTTGTCATTTTCCTTAGTAGCAGCCTGGAGATCCAGGAGCCCTAGGAATCCTCCTTGCAGGAGGAAGGAGGGAGGGAAGGTCGTGGATTCTTCTTGCCTGATCATTATCCTTGTCACAGCAACAACAAAACTACCAGTCACTATCACTGCCACCATCACCGTCATCTATATTGTAGCACCTACTGTTGATTGAGTCTTTGCTGTGTGGCAGGCCCTGTGCAGAGCATTGTACACGCATGTTGCTGTTTAATCTTCGCTACAACCTTGTAAGATAGATGCTTCAGTGACCCCATTATACTCTGGGAGGTCACAGAGCTAGTAAGTGGTGAAGCCAGGGTTCAAATTTGGTCTCTAAACCTCTAGCCTCTGCGTTGGAAATGCTACAGCCTCTAAGACTGGACCCCAGGAGGCCGTGGGGTCCTCCCTTCCCTTTGCAAAGCAAATTCACCAGCACCAGCTTTCCCCCAACTCCTGTGCTAGACCCCACCTCCAATTTCCCTCCCACCCCTTTCCCCTCAGTGCCTCTTCTCTTCCTTCCACAGGTATATGAGGGTGGGAGCAACGTGGACCAGTTTGTGACCCGCTTCCTCCTGAAGGAGACGGCCAATCAGATCCAGTCGCTGCTGAGCTCAGTGGAGAGTGCGGTGGAGGCCATCGAGGAACAGACCAGCCAGCTCCGGTGAGTCTCTGAGACCCTGCAGGGTCCCATGGGGGTATGCCGTGCACGCGCACGTGCCCACCTGCTGCTTGGTGGGGATGTCTGTGTACCTAAGAGCTGGGTGACCTTGGGCAAGTTGCCACAGCTCTTTGTGCCTTTGGTGCTCCATTATGTAATATAGGCACAATTATATACCTAAAATCTCAGCCATTGCAAGGATTGAATGAGATAGTAAATGCTCAGGAGAATGCCTGGTGTACATATTTATTAATACAGTGAAGACACCATTTCCCAGACTCTAATTTGTTTTGCTGCATCCACATGCTAATTGTTTATGCAGAACTATTCTGTTGTTTGGCCCACGTTTTATTTATTTATTTATTTTTTTGTTTTAGACAAAAAGTGTCGCTCTGTCGCCCAGGAGTGCAGTGGCGTGATTTTGGCTCACTACAACCTCTCCCTCCCTGGGTTCAAGCAATTCTCATGCCTCAGCCTCCTGAGTGGCTGGGACTGCAGGTGTGTAACACCATGCCTGGCTGATTTTTGTATTTTTAGTAGAGACGGGGTTTTGTCATGTTGGCCAGGCTGGTCTTGAACTCCTGGCCTCACGTGATCCACCTGCCTTAGCCTCCCAAAGTGCTGGGATGAAAGGTGTGAGCCACCACAGCTAGCCTATTTTCTCTTTCTCTCTCTCTCTTTCTTTCTCTCTTTCTCTCATTCGTTCTTTTTTCTTTTTCTATTTCCTTTTCTTTTCTTTTCTTTTTTTTTTTTTTTTGAGATCGAGTCTTGCTCTGTCACCCAGGCTGGAGTGCAGTGGCGAGATCTCAGCTCACTGCAACGTCCGCCTCCCAGGTTCAAGCGATTCTCCTGCCTCAGCCTCCCTAGTAGCTGGGATTACAGATGCCCACCAGCACACCCAGCTAATTTTTGTATTTTTAGTAGAGATGGGGTTTCACCATGTTGGCCAGGCTGGTCTTTAGGGTGATCCACCCGCCTCAGCCTCCAGGTGCTGGGATTGCAGGCTTGAGCCATGGAGCCCGGCCTTATTTTATTTATTGACACAGAATCTTGCTGTGTCCCCCAGGCTGGAGTACAGTGGCACCATTGTGGCTCACTGCAATCTCCAACTCAGGTTCAAGCAATTCTCCCACCTCAGCCTCCCAAGGAGCTGGGACTACAGGCATGTAGTCCCACCCACACCCAGCTATTTTTTTTTTTTTTTTTTTTGTAGAGACGGGGTCTCGCCATGTTGGCCAGGCTGTTCTCAAACTCCTGGTCTCAGCAATCCTGCTGTCTCAGTCTTCCAAAGGGCTGGGATTACAGGCAGGAGCCACCACACCCCAGCCCACTTTTGAAAATTAGAAAGCAGTTTAGGAAATGGCATATGGTTATAACTGCACTCTCGGCATCACATGCCGTAAGTGAAGTAACTGTAAAAATAAGCACCTGTCATTGTTTACGATCCAGCTTGAATCCTGAGGCTTGCCACCTCTCTGTTAAAAAGAGAGACTGGGGGGAAATCAGAGAGGTGTTGAAGACAGTAGTAGCAAGTTGAGAGTTTCTCAGGAGGACTGAAAGAGACGTGAAAGAGGAGTGTTTCTTTCTGGTCTTGTGTTAGGCCTTGTTTGTGTGCTTGGAACCATGGGAATGCATCTGGGGTCCCATCCTAGGTGGTGGCTGCTGTGTTAGGGGTGTGACCTGGTATTTAGAGAGGAGCGACATTCTCGTGGCTCAGCAGTCCCATCTCCCGGGGAACACGAGCACCCGTCCCCCCGCCCACCTCCATTTGCTGTTTCAAATTGAGAAAAACCCTTCTTTGCTCAGTTCTTCCCAGAACAGCTGATGTGCTTGACACAGAAGAAAAAGAGAAAATGCAAACAGATGAGGGAAACAGCCAGGTGTCGGCACCCAAGCTCGATTGAGCCCTTAATTTTCCAGGCAGAGAGGTACCTCAGGACCAGGATATTGGTTTGCTGGGGGACTGGGGTTTGATCGTGTGTTTCTTCGTAGTTGAAGAGCTGGTCCTGATCAGACATGATTGTGAAGGTAACTCTGAGACACTGTTTCCCAAATGAGTTTGATCTGAGCATTTGCGCTGAATCACCTGGGAAAATTAAAATACACATTCCTGGGCTCCTGGCCATACTCACTGGCTAGAATCCCTGGACTGGAGCCCAGAACTCTGCACATGTGGTCAGTCTTGTGATTCTTGGGTGCCCCAGAATTAGCAGCCATCGCTGTGAAAAAAGCTGACACTTAGATTTCCTGGGTTTTCCTGTTACTATCTTGATGAAAAACTTGCTGTTTTTCTCCTGCCGCAGAACAGATAGTATGGCTGCGCAGTTTTCAGGGCAGACTTCCCACACTGGGTCAGCTCCATCACGCGTCAGCAGTTACACCCACCTGCCCCCATGGTGGGGACCTTACTTGGGGATGTTGTCAGACGGGGCAGCTTGTCGTGATACCTCTGTTCCACACATGCCCCTCCCTCGAACTTCCCCAAATCTCAGCTAGTTTGGCTCTAGGCTGTGGGTCCCTGAGGACTATCCTGTTTCCCAGCCCCAGGACAGTCTCCCAGGATGTCACCTCTAGCACAGGCTACTGGCTCAGACCCCACCACCCGGGAGCCCTGAGCAACCCGTCATGGTCTGAGGGATACATTTAATTTCCTGCTGGTTTATAGAGAAGCCATGATTGACACCATAAAGACTCTGCCAGCCTCTCCCCTCCCAAGGCGGGAGTCGAGTTTGCTCCCTCCGCAAGGGGGAGAGCCTGGCGGAGTGTTCAAGGTTCACAAGAGACAAATTCCAGAATGCACCAAGACCGCGATGCACAGAGACCAAGCGGGTGTTGGGGCCGTGCACAGGGCACTCTGTGTGTCTTCTGGGGGAGTGTCTGTGTTTCTGTATGTCTGCCAGGAGCTTTTCAGCATCCTTTTGCATGGGAGGATTTGGTCATTCATTGAGCATTTTTGAGTCCCTACTATGTGCTGGACACAGTGCAAGGTGAGCTGTGTGTGTGTGTGTGTGTGTGTGTGTGTGTGTGTGTGTGTGTGTGTGTCTGCCTCTGCCTGTGGCTAGCTGTGCCTGTCAGGGCACGCAGGGGTGTGTATGCACATGAGTATGCACAGGAGAGGGGTGTCCAGGGCCGGGAGATGGGGCCAGGCCCAGGTCAGGATCACAGTTTCTGTCCTGTTACATCCCGACTGTCAGTGTCTCTTTAGGTCTCGCTTTTATGTGTATGTGTTGGAGGGGGGTCTTGAAACCAGGTCCCCCACCCCAGAGGGCACCAAACATTAAATGGGCCTATCATGAGGGAGGGAGGGGGACTTGGTCACTCCACAGCTTGGGCTCTACACGTGCCCGAAAGCTTCGAGCTGTTAGAGTGGGGGTGGGTCCCTGGCTCAGCCTCACTCTGGAACTGAATCTCTTGGGGAAAAGGCCTAGGCCGTGGGGTCCTAGAATGGAGCTGAATTCGAATCCCAGCTCTGCCCAGCTAGCTGCGTGGCCCTGGCTGAGTCACCTGCTTTAAGAACCTCATTTCCTCCTCTGTCAAAACAAAGGCCATGATGCAAGTTCTGTGCATGTGTGAGTCCACTGTCTTGCGTAATAAATGCCTGTGGAAGATGCTGGAAGTGGTAAGGGCCCTGAAGCCACCGCCATGGTCTGTGTGTGTTCCCATCCAAACTGCAGACAGAACCACATCAAACCCAGCCACAGCGCGGCACAGACCTGGTGTGGAAGCCCCACTCCCGCCTCTGCCCCCAACCACAAGCTCATGGCTATGGAACAAGGCAAGACCCTTCCATCTGGTGAGAGAAAGCGGGGGCCCTGGTGGGGGTACCAGCTGGGGGTCCCGAGGAGTTCTGAGAGTCCTCTGACAGGGACTGGGGAGATGAGCAAGTTTGATGCCCCTGGAGGGGCTGGATGTTTCCAGCTTCCCCCCGAAGCCCTCGTCCTGCCCACCACTGAAGTCTGTGTGTCTCTTTCTCTACCGCAGCCACGGAGGATGCAAAGGAAGAGGGTCTGGAAGCCCAGATCAGCCGCTTGGCAGAGCTGATTGGGAGGCTGGAGAGCAAAGTAAGCCCTGGCCTGACCACGGCGTCTACTCCTTCCAACCCCTGAGGGAGTGCAGAGTTAAGCCTGGAGTTCAGGACAAAAGTCTGGGCTGCAGAGGGGCCAGGGAACCATGAAAAAGACATCCCCCAGGTGGGGCGTGGAGCTGCCGAGGACGAAGCTAAGGATCAAACCCCGGGGGATGCTCGTGTTGTTCAGGCCCAAGGAGGGGCGCCTGGGAAGAGAGAGTGTTGGGGGGTCAGGCGGGCCTGCAGGCAGCAGGAGCAGCTCCAGGAGCAGAGGGTGGTCAGCAGGGTCCCGTGTTGCAAGGCCCTAGCTTCAAGGAGACTTTGCTCTGAAGTGGCTGGAGCAGATATTGGCCGAAAGGCAGCACCAGGATGAAAGAGAGACGTGATGATTCGAGAGAGTTTCAAAACAAGGAAGGAAGTGACCAGCAGTAGCAAATGTATTAAGTGTGATATGGGACGTCCACAGGTGATAGAAAATGGCACAGCCCTTACAGAAAACATTTTCAGATAATGTTTCGTGACTCGGGATAGAGTGCTCACAATATGACCATTTGGTGGAAAGAAAAGTTTGTCTTAGGGCCTACAGACAGATGGGCTCAGGTATCAGTCAGAATTCTGGTTGTGCCACTTCATAGCTGTGTGACCCTGGGCCAGGGACTTGTCCTCTCTGAGGCTTAGATTCCTCCTCTGATAATCAAGAAAATAACCTGGAGCATGGGACCCCTCCCTCATAGGGGTGTCGTTAGGATGAACCAAAATGATGTCTCCGGTTTAGCACAGGGCCCGGTGCTGTAGCTTGCATTTAATATTAGCAATGTTAGCAATTATTATGAGGCATTCTGTTACCCAAACCTATCCACATGCACACAGCACACCCGTATACCCACATAAGCCAAGGTAACTGAGCTCTCAGAACCCTGGGATTGAGGTGGTTTTATGTTTCTCCTACTTTTGTGTATTTTTTTTACACCCTTTGTAAAGGGTATTGCTACTTTTAGTTTGGGGGTTCTCAGGCATTCATGGGGGCAGGAACAAGGGGCTCCCCGCATGGAGGGAGACAGAGGCTGACGTGGAATGAAGTCCGAGGGAGGAAGCTCAAACTTCCCCTCCTGCAGGGATGAGGCTGAGGTGGAGTTACCCCCTTCCTGAAGCCAGCTGCGGGAGCGGCTCGGAGGGGACCCCGTGGCCCGGTTGTCATAACAACTCAGCGGGCGCCTCGGGAGGGAGACTCTGAAGCTTATTTTTAGAGCACCGTCGCCCTAACAACCAGGCTGGCTGGTAACCACGGAGTACCTGGGCGTCCTGGAGACGGGGTGGGACCAGGTCCTCCTCCCCAGCCTCTAACTGGCCCGGGCGGTCAGCAGGGGCCAATCCGGGCCTGGCTTCAGGCCCCGCCCTTCACCGGCCAACCGGAGCTGCCTCTGGGCTGGAAGGATGGAGGCTCTAGGGGCCCCTGGCTGGGAGAAGAATGGGGCAGATACAGGGGCCACAGTGCCTCTCCTCATCCTCCTATGGCTTTTCCAGCCCCAGGACCCCTCACGTATGCTTGTAAAACCATGGAAACAGACTTGTTCCTGCCAGGCACACCTTCACCACTTACCAAGGCGTGTTCATGCTGTGTGCCCCCAGAAGGCAGTACCCTTGCCAGGATCAGCTACTACAGAGCCCAGTGCAAAATGAGCGTGCAAGGTCCCTTGCTCAAACATTTAGAACGTCACGGTGGTGACTACACAGACTCATCCACCTGCTGCTGTTTTCCTTATTAGCTGGCGTGCTTTACCTGTGGCTGCCCTGTGTGACTCCCGTAGATGGTCTGTCCTCATGGAGGATGGACAGAGATAGCCACAGAGGTGGTTAGTGGGGTGCCCAAGCTGAAGGAAGCAGCAGCATGAGCCTGTGCGTCAGGTAGACACACTGGGTTCAGACCCACGCTCTGACACTTACATGGCTTTCGTGCCTTCAGAGCCGGGGTTCTCTGCCGTGACATAGTGACTGTTGATCTTCTGTGGGGGCTCAGCCCTGTGTGGGCACCAGTCGTGGGCGAACAGAGCAGATGTGGTTCCTGGAGACCGAAACTTACAGTGGGGCAGCACCTTCCCTGGGGAGTCTGGAAGATTGTGTATTTGTAAACCATCTAGCTTAGAGTCTGGGGAAGACCAGAGAGAACAGTTCACCCCATTAGATCCCTGAGGTGCTGGGGGTTATGATTTGGGGTGAATTATAAGTTACAGGGAATCTAAGGGCTGTTGCTCATCATAGTGGCAAACCCCAGCATCTTGGACTCAGGCCTCTGGAGTCCCCCTTGCTGCCTCTCCCAAGCCATCCTCACCCCAGCAACATGTTCTAGGCCCCCTGTAGGCCAGAGGGAGTCTCTGCCACTTCCTAGCGTTGGTCTCCCAGCCCTGTGCAACAGGGCCGGGTCCTTGGGAGCTCCCAACAGCCCCAGGGATCCCAGAGCTCCTGGCTCCCCGGGGCGGAGTGGGGCTCTGGGTCTAGCATCACTGTGTGCTGGATTGTTTCAGGCACTGTGGTTCGACCTGCAGCAGCGCCTGTCAGATGAAGATGGCACCAACATGGTGAGGCCCCTTCCCACCTCTCTTCTGGGACCACATCCCTACCCATGCCAGGACTGCCAAGATCCAAGTGGCTCAATGCCCCTGACCCCGCTCTCCCTGCTTGGGACCACCAGGAGGGGAGATGTCGCCCAGCGCTTGGCACCCAGACCCTGCCCTGGCACAGGAGCCACCCCACCAACTCCGGGGGTATTTCTTGAGGCTCCCTGGACCTTTTTTTTTTTTTTTTTTTTTTTTTTGAGATGGAGTCTTGCTGTATCTCCCAGGCTGGAGTGCAGTGGTGGGATGTCGGCTTACTGCAACCTCTGCCTCCTGGGTTCAAGCAATTCTCCTGCCTCAGCCTCCTGAGTAGCTGGGATTACAGGTGTGTGCCACCACGCCTGGCTAATTTTTTTGGTATTTTTAGTAGAGACGGACAGGGTTTCACCATGTTGGTCAGGCTGGTCTCAAACTCCTATCCTCATGATCTGCCCACCTTGGCCTCCTAAAGTGCTGAGATTACAGGCGTGAGCCACCACACCTGGCCCAGAGGCTCCTGGACTTTGATCCAAAAAAGGTTTGGCATAGAGCAAAGTGATCAGCCAGACAGTGATGTGAAAATGCTGAGTCCATCAACTATGAGTTTTTCTTGTCAGTGGATGTGCTGTGTCTCCAGGCCCTGGAGGCTGTGCAGGTGGTTGTGGACATGGATGGGGCCTCTGTAAACAACCTCGTCTGTTTTCCCCATTTTTGGGGGCTACTTCTGCACTGGGCTCTTGAGGTTCTAGTCCTTTCTTAGCCCATTTTTAGTCCATTCTTATCCATTCATGGGTAAGAATGAAAAGTGGGGGAGGGTTATTTTATTTTGACCGAGGAAGGGAGGTCATGGGGGCCTGATGGGGTGTTTAGGGAGAAGGCCTGACGTGGAGCCCCACACTGACTCCTGCTGTGCCCGGCAGCACCTGCAGCTGGTCCGGCAGGAGATGGCCGTGTGCCCCGAGCAACTGAGCGAGTTTCTGGACTCTCTGCGCCAGTATCTGCGGGGGACCACTGGCGTGAGGAACTGCTTCCAGTGAGTGAGCTGCCGAGGCGTGGGTGGGATGGTGGCAGGGAGCTCTGCCTGGCAGTGGAGGAACAGGGCAGGACTAGGCTTTGCCCTAAGTAGTACAAGTTGCACCCCAGGGACACACACAGCTGGATGCGTAAGAAGTGGGTTCAGGTCTCTACTGAGGTTCCTCCCAGCCAAGCAAATGTGGCAGGTGTCTTCATCTCCCTGGCATCAGCTTACTCATCTGTAAAGGGGGGACCACCCCCAGGACTCCTTGCTGGGGTGATCATGAGTGCATATACAATCAAGTGTGTGAATCTCAAGTGTGAAGGGCTCCAGCTGGGCCTGGTGTGCCCCGTGCGCTCAGTCAGCCTCAGCTGCTGCTGTCACAGGGGTTCCTGCACACTTAAGTCCAGGCCCAGAATGTAGTATTTGCTCAGTTAACCACTGAGGAAGGAGAGGAGAGTCGGTAGCTGAAGGGAAATGCCCAAGTCATGTAGTTGCCCTTCTCCCCCTGATGTGCTGAGATGTCCAGGGCGGGGCAAGCGGCCTTACCTTCAAATTCCTGTTCATCCCACCAGGCTGATGTAGCTCCTTGGTAAAGCTAAGGCATGTGGCCAGGGCCAGAGTGGAGGGGGTTGCAGAAGACAACAGCCCTTTGTTCTTGCTGGTAGTGGTCCCCCGCCCCCCGTTTCTGCAGCAAGGCTCTGCCCAACTCCCTTCCCAGGGCTTTCTTCCATCCCCAGAGCACACACTCATTCACCCCATTGCCTGGGGACATGGCTGTGAACCAGGCAGGCCAGGTCCTAGCACAGGGTCTTTGAGAGGGGTCTTCTTGGGCCCCCTGTGCACTGAGGCTTGAGTGACAACAGCCTGACCTGTAGCACGAGGGGAGGAGTAGCCTGGGCAGGAGTGCGGCCGTTCCCGAGACTCGGCGTGGCCACGAGGGGCCATTCTTGAGTAAGTAGCCAGGATGGGGGGGCAGGACCCACTCCACTCCAGGAGGACAGACTGCACAGGAGCAGGGGCCAGACTTGATCTTTTTCCATTACGTGAATAAGTGGGAGGCTCCAGGGTGAAGTAGGGCCACCCCGATGCGCTGTGGAGAGGAGGCACGGTGGACGTAGAGGCTCTGGTTTGTCGAGTTGGAGACGGCAAGCCTGGAGAGCCAGGTGAGATTCTACTTCCCAGGCATGGTGCACCTAAAGCTGCACGGAGGTGTGTCCACCCCAAGATGGAATCCAGCCCGGCCCCTTCCTCTAGGCTGAGCACTGTAGCCCCTCCTCCCCAGCTTTTGGCCCCCGCTTTATGGTCACTTGGGGCTTCCTCATTGTAGTGCACTTGCAGAGAGGATTCTGGGGCGGCATAGACTATCAGCACCTTTAAAATGACGTGAGTGCGGGCCCCTGGGTCCCATAGAGCAATGGGGGACTTGCCTGCAGCCCCTTCCTCTGTGGCCCAGCACCCCCTCCCCTCAGCCTCCTTTGGTCAGGTCAGGTACAGTGCAGTGGGGGTGTTGCAAGGATTAAATGAGAGGACAAGTAGAAGGAAGAAGAGGGAAGATGCTTTGATTTTTAAAGGTTTTTTGATTTTTAAAGGTTTTTTGAGACCAAATCTTGCTTTATTGTCCAGGCAGGAGTGAGTGTGTAGTAGTGGAAGCTCAGCTCACTGCAACCTCTCACCAGAGGGTTTAAATGAGTCTCATGCCTCAGTGTCCTGCATCGCTGGGATTACAGGGATGTGCCACCAGGCCCAGCAAGTTTTATTTTTTTTTTTTTTAAAGAGACAGTGTTTTGCCATGTTGGCTAGGCTGGTCTTGAACTCCTGACCTCACGTAATCCACCTGCCTCGACCCCTCAAGACTTCCCAAAGTTCTGCGATTACAGGCGTGAACCATCACATCCAGCCACCTGGTTTTGTTTAAATAAATGTTCACACTTTAACATGACATTTCAGCTGGGCACAGTGGCTGAAGTTTGCAATCCTGGCACTTTGGGAAGCCAAGGTGAGAAGACAGCCTGAGCCCAGGAGTTAAAGACCAGCATGGGGAACATAGCAAGACCCCATCTCTATTGGGACAGTTTTTGAATTAGGCCGAGTGGTGCACTCCTCTAGTCCCCGCTACTTGGAAGGCTGAAGTGATTGTGCCACTGCACTCCAGCCTGGGCAACAGAGTGAGACCCTATCTCAAAAGAAAAACTACACTGCATTGATTCTATTTAATAAATAGCTGTTGGCCACTATAAGAAGCCAGGCCTTATTCCCTGTGCTGGGGTCACCCTGTCGAGTCTCGATGGAGGTCAAGACAGGAAGAAACATTGAAGGCAGCCGTTGTGTATAGTGGTGGGTCTCAGGCCACCCCAGGGGAACAGCACTGAGGTGGCCTTGGTTGAGCTCCAGCCTCCTCCCCCCGACCATCTCCTGTTGCAGCATCACTGCCGTGAGGCTCTCAGATGGCTTCACCTTTGTCATCTATGAGTTCTGGGAGACAGAGGAGGCGTGGAAGAGGTGAGATGCTGGGTCCCCACAGCAGGTGAGGGAGACAGAGGGAAGTGGGGGGGCTGTCTTCCTGGAGCCAGGCATCCTTGGAGGGGAGGGTAAGGCCGAGTCCAGTCAGCAGATTCCCGAGGCATCTACCCGCTGGCATGCTTGCGTCAGTAAACCCTGGTGGAGGCAGGAGCTCTTGGTGGGTAGTGAGAGCCCCCACCACACTCAGCTGGGCTTTCCTGCTTTCCCCAGGGTTGCTTCTGTGCCCCTAGAGCACCTTGTCCTCCTGGAACAGCCCTGGGGGCCGAGGCACTGCCTTCTTTACCACCCTGTAGAGTTGAGGGCCTAACCTAGAAGGTGACTCAGTCCCCATGTGATCAATTGTTCCAGCGACTAACCTCCCCTCCAGCTGAGTGCCCGGTACGAGGGACGGAGATGGGGTAGGGTGTCAGCAGCTCTGATGGGCCTTAGGCCTTTGTCCTCTGCTCAGCACACATCTGGGAGAGGGTGGAGACTATTGCTGATGCGCCAGACCCCACAGGCAGGAAGCGGGGCCTAGGGGTAGCCCATGCCCCCATCTCCTGCTTCCCTGGTAAACACTCACGGTTTGCTGACAAACTCAGGACCCCAGTGGGAACAGGGGCGGTCATGAGAAGTGAGAGTGTCCCCTCCCTGTCCGTACTTCAGTGACTCATAAAACGAGGGACTAAAAGCCTTCGCAGCTTCTGTGTTGTCATGGGTCCCAGGCAGAGGATGGCCCCACTCCTCCTGCTAGGGTAAAGGGGGAGGTAGAGGCTCTGTGCAATGAGTGGGGGGATCCCGCTGCCCATTTATAGCTCACAGGGAAAAAGAGAAGCTCACTGCCCACCCCAGAGTCAGCCTCCCTGGGCACCCCCTCACCTTCCCACAAAGGCTCTGAGTCCAAAGACCCCCCGTGCTTATTGATAAGCTCCCCATTTTGGGCTAGAGCTAGGATTAACAGGGGAGCCACACGCGGAGCTCCACTCCTGCCACCCCTGACTCACACATGTCCCTGCGTCACAGGCACCTGCAGAGCCCCCTGTGTAAGGCGTTCCGGCACGTCAAGGTGGACACACTGAGCCAGCCTGAGGCCCTCTCCAGGATCTTGGTGCCAGGTAGGGGGCAAAGGCCTGGAACTGCAGTGGCCACCTGACTGGAGAGAAGGGCAAGAGCCTAGAGGCTGCCCCATATCTCCCGGGGACTTGCCTGCTTGCTGTGGGCCCACTGTCAGCTCCTGCCACCAATGCCAGGCTCAGAGCCAGCCCTGAGGTGGCCCCACATACAGGTATGCCTGCCAGAGCTTGCACCAGAGCACCCCCTCCACGGCCCCCTACTTCCAGCCAGACTGAATTTCCCTTCCCAGGTGTGTGGTTTGCACCTGGGTGACCAGCAAGGACCTGTGTGTCACACAAGGACTCAAAGCCATCCCCCGACCTGTCATTCAAGACGACCACCACCAGCTACGAGGCTGCCCACATTCGCACTCCTTCCCTCTAACGTGTCTCTCTCCTTTTAGCTGCTTGGTGCACGGTGGGACGGGACTGACAGCCTCCCAGAGGCCCGTGGAGGAGCCCACCAGCCCCTTCTTCTTGTGAAGGAAATCCCGTTTTTTTCTAGACAGACACTTTGGTGCAGAAGCTTCTTTTCAATCCATCCTCCACAAGAAGGTGTTTCCCTGTTGTTAAGTGAAGGAGGCCGCCCCTGCCCCCACCTGAGAAGGCAGAGCAGTGTCTGTGCTGCCAGGTCCTGGTGAAGCCCAAGGTTGAAGGGGGCGGCTTCCTGGAGCCAGCACCCCTGCCTCCTGGTCCTGGCCTCTCCCCTACCCCTCACATGGCCACGCATGACCCACACTGACCACACCCTGCCCTCTTCGGTGACATTCTTCTACCTAGTAGGAGTCATGCCCCTGTAGTGCCCAACCTAGCCAGGTAGCCACCACTGTGCCCAGGCGCCAAATAAACCCTGGTTGGGAAGAGCTGTGTGCTCTGTGTCTGTTTCCTGGTTGACAACAGCAGGGGGCCAGGGACCCTTCAAGTGCTCCCAGCCTCAGTTTTCTGAACCATGAAATGGTGGTGGTCACTCTATGCGGTATTTGGGAACTAGGCTCATGCCTATTCAGGAGCTCAGCACCACACCTACCCTCAGGTCAGTAATTCAAAGGACTGGGCACAACTGTCAAAGTCACGGTCAAGGTAGGTAGATGACAGACAGACAGACAAAATCCAGCAAAGAAAGAGGCTCCCGGAGTGGGGGGCCAGGCACGGGGCTACCAGTAAAGGCCCATAGCACTGAACCCTCCCAGCTTCAATGCTGATAGAGCATCACCAATCAGGGATGCAGTCCTGAGTCTTACTGGGGTTCGGTGACGCATACACGCTGACACCTCATGGCTCAACACCCCACCATAAATCACATGGTTGGCCCAGACCACGCAGTGTGGCTCAACACAGACACTGTCACCAGGCAGGACGCTCCAGGGACGGGTGAATGCCTCCCGGCACGTCTGTGCATTAGCCATTCAACACAGCAGGAGACCCCGCCTATCAACTGGAAATCATGTCTTAAGTCTTATTCTGGAAGCTTTGTAACTTCTTCCTATTTCTCAGTCCGGGTTAGCAGGAAAGAAGTCACTCACAGCCCAGTGCAGTGGCTCAAGCTGTCATCCCAGCACTTTGGGAGGCCGAGGCTGGTGGAACACCTGAGGTCAAGAGTTTGAATCCATCCTGGCCAACATGGTGAAACCTCGTCTCTACTAAAAATATAAAAATTAGCTGGGTATGATGGTACACGCCTGTAATCCCAGCCACTTGGGAGGCTGAGGCAGGAGAATCGCTTCAACCCAGGAGGTGGAGATTGCAGTGAGCAGAGATCACACAACTGCACCCTGGGCAACAGAGTGAGACTGTCTCAAAAAAAAAATCACAAAAGTTCAAAGGACAAAGAGAATGGTGGGTCCCTCTCCTAAAACAGGGCAGAGCCAAGACCACAGGCCAGGGCACAGGTGGGAGCCCTGAGGGGAAGGGGCAGGACCCAGAATGGGCACCTTTCTACCTCAGGCACAGAGCCTGGAGGGCTGGCCAGTGCCACATGTGGTTATTAACACTCACCACCCAGCAAGGTCCCTGCCCACACTGTCCAGCCCCCTGTGCTTGCCGGGAGCTTTGAAACCCTGCTCCCAGGGCAGGTCCCTGCCCCTTGGGTACTGCCACCTCCTTGCGGGGTGTGATGCCTGCCGCTGCAAAACCAGCAAAACACGACATGAGTTTGTAGGAAAAGAAAAGGGGTTCAAGAACCATCTGTATGTCTCCAAGCTGAATGTCCCTATACCAGCCTCTCAGGGCCTGTTTTCTCACCTGTAATGTGGGGAAAAGACCCCTCCCTTGAAGGATCAGGGGCTTCACTGCCTGGCGCACGAGAATGCCACTTACAGGCTCCTGCTGCCCCACCCACAAGACTGGTACATTCCAACCACCTCAGCTATTCTAAGAACAACATTCTCAGGGGCTAAGGCTTTCTGGGGTACAACTGAGGAACCTCCTTTAGCCGGGCCTGTTCCCCTCCCACATGTCACATCTGCCCAGGCCTCCATGGGGGGTGATATCTCTGCTGATTGCAGCCCACGTGCACTGAAAGCCTTCAGGGGCCCCCTCAGAACCTGAGTGGCCGGGGATGGGCTCTGACAAGAACATGTTTCAACCCTAAAAGCTCTAAGAGCTCCCGCTTAATTCACACTTCAGAGCCTGGCACAGTCAAGCACTTGACAGGCCCATCTCCCTCCATGCTCCCCTATGCTGTCCTGCTCTTGGCAGGTGGGGAGATGGAGACAGAGAGGGCAAGCAACTCACCAGAGGTCACACAGCAAGTAAGTGGCTCAAGTCAGATCCAAACCCAGAGTTCTGTGCCTAACCCCTGCGCCACACAGCATCAACCCGTGAGGAAGAACGGCTTCAGATTAACCCATTAAGATCAGAATCAGGTTCCTCCAAATGCTAATGGCGAAGTACCGTATCCCATAGAAGTACTGTATCCCAGCAATTCCACTTCTAGGGATATACTCTGCCTGAAATGGAAAAGGCATCCATCCACTCACTCACTCGGTGCATGTACTCATGACGGCACTATTCACAACAGCCACAAGGTAGAAACTATCCAAATACTCATCAGCCGATGAAGGCGTAAACAAATGCAGTCTCTCCAAACAGTTTATCATTCAGTCATCAACAGGAGTGAAGGACTGGGCCGTCGGTGACTCGAAAACCCCACACTGAGTGAAGGCAGGCAGACACAACAGACGGCATCTAATATTCCACTTACATGAAACGTCCAGAATAAGCAAATCCACATAGACAGAAAGCACAGAGTGGCTGCCTCGAGGATGGGGAAGAGGAAAAGGGGAGGGACAGCTCATGGGCAGGGGGCTTTCCTCGGGATGGAATGTTCTAGAACTAGAGGGAAGTGATGGTGACGTAGCATTGCAAATGTACTAAAGGCCACTGAATCCTATGCTTTAAGATGGTTAGTTTTACACTATGTGAGTTGCATTTCAATGTTTAAGAATCTCAAATCACTCTCAAAAACAGTTCACCATCTGTACTTAGCCGGTAGAGCTGCATACTCACCAGGCCCGGTTCAAAACCTGCCACTTGTCCCCGGGAGGCATCTGTGGGTGGGCAACTCCTCCTGAGGTGCTTAGGGCCAGCAGTGCCCTGGGCTGGGCCCCTGAGCCAAGGGAAAGAGGTCTCCCCTGCAGCCTACCATGCTCAGAGCAGGAGCACAAGGCATTTGCACTATGAAGCATCACCGGGCCATGCTCAAAGCTGTTACTTCTGACTCTCCACTGACACACAGCTGTCATCCTTGGCCAGGTGCTGCAACAGGACACACTCTGTGTCGAGGGCTTTGGAGGGACCTCAGCTCAGACTCTCAGCCATCCTGGGAGGGAGGGGCTGTCCACAGCTTCATTTTGGAAAAGGACAAAAAGGTCTGAACTGGGAGGCTGGAAAACATCCAGAGGAAGGGTGCTGAGGCAGAGGAGAGCACTGGCAGGGATTTCCTGCAGTCACCACCCTAGGAACAGGCTTTGCTGAGGCCACACAGCTGGTAAGTGGCAGGCAGAGTCAAGTCATCTGCCAGCCCCAGAGCCCATGTGCTGGAAGCCCTACACATTGTCACCTGGCCCCTGAGGACATCTGGCTGGAAGGTGACATCCCAGCTTCTACCACTGTGATTGCATGAGCTGCGTCCTTGCATTATGATAATTTGCAGACAGTCATAGGAGGATCACATCGACCTGTCATAGAATCGAGACAGAAGCCTTTGTCCTGATGAGTGATATTCAGTCACCCCTTAAAGAGCCCCGCTATCACCTCTTAGCATTGAGTGCCAGTGCACTTGCCTCCTGAGGTGCTTTCTTGCTTTGGGATGAGTCCTCACCTCCTCATACTTCCCATTTCCCCTTGGCTCCCAGGAAACTCAGGTACCCCTTGCCAATCACGACCTTGGTCTTCTGGGAATAAAGCTACATTGCTTGGGTCTCCACTGTGCGTGACGTATCCCATCAGCTACTCTGGATCCATCATCGTCTTTAATCCTCACAAGAGACCTGCTTTGTACAGAGTAACCCTGCTCCATTTTGCCGCTAGGGAAACTGATTCTGCAAGAAGGTTCACACACTTCCCAAGGCTTTGAGATAGCAAATGGCAGACCCAGTGTTCAAAACCAACGGTCCAACTCCAAAGCTACTTCACACACAGCCTTCTTTGATGGCATGACCCTCACCCCACCACACTTTGATATCTCAGGACTCTCCATAAATAGTACTAGCACAGCCCCAGCCTTCCTGGCCAGGGTCACAGAGCCCTTTAGGAAGCAGGCAGGTATAAATAAGAAATGAATGACTATTCAGCCTCACCTCTCACTCCAGGGTGATAAATTCTCCATTACAGCAATCTGGGCTCAGTGCAGTGGCTCATGCCTGTAATTACAACACTTTGGGAGGCCGAGGTGGGAGGACTGCTTGAGGCCAGGAGTTCGTGACCAGCCTGGGCAAACAAAGTAAGACCCTGACTCTATAAAAAAAAAAAAAATACACAAAAATTAGCTGGGCATGGTGGTGTATGCCTGTGGTCCCAGCTACTCAGGAGGCTGAGGAAGGAGGATTACTTGAGCCTGGGAGTTGGAGGCTGCAGTGAGCAGTGATAGTGCCACTGCACTGTAGCCTCAGTAACACAGTGAGACCCTCTCCCAAAAAAAAAAAAAAAAAAGAGGCCTGGCATGGTGGCTAACACCTGTAATCCCAGTAATTTGGGAGGCTGAGGCAGGTGGATCACCTGAGGTCAGGAGTTCGAGACCAGCCTGACCAACATGGCAAAACCCCGTCTCTACTAAAAATACAAAAATTAGCCAGGCGTGGTGGCAGGTGTCTGTAATCCCAGGCTGAGTCAGGAGAATTGCTTGAATCCAGGACGGGGAGGTTGCAGTGAGCTGAGATCGCGCCACTGCACTCCAGCCTGGCGACAGAGTGAGACTCCATCAAAAACAAACAACAACAAAAAAAAATAGAGCAATCTGCCCGCACGTGTCCCAATTCCCAAGGCCCTTGCCTGGGAAGATGCTGTGGCCCTTGAACATAGGGTGTGACAGGTCATGGTGGGGTTGGTCAGACATTGAAGAAGGGTCCTGGGTACCCTCCCAATACCCCCACAGGGTCAGAGTCCACACCTGCAGCCACACTTCTCCCATCCCCCAGCAGCCAGGCTACAGGAGCCCCAGGGCCAGGTACCTATTCCCACCCCTGCCCCCCAACTCTGATGTCTCCTCAGCATGGCATGTACAGTGGGAAGGAAAAGAATCTAACCCCAAATGAGTTCTGATCTGATCTCTGTACCTTGCAGGACGCTCAGCCTGGATTTTTCTAAGCCTCAGTTGCCTAACCTGTAAAATGGGCACATCTAGAAACAT
Organism: Homo sapiens; assembly: GCF_000001405.40. Taxonomy (NCBI): domain Eukaryota; kingdom Metazoa; phylum Chordata; class Mammalia; order Primates; family Hominidae; genus Homo; species Homo sapiens. The sequence continues at coordinate 84,007,762 of NC_000016.10, forward strand.
TATGCTAGGTCCAAGGAGGCAGAGACAAAGGCCCACGTACATGTGAGGCTGTTCAGAGGGCATGCCCGTAGCAGGCAAACCCAGAGACTGAGCGCAGCTGCATGGTTGCTGGGAGCTGAGGGAGGGAGAAATGGGGGGTAACTGCTAATGGGCACTAAGTTTCTTCTGAGCGTGACAAAAACGGACTAGAATTACTGGGGCAGCTGCACAGCTCTGTGAGCACACTAAAAACCACTGGATTGTACACTGTAAAGAAGTGAATCATTACGGTATACACCTTTTATCTCAATTTTGAAAATTCATGCATGTGGACAAGCTGAAATAAATATGGACCTGTCACCGCCAGCCTTGCACGGTCACGTGCATTGTACCATGTGACAGCAGGAAAGGCCTGGCCTACTGCCTGCCCTGAAGAAGGCATCCTCAAATGTCAGTCCCACCCTCCCCTGACTCTGGCACTGCTGGCTTCTAGGAGGATGTCCCAAGGCAGAGAAGCGTGGCCTGAACTGAATCTAGCAACCGGGGCCTCTGCAGGGTCAATGCCAGGGAGGACGCAAAGGAGCAGCTGGGTCCGTGTCTGCCTCTCCACATCCTACCCTCCTTCTTTTTTTTTTTTTTTTTTTTTTTGTTATTGTTGTTGAGATGGAATACTGCTCTGTCACCCAGGCTGGAGGGCAGTGGCACAATCTTGGCTTGCTGCAACCTCCACTTCTCAGGTTCAAACGATTCTCCTGCCTCAACCTCCCGAGTAGCTGGGATTACAAGCGCCCCCAACTATGCCCGGCTAATTTTTTTGTACTTTCAGTAGAGACGGGGTTTCACCACGTTGGCCAGGCTGGTTCTCAAGCTCCTGACCTCAAGTGATCTGCCCGCGTCAGCCTCCCAAAGTGCTGGGATTACAGGCGTGAGCCACTGTGCCCAGCTACCTCCTTTTCTTTACCCAGGCCCTAGAAGCAAACCTCGTCTCCTCTTGCTCTCTGCTGCCAGTGTGACCCCTTGTCCCAGAATTGGGGAGGCCACCAGGGAGAACTGCAGAGCCAACAGTCCACTTGGCTTCCAGGCTCTTTGAGTCCAGCTGGTGGGAGGGAAAGCACAGTTTCCTTGGAGTCATCCACCCTCCACGGGGCATGGGCCAAGTGCATGGCGGTGTGGCGTGTTCCGGGCATACACCTCCTTGGGCCTGTCACAGCCAAGGGCAGGATTCGGGCATTTCCTGCGCCCTGGCCAAAGGACCATTTGAGTCCATCACCATCGCCAGCCATGCCTCCTCCCACTCCCTTCTGGGCTTCCCATTGCTGTGCAGTATCCTTACCTGACACCCTTGATCCTGACACTCCAAAGCCAATTATCTGGGCCTCAGCCCCTAGCTCCCTTTTATGGATTGAATCTTGTCTCCCAGAAACATCAGTTGAGGTTGAACCCCCGGAACCTGTGAACATAACCTTATTTGGAAATTGCATCTTTGTGGGTCCTAATTAATACAAGATGCAGGCAACTTATGATGAGATCACACTACTTACGGAGGTGGGAGGAGCTCACTTAGTGATGGGTATCTTTTTAAGAGAGAGATTTGGACACAGAGGATACACAGGGGAGAGTCACATGAAGACAAGAGCAGACACTGGAGTGAGGCAGCCACAAGCCAAGGAGTGCCGGCCACCCCTAGAACTGGGAAGACAGGAGGGAGCCTCCCCTAGAGCCCACAGAGGGAGCATGGCCCTAATGACACGTGATTTCAGACTCCTGGCCTCCAGAACTGTGATGCAACAAGCATCTGTTGTTTTAAGCCACCAGAGTGCGGTTATGGTCATTTATCACAGCGGCCATAAGAACTTTCCTCACCTTTGTACCAGAAACCCTTCGAACCCGCATAGCCCCATGAGCAGCCCAAGGAGGCAGAAGGCATCAGTCTCTCCAGCATCTTTATGAGGAAAAGAAATGGCATCGGTCTCCTGGCTGCATACAGCAGCCACGTAGGGTCAGCCCCCGGAGGGCCCCTTCCTGCCCGGCACTAGCTGCCCATCAGAACATCTCCCAGACCGCTGCCGCCGTGCTCTGCCCAAAGATGAAGGTGCCGACCAGCACAGAGACCACTCCCCAGACCTCCAGGCAGCACCTGCCAAGTGAATAAACCCATGTCAGAGCTTTTCTGGATTTTTGCACAAATAAGCCACACACACATAAAAAATTCACTATGTAGAGCCCAGTATGGAGTCATCAATTTGGAAAAAAGAAAAATTCAGAATATTTCCAGTTACCTGTAGGGATGGGTTTCCAAGACAATGGGAAGCAAAGTACCCAGGCAATTTTTTTTTTTTTTTTTTTTTGAGGTGGAGTCTCATTCTGTTGCCTAGGCTGGAGTGCAGTGGCACGATCTCGGCTCACTGCAGCCTCCACCTCCCGGGTTCAAGCAATTCTCCTGCCTCAGCCTCCCAAGTAACTGGGACTACAGACACACACGATGACACGAGGCCAATTTTTGTATTTTTAGTAGAGATGGAGTTTCATCATGTTTGCTAGGCTGGTCTTGAACTCCTGACCTCAAGTGATTCGCCCTCCTCAGCTTCCTAAAGTACTGGGATTACAAGCGCAAGCCACCGTTGCTGGCCGCAAGCAGTTTTTAAAAGCCCTCCGATCCCACCTGTTATGTCATAAGCTCATTCCTCCCCAGTATTTTATCAAATAAAAAGACATGGGGGCCAGGCATGGTGGCACAAGCCTATAATCCCAGCACTTTGGGAGGCTGAGGCAGGCGGATTCACCTGAGGTCATGAATTCAAGACCAGCCTGGCCAACATGGTGAAACCCCATCTCTACTAAAAATAAAAATAAAAAATTAGCCAGGCACGGTGGCAGGCACCTGTATTCCCAGCTATGTGGGAGGCTGAGGCAGAATTGCTTGAACCCGGGAGGCAGAGGTCGCAGTGAGCCAAGATTGCACCACTGCACTCCAGCCTGGAGGACAGAGCAAGACTCCATCTCAAAAAGAGAAAAAGACATGGAGAGAAGGGAGACACTACTTTGAAAAGTCCCCCCACCCTCCCTTTCTGTTCCTCAGCCTCTGATGAAATCCCATGAAAATGAAGGAGAAGACGCAAGCTCTAAGTCACACACGATCTCAGAGGGGTAGGGGACGAGGACGCAGGAGGCAGAGGTGGCTGGGACTGGCAGCCACCGAGGCCACATTTGTGAGCTTCGTCATGTAACCAGAGATGGGGTAGACAAGGAGGTCAGAGCGATAACAAGATTCCCACAAAATGGCAGGGCCACCAGAGATATTTGTGGCCCCATTAACAAAGACCAGAAGGCCGGGTTGTCATGGAAGGAACATTTCTAACCGAGCAGCATCTCAGCACGGCTGTTCAGCGCCATAAACATCCATTCATCTGTGCGGGGACTGTGAGGCTAATGTGCCTGTGGGCTGTGGCACTCCTGGAGCAGCGCTGATGTATTAGAAGGACCCAAAGCAGTTTTAACGATAAAAATATCTTGAAAGCTCATCAGTAAAAACTGTTGTGAGCTCAGATCAAGGAACAAAACAAAAAGCATGAAGACTCCGAAAAGCATCCCAGGGAATGAGCGGCTTAGGGGGTTACCAGACATTGGGAGGCTGGTTCAATACCCAAGGCAGGTTTAGAAACATCCAGAAACACTGCTCTCAAATCCAGAAGAAACCGGGCCAGGCCTGCTCCTTTGCAAAAACCAAGCTTGGGCTCAATGGGGCTAGAGGGCCGGGGGTATAGGGGAACAGACCTACAGCTGGCACCCAAATTCACGATTGCTGCCATTTAACATTATCTGGGATGGGGTGAAGGGTGGCCCCCAAAATTCATGTCTACCTGGAACCTGTGCTTGCCAGCTTATCTGGAAACTGGGTTTTGCAGATGTAATTAAGGAAAAGATCTTGAGAGAAGATACAACCTAGATTTAGGGTGGACCCTAATCTGATGGTAGGTATCCTTATAAAAGAAAGGCAGCCAGGTGTGATGGTGGGCGTCTGTGGTCCCAGCTACTCAGGAGGCTGAGGCAGGAGGATTGCTTGAGCCCAGGGGGTTGAGGCTGTAGTGAGCCACAATTACGCCACTGCACTCCAGCCGGAGCAACAGAGCAAGACTCTGTCTCAAAAACTAAAATAAATAAAAGCAGAGGGATTTCTGAGACGCAGAGACACAGGGAGAAAGCTAAATAATGATAAAGGCAGAGACTGGAGTGATGTAGCCACAGGCCAAGGAGCACCTGGGGCCACCAGAAGCTGAGGCGCCTTCAGAGAGTCCAGCCCTGCCAACACCTTGATTTCACACTCCTGGCTCCAGAACTGGGGAAAAAATTCATTTCTGTTGCTTTAAGCCTCCCCACCATGCCCCAATTTATGGTAATTTGTTACAATAACCCCATAAAACTAATACATCATCTCTTTACCTGCCTCAGCCTCAGTTTCCCCATCTATGGGATGGGAGGGAGTCACCCAGAACCCCAGACTACCCAGGGGCGGCTGAGGAAGCGCACATCATTCACGTGTACATCGTCCTCTTCCGTGGGTCAGACTCAGCTGCTCAGTGGCAAAGTACAGAGGCTCAGTCGTGTCTGATCCACAGGTCCGCTCGGGGATAAATATTTGTCAAATGAAGGAAAGATCCAAATTATCTGGTCTCAACAGCATTGTATGCCAGGCAGGTGGGTTAGCATGGGGCCTGGGAGCCAGGGGCCTGGGTTGCATCCTAGCTCTGTCCTCACTAGCATCCGGGCCCGCCTCCTCAGCTGTAGGATGAAGACATGTGGGTATGGTGGGGAGGTGAACATGTAAAAGGACCTAGCTCAGTGCCTAGCAGAGGAGCCTGGGAACAGCGACCCACTGCTGTGATGATGGTGTCTGGCCGGCCATGGGGCCTTTCTAACCCAGCCTGCACCCTGATCCTGCCCTGGGTCCGAGCCAGGTAACAAAGGAGGGTACAGATGCACCACTGGGTGCTTCCAGAGGCTGGAATCTACATGAAATCCCAACCACAGACCCTCAGAGTGGAAGGGAAGGCCCTTGGAGGACCCGGTGTTACTGGCCCGGGCTCCTATCCTGGCTCAGATGCCCTCATACTGGGTAGACAGAGACTCTCTTCCTGTGGCTCGCAGGTTTCTCACCTGCAGGATGCAGAGGATGAGAAATAGGATCTGCAGGGTCCCCTGAAACATTCTTACTCTGATCCGGGGCACACCCAGGGTGCCACCTCATCTTAGGGACACTTACTTGACTCTTGGTCCTATAGGCTCGACACCCATTGCACAGATGAGGCACAAACCTGCAAAAAAGACAGGGTCACCCACAGTTCTTCGTTATCAAACCCAAAGCAACAAAAAGGTCCCGGGAGAGGTCCTCAGGGACCCAGGAGGCCAGCAAGGCCTCCGCCCATGGGTGCCCCTGGCTCAGGCCCCCTGGAGAGGCAACACAGTGGAGCTGGAAGGACGGGGCTGGAGTCCCAGCTCAACATGCCCTAATGACTTAGGCAGAGGTCTGGCAGCAACCGACTTCCCAGAGCCCCATCTTTCAGGCAACCTTGACAACATGCCCCCCCACAGCAGAGTCTATGAGGAGATGGTGAGAGTCCATGCCTGACACCCGGGAAGTGCTCGGCAACTGGCAGCTACCATTACTTTCTTTTGTTGTGTGTGTGTTTTTTTTTTTTTTTTTTTTTTTTTGAGACGGAGTCTCACTCTGCTGCCAGGCTGGAGTGCAGTGGCACCATCTCGGCTCACTGCAACCTCCACCTCCCGGGTTCAAGTCATTCTCGTGCCTCAGCCTCCCGAGTAGCTGGGACTACAGGTGCGTGCCACCACACCCCGCTCATTTTTGTATTTTTAGTAGAGACGGGATTTCACCATGTTGGTCAGGATGGTCTGGACCTCTTGACCTCGTGATCCGCCCGCCTTGGCCTCCCAAAGTGCTGGGATTACAGGCATGAGCCACTGCACCCAGCCCTTTTTTTTTTTTTTTTTAAATAGTTCTGCTAGGATTCAGGGCCATGTAGCTTGGCCTAAAGCTCCCAAAGGATCCTCTCTCAACTCAAACCTGTCCTGGGCAGTCCTTCCCACCACAGGAAATAGCCAGCGCTACAACTGGCCACCTGGTCACAGCATCAGAATTTAATCTAACAGCCCAGACCAGGGAGTGTGAGGGAGGAGCCACGTGGCCACAGCCTCACCTCTGAGAAGCTCCACCCAGAGCCTGAGTGAGGAGCCGTGTGGCCACACCCTCAGCCCTGAAAGCCCCGCCCAGAGCCTGAGGGAAGGGCTGTGTGACCACACTCTCATCTCTGAAAGGCCCGCCCAGAGCTGAGGGAGGAGATGCATGGCCACACCCCTCACCTCTAAAACCTCCTCTCAGAGCCTGAGGGAGGAGCTATGTGGCCACACCCCTCACCTCTGAAAGCCCCGCCCAGAGCCAAGGGAGGAGCTGTGTAGCCACACCCTCACCTCTGAAAGCTCCACCCTAAGCCCGAGGGAGAAGCCACAAGGCCACACCCCTCACCTCTGAAAGCCTCGCCCACAGCCTGAATAAGGAGCTGCGTGGCCACACCCTCACCTCTGAAAGCCCGGCCCAGAACTGAGGGAGGAGTCGTGTGGCCACATCCCCATCAATGAAAGCTCCGCTCAGAGCATGCAGGAGCAGCTGTGTGGCCACACCCCTCACCTCTGAAAGCCCTGCCCAGAGTCGAGGGAGGAGCTGTATAGCCACACCCTCACCTGTGAAAGCGCCACCCTAAGCCCAAGGGAGAAGCCACATGGCCACACCCCTCTCCTCTCTAAAAGTTCCACCCAGAACCTGAGGGAGGAGCCACATGGCCACTCCCCTCACCTCTGAGAGCTCTGGGCAGAGCCAGGAGCAGAGTGGGTGGCTGTTCTCCTCCCCTCCCTTCACTTCACTTCCCCAGTCTTTATCTCTTAATCCCAGTAGACCCCAATTTACGGGAGCTGGGGCAGGTACGGTTAGATTCTCAAGGGACTACATCAAAGACAACCCCTGAATCTTAATTCACCTGCTAAGAACCCACTTTTCATATTCCACACATCAGTTGGCCTCTTTGATAACCAACATTTCTCTGTGGCCCTCAATTCTTCCATCGCCCCCCCACCTCCGGGGTATTGACAAAGTTGTCACCACCCACTTACCTGGGACCCTGAACAATGTTTCGTTTCATGCCCCCATTCGAGTTTTGGAAGACCTGTAAGAGCCTCTACCTGTGCTTTCTGTTAAGTTTCACCAATGGGCATCTACTTCTTGTCTGTTTGACATAACGGCTGCATCAGGGTGTTGGGGATACCTGGCTAAGGGTCCCCAAGCTCGATGTCTGTTTGGCATGGTTCCAGTCGCGGCTGAATCACAGGGTCCACTCACGGAACACGCACTGAGGGAGTCTCGACTGTGTACTCAACACTTGCTGTGTGTGGGGCCCTGGAACACACCCCCCACTGCGGATCTGGAGTCTCTGTTCTGGGCTCCAGTGGGCCACTACAGTGTACCCTTTTCCACTGGAAGAAGCATCCCTCCAGCCCCCACCTTGCTGGCTTCCCCTTCTCAGATAATGCTTGGGCTGTTTGGGAAGGTTTCCTAAGAAACCATCCTTCGCAGAAACGGTGTTTGCCTCCAGGGCCTGGAGGCAGGAGGGAAGGGAGACATTTGCAGGGTGCCTTGAGCCACGTGACTTTCACATATACGATTTTCTTTTTTTAATAAAACAAAATCTTTTAGCAGGAGGCACCAGCGGTAGCATGGACAGAGCTGTATGATTGACCCTCAGCCCTGCTGCATACTAGCTGTGCCCCCGGCGGGGGTTCAGGGCCTCGGTCTTCGCATCTATGGAATGGGATCATAAACGTTCCTACGTCAAGAATGTCCATCAGGAGCTGTATTAGTCTGCTCTCATGCTGCTAATAAAGACCTACCAGGGACTAGGTAATGGTTTGTTTTGTTTGAGATGGAGTTTCACTCTTGTCGCCCAGGCTAGAGTGCAGTGGCGCAATCTTGGCTCCCTGCAACCTCCGCCTCCCGGGTTCAAGTGATTCTCCTGCCTAAGCCTCCTGAGTAGCTGTGATTACAGGCATACACCACCATGGATGGCTAATTTTGTATTTTTAGTAGGCTGGTCTCGACCTCCTGACCTCAGGTGATCCGCCTGCCTCGGCCTCCCAAAGTGCTGGGATTACAGGCGTGAGCCACTGTGCCCAGCCAGAGGCTAGGTAATTTATAAAGAAAAGAGGTTTAATGGACTCACAGTTCCACATGGCTGAGGAGGCCTCACAATCATGGCAAAAGGCAAATAAGGAGCAAAGTCACGTCTTACATGGTGGCAGGCAGGCAAGAGAGCTTGTGCTGGGGGGCGGGGGGGGACCCCCACTTATAAAACCATCAGATCTCATGAGACTTATTCACTACCACAAGAACAGAATGGGTGGAACCATCCCCATGATTCAACTATCTCCACCTTGCCCTGCCCTTCACAGATGGTAATTATTACAGTTCAAGGTGAGATTTGGGTGTGAACACAACCAAACCTCATCAGGAGCTAATGAGATGTTTAATGAGTGAGGGAAGGTATGTAAAGCCCAAGCCTGTGCCTGGCTCAATAAAAAGGGCACCTACATGGGGTCTTAATCCTACCCATATGTGGCTCCCACCTTCCAGAACCTTGACCTCCAACACTGGGAGTCCCCACAGAGATGAGCAGGGAAGAACAAGTGGGCAGAAAGCCTGGAAAGCAGGGGCCTCACCTGGGAAGATGAAGATGAAGAAGGAACTGATGCCTCCGATGATGCTGACGATCTCGCTGAGGTCAGGCATAAACAGCGCCATGGCGAGCGTCACGGTGACCCACAGGATGGTCAGCGGCATCCGGACCCACAGCCCTGAGGGGTCGGCCAGGGCGCTGGGCCCCCATCCCCCCAAGCAGCTCCTCCTCCAGAAGTCCTGCATCACTGACCTGGAGGCCACAGCCAACACAGACACATGGGCATCTCAGGGGCACCAGCCTCCACCCGACAGCTGCTCCCCAGTCCTCCAGGAGTCCCCTCACACCTGTCAGTGCTCCTGTTCCACACTCAGGTGTTTATTCCCCAGGAGACCTTGCCAACCCTCAGGGGTTCTGCCACCATCGGGCAGCCCATGGGGCAGGGGATGAAGCACGTGGTTCGCATTCCAGTCCTGGCTGTGGACACACACTCACGGAGTGACTTTGGGCAATCTACCTAAATCCTCTGTGCCTGTTTCCTCCTGTCTACAATTGGAGAGGATGGTAGTCCCACAGCCGCGTAGCCCACACCTGGTACATGCTCAATCACAGCACACATCAGCAGACCATGCTTCACGGTGCCCCCCACTGAGCCAGGCCTCACCTCCCCAGGAAGAGCACGATGGGGTAGACAGTTACGATGGAGACAGCAAAAAGGACCCGGGCCACAATGATGACCATATCATTGCCTGGGTAGGACATCAAGACGTCAGCAGAAACTTCTGTCCCAAAAGTCAGGAAGCCATAAACCCCTGAAGGTGGGAAAGGATGGAAGCCACAGAGTGGATTAGGAAAATGCTGCCCCCTCCCCCACCAACAGACAGACAGCGCCTGGCTTTACCACCTAAGATTTTCCTTAGGAGCTGAAAGAAGGTTCTGGAAGGGATAGCCCAAAGCTTTCCTGTCCTAAGCCTACACATGACTGTGCTCCAGGGATTCAAGACCCCTGCAGACAAATCCGCCACTTATCCTCCTTTCAAATCGCTCACAGAGCTGGTGCACGGAGCTCACCCACAGTGCGTGTGTTGACTAGAAGCACAGAGCACTTTGAAAAATACAAACACACCTCCCATGCCCTGTCCATCTCACTCCTACGACATCTAAAGAAAGCAGCTAGCTGTGCACACATTTCCAAATGGGGAAAACCAAGAGCCAGGGCATCAACCAATACCTAGAATCACACAGCTAGTTTTCGTGGACTGAGGACAAGAGCGCCATTCCCTTTGCGCCAACAGGGTGACACTGCTTCTGTCACCCCGGGTTGCCTGCCCTGTCCTGAGAGATAGGTCTCTAAGAGCCATGTTCCTTTCAGCTTCTCTGCAAGCCCTTTCTGAGAGGTCCCATGACCCTGGCAGTGGGAACATGTGGAGGTGATACTGAATCACTGAGTCACACCCTCTGACCCAGGGGCTACAGACTGATGGGACCTCCTCTGCTGGGGAAGGAGTCACCCAGCAAGTTTCCTGGATAACCACAGTATCTTAGTCCATTTTTTGTTGCTTACAACAGAATACCTGAAACTGGGCATCTCATAAAGAAAAGAAACTTACTTCCTACAGTTATGAAGGCTGAGAAGTCCAAGATTGAGTGCCCACACTGGTGAGGGCCTTCTTGCCAATGGGGACTGTCTTCAGAGGTGGCATAGGGCATTGTATAGCAAGGATGAGCTCTGACTCAGCCCTCATTCCTTTTTTTTTTTTTTTTTTTTTTTTTTTGAGACAGAGTCTCTCTCTGTCGCCCAGGCTGGAGTGCAGTGGCACGATCTCGGCTCACTGCAAGCTCCGCCTCCTGGGTTCACGCCATTCTCCTGCCCTAGCCTCCTGAGTAGCTGGGACTACAGACGCCCGCCACATTTTTGAATTTTTAGTAAAGACAGGGTTTCACCGTGTTAGCCAGGATGGTCTCGATCTCCTGACCTCGTGATCCACCCGCCCTGGCCTCCCAAAGTGCTGGGATTACAGGCATGAGCCACCGTGCCTGGCCTGGCCCATTCCCTCTTCTTATAAAGCCACTAGTGCCATGCCCATAACCCATCAGTCCATTAACCCATTAATCCATTAAGCCCCTGCCCCATGCCTGCCTCTTATGTGGGCTGTTCAGCTGGACCTAGAAACTAAAATCAACACCAGACAATCACATCAGCAGGAGAAAAGCCTACGGATCTTATTAATTTTCCTTGTCATTGGGATCTTAACACAGTGATGTCTGATGAAGCGGCCGAAATGAGATGCTTTTATACTTTTTAGACAAAGAATAAATCTGACAAGGAATGACAAGACAAAGGGGATCTGGTCGGGGCAGTGAATTTCTAGGGGAGTCACTAGGAGATATATGGGGTGGGTATAAAACTAGCAGAAGCTAAGGCTAGTTCAATAAGTGGATTTATTCAGGTCCATTGCAGCCAGAAGTCCCGCTTCCAGTGATGAGGACTATTTTCTCACCCTGGTATGGGGAGGTGGCCTCTCCCAGAGGAATTTTTATGGCTTGATGCCTGCAGAAAGAGTCAAGTCAGCTAGCTCTTACTGAAACTACAATTTCTCCAAAAAAAATTTTTTTTTTTTTTGAGATGGAGTCTGTCACCCAGGCTGGATTGCAGTGGCACAATCTCGACTCACTGCAACCTGTGCCTTCCAGGTTCAAGCGATTATCTTGCCTCAGCCTCCTGAGTAGCCTGGATTACAGGCACATGTCACCATGCTCGGCTATATTTTTCTGTTTTTAGTAGAAACGGGGTTTCACTGTGTTAGCCAGGATGCTCTCGATCTCCTGACCTCGTAATCCACCTGCCTCAGCCTACCATAATGCTGGGATTACAAGCATGAGCCACCGCACCCAGCCTCCAATATTTTTAACCCGAAATAATTAATGTACCAATTTGGCATACTGGCAGATGGTGCATCCTTCAACCCTTCACCACAAATGGATTAATCTGTTTATGAGAGCGCTGCTCTCGACAGCTTCTTAAAGGCCCCACCTCTCGATACTGCCATACTGGCAATTTAATTTCAACAAGAGTTTTGGAGGGGACAATCAATCAAACCACAGCATTCTGTCCCTGAGTCCCCAAAACTCATATCCTCCTCGCAGATAAATACCCCATGGTTATTCCAACCCCATGACCCCAAAGTCTTCATTCGCTCCAGCACCAACTCAGAGGTCCAAAGTCCAGAGTGTGGTCTGTGAGCCTGTGAAATCAAAAGCAATCTACTTCCAGGACACAATGGCAGTGCAGGCAAAAGAAACATTCTCATCCCAGAAGAGAGACTAAGGCCAAAGGAAAGGAGTAAAGGCTCTAAGCAAGCCTGAAACCCAGCAGAGCAGACACTCAAGCGTCAAGCTGGAGGATCATCTGTTTTGACACCATGTGCCACCCCCTGGACACACTGAGGCAACCCCACTCCTACGGCTTTGCCGGGTACAGCCCACGTGTCTGTTCACAGGGGTTGGCACCTGATGCCTGAAGTTCTCGCAGGCAGGTGTTGCACGTTGCTGGTAACTTCGCAGTTTGTAGTCCCAGTGGCAGTCCCACTCTCATGACTCCACTAGGCATTGCCCTGGCAGAGACTCTCTGCAGTTGGACCCCTACGCTTTCCACAACATCCGTTGTTTTTTTTTTTTTTTTTGAGACAGGGTCTTGCCCTGTCACCCAGGCTGGAGGGCGGTGGCACAATCACAGCTCATTCCAGCCTTGACCTCCAGGGCTCAAGTGATCCTCCCTCCTCCTCAGCCTCCTGAGTAGCTGGAACTACAGGCTCACACCACTATGTTCTGCTCATTTAAAAAATGTTTTTGTAGAGACAGGGTCTCACTACGTTGGCCAGGCTGGCCTCGAACTCCTGGCCTCAAGCAGTCCTTTCACCTCAGCCTCCCAAAAAATGCTGGGATTACAGGCATGAGCCACCACACCTGGCCTGAAGAACATCTTTTGAAATCTGGGTGGAGGCTGCCAAGCTTCTGTAGCTCTCGCTATCTGCCAGCCTGCAGAATTAGCAACGCACGCATCCTGCCAAGGTTTACCACTTATACCTTCTGGGGCTGCAGCACGAGCCAGATCAGGGGCCACCTGACCCAAAGCTGGTGCAGCGAGGATCTCTGTGCCAGGGTCCCGGGAGCAGAGACGTGAGGGCACGTAGGATAGCCTGTGGAGGCACCCTGGGTCTGTCCCCAAAACCATCCTGCCCTTGAGGCCTCTGAGCCTGTGATGGGAGGGGCAGCCTCTAAGATATCTGAAATGCCTTCAGGGTCTTTCTTCCATTCTCTAGATAATCCTTTCTCTCCATATTAATCTCCTTAGCAAAAGGCCACAGGGCCACAACCTTGGTTTCCTATACGCGCTGCACTCTATACGGCCAGGCTGAAAGAGTTCCAGATCTTGCTGCTTTGGTTCTCTTTTGATGATCAATTTCATCTTCAAGTCATTTTTTGCCTGTTCCAGCATAACGTGAGCAGCTAAGAGTAGCCATGCAGCATCCTGAATGCTCTGCTCCTTGGATATCTCTTCCGCCAGATACCCTAGTTCATCCTTTTTTGCCGGCAGGGGAGGGATGACAGAGTCTCATTCTTGTTGCCCAGGCTGGAGTGCAATGGTGCGATCTCAGCTCACTGCAACCTCCAGCTCCCAGGTTCAATTGATACTCCTGCCTCAACCTCCCAAGCAGCTGGGATTACAGGTGCCCCGCCACCATGCTCGGCTAATTTTTTGTATTTTTAATAGAAATGCGGTTTTACCATGTTTCACAGGCTGGTCTCAAAATCCTGACCTCAAGTGATCCACCTGCCTCGGCCTCCCAAAGTGCTGCGATGACAGGAGTGAGCCACGGCACCCGGCCAGTTCATCCCTTTCAAGTTCAGCCTTCCACAAAACCCTCAGGCATGGACACAGTTCAGCCAAATTATTTGCCAGCTTCTAACAGGTTTGTCCTTTACTCCAGCTTCCAAAACCTTGTTCCTCAGTTCCGTCTGAAACCTCCTCAGAACAGACTTTACTATCCATATTTCCATGACTAACTAGAGTATCTAAGAAGTTCCAAATGTTCCCTAGTCTTGTCTCTAAGCCCTCACCAGAATCTAGGCTTATTCTAGCCTGCTCCTCCGAATTCTTCCAGCCTGCACTCATTGCCCAGCTCCAAAGCCGCTTCCACGTTCCAGGTAGTCAATCATCAACACCCCACTCTTGATACCAATTTTCTGTCTTAGTCCATTTTTTGTTGGTTACAACAGAATGCCTGAAATTGAGTAATTTATACAGAAAGGAAATTTTTTTACAGTTATGGAGATTGAGAAGTCCAGGATCAAGAGGCTACATCTGGGGAGAGCCTTCTTGCCGGAGGGGACTTTGCAGAGCCCTGAAGTGGCGCGCAGAGTGTCACATGGCAAGGGGGCTGAGTGTGTGAGCCCAGGTCTCTCTTCTTCTTCTTATAAAGCCACCAGCCCCACTCCCATGATAACCTATTAATCCACTAATCCATGAATAGATTAATCCATTCTTGAGGGCAGAGGCCTCATGCCCCAATCCCCTCTTGAAGGCCCCACGTCTCAATGCTACCACATCAGGGATTAAATTTCAACCTGAGTTTTTAAGAGGATAAATATTCAAACCATAACACACAGGAGTCCAAGGCTGCCTGAGAGATTCACTGCAGCCCAAGAGCTTCCTAGACTGGAGGATACGTTGGTGAATGAAAAAAGACTGGCGTCAAGTGGCCAACCAGAAGCCAGCCGTGCCAGGGACCTGGGACTGTCCTTCCAATGCACTGTACGATCCTGCGTGTCACAGCCCCTCTCTGAGCCACACTTTCATCACCTTTAAAGACCCTCTGCCTCCCACACACAGTTTGTGAGCACCTGAGTCCACTGCACCCACAAACGTTTTGTAAACCCTACCCAGATGTTACAGTGTAATGACGGACAGCAGTCAATGTCCTTTGAACAGCAGGCAGCAGGGCTGGGGTGTGGTGTGTCAGAGCACGGGCTTTGGAGACGGCTAGGCTGGAGTTCAGGTCTCAGCTTTGCAGATCTAGCTGTGAAACCTCGAACAAGTTCTGGAGGGCACCTGAGCCTCAGCTTCCTCATCTATGAAATGAGGCCTTTTCCTATGCACACTAAGGATTAAATAAGATGCTCAAAACATTGAGTATTGAGCCCAGCACGTGGTAAACTCTCTAGAGAGATACTCGCTGTTACTCTTGTTTCTACTGTCACTCCCCACCCTCTGCAGGGGTGCCTGGGAAGGGCCTTACCCGTCAGTGAATAGATGAGGCAGCAGGCCAGCAAGGACAGCACAGACACCAGGGCCCAGTGGGAGAGGCTCCGTTTGCGCATGCTGCAGTAGATGGAGACGGCAGCTTCGTGACACTGTAAGACAGAGGGCGGCTCAGCAGGATGCTGGCTTCCCCTGGAACAGGCGATGCGAAAAAAAACTCATATCCAAAAGGCGGGAAATGTGGGATATGATGAGGTTTCTCTTGAAATAGCCTGATCAATCCTTTATTCTTTAATTCACAGTACACCCCCAACCCCTCTTTCCTTTTCTCCTTCCTTTCTGCCTTTGTTACATGCCCAAACACGCCACAGTACCAGGCATTATCAATACAAGCTCGCATTCCTTTCCTTATTTTTTAAAAAACTAGCTCTCTAGCTCATTACAAACACCCACTGCCCCTTTCCCCTCTCTCCCTTACCTGCCCACCTTATCTAAAAAAAAGTTCAAATGTTCAACTGAGGCTAGTTTAGATTGTGCGGCCCAACCCCAGCCAATGGGAAAAGGGTACAGGAGCAGGACTTGCATCAGGAATAAAGGCTCTTGTACTCCTTTGCTCGGGTGTGCTCTGACCAAGAAAAAGCACCCCTCTGCACAAAAGTAAAATTACTTTGCTAAGAATCCTTTCAGTGTTCCGTTTTCTTAAGATTTTGAGCGTTATTCCCAACAGAACCCACATGCCCACCAAGAGCAGAGGGCGTAAGTAAATGGCAGGATACTAACACACAGAGCATGATGTGGCTCTGACAAAGAACCATGCACCTCAACACAGACGAATCTCAGTCAGAACAATGAACACCACAGGAAGCCACATAGGTGCCGGGCACGCTGGCTCGCACCTGTCACCCCAGCACTTTGGGAGGCCGAAGGGGGCAGATCACTTGAGGTCAGGAGTTTGAGACCAGCCTGGCCAACATGGCAAAATTCCATCTCTACTTAAAATACAAAAATTAGCCGGGCATGGTAATGAGCACCTGTAATCCCAGCTACTCAGGAAGCTGAGGCAGGTGAATCACTGGAATTCGGGAGGCGGAGGTTGCAGTGAGCCAAGATCGTGCCACTGCACTCCAGCCTGAAAGACACAGTGACACTGTGTCTCAAAAGAAAAACAAGCCGGGCAGCAGAGAATGTTTCCGTTAATGGATGCGAAGTCCAAGTTACAAGATAAACACTTCTACACCAGGGTTTCTCAGCCTTGACACGATTGATGTCTGGTGTGGGTTAACTCTTGGCAGCCGCCCTGTGTGTTTGGGGTGGGGGTGTTGTGCAGTGTCCCTGGCCGGGACCTACTACATGCCAGTAACAGCCCCCCTCCCCCAAGTTGTGACAACCCAAAATGTCTGCAGACATGGTCAAATGTTCCCTGGGGGTATAACCAACCCACGCAAACCCCACTCTGTGGTGCTAGAAGGCAGGATGGTGGTTTGGGTAGGGTGGGTGCTACTGACCAGAAAAGGTCATGAAGGGGTTCCCGGGGGCTTGACCATGTCACATGGGTGCACACATACTTAGAATCTACATACTGTATATGTGACATGCCATATTGGGGTAAGCATTTTTTTTTGGTAGAGATGACTTCTTACTACATTGCCCAGGCTGGTCTCAAACTCCTGAGTTCAAGCGACCCTCCTGCTTTGGCCTCCCTAAGTGCTGAGATTACAAGTACGAGCCACCATGCCCAAGGGGGATAAGAATTTTAAACGCAGGAGGGAGCGGTGGCTCACGCCTGTAATCCCAGCACTTTGGGAGGCCAAGGCGTGTGGATCACCTGAGGTCTGGAGTTCGAGACCAGCCTGGCCAACATGGTGAAACCCCGTCTCTACTAAAAGTATAAAAATTAGTCAGGTGTGGTGGCAAGCACCTGTAATCCTAGTTACTTGGGAGGCTAAGGCAGGAGAGTCGCTCAAGCCTGGGAGGCAGAGTCTCGCTCTGTCACCCAGAATGGACTGAAGTGGCGCGAACTTGGCTCGCCGCAACCTCCGCCTCCCGGGCTTAAGCGACTCTCCTGCCTCAGCCTTCCGAGTAGCTGGGATTACAGGCACGCCCAGCTAATTTTTTATATTTTTGGTAGAGACAGGGTTTCACCATGTTGTCCAGGCTGGTCTCATACTCCTGACCTCAAGTGATCCTCCCACCTCGGCCTCGCAAAGTGCTGGGATTACAGGCGTGAGCCACCAAGCCCAGTGCAAGAATTTTTTTAACGCAAAACATACACAGTCAATGCCAAGAGCCCATGAGTCATGTGAATTCATTTCCCTGGGTGGGTCGTGGACATTGGTGATTCACGAACAGCCAAGAGAATACTGATGTACAGCCAGGGCTGGGCAGGGAGGCTCTGCTCTGTCCAGACACACCGGGCGGGGATGCTTTTTCCGGACACACTGGTGGGTTCAGGGTTCTTCCCAGGCTCCTGGGGCTGGTTCCCACCATCACACCCACTCTCTCACTCCTGGCCAAAACCAAACGTGCCAAGGCCTCATTCCTGCCCGCCCTGTAGGGACCCTACGCAGGAAGCTCAGATCAGCTAGGTCTTCCCTCCGCGCCTCAGGGCCTTTGCTACTGCTGGTCCCTCTGGCCGGATTTTCTCCGAGTCCAGCCAACTCCTCTGCACCCTCCTGGGGAGCCCTCCCGAGTGGGCTGGTTTCCTCTCTCACACAGCCCGTGTCCTCAACACGAGCGGGCTTTTCGGTTTGTCTACTCAGCGTCTCTCAACCACACGACAACAACGACCAAGTCTGCGTTGCTCAGGGCTCTGAGCTTGGGCCAGGATCGGAGCCTGCACCGAGCTGAATAAACACTACAGGGCTTACCCACCTACCCATCCCGTGAACCCACCCAGCAGCCACCAGGCCTCCCTCCACCCAGCCTCGCTCTGTCACTCATGAGTCCTCCTCGGTGCAAGTGAGCCAAGCCAAGGAAACAAGCCCAGCACAGCTGTCCTCTCACCCCCAGGACACATTCTGGAAATATAGGAGGGCACAGTGGCCTCCTCCCTCCGGCTTCCAGCCCTAGTTGAGCACAGCCCTTCCGCTGGCGCGTTGACCTCAGGCACCGCGCACCCCTGCTCTCTGGCCCCAGGTTTCCTGTCCTACAGGAGGGCTCTGCCAGCAGGGGGGACGCAACCCCTCTGCCTCCTGCACCCCCGCAGCACTTGTGGGGCTCACCCCACACTCTCAGGTCAGCCCTGTGGTCCTAGAGCCCCAGTGCCCACAATGGGGACCTCCGTGCACCAGCACCTCAGCCCCATGGCAGGCTCTGCCTTCAGGGCACGGCAGATGCCCCGAGGTGGGGAGTCCCCGAACGGCAGCTCTGCGTATAGGGGCACAGCTGAGTCCAATATAAGGGAAAAGACAGTTAGTAGTGCCAGACAGGTTGGTGGGCAGGAGGGTGCCTCCTTTTCTCCCTGTTTGACTCCGCAGTTGGGTTTCTACTGGTGTTTTGTTTTGTTTTTTTGAGACAGAGTCTCGCTCCATCGCCCAGGCTGGAGTACAGTTGCATGATCTTGGCTCACTGCAACCTCCACATCCTGGGTTCAAGGGATTCTGATTCAGCCTCCCAAGTAGCTGGGATTACAGGCCCGCACCGCCATGCCCGGCTAATTTTTGTATTTTTAGTGAAGATGGGGTTTCACCATGTTGGCCAGGCTGGTCTTGAACTCCTGACCTCAGGTGATCCACCCGCCTCGGCCTCTTAAATTCCTGGGGTTACAGGCATGAGCCACCGTGCCCAGCCTCTACTGGTTTTATAAGGGGAAGCAGAGCAGGCCTGCTGAGGGCAGGCAGTACCCAGGAGGTGGTGGCAGTGGGCAGTTGCTCGGTGATGGAAGGAGACAGGAAGACGACACAGTGGCCAAAAAGTGGACCCCACCCAGATGCCCATCAAAGGACAGGGGATAAAGCGCAGCTTATCCACACAATGGAATATTATTTGACCACAGATAGGGTGGCTACAACATGGATGAATCCCACCAACACGGCGGGGGAGGGAAGCCTGTCTTAAAAGGCCACAATAGGATTCCATTCCTAGGAGGTGGCCATCGTAGGCAAATCCAGACAGACAAGAAGTGCAAGAGCTGCGGGCAGAGGTGGAGAATGGAGAGTGACTGACGGCGATGGGTTTCTTCGAGGGGCAACAGAAAGGTTCTCAATTGACTGTGGTGATGGTTGCACAGCTCTGACTGTACTAAAATCCATTGCACTGCACACTTCAGAAGGGTGAATGGCACGGTATATGCATCCTATCTCAATAAAGATATTTTTTAAAACCACAAAAACCAGCCAGGCACAGTGGCTCACGCCTGTAATCCCAGCACTTTGGGAGGCTGAGGTGGGCAGATCAAAAGGTTAAGAGATCGAGACCAGCCTGGCCAACGTGTTGAAACCTCGTCTCTACTAAAAATACAAAAATTAGCTGGACGTGGTGACAGGCGCCTGTAATCCCAGCTACTCAAGAGGCTGAGGCAGGAGAATCGCTTGAACCCAGGAGGCGGAGGCTGCAGTGAGCCAAGATCACACCACTGCACTCCAGCCTGGGCGACAGAGCAAGTCTGCCACAAAAGCAAAATTAAAACAAACAAACAAACAAACAAACAAACACACACTAGAAGTCCTGGTGTAGCCGCATTGGCTGGGAGTGGACACAACCCCTCTGCTCCTGAGGCCCCTCTCACTGACTGGACAGGCCTGGGGCGGGGGTGCCCCATTGCCAAATGTGTTTGGGCGGGGACGCTGTGTTTGAGTCAGGTCAGAGTTCCTGATGACAGTATGTGACCGTCCCTTTCCTGCAGCCCTCTCCAGCCTTACCCCCTTTTCCCAGCACCTTCAGTTACATTTATTCTCCCCCGCTTCAGATCCTGGCAGCCCCCACCTCTAGCCTGAGCCCCTACTCCCACTCCTTCAGTTCCTATCCTTCCCAGCTCTTCATCTCGGCATCCCGTGTCCCTGGAAACGCAGCCCAGGCCTCGTTGCTAGGAGAATCCGGTGAGGGCTGGAGGCAAAGGTGAGGGGCACCCCTTGCAAGCATCGGGGAGGCGGCCCCGGCGTAGGTCTGCTGCACCATATGGCGCTTGGGCACAGAGAGAGGTTCTTAAACTCAGTCCAGACAAACAGTTGACAGCAAAATCAGCTCTTCAGATCTTTCAAAATATTGGGCGTGCAGGAAGCAATGTGAGAAATCCACAGAAGTGGCTTGCTGAGGCCCTGAAGCAGCACGCCGACTGATTACGAGGAAGAGAAATGGAAATGTTTCAAGATTTTTTTTTTTTTTTTCCTAAAAAGGGTTCTCAAAGAAAAGGCAAGATGAAGAACAGAAGCAGAGCTCACTGATGGTCAAGGGAAGAGACGAGCTCAATGGCTACAAAGCTGAGATCCGGTGGTAAACCCTGGACACATCTCCCTGTGGACTTGATTTTACTTTGGAATGGTTTTGTTGGTGCTGGTGGTAGGCAGTGGATAGGTGGTTGTTTTTAGGACATCGAGGCAAATCTTCCCGAAAATAAGCAGCGTGGCCAGGCACGGTGGCTCACGCCTATAATCCTAGCACTGTGGGAGGCCGAGGAGGGCAGATCGCTTGACGTCAGGAGTTCAAGACCAGCCTGGCCAACATAGTGAAACTCCCTCTGTACTAAAAATACCAAAAAAAATTAGCCAGGCATGGTGGTGCACGCCTGTAGTCCCAGCTACTCAGGAGGCTTGAACCCAGGAGGTGCAGTGCAGTGAGCTGAGATCCACTACACTCCAGCCTGGGCAATAAGAATGAGACTCCAACTCAAAAAAAGAAAAAAAAAAAAAGAAAGAAATGGAAGAGCAGTGTCTGCTTCCACCTGCTAGGAGGGCTGCGGGAACCCATGACAGCCCAGAAGCAGAGGACTGAGCCCAGGCCCGCCACCTCCCCTGCCCCCCCTGCCCCGCCACCTTCCCCCCAGCGCTGTGCCACAGAGCCCTCTGCAGGTCTCTCTCCAGCTGTGCCTGGGGCCCGCTCACATCGGTGACCCACCTATGCTATCCCACCTGTGCTGTCCTCTCTACCTGGGGTGCGCTTCCAGTCACCTGGCTGCTGCCCATACATCCTTCAAGATCCCTTTCAAACCCCACCACCTTGAGCGGACACCTCTGACTCTGCCCCTCTGCCAGGATTCTACACATATAGCCCCGTCCTCCCTCCCATGACATTCTATTAAAAATTCTGTATTTCTGCCCCTTTCCCCTCTCCAATCAGCTCCCTGTACACCTTCCAGCTCCTCTACCCTGTACCCCTCAGGAGGCAGGATCTTTCCTGCCCAAGGCCCTGGGCAGAGTCCACCTGGGTAAAACTGTCCTGCCAGAGTTAGGTGGGCAGCTTAGGCCTCCAGGCCTCAGGTCTGACTGCAGTCCTGTGGGGGTTCTGCAGAGGAAGGGACAGGTCCCGGGTCCCCACACTCTACGCGAAACCTAAAAAACATGGTGCTGCTTTTGGCCATCAGTGGGGGCTGGATTCCCAAGTTCAAGGCAATTCCCACTTCCCTGAGCCCAGACACCAACCCATCCTCATGGTCTGGAATGACAGCCTGGGAACCACAGGTGGGCGGCACAGAGCCCACTGTATCCTAGGAGAAGTCCTCAGACGCCTCCCTGACAGAGAAACCAAGGTTTCCCAAGGGAGCAGAGAGTCACCCACAGCCTCTGCAAACGCCACAGGCTGCAACACAGATGCTAAAATTACCTGAAACCCGAAGCAGATGGTGGGGAAGACACTGAACACAGAGGTCCAGGAGGCAGGGCTGTAAACAGACAAGAACAGGAGTTTATTAAAGAAGGGTCACACCCGGAACAACCTGCGGCTGCAATGGTGAATTTTAAAGGATGCTGGGAAAATGTAACAGAGCATGGCTGCAAGATGTATTTTTAATGACTGTGTCCGTGACCGGGCTTTTGGAAATGGAAAAGGATGCTGGCTAAATGCTGCACTTTCTAAATACGTCTTTGCTGACATTTGGTAACATGACATTTTACATGTGGGCAGAATTTGGGCAGGAAAACCGCAGTAGGAACTCCCAACTTCCCTCTTGAAGGCTGCTGGCTCCCAGTGCGGTTTGGTAATTGGCAGGGGCGGGGGCACCCAGAGCATCCACCCAGTGATCCCAAATAGCACAAGGATGGTTTGAGCTCTGTCCAAGCCACCTAAGAGGACAGAGGTCTGCGTGGGGAGAACCTCCAGGTCCAGCCTCTTGGGATCCCCGCCTGGTTCACAGCTTCCTTTGACAGGCTTTGCAGGTGTAATTACTGAAAGTAAGATGAAGTCATGGTGGATTAGGGTGAGCCTGAATCCAATGCCTGCTGCCCTTATTGGAAGGGAAAACAGACAGAGAGAACATGGTGTGAGGATGAAGGCCAAGACCCAGTGATCCGTCTATCAGCCAAGGAACACAGATCGCCGCGGCCCCCAGAAGCAGGAAGAGACAGGAAAGATCTGCCCCTGGAGTCTTCGGAGGGAGCATGGCCTGACCACACTTTGATCACTTGTCACAACAGCCCTCGGACACTCACATATCCTAACTCATCACCTCCTGTTTTTACCAGGGCCTCCTCATCCCCTCGACCTGCCTGTGCTAGAGTACCACCGGCTCAGTGTACAGATCTCAGCACTCACAGCCTTCAATGCCATGTCTGGGCCAACGTCAGCCACGTTTCTCCTGCCAGCCCGGACCTCTCTCTCTGAACTTCAGACACACAGACCTGCCCAGCTGCTTGACTTCCCTCTTAGATGTCTCCAGGTCGGCTCTACCTTGACTGTTCCAGCCTGAGCTGCTCCCAGGGACCCGCCCTGCTCAGTCCTCTCTAATCCAGGAAACAGCATCTCCATCCTTCCCACTGTTCAAGCTGAGAGCTCCAAGTTACCTTGACTTTCTTCTCTCTCTTACTCACCTTCCAACCCACCAGCAGCACTGACCACAGAATTCACAGGGCCAGGTGCAGGAGGAATATGCGGGGACCCTTGTTGGACAAGGATTAAGGATTTTAAGACAGTGACATCAGAAGGGTACACTGAGCATGGGGCCTGGGTGACTGTAGGGGTCGCACACCCACGAGCCAGCCCTGCCACTGGGAAATCCGATCTCAAGCATATCCAGTCTGACTATTCCTCATTGCCTCCTCTGAAGCCACCAGGTCTGGGACCCGGGATCTAGGCAGAGGCCTCCCACTTGGTCTCTGTTGCTGCCCCTGGCTCCCAAGGACCACAGAACAGAATAAAAAGGGTGAGCCTTTTTATTAATTTTTTTCTTTTTTGAGACAGAGTCTTGCTCTGTTGCCCAGGCTGGAGTGCAGTGGTATCATCTCGGCTCACTGCAACCTCTGCCACCCGGTTCAAGCAATTCTCCTGCCTCAGCCTCCTGAATAGCTGGGATTACAGATGCCCACCATCACACCTGGCTGAATTTTATATTTTTATGTAGAGACAGGGTTTCACCATGTTGGCAAGGTTGGTTTTGAACTCCTGACCTCAAGTGATCCACCTGCCTCAGCCTCCCAAAGTGCTGGGATCACAACTATGAGCCACCACACCCTACCTAGAGTGACCCTTTCTAAAAACAAATCCTGTCACATCCCTGCTGTACTCAAAACACTGCCAAGTCTCCCAACTCATCCAGAGCAAAACCAAACTCCTCGCCGTGGCTCTGAATCCCTGTACGACATCCCCGCCCATGCTCTCTGCCCTTGTTCCGGCTGGCTTGGCCACACCGGCCTCCTCACTGTTCCCCTGCCCCGGTACATGCAGCTGGATGGCTGCCAGATTCTGTACCTCCACACTGTGGGGACAAGTCTGCAATAACCTATGACCCCTAGGCCGCCGCAGCCTTTGGCGGTTCTGCGTCCCTTGGCCTGTCCCGGTCATCGCTAGCCACGGCCAGGTCCCTGCAGCAGAAGGAGAGTGGCCCTCCCTTGCCTTCACCGCATCAGAGACGGAAAGAACTGGAAGGAAGGAGCCCAGGCTCTGCAGTGAGCCACGAGAGGCTCCTCCTCCAAGACTCCCCTCACAGACTCCCCTGCCGTGCCTCCCCGCCGAGGCTGCCGGAAGCTGTTCCCTCAGACTTACCTCAGTGAAGGATGGGACTCACGCACGAGGCCCTGGGGCCAGAGGTAGTACTGCACGGTGATGACCAGGGCCAGGTAACAGGCAGCCAGAGTGCCTAGGATGCTAACACAGTGACCGTGTGAGGGGCTGCGCAGTGGGTGACATGTGCGGTTGATGCACGGGGACAGTAGTGGGATCTGAATCCCAGCTCCGCCCTTGACAATGAGGTGCTGGCCAAGCTGTCCACCTCTGCCTCACCATCCTCATCTGTACAGGGGGCATGTGGGGCAGGGCTGCTTTGGGGTCAAGGGGTCAGATGTAGAGTTTTGTTGTTGTTGTTTTGTTGTTGTTGTTGTTTTTTGAGACGGAGTCTCGCTCTGTTGCCCAGGCTGGAGTGCAGTGGCGCAATCTTGGCTCACTGCAAACTCTGCCTCCCGGGTTCAAGCAATTCTCCTGCCTCAGCCTCCCGAATAGCTGGGATTACAGGTGTCCGCCCCCACGCCTCGCTAATTTTTGTACTTTTAGTAGAGACAGGGTTTCACCGTGTTGGTCAGGCTGGTTTTGAACTGCTGACCTCGTGATCTGCCTGCCTTGGCCTCCCAAAGTGCTGGAATTACAGGTGTGACGCCCAGCCCAAATGTGTAGAATTCTTAATGGCACCCGGCGCCCTTCGGGATGGCAGCTGTAATAGTGTTTCCTTCCCACCAGCAAAAGCTAATCAGCCACTCAGCCTGATGCCTAAGGCAGGACGCCAGCAGGCTCGCTCACACTTGAGAGGGGACAAGCCGCCCCCTGGCTTGGTCTGAGTGGCACGAGAGCCTTGCAGGGCAGAGACCTGAGGGAGGCTCGGGTTTGCTGCCTGCTGTTTCTATACAATGTCTATTGTTCATACACAACAGGGAAAAGGCAGGCAGCAGAGGGAGATGGATACTGTTTCCAAGCTTTATTTCTTCCTAAGTATACAGACCCTTAGCCACAAAAAAACAACCTCTGTGTGTGTGCACACATGTGCGTGCATGGGCACGGGGACATGCGGGGATGGGGGTGCATGTGTGGGTGGGTGAGCATGGGTGGGTGTGGGTACGTGGGTGTGCATGGGTGGGTGTGGGTAGGTGGGTGTGCATGGGGGGGTGTGGGTAGGTGGGTGTGCATGGGGGGGTGTGGGTAGGTGGGTGTGTATGTGTGGGTGTGGGTAGGTGTGTGTTGTGGGGAGGCGTCTCTCTCTCTCTGCAGCCATGTGCAAAAAATCCAACAATGAAATAAACTGAGTAGCACTGACGTTGTTACAGGTCATTTTCTTCTTTAGGCTCATCTATGTTTTGCATCATGCATACATTTTACTTGTATAATTTTTTTTTCGTTTTCCCCTTCTCCAAATGTGAAGGCCAATTCCCCAGCTCCTCTGACCCCAGATGGACAGAAACCCTGACACAAACACTCAGCAAGGTGGGGGCCCCCACCAGGCAGCATCCCAGCCCTTACCTTGTGTATTTCTGGAAGGCGATCTCCCGCGGGGCAGACAGGGGCAGGATGACCAGCACGGAGAGCAGGGGCAGGGTGAAGCGCTGGTCTGCGTACCACGGCTGCGGGGCGGGCGGGGTGCCAGACAGGAGGGAGTCACACACTGCCAGAGACACGGGGAGAGCTGAGCCACAGAGTACAAATGCCGTGGGTTCTCGGCTCCCACCTGGCCCTTCAACCCTGGCTGGGGTTGGACATCCACCCTCAGCCAGCCCCAGGAGCCCAGGGATCAGACGACAAGTGAGATGGAGACAGGTCACGTGCCCCACGCAGGAACAAACCCTGACACATGAATTCATTCAACAAACATTCGCTGGGCTCCTTCCCCAAGCCCAGCACTGCTCTAAGGCCCAAGATGAGGCGATGACCAGACAAGCCATCTGCCCTCGTGCCCCTTACATTCTGGTGAAAGACTCTTTTGGTTTCGTTCGGGAACTCAATAGTATCTGGAGTCAAATGGGGGCCTGAAGTCGATTTTTGGCCACCGTGCCGTCAGCAACAGGCTGCTGTGCATGAGCATTGTAGGTCCTCATGGTTGCAGCAGAACACATGACCCCAAATGCAGTGGCTCAAAACCACTTTATTACAAGTCATGGATCGTAGGTAGAGAGTTAGTACAGGGCCAGGCTGGCCAATCCTCCTCCATATAGAATTGGCTGAGGTTGCTTGGGGGGTCTCTGGCTGGCAGTGGGGCTGGTCTGGAGGAACCCTGATGGCTCCCCACAACACCTACTGCCTGATGGGTACACCTGGGCCTTCCCTGCAGTCTGGGAGTCTCTCCACATGGGCCACCTAGCAGGCACCTCCAACTTCTTCCATGGCAGCTGGGGGACCCCAGAGACTGAGGCAGAAGCTGCCTGTCCTCTTAAAGGCCAGACCCAGAATGGGCAGTGTCTCATTTGCCACACATTGCTGGACAAAGCCATCCAGGCACACCTAATTCAAAGGCAAGGGACACAAGCTCCACTAACCTCTCCGTGGAAAGAACACCAAAGAATGTGGGGCCATTTTTATTCTGCCACAGTGGGATGAATGATTTGGAACCCATCTAAGAGGTAAGACAGATGGGGGAGGGGAAAGCACAGGCGAGTGGGAGGGTGGTTGGAGGTGGGAGCCACTGGGAACCACCTGGGTGGGTGAGGTGGCCCCTGCAACCACTGGAGATGGGAGGCCGAGGAGCTTGAGATGTCTTCGCTCCTTCGGTGGGTTGTTGGCCCTGAGGTGTCTTAAGTGCTTCTTTGTTCTCACTCAACAAGGGGAGCCATGTGAAAAAATGAATGCATGTGAGAATAGCTCAAGCGTACGAAATGATGAAGGGGAAAGTTCCAAAAGCAGGTGGTCACAGCAGCATCCACGTGGGAGAGCCGAGATGCCAAGGGACTGCACATGCCCCAGGACTGCACCGAGATCGTGGGTGAGTTTTAGACCTCCAGGTGGCGTGGGATGGGGCAGGCCCTTTGTCTGCATCTGGACCTCCCATAGCCAGGATCCTCAGGGCCAACAGCAGGACTGTACCAGCTCCTTCCTAAACCCAGCGTTCCCGGATGCTTGAGATCTTTGGCACCAAAGACATGGTCAATTGTACCTCGTGCCATGACTCCCCCAAGCACTCCAACCTCTATCTAGCACTCCGTCTCAGAAGCTTGGCCTTCCCTACAGAGAGGCATCCCCAAATATCTAACCAGATATACACAAGAACGCTCTCTCCACCACAGTCAATCAACCCAGACCTGGGGTGGCCCGTATCCTCATCCGTCCTCTGACTAGTCAGGGGGCTCCGCTCCCAGTGAGGCTCAGAATCCTTCTTAACACAGCAACGCTACCAGTTCAGTGGAGTTGAAACTGCAGACGAACTCTACTTGCCACTGTGGGGGAGCAGGACGTTTTTGTGCCCACTTACCCATTAAGAGGTTCAGATACGCCAATCTCACTTCTTCTTGGTATAAGGTCGTGTTTACCAAGACACAGCAGCCTTCAATCTCAATACCCCCCAGTCAGGGGCCTTTTGCTTCATGGGTCAAGAGACACACAGAACACACACATGGCAAAATGGTACACTAAATTTCACCCTATCAACAATCACATGCCAATTAAAAGTCTAAACATTCCAATCGGAAGTCTGAGACTGTCAAGTTGGATAAAAAAGCAAGACCCGACCATATGCTGCCTACAAGAAATGCATTTTAAAATCCCAAGCCATTCTCAGGCTGGTGTTGCAAAAAGGACATATAAACACATTTAACAAAAAAATAATCCAAGTCATAGTTAGATTCTAAGTCAAAGAATGAGAAGAGAACTTCTATACAAACACTAGTCTTAAGGATGCTAGAGTGCCTCTATTAATGGTAGAGAAGACAGATTTAATGCCAGAGATAAAGAATACTTCATAATAAAAGGATATACCTAGAGTTTCAAAGACCACGAACCATGAAGCTTGACAGAATAGGCTAATCTGCAATCGCAGCTGGCGATTTTAACATCCTTTAACATCCTTCTCTTAGGAATAGAATAACTAGACCTAAAGATTAATATGGTTGCAATGACGATCTGAACACAGCTGTTGACTGCCTTGACCTAATGGACATTGCCAGCACACTGTACCCAGCAACTGCAGAGTACACATTCTCTGAAGAGCACACAAAGTGTTCTCCAAGACAGACCATGTGCTGGACTACAGAGCCAGTCTCACTGGATCTCAAAAGACAGCAATGATACAGACTCCCTGACCATGATGCAAATTAAGGTCGAAACCGTGAAGGAATCTAAAAAACTCCTCAATAATTGTCAATTAAACACTACAATTCTAAACATCTCACAAGTCAAAGAAACCACAGTGAAAAGGAGCAAATATTTTAAATTTTCCATTCATGAGGAATGAGTCCAGTGAAAATGAAAATAGGACATATGAAAATTGGCAAGATGCAGCTAAAGCAGTGCTTAGAGGGAAAGTCTTAGTCGGGAACTCGAGGCCAAGGTTGGTGAGGGCTCAGAGCCACAGCCATTCCAAAGCTAAAGGTGTTACTGGTTCTTTCTCAGAAGGAGCTGCTTGCTGTTGGCTCCATTTACTCATCTGTGAAACGACTTATCTCCACTGGATATCCTAATTGCAGCCACAACCTCTCTCATGCACTTGTGTGCCCATGACTGTCACCCAACTGGTGACTATCCATTCGGAGCCTCCCTTCCCTACCATGTTAGGAACAAGAGTGTGGTTTCAGCCTCTGCTGTCCCTCAGGGCCCAGGCCAGGGCCCCACGTCCTGCTCAACTGGAAACTCCAAGAGGTCATTAGAGGTCCGGCACCCTGGGCCACCCCGAGTCCCATGAAGGTACTTACGCTTCTCCAGCTGGTCCCCGATCACCCTGAGGAAGGCCACGGAGATCATGAGCAGGTTGAGGAGGAAGCAGGCCTCACACAGCTTCCCAATGGCAGGGCCACACAGCCCCCTGACCACACCCTGGTAGGTGGCCTGGCCACTGACAGCAGCAGCATAGCCCAGGATGACCAGCCCGCTGATCAGGAAGACCAACGAGACCTGCGGAGAAGGAGCAGGACCTGGAACTGGGGTGTGCCCACAGCCCACCCACCCCCAGCCAGCCACCCCTCGGGCACACTCTCCACATGGCTTCTCATCCACAGAGGCCAGGGCTGCTGCCAACATGGGGTTGGCAGTCTACCAGCTATGTCACTGCACACACCCCCACCCCACCCCACCTATCCTGAAATCAGAGCTGCAGTGCAGGCTGATTCTGGCAGGCTCACTGGCTCTAGGCTGTGAACCTGGGAATCTGACACCATCCTGCCCCAGTGGGATAAATGAGACATCAGAAACCCAGTGTTTAAGTTACTCTCCTAAAATCGCCTGGGCTGTGGGTGGAGAGGCAGTAGGCGTGGTGGCTTGGAACCCGAGGTGGAGCGGGCACAGCCGGGCTCAGGTTCTAACCACTGCTCACCTGCTGTGTGGCATGAAGCAGGATGGCAACCTCTGCTTTTCCATCTGTGAAATGGGGGCGGCACCGCCCCCTTGCAGGGGTGCTGCTATGACACGTCAGGACTGAACAAGGTCTGTGACATACTCGGCTCAGCGTGTCAGTGCTCAAGAAATGGTGTTCCGGCTGGGCACAGTGGCTCATGCCTGCAATCCCAGCACTTCTGGAGACCGAGGTAGGCGGATCACCTGAGGTCAGGAGTTTGAGACCAGCCTGGCCAACATGGAGAAACCCTGTCCCTACTAAAAATACAAAAATTAGCCAAGCATGGTGGCAGATGCCTGTAGTCCCAGCTACTCATGAGGCTGAGGCAGCAAAATCTCTTGAACCTGGGAGGCGGACGTTGCAGTGAGCCAAAATTGTACCTCTGTACTCCAGCCTGGGGGATACAGAGAGACTGCCTCCGAAAAAAAAAAAAGAGAAAAGAAAACATCCCTCTATTTCAGCTTCAATTTTTTTTTTTTTTTTTTTGGAGACGGAGTCTAGCTCTGTCACCCAGGCTGGAGTGCCATGGCACGACCTCGGCTCATTGCAACCTCCAGCTGCTAGGTCCAAAGAATTCTCCTGCCTCAACCTCCCGAGTATCTGGGACTACAGGCACACACCACCACACCCAGCTAATTGTTTTTTGTATTTTTAAATCTTTTTCCAAAATGTATTATAAAAAATTTTCAGGCCAGGTGCTATGGCTCACGCCTGTAATCCCAGCACTTCGGGAGGCCAAGGCGGGAGGATCACCTGAGGTCGGGAGTTTGAGACCAGCCTGGCCAACATGATGAAACCCCATCTCTACTAAAAACACAAAAATTAGCCAGGCATGGTGGCACATGCCTGTAATTCCAGCTACTTGGGAGGCTGACGCAGGAGAATCACTTGAACCCAAGAGGCGGAAGTTGCAGTAAGCTGAGATCGTGCCACTGTACTCCAGCCTGGGCCCCAAAGCGAGACTCCCTCTCAAAAAAAAAAAAATTCAGATGTACAGGAAAGTTGCAAGAACGTTACAGTGAACACCCCTGTGGGCAGCCACCCGACTCCCCCATGACAGGTTGCTATACTTGCTTTGACTCCTCTACCCTTCCACCCATGCCTCTGTGAGGCCATCCATCCATCTTAATGGATCAGCATTTTGAAGCAAGCTGCAGATCCCAGTGTACATCCCCTGGAATACTCTGGCGTGCCTACCATGCATTAGAGCTTGATGTTTGTTCATTCACCGGCCTTTTCTCTTGTAGGGTGAATATTTACATATAAAATGCTCAAAGTCTTAAGTGTATTGCTGGAAGATGTACAATGCACATGTGCCAGCCAAACTGCTACCCACAGGCGGAACATCGCCACACCCCGGACGGTGCCACGAGTCCCACTTCTGTCTCCCTCCCATCCCCAGAAGAAACCACCGGTCTAGTATTTTCCACCTTTACGTAATTCCTGGCTACTCCCACTCCATCAAGCATGTGTGATTGATCCGTATCGGGCGCACAGGCAGCTTGCTTCTGTTTTTGCTAAAAGGCCATTGTCTGAATAGATCACAATTAGCTGAGCATGGTGGTCGAGCATTCCACATCTAATCCCTAGAGCCTGTGAACGTGACTTACTGGAAACAGTTTTTGCAGATGTCCACAAGGAAAATGTTAATTAAGTGAAAAAGGGGTTTGCCTCTATCATTAAGGATCTTGAGGTGAGGTCATCTTGGATCTGGTGGGCCCTCAACCCATTGAGGTATGTCCTTGTAGAGACAGAAGGGAAGGAGGCAGAGATTGGAGTCCTGAGGCCATAAACCCAAGAAGCACCTGGAGCCACCAGGAGCTCGAAGAGCCTTTGGAGGGAGCGAAGCCCTGCTGACACCTTCATGTCAGATTCCTGACCTCCAGAACTGTGAGAGAATACATTTCCAGTGTTTTAAGCCCTACGTTTTGTGGTAATATGTTATAGCAGCCCTAGGAAACAGACACATGCAATTGTAAAATATTGAGGGATTTCTCCAATGTCCTCTCACCCACGCTCTAAGCTCCCTGAAGACTGGGTGGTATCCTTTTTTCTATTTTGCCCCAGAGAAGGGCCTGACAAATGCAGACACTCATAAAACATCTGTGGTTGAAAGGCAGGGGGGCCGGGTACGGTGGCTCATGGCTGTAATCCCAGCACTTTGGGAGGCCAAGGCGGGTGGATCACCTGAGGTCAGGAGATCGAGACCATCCTGGCCAACACAGTGAAACCCCATCTCTACTAAAATCACAAAAAACTAGCAGGGTGTGGCAGCACATGCCTGTAGTCCCAGCTACTTGGGAGGAGGCTGGGCAGGAGAATCGCTTGAACCAGGGAGGCGGAGGTTGCAGTGAGCTGAGATCACGCCATTGCACTCCAGCCTGGGCAAGAGAGTGAGACCTTCAAAAAAAAAAAAAAAAAAAAAAAAAGGCAGGGGAAGGTGTGGGGGGCAAGGAAGCCTCACTGGTGAGCCAGCCATCCCTGGAGGACAGGGTCACAAGAGGGACTGAGCCTCCAGGCAGCAGAACCGCAAGGAGCCCCGGTCGCCATGCCAGACCCAGCCCCTCCACAGCTCCCAAGAGGGGATTTGCCCGTTTTCATCAAATGTCTCCCATCCAAGTACTAATCGCGCCCGACCCTGCTTAGCTCCTGAGATCAGATGAGATCAGGTGCGTTCAAGGTGGTATGGCCCTAGACTGTTTTCATCAAATGGCACTAAACCGCCAACCCTAACGCGTCAGGCTTCCAACCTCTGCCCACTGACTTCACATTTAAACGCTCCCCATGCAGAAGCCTCACCAGCTAAGTGGAGGATAGCAGCCTCCCCCAAATCTTCCATCATTCACAGTGACATCACTCCAGCCCCAACTCCATCTCCCCGGTAGCCCTGGAGGCTAAAAGGAACAACTTGGGGTGGCGGGAGCGTGTCAAGAGCCAGGCTGGCTCCTCTGCTCTGCCATGAGTTTCCATTTATTCACCTCAGGGTTCCCTTCTCCTCAAGTCTGCTGAGTGAAGGGATCTGGAGCTCATCCTAAGCAAAACAAAACAGCTGTTTCCCCAGAAGCAAGTCACAAATGTGGTCTCAGGCCCACCCAGCCCTGCAGGGCCAGCATCTGCATTTCAGCAAGATCTGTGTGAAATGCCTGCACGGTGCTTGTGGAACAGGGTTCCCACTCTCTGGCTCATGGCCATTCCTGCTGCCCGGGGATTGGCCACAACCCTACCCCCAAGCCCCACCTGCCCTCTGTGGCTTGAGATGGGGCTTCTCCCTCACTGCTGTAATGGCAGGCTTCCTGACACACTAGTCCAAACGCAGGCGTGCTGCCCCGTCACGTGCACCTCAGGAAGCTCTTACCATTTCCAGTGGGGCTCAGCGCAAAGGTCACCTCCTCCGAGAGGCTTCCGACCACGCCATGTCATATCATCCCCCGATCCCCAGAGACACATGACCCTCCCGGCATGATCCACCATCTGAAGCTGATGACATGCATCTTGTCTGACTTCCCATTAAAACAAAGCTCCATGAGGACAGGGACCACACTGCGTCATCCATCCTAGGCCAGGCACGGGGCAGGAGCTCGGCCAACGCCAGGGGTGTCATGGGTTACACCCGACACTAGTTTCCAAACAGACCCGAAGAGCCTCAGGGCACACAAACGGTTGGAACTCAGCCATTATCCACCAGCTGCCGTAAGACGTGTGAGAAAAAGCCGGCCAAAGAGCTTACCACAAAATGCAGCAATTCATTCCATCAGCCAGCGGCAAAGGATCTTAGAAAATAAAGCTGTGCTCATCAGTGGCTCTCCCGCAGCAAAGAGAAGAGCGCGGCGTCCGCGCTTCCCCAAAAGGGAATTCTGGCTTTGCACCCGGCAGGCAGGAGAGCGGAACATCCGACACCAGGCAAGGCCGGCCCGGCTCTGTGTGGGGAGTGTGGGAGTGTCACACCAGTTTTAGGCTCAATCTGCACACAGGAGTCGAGCTTTGTTTTTGTGTGTTTAAGACAGAGTCTCACTCCGTCGCCCAGGCTGGAGCGCACAGTCTCAGCTCACTGCAACCTCCGCCTCCCAGGTTCAAGCGATTCTCCTGACTCCACCTCCTGAGTAACTTGGATTACAGGCGCCCGCCACCACGCCCCGCTAATTTTTGTATTTCCAGTAGAGACAGGGTTTCACCATATGGGCCAGGCTGGTCTCAAACTCCTGACCTCAGGTGATCCGTCCACCTTGGCCTCCCAAAGGGCTGCGATTATAGGCACGAGCCACCGTGCCCGGCCCAGCTTTAGTTTTTGAGCTAAGACCAGCAGGCAAGAAAGAGCAGCTGGCCAGGCAGGGCGCCCAGAGAGGTTCCTTCCCAGGTGAAATGCCCACTTCACAGACAGAGCTGCGATGCCTGTAGCTCCATCCCGGAAGCTGTGTATCAGATGCCACCAGCGCCCACGGGGGATATTCTCATCCCAGGGCTACAGTGGGATTATCTTCTCCCCTCATTAGCTGAGCGGGATAGAAAATAAAACCCCGAAGCTATAGCTTACAGGACACGCAACTCCGCAGAAGCAATGCGAGGAACCCCACCCAGAAAAGCCAAAGCCACCTCGTACCCGTCCCCAGGACTCACTTCCCGGGGACTTACCAGCTCCACCAGGAAGGCAGGGACCACTCCGCCCGCTTTGGAGAAGGCCCAGGGGAAGTTGAGCAGGCCAGCTCCCAGCGCGGACTTCATGAGGATGAAGACAGCGCCCATCGAGGACAGAGTGGCAGCAGCCGTGGCAGGGTGAGGCTTTTCTGGAAGGCCCCTGCTTCCTGGGGTCTGTCCCTCCATGGCTAGAGGCGGCAGAGGGGTGGAGAGAAAGCACAGTCTTCACGCTTTCCTCCCTAAGTTCTCGATATCCTTATTTGTCTCCCCAACTCAGTGAGAGCTCCCTGAGCCGCTCCTGCCCGCTTCCTTGGCGTCAGCTCCCCCTTTCCAAAGGGTGCTGCATGCATCTGCCCACGACTTCTAGTCCCCCTTCGTCTCCCATTCCCTACCCACATTATTCTCACTCCTGCCCTCCCACTAGACCCCAAGGCAACCTCACCCCTTCCCCCTCCCTCTCTTCTCCCAAACCCCCAACCTTCCTCATCCCCATCAATCCTCTCTCCCCCCATTCCCATCCACTCCCTTTGCTTCCAGCCAAACTTCTGTACAAACAGACCCCCAGTTCCTGGTCCTTACCACCAAATCCAACTTTTAAGGTGCCGGACAGTCTTTGGCTGTTGGGGATGGGACTCGGGCTTACTCCAGGTGGCTCAGTTGCATTTCTTGGGGCCAGAGGGGTGGGAGAAGCAAGATTCGAGCTTGGCCAGGGGTGAGTGAGTCATTAACTAAAGGAGCCCTAGCGAGTATGTGTCAGGGTCAGGCCCCTCCACACCTAAGAGGACAGCAACAAGTGGTCAGGGCCATGGGTCCCAAGAATTTGCAGCTTTTGAGACTTCTGACCTGAGCAAGGAAGGCTTAAGACTCCCGCCTCTCCCCAGCCCCCTGCAGGCCCGGCCCCGGGGGTGGAGCTTTCTCAGCTGCCCTGGAGGGTGACAGGGAGCTCAGCTGGGAGCCACACGGGGCAGGGGAGCAGGCACCATGATCTCATGGCAGCTTCTGCAGCGCCTCCATCCTCACATACCTCTCCAAGGTCCCCAGCCCAACGGAGGGGGCGTGAAAAGTGCCCTGAGCCCAGCCTCCTCCTCTGCAGAACAGGCTCCACCGTCCGCAGGTGCTGCCTCCTAGGTGGTTTCCTTTACCTCCTCCACCCAACTCCAGCAGGTGCGTCTCAGAGCTAATCCCATGCACACGAGTCACCTGAGACGGGGCTTGTTGAACGCTTGGGGGAGGCGGCGGCTGCTGGTCCCTAGGCCACGCTTGAGTGATGACACATCTCTCCAAACTGATACGGGGTCAGCTAAGGGGACAGAATATCGGAGACGGCCCCATTCCGGAAAATGCTGGCACATGCAGCTCAGATCCGGAATTTGACTGTTTATTCCTGGAACCCAGGCTCCCTCTCACCCGCATTCTCGAACTCCAGTTTGCATCAGAATCCACTGGAAGGCTTGTTCAAACACAGAACACCAGGCCCCAGCCCCTGTTTCTGACTGAGTGTCTCCGGGGCGGGGTCTGGGCACCTGCCTTTCTAACGGGTTCCCAGGTGACTCCAATGCCGCTGGTTCGGCCCCTCGCTGAGAAGCACTGCTTTCAGTTAAATATCCTCAATGCCCAGAACCCCTCCCCCCGCTGCATCTAATCAGTCCTTATCTGTCCGACACCAGATCAGCCCCAAAGGCTTCTTTTTGATGTGGTTTCTAATGGTCTCAACCCCCGACTCCTGTTACCTCCTGATGAGCAGGCAGGTTCCAAACTCTGTGGCTCACACAATGGCTGCTCCATAAATGCCCAACCAGCAGAGTCAGTGGCTGGCTTCTCAGCAGGGGCAAGTGAAAGGGAGCCGGGATTGCAGTCCCGGAGCTCAAGGCTGGACAATGACCCGGATGACATTCACGCCACTGCTGCATAAATGTGCTGCTGAGAACCTAGCCTGGATGAGTTCACGCGGATTCCTGAGCGGGTGTCCCCACTGTTCCCCCCAACTCCCACCCCGCACCAAGCAGGAACTCGGCTCAGGCAGGTGGAGCACGTGGCTCAGAGCATCACAGCTGGCAAGCAACAAGGCTGGGATTCACCCTGAGTCAGGCTCCTTTCAGAGGCTGTAATGTCACACGGCCTCCTGCCCCACAAGGACTCTGACAGTGCCTGAATGAGTGTGTGAGAGAATGAATGAATGAATGAATGAATACACAAATGCCAGAAAAGAGAGGAAAGGAAACGTCGTTTGATTGTTCCCCTGTATTACGCTCCTGAGGCTGCCAACACAGACTCAGGGGCTTAGAACAATAGAAAGTTATTCTGTCATGGTCTTGAAGGTCAGAAGTTGGTCAAGGTATCAATGGGGACATGCTCCCTCTGGAGGCCATGGAGGGCGGATCCTTCCTGCCTCTTCCAGCTCCTGGGGGCCTAGGCACTCCCTGGCTTGTGACTGCATTGCTGCCGTCTCTGCCAGCATCATCTTCCCAAGCTTTCTCCTCTGTGTCTTCTCTTTTCAGAAAGGCCCACCCAGATAATCCAAGATGATCCCATCTCAAGATCGTTACTTATATCTGCAAAGACCCTTTTTCCAAATAACGTTAACAGTCACAGGTTCCAGGGCGTGGCATAAATCTCTCTACTGGGGGCCACCATTC
Organism: Homo sapiens; assembly: GCF_000001405.40. Classification (NCBI taxonomy): domain Eukaryota; kingdom Metazoa; phylum Chordata; class Mammalia; order Primates; family Hominidae; genus Homo; species Homo sapiens. The sequence goes on from NC_000016.10 coordinate 84,044,608, forward strand.
AGCCCACTACACCCCTCACATCTGAGATCTGTTTGAGTTCTCATCAGTCATTCAACAAACACTGAGTGCCTACTGTATGCAGGCACTGGAGCTCAAAGGTGAAAGAGAAGGCTCCTCCAGAGAAGGGGACGGTCCCGTGGGGAGCTCAAGAAGAGACAAGCCACCCAAGCCCAATGGGAGGACCGGACTACGAGACCCAAGAATGGAGGTGAATCTGGAGGGGCTTCCTGGAGAAAGTGTGGGGGCTGAGGGGATATCTGTGCACCATTGGTGAAGGGCTGGGAGGATGTTCTGGGAAGTGGAGACTCCCAGTGGCAGGTGCATGAGCCAGTGCTCCCGGGAAGGGCCCCGGGGACTGGGGTTCCCTAGGATAGAGACCTAGGTCAGCGCTGAGCTGGGAAAAGGCTTAAACTCTTGTGTCCCACTCGCTGGAGGGTCACTAAACCATGTGGAGATGGCACTGGACACAGCAGGGAAGGAGGGGGCTGCGGGTGACACCGCAGGCAGGGCCCGTGCAGTACCCAGGCTGGGAGAGGGCGGGGACCACACGCAGTATTCACACAGCTCTCCGAGGCCTGCCAAAGAGGCCAAGTCATTCCCGCTTCCCCCCAAATCCAGCCTCCTGAGAAAGGAGATAAAGGGCCCTTCAGCAGCGGCTGGGGGCTTTGCAGTCCTTAATCTCCGCTCGGGGGCTGGGGGGACACTTCCCTGTCCCTGCCGGTGGGTCCCTCATTAGCGGCCCATTAACGTGCATGACTTAGAAATTGGCCATTGGGCTGTGAAATTCCAGGCAATGGGGAAAACCTCTTAATTCGGAGGGGCTTTGATATCCACTCTCTGCCGGCATCACAGGGCTGCGTGACCTTTCCCGAGCTGTGGAGGGGCGCCCTACTGGGCTGCATCTGCAGCCGGTGGGCGGGCGGGCAGGCGGGTGGGCGGCCACCCTCTGCTTAGTCGGCCCAGCCCACCCAGACCTGACACTGGCTCCAGTGCAGCAGGAGCACGAGGAGGCCACACGGAGGTGCCCGTGTGGATGCTGTCGGCCGTGGCCCACGCTGCACACGGCACCCTGCACAAGAGCGCCCAGCCTGGGGTGGCCTCTCCCCCGCTGTGCTGCGGGGACCCACCTCACCAAGGGAGCTCTTGAGGACCCCAGAGTCCGTGTCAGGTGACAGGCCTAGGAACTTTCACAACAAAGTGGCCTCTGATCGTTTCCCAGACCTTTCTGCTCATGTCCGTTAGAAAATTCTGGAGAGGCCCGGTGGCTCACACAGAGGCAGGTGGATCACCTGAGATCAGGAGTTGGAGGTCAGCCTGGCCAACATGGCAAAACTCCTGTCTCTACTAAAACTACAAATATTAGCTGGGCGTGGTGGCAGGCATCTGTGATCCCAGCTACTCAGGAGGCTGAAGCAGGAGAATCACCTGAACCCGGGAGGTGGAGGTTGCAGTGAGCCGAGATCGTGCCATTGAACTCTAGCCTGGGTGACAAGAGCGAAACTCCATCTCAAACAACAACAACCACCACCCCAGAAAACTCCAGAGAACAAATGACGGCAGGCCTCAGGAGCTAGCCGGCTGCAGCACACAGTATCGTCACCCTGGCTCTGGGGTCTCAGGCCTGAGCCTCACTCGAGTCACCTGTGAAATGGGAGGACACAGGCGCCTGCTCTCTGGGGCTGTCAGGAGGGGCCCGTGGATGGTGTGCACAGCACAGGAGTGGCACGTGGCAGCTGCTGAGGTTGGAACAGAAGTGTGTGCCATATTCCATTATCCAAATTTCCGTTTTCACTTGGGTCCAAATCGGAGCTTCTAGAACAGTATCCTGAACCTTAGCTACACGAGAACCGCCTCGGGCCTTCCTACACTACCGATGCCAGGCCCACCCGCAAAACTGCACATTCAACTGGCCTGGGACGGCACTAGGCGTCAGAATTTTTTTTTTTTTTTTTTTTTTTTTTTTTTTTTCCGAGACAAGAGTCTCACTCTGTTGCCCAGGCTGGAGTGCAGTGGCACGATCTCGGCTCACCGCAGCCTCTGCCTCCCGGCTTCAAGCCATTCTCCTGCCTCAGCCTCCCAAGTAGCTGGGATTACAGACGTGCACCACCACGCCCAGCTAATTTCTGTATTTTTAGTAGAGATGTGGTTTCACCATGTTGGCCAGGCTGGTCTCCAACTCCAGACCTCAGGTGATCTGCCCGCCTCGGCCTCCCAAAGTGCTGGGATTATGGGCAGTCAGAATTTCTACGAAGCTCCCCCAGGAGGGTCTACCGTGCTGTGAGAGTAGAGCACCCAGTTCTTAGGGCCTCCCGCTGACCCTGCTGTCCCCGAGACTGAAGCCCCTCCTTTCTCCGAAGCTCTCAGCCCTAGGCCTGGCCCACGAAGGCTGCTTAGTAAGCAGCGCAGCAAGCCCAGTGTGTCGGAGCAGAGCCGGCCTCCAGCTTCTCAGATGGTGGGAGGGGCCCCACCTGCAGAAATTACCAGGGACCAAAAGTCCTCGGATGGGAGACGGATGTCATAGGGATAGAGAAACTGCTTGTGGTCGGTGAAATGATGGCCTCAAAGATGTCCTCATCGGAACCTCCAGGCCTTGTATGTTACCCCACATGGCAAAAGGGGCTTCACAGATGAGATCGGGGACCTTGTGGGGAGGGGACCCTGAGCTATCCAGGTGTGCTCTATATGTAATCAGTGTCCTTCTAACACGGATGCAGGAGGGGCCAGAGGTCAGAGAGGAGACAGTGGTGTGGAGACAGCAGCAGAGGCTAGAAGGGTGTGCGTGGAACACGGAGGAGGGGCCACCGGATGCTGGGAAAGGCAGGGAAATGGGTTCTCACCCAGGGCTTCAGGAAGGAACCAGCCCTGCCAACACCTTGATTTTAGGCCAGTGAGCCTGAACTTGCACTTCCAACCTCTGGAACCGCAATATATGTTTTAAGCCACTAAATTTGTGGTAGTTTGTCCAGGTGGCAATAGGACCCACATACACCAGCATCCTGAATTCCGATCCTTGGGCAGTTCTGAGAGGACAGGCTGGTGGGCTCCCCCTGGGCTCAGCAGCAGAGGCTGGATCCCTCAGGAACACAGCCACAGGGCACAGGCCTTGTCACATCCCGCGGTCCCCGCCTGGGGGCTGCTTCTCCAGAGCTGTAGTCAGAAGACCTGCTCTGGGTAAAGCAGTAAAGGGGTGAACTGTGGGAGGGAAAGGAAGCATCCTTTAGGCTCACTCTCCTCCTGCCACTGTGTCCAATGGAGGAAACACTGGGGGTGCTGCGGGGGGTGGTCAGCAGCCAACACAGGGCTGGGGGCAGAGGGCAGGGAGGAGGACGTGGTGCCAGGGCTGAGCCCACAGGGTCTTCATCCAGGGGGTTCTGACCACTTGGGTTCACACTGACACTGGGAGTCGGAAGGGCACAAGAACCTCTCCCAGGTTCTAAGCCAGGGCTCCCAAGGGGGCCGCCTGTTGACAAGAATCTCCTGTGGAGGGAGCGTGTTAAGAGTTAACATGACATAAAATTCACTTTTTTTAAACTCCATTCTGGGGCTTACCATTTTAAAGTGTGCAATCCAGTGGCTTTAAGTACTCACAATGTTGTGCCAGTATCACCACTATCTAATTCCAGAACATTTTCAACAGCCCCAAAGGAAGATCCCTTCCCCTAGCTCCTGGCAACCACGAATCGACTCCCTGTTTTTGTGAACTTTGTTTACTGTGGAGACTTCATCACACATGACATGGCCTTTTGTGTCTGGCTTCTTTTACTCAGCATGTTCCTGGGGTTCCCCAACTTGGGAGCATGTGTGAGAACTTCGTTTCTTTTTGTGGCCGTGTTCAATGGCATGGAGAGGCCACCTTTGTCCATGTGGCCATCACTGCTAGACCTGTGGGCCGGCCCCGCCTTCTGGCTACTGTGAATAGTGCAGGTGTGAACTTCACAGAGGTTTTTGTTTGAACACCTTGTTTTCAGTTCTCTTGCGTATAGGCTTAGGGACTGCTGGGTCACAGTTCCAGCAGTTGTTTGCTCTTGGGAGCTTTTAAAAGAGATTCCTAGTCCCTTCCCAAGGAACAGATGATCTAGTCAAGCTGGGGTGAGGCCAGGGATCTGTATTTCTAGGACACTCACCTGCAATGCCTTCTTGTTACCAGCAAATGAAACCATTATTCCGTGAGTTAATATCCAATTAAGGCGGTGGTGCCAGCCACTTTTTTAATGAAGAATTTCAATATTTCTCTAGAAATGTCTATCTAACCTGTATATAAAATGGGAGACAACCCTTTTGCATATCCTTGACTCTATATTTTGTGTCCTGTGAAATCAAAATCTATGTCAACCCTCCCATTATTTCCAGTAGGCAGCACCCTCCGCCCGCCGTGGGAGGCAGGCAGCCTGGCGGTGAGGGCTTCAGAGCTCAGGCCCAGGCCAGACCTGGGTTTTCGCCTGAGAAATGGCTCCGAGAGCCCTGGGCGGGATCATGCCCATGAACCATTGGCCTGAGGCACAGAGACGACCGCTCAGCAGGTCCCAGGACCATCGCTGTGGGCCAGGCTCACCTACTGTGCGTGGCTTTCCTGGGAGGTCTCCTTGGAGCCATCATATGTGGGGCACGCTCTGCACGGAACAGACAAGTGTGTGTGCAAAGAAAGATCTAGACTTGAGTGTCCTATACAGGGGAGGGGGCCAAAGGGGGAGTCACTATTTGTATCTCATCTCAAAGGCTCCTGCAATCGGGGCCACTGCCTGAGTCTCTAGAGAGAGCCAGGGCAAAGGATGACATCTGGCCCCTCTCACGGTCCCCAGGCCCCCTGTGAACCCCAGGTGTTATCTGTGGTTGTGGCTGGTTGGTCTTTTTTTTGTTTTTTGTTATTTTTTTGTAGAGACAGAGTCTTGCTTACTTTGGCCAGGCTGGCCTCAAGTGATCCTCCTGCTTCGGCCAGCCAGTCTTGGGATTTCAGGCAGAGCCACTGCCAGCTGGCCTTTTCTGGCTTGTTAAAAAGATGTAGCTGTTCACTAGGACAATGAGAGCCTATGCCAGGGGCAAAAAGGAATCCTTTCGAAGGGGGGTTTGGCCCAGCCCAGGACCACGAGTGGGCCTAGGTGACAGAACGTGGCCTCAACCTCCAGGCACGTGTGTCCCTGTAATGGCTGACACCGGCGCTGGCTGTCAGGCACATGGCTAAGCACATGGCCTGGGTGACACCATGTACCAAACACACAGCAGTCGGTGGAGTGAAGGCCCCTGGCTAGGGCCCACAGCAGGAGTGGCCGGGCTGAACTGGACCCAGGCAGCTTGAGTCTAGGGCCAGGGCCACGACATCCTCTCCAGGACCTCCAAGGCAGACCCCGGAATCCCACGGCTGCCACCCAGCAAAGGGGGCGTCCCTCCAGGGCCTCTTCTGTTGGGTGGCACATCTGAATGCCAGACTCAGCCATCTCAGCAGACCACATGGATCCGGTTCCTCCCGGAGACCTAATCCCCTTTCTACATAAACTCTCCACCAGGGCGTTCTCTCTCCAGGCTCACCCTCACCTGCTCCTTCACTCAATCCTCCCAGACTCTGTCCCAAGGCCCCCCAGCATCTGGGTATCCTCCTGGTGTGTCACTGTCCCTTTAGAGAGAGACAGACAGACATGGGACATCACACAGACACCAGCAGGAGAGAACAAGGGTTAAGTACACAGGTTTTGGGACTGAGGGCAACATGAGTTCAAATTCTGCCTTGGCTACTAGTTGTATGACTGGGCAAGGGGACGAGTGATTCCCGGGCTTCTGTTTCACCTGTGTGATGGGCCCAGTGATGCCCACCTTACAGTGTGTGGGGAATGAAACAAAAACACATGTTGTAACTAGCACAGCGTGCCTGGGCACACAGTTCCTCATGACATCATTCCGGCAACTGGACAGAAAGGGTCCTCGCCTTCTGGTTTGAGGCAAAACCTTTAACATAACCCTGTCCTTTATGGTCCTGACCACCAGACGGTGAGTGGCCTGCACCTGTAGAGACCTGTGAGACGAGAGGCTCCAGAGCCAACAGCATGCAAGGCCCGCATGTGGGTAAGGAGAGCTGCAAGGCCGCATGTGGGTAAGGAGAGCTGCAAGGCCCCATGTGGGTAAGGAGAGCTGCAAGGCCCGCATGTGCGTAAGGACAGCTGCAAGACCCCCATGTGGGTAAGGAGAGCGGCAAGGCCCCATGTGGGTAAGGAGAGCAGCAAGGCCCGCATGTGGGTAAGGAGAGCTGCAAGGCCGCATGTGGGTAAGGAGAGCTGCAAGGCCGCATGTGGGTAAGGAGAGCTGCAAGGCCGCATGTGGGTAAGGAGAGCTGCAAGGCCGCATGTGGGTAAGGAGAGCTGCAAGGCCGGCATGTGGGTAAGGAGAGCTGCAAGGCCGCATGTGGGTAAGGAGAGCTGCAAGGCCCGCATGTGGGTAAGGAGAGCGGCAAGGCCCGCATGTGGGTAAGGAGAGCTGCAAGGCCGCATGTGGGTAAGGAGAGCTACAAGGCCGCATGTGGGTAAGGAGAGCTACAAGGCCCGCATGTGCTTAAGGAGAGCTGCAAGGCCGCATGTGGGTAAGGAGAGCTACAAGGCCGCATATAGGTAAGGAGAGCTGCAAGGCCGCATGTGGGTAAGGAGAGCTGCAAGGCCCACATGTGGGTAAGGAGAGCTGCAAGGCCGCATGTGGGTAAGGAGAGCTGCAAGGCCGCATGTGGGTAAGGAGAGCTGCAAGGCCCGCATGTGGGTAAGGAGAGCTGCAAGGCCGCATGTGGGTAAGGAGAGCTGCAAGGCCCGCATGTGGGTAAGGAGAGCGGCAAGGCCCGCATGTGGGTAAGGAGAGCTACAAGGCCCGCATGTGCGTAAGGAGAGCTGCAAGGCCGCATGTGGGTAAGGAGAGCTGCAAGGCCGCATGTGGGTAAGGAGAGCTGCAAGGCCCGCATGTGGGTAAGGAGAGCTGCAAGGCCGCATGTGAGTAAGGAGAGCTGCAAGGCCGCATGTGGGTAAGGAGAGCTGCAAGGCCCACATGTGGGTAAGGAGAGTGGCAAGGCCCGCATGTGGGTAAGGAGAGCTACAAGGCCCGCATGTGCGTAAGGAGAGCTGCAAGGCCGCATGTGGGTAAGGAGAGCTGCAAGGCCCCATGTGGGTAAGGAGAGCTGCAAGGCCGTATGTGGGTAAGGAGAGCTGCAAGGCCGCATGTGGGTAAGGAGAGCTGCAAGGCCCGCATGTGGGTAAGGAGAGCGGCAAGGCCCGCATGTGCGTAAGGAGAGCTGCAAGGCCGCATGTGGGTAAGGAGAGCTGCAAGGCCGCATGTGGGTAAGGAGAGCTGCAAGGCCCGCATGTGCGTAAGGAGAGCGGCAAGGCCCGCATGTGCGTAAGGAGAGCTGCAAGGCCGCATGTGGGTAAGGAGAGCGGCAAGGCCCCCATGTGCGTAAGGAGAGCTGCAAGGCCGCATGTGGGTAAGGAGAGCTGCAAGGCCCCATGTGGGTAAGGACAGCTGCAAGGCCGTATGTGGGTAAGGAGAGCTGCAAGGCCGCATGTGGGTAAGGAGAGCTGCAAGGCCGCATGTGGGTAAGGAGAGCTGCAAGGCCCCATGTGGGTAAGGAGAGCGGCTCAGAGCCGCAGCCACCTGCTAGGGACAGCAGGGCTCCTGAGTGGCAGATGCTCGCGCCCCCGGGCTGCGTGTGACGCCCTACACCCTTGGGACAGCAACGAATGCCTCAGGGGACCTCAGCAACACATTCGGATTCTCGAAGCAATGTGGGCAGAGTGCAGTGAGAGCTGCAAGATGAGCACGTGACCTGCCGCGGACGAAAAGAACTGCAAGGGACAGTCGGCCCAGTGGCTCCTCCCCTGCGTGGGCCGAGATGTTTTCTGCCCGTGACCTCAGCAGCACCCTTGTCAGTCCCCGCACGGCCTCTGCCCTCCTTCCCAGTCACCCTCGCCTTTGCTGTGTGGGCTGGTGCTCGGCCAGTCAGCATACAACACCCTGTTCAGGTGGGGATCGACGATGAACAGGCTGCCTGGGATCAGGCAATGCTTTTTCCAATATGACCCCTAATGCACAAGCAACCGAAGAAAAAAAAAAAAACAGAAAAAATGGACTTCAAGATGAAAACCTTTTCTATTTCAAAGGATGGCATCAAGAGAGTGAAAGGACAGCCCAAAGAACAAGAGACAATATCTGCAAGTTCCATCGCTGATAAGGGACTCGCCTAAGAACTCCTACAATTCAATAAAAAGACAACCCAATTAAAATATGGACAAAGGCTCTGAACAGACATTTCTCCAAAGAAGACAAACGGGCAACAGACACATGGAAAGACACTCAATGTCGTGAGTCTTCAGGGAGGTGCAAGTGAAAGCTGCAGTGAGACAGTGCTGCACACCCACCAGGATGGCTAGCATTTGTAAGACGGGGAACTGCAGGTACTGACGAGGATGTGGAGAAAGGGGGGCTCTTGCACGCTGCTGGCAGGAATGCAAGATGGTGCAGCGGCTTTAGAAAAAAAGTCTGGCAACTCCTCAAAAACTTAAACACAAAGCGGTATTTCACACATAGGTACACTCCCAACAGAAAAAAAAAAAAAAAACGAAAAAAAAAACTACGTCGCACAAACCCCATACCCAAATACTCAGAGCAGTGCTGTTCACAACAGCCAAAAAGTGGGACCACCACAAACGCCCACCAGCTGAGGAAGACAGAAACACAACTGGTCTAGCCACACCACAGGACACTGCTCAGCCACAAGCAGGAATGAGTCTTGATACCTGCTACAGCGCTGGTCAATGAACCCTGAAAAGACGACACTGAGTGAAAAGAGTTGGACGCCAAGGACCCACTCGTACTGTGCGATCCCATTGAAAGGACATGTCCAGAACAGGCCGATCCACAGAGCAGCCCGGCCGCCAGCAGCCTAGGGGCAGGTGATGAACGCGGGTGACTGCTGGTGGGAGTGGGGTTTTGCTCTAGGGTGATGGAAATGTTCCGGAACCTGCACAGCCTTGTGAATACACCAAAAACCACTGCGCTCTACACTATAAAGTGGAGAATGTTATGTGAATTACGTCTCAGTGAACACAAAATTAGCAGGTTGATTCAGAACCCATTCCAGACCGTCATCAAAGAGAAATGGGACAAGTGGAAAGAGTCCGTTACACAGTATCTTTAAGCTTCAGACGGGTAATACATATTTATTGAAAATTTTCTTCACCGACAATGGTGAAATCAAGACCTCAAATTACAAAACATGGTGGCAGGTGATACTTACAAAAATAAAGCGAAGGTCTATGTTTTACAGATTTGTGCATGTTTCCTTCAAATCTCAGTCTGTACTGTCATTAAAAAGATCATGGAATCTATGTTGTTCCTCATGATGGAATAGTAAAAAAACTGCATTCCACTGACAAAAAAAATAGCTTTGCTTCCAAATAGCACAAGTCTTTAAAGTGACTTTTCCCAACAATAAATATAGAAAATAGCCTTTAACAAGCGTCTTTTAGCTTGGTCAGGGTTGTATCATTTGTTTGGAAAGTACATCCTTCCCCTGCAGTCAGAAGACCCCAGACAGCCTTTCCAGTTCTCCCGAGTCTTTGGTGCGCACAGCTGCCGGCGGGAAGTCTCACTGGCGGCAGAGCCACTAAGTCCCTCCTGACGGGATCCACAGGAATCTTCTCGATGTACCAGGAGCCTCTGCCCATCACAGGAGGGCAGGCCCATGTAGAACAGACTCTAACAAACCTGCAGCTGGAAACTGGATCCCTTTTAAACCAGCCGCCACCACAGCTCGGCTCACCCACCAGCGCCGTCCGTGAAGGCTCTCTCTGGCCCTCACGGTCAGCCAGGCTGCCGGTCACACCGAAGGGGTCTTTGGCGGGTGAACCTGCTGCATGAGCTGCGGGCGCTTCACCCTGGGCTTCCTCCGCTTCGGCCTGCTCTTGGCCTTGTTGATTTGTACCACAAAGAAGGCCAGGACCACCATGGCTCCCAGGAAGGCAAAGACAGGAATGGTCTGGCCCACCTCCTGGTTGTAGCGGCCAGGCATGATCCCTGTAAGAGGACAGCCGGTTGAACAGGCAGGAACGCCACAGAGCTACCATGACGGCCTTTTTCTATGACGGCTGGATTCATCAGAAACTAAATGCGAGCTAATTTCACTAGCTGGGCTTGCAGGGCATACATCATTTTTAAGCCTTAGCTAAAGTAACCCAGGCTATTAATAAAGAGTGGATGAGAGCAAAGAGCAGCCACTTCCTGTGGGGTGGAGGCTCGGTGGATCTCTGCTGCCCTTCCTCCCTGGGATCCCCGCAGACGGATGATCAGGCCCAGCTATGCTTCTGTCACAACCTACCGAAGGGAGGCCCAGAGGCGCTCTGTGTTTCTCTAAACACAAGGGAAGATGGGCACGTCTCTATCCAGGGGAGAAGGAGGGGCCTGTGGTTCCAGCTGAGTGGGAGGAGGAGAAAGGGGGCGTGGCGGAAGAAGCACCGCTGGCAGTGCCCCGCCTCTGGGAAAGCCCTTCATGGAGGGGACGTGTGGCTGAAAGCCAGGAGAGGCCATCAGAGGACCCTGGTTCAGAATGTCAATACGACTGGGCAAGGCCAAGGGCTCTGGAATTTACCTTCAGCGCACCCCGTGACCTATGCGCAAGGCCCTCAGGACCCTGGCACCACCACGTGGTGTCCAGGGCTGGACTGCACAGACAGGGGTGCCCCTTCCTGATCCCATTTCTGGACAATTCCTGGAACCCAGAGAAACTCCTCTTGGTAGCTATAAACTCTTTGGAAGAGTACAGGGGACTCTAGAGCAAAAGAACTGCCCAGGCTCGGCTGGAAAGGCCTGGTACCAATTGCCTTGGGTAGTGGAGAAGAACCTGCCCTAGGCAGTCTATGTAGCCAGTCAGGATCCCTGGAGAGACAGACAGGATGAGACCACCTAAGGGACACACCCCAGCTCAGTCAAGTCCCTCCCAGGGGGGCAGGGCAGAGAACTGAAGGGGCCTTCTGGGCTGAGGGCTGGGAGCCAGGGCGGCTGCTGCCATTGGCTGGGACCCAAACCAGCAGACAGGCATCCTGTAAGGGACGTTAATAGGTGGCTGGCAGAACTTTCATAAAGAGCGTGCAAGTTACTTTGAACATGTTTAAGTAGATCACCCAGCCGTTGTAAAATAAATTCAAATGTGAAAATCTAGGTAGCATTTTCTAAGGGAAACAACAATCTCTTAATCTGTCAGGCCTGCCCTTGCTCATGCTGGTTTGTGCCACAAAAGAAGCCAAGAGCCAAGGCCACCACAGCTCCCAGGAAGGCAGAGACAGGGAGAGTCTGGCCCGCCTCCTGGGGAGGGAGGGAGACTCCTTTGAACAAAATACAGGATGACTGAGCACAATCACAAAGCAGCCGAGAACTCACCTCCAGGAATGTCCCAGGCGCCGCTCTCTCCAGGGGACAAGGGCCTCACTTGAGGGCGATTCGATCGAAAGTTGGGTAACACCACCTTGTCCAGGTCAATGGAGAGTAGCTTCTGATGTTTCCAAAGGTTACTTCAGGAAAATGGATTAAAACAAAACAAAAATAAGCCATTGTACTAGTCTAGGTACTAGTCTAGGAAGTTCAACTGAAACTCAAGACAGAGCAAGTGATCTACGGGGAGATGTGAAATGCCATTTGCGTCCACGGCCACCTAAATGCCACTGACAGCAACTATGGTGGCCGTTTCCACGTCCCGAGGGAGAAAGATCAAAATCAAGTCCCTGTTCATGAGATTCTACTGAGTTTACAATATGACCAGCAGGAGCCTGTTTTTGCATAAAGCTAAACATGACCAAGCGCCTCGGGAGGACACTCCAAGCGAGGCCCTGGAAGGAGCCTGTCAGGGGGAGGAGCTGAAGCCTGCTGAGTGGACCTGAGCCTGGGGCTATCGAGGTCCTCTCCCTAAGGCCTGGAGCAGTCGGAGGCAATGGTGATTCCAGAACCACTGCATATAAGGAAGTGGGCAAACTGGTGCCGGGAACCAGACAGCATCTTTGTCTCTGAAGAAACCACTGTCTCCAGGGAGAATACGAAACATACAAGGAACCAACAGTGGGAGAGAGTCTGAGCAGCAAAACGTGGGGTCCCCATCTGCCTTGCCTGCAGGCGGGGGACGATCAAATGAACGTGTGCGATTCCTGCACTCTGTGGTGCACAGTATCATTATTAACTCTGGGATCTGAAAAACTCGTTCAGGCCAATACAACTTAGACCCGAAGAAGACAGAGAGGTTGATACGCTGGCAACAGCAGCACAGAGCTTGGGAGGACACCGGAGCTAGAGCGAAGAGCGCGATGGGAAAAACACTACTCTGGCTTAAGTGAGGGGGAAGAATACAGTAAGTTTGCAAATTAAAATTTCTCTATTTTTCTGTTATTTATTCATTTGGAAACTGTCAGCCTGTCTCTTTCACTTTGGGCAAGTGAAAGCAAAGACGTCCAGTCCTATCAGCAATTAGGCTGAAAGTCAACGCCAAGCTGGCGGGCAAGGGCTGGTCTGAGTAGAGGTTCCCTAGGCAGGCAAGAGAGAGACTCCCACTCGATACTCCCAGCTCGGCAACTGCCTGAATGCCAATGAGCACTCATTATAACCCGCCCTATTTTATAGGATTTAATTTTACACTTCAGGCTTAATCAGTCTGAAAGTTAAACTGACAGTGTTAAGTTACGGAATCAATGACATTTAGGCTTTATGACTTTGTAGCTGAATATCTATGGGCTATATTTCCATTCTAACAGTGATATCCTGTTCCAGAATCTCATTCTTTGGTGATGGCACTTTCTAGTGGAGCAGTCATGGTAACAGTCCACACCCATTACCATGTGGGTGCTTTACAGCATACTGACGGAAGGACTGAGGAGCCACCGGAGCAGGAGTTCCTCTCAGGGAGGACGCTGACACTTCCACAGCTGCCCTAGGTATGGGCACCTGATGCCAACGAAGAAGCCCAAAGCGCCTCTCCACTTCACAGATGGAAGCCTGCCCCCAGCACTGGGCTGACAGCATCTGGAGCTGTCTCCTGGTCTCAAATCTCTTTTGGAGACTCAGAATATGCGTCGATCTAGGTCTCTGGGGACCGAGAATAATTTTCAACAAGATATGAAAAGCAAGATAAATGTAAAACCCAGCAGCGTACTGAGAAGAAGGAATTACTGAGTGATTGTGAAAATCAAATTCCAGGAGCTGTCCATTATCAACATGCTGGATGGGCCGGTTCAGTATGTGATGGATTATTTGATGTGAACAGGTAGATAGCCAAGGATAGAAAGGATATTGTTATCTGCTTCAAGTCCTGAACAACACTGTGGAGAATAATTGGGTTTCTGGAAATTCAGCTAACACTGTTCACTGAGTATGAATTGCTGACCATGGCTGGAATATAAATGCTGGTTTGAATGCTAGGCTAATAGAAGGTTATAAATAAATAAGATGCAAAAATGGAAACTTATCAGAAATGTTTAAATGATGAGATGTGAACTGGAATGGAAAAGTACCCAGTGATTAAGGTTCAGGAAGAAAGCTACTGATGAGACAATGTGATGATTCTACCATTTTCCTGTGTTCTATTAAGCATATTCGAAATGAAGACATACGGTCAGTGCGTGGTGTGTTCAGCACTTTCGGTTTATGATGAGGAGTAAAGGCGGAAGGCAGCCTCGCCACCTTCACACGGGCACTCTCCTCTTCGCCTTACAGGACGGAAGGTGGCCTCCGTCCCTGGCCCCATACCATCACTGGAGGAAAAGAAGGCAGGCAGGGGGCCTGTCAAGAGGGTAGCCTCCTGCCTGAGGGGCTGGGGAGAGGGGCCGGGTACCAGGCGGCCAGGGGGCCTCGGAGGGCAAGACTCCTGCTTGATGGGGTGGGAGGTGTGCCTGCCCGGCCACGGACACAGCTCTGACAGCTGTCCCTGGCTTCATCCCCTTTCTCAGGAGAAGCTCCCCCTTTCTTCTTATATTGTCCTGTTTGGGCCAGGGACGTCACAGAAAAAGTAAGGGGGTGGCATCTGGAGAAAAAGGGGACCAGCCATGCCGAGCTGGTCCTAGCCACAGAGGGAAACAGCAGGTCCACCTCAAACACTGGGTACGGAAAGGAAACGATGCAAATGAAGAAGCCGAGTTAGTGAGCTGGAGAAGGGATCCAGGCGGCACTGCAAACAGGAGTGTGGAGACAGCAGCAGAGGTCACAGCCTGCCATCGGAGGCGGGTGCTTTCACCCCCAGTCACAGTCAGCACAGGACGTAATGACACAGAAGCATGCTCTTCTTGGACAGGCTGCAACCGCGGCCCCCGGGGATGACAGAAGAAGGGAACTATCTGTATCTTATCATCAATGTCTGAAACAGGGAACACACTGCAGCCGGCAGCTCTTAACTCCCCAACCACAGGACTTAGAGCTCCAGCTCCCATGAAATCACTCTGTTGGATCCCAGCTTTTTAAAAAAGAATTAACCAAATGTAACAAAATGCTAATTATCCAAAGCACTTTTTATGCAGGATACCACCAAAGAGCCTATTTCCAAAGGCCAATACGAGGTTCACTAAATAACTGTCGCAAATGACAAGCTTGAAGATCTGACAATTCGATAGTGATGTCAGTAAAATTCCATTCTCTCCTATAAGAAAAGCAATGACTCACAAGCCCCGTGGAAAGAGTGGAAGGGCACAGGCGGACACTAACCTGGGCGCCGTCTCGTTTAAAGGCTGTGGCTTGGCCCAAGACAAGCGTGGACAGGCTGGTAGAGGCCGAGGTTTTGGGTCTCCCAAATGGGCCTCCAGAACCTTGGAGTACCGATGAAGATGGTTTCCTGTGGTTAGCAGCAACATCAACAAAAAGGAAAATCATCTCTATTACTAAAATGCAAAGGAAAAAGGAGGGCCTTATTATGAGTCTGTCTGCTTTCCCACAACACAGCACAGAGCCCCTGTGCTCTATTAAGCTATCCTCCATGAGCCGCAGGAGCCACGCCTGATTGGTTCCTCCCGGACAATGTGTGTTTCCATTGCTGAAGGTGGGTGAGAAAATCAGAACCGTTCCCTTGAAGATGGGCAGATGTGTGCACAGCACTGGCTGGTCAAACTTTGCTGACCACCACTGACACACGCAAGGCTACACCTGCGAAATCTAAGCTACAGACCGGTTTCATGGAAAAAATACTTCTCTTCTAAAATATTTAATTCTCTGGCCAAATAAAAAACCACTCTGCATTTTCAAAATTCTTTCTATTTCTTAGATCTGCACCATTGTGCCAACCACACGTAGCTACTGAGCAAGTGAAATAAGGTATCACGTGTTTAAATTCTAATATTCTTCATGTCTTGGGCTCAAGTATATTATTAAAATAGTTTCATCTGTGTTTCTTTTTACTTTTTAAACGCAGCTCCTGGAAAATTTTAAATGATGCCTGTGGTTCCCATGAGCCTTCTACGGGCAGCGCTGTAAGGACCAGCACACCAGGGACTTAGACGCACTGATACCCACCCCACTAAGTGCCAAGCAGCTGGCGGCCCCACGGCACCAGCACAGGCCCCAGAGGCGGGTTGAGGCTCCACCACCACATACCGCCCAGGCGATCTCAGGCAGTTATCTAATTTCTCTCAGCTCTCATTTCCTCATCTGGAAACTGGGAATAATAACATCTATTTTCACAGGATTACTGAGAGGGGACAGTGAGGTAATCCATGGGAGCATCCCAGCCTGCTGCATGGGACCTGGCAAGTGCTCTAGAATGTTGGTGATTCTTCCTGAAGATCTGTAGGAGCCACTGTCCTCACCTGTGAGAGCGGGACGGTAAACACACTCAGAGTGGCGTGAGGGTCGGGGTGCACGTGGGAAAGCAGCTGCACACTGGGTCCTCGATCATGGCCCTCTGGGGACTAAGGATGGCCTCTCGGCAGGTTAGAGCCGCTGAGTGCTGCTCTACCCGCAGCCATTACGAAAACCACTCAGCGGCGCACACAAACTGGCCCCACTTGCTGGCAGGCACAGCCACTGGCTGAAGTAGCATCATGTTCAGCTGGATCCAATTCCCTCCCCAAGGCATCCTGCCCATCCACTCACCTTCCATCCTCTCTGGAGTGACTGAGCCTGCTCCACTGGGAGGGCGCTGGCGGTTCCCAGAGTGACTGAGGCTAGGCGGTGTCACCCCATACGATGTGTACTGGAGGAGGGCATCCAGAAGCCAAAAGCAGTCTGCGAAGTCAACAAGCCTGTTTAGGAATTCCTTTTTTTTTTTCCAGACAGAGTCACGCTCTTGTCACCCAGTGCAGTGGCGCAATCATAGCTCACTGCAGCCTTGAGCTCCTGGGCTCAAGTGATCCTCCTGCCTCAGCCTCCCAAGTAGCTGAGACTGAAGGCACATGACAGCATGCCCGGCTAATTTTTTATTTTTTGCAGAAATGGGTCTGGCTGGTCTCAAACTCCTGGGCTCAAGTGATCTTCTTGCCTCAGCCTCCCAAAGTGCTGGGATTATAGGTGTGAGCCACCACACGTGGCCCGGAATTTAGCTTTTAAGAAGAAATCTCTAAAGGAATTTTTTTTAAGTTAGTCCCCAAAAGTGGGGGAAATGGGAGTTCAGAAGTCACGAGTTTAGGTCAAAGTAAATCCAACATGTTCCAGATTCCCCTATTCTCATAAGACATGCATTCTCAGTGGCCCAGCCCAGCCAGATAAGCACACACAGCCATGACCTGACCAGGGCTCCACTCCCAGTGCCCCAGGGTTCCAGGTGGTCAGCACCACTGTCCACCAGGTTGCACCAACTGCCTGAGTGCCACACTCAGCTCCTCATGGATGGGGGCAGAATGGAGCTCATTCAGAGACAGTGAGACCATGTGACACCCACTGAGAAAAGAAGGGCCTGAGAGCGGGGTCTCAGGGGCAACAGGGAGAGGAGAACGGAGGGCCATGGCTCCTGCTGCATCCCAGAGGCTCTCCTGGGGAGAAGGAACTGTACTGACACCCCAGGGGGTGGAGGCAAGGCTCAACACCCATGCAGCATCTGTTCACTTGAGCTGGGCTTCGAGTCGGCAGGGCCCTGACCACTGGAAGTGTGACAGCAGAGAAAGGGCAATTTGTTTTCAGGGACACCTCAGAGTCGAGGCACTGGGCTAGCAACAGCTCCCGTTCACAAAGGATCCTTTCTGAGAGGGAAGGCGCAACCTGGTATTGAAACCTGGAGCTTCTGTTTCCATCTTGTTTCTCCTGTGTCTGCCCCTTCAAGTTCCATTAACATCAACCTGGACTAGACAAGATCCGTGTGAGAAAAATGCCATTAAGTACTTTCCTCTCATTAAAGGGCACTTCTGGTCAAGTGCTTAATGCCCCTGAAAGATGAAAAAAGCTGCCATTTTAAATGTAAGGCCTAGGACCACCCTCTCAGGCATTTACAATTTAATAAAGACTCTTACCAGGAGATCTCAGGTCTTAAAATCTCTGTGGAAATAAAACATTAACCTCCTTTAACTGTGACTTTAACCCTCACTTTTAATTTTAATTTTATTTTATTATTATTTTTTAAAACAGTGTCTTGCTCTGTCACCCAGGCTGGAGTGCAGTGGCACGATCTCGGCTCACTGCAACCTCTGCCTCCCGGGTTCAAGCAACTCTCCCACCTCAGCCTCCCAAGCAGCTGGGACTACAGGCACACGCCACCACGCCTGGCTAATTTTTGTATTTTTAGTAGAGACGCGGTTTCACTGTGTTGGCCAGGCTGGTCATGAACTCCTGACCTTGTGACCCACTCACCTCGGCCTACCAAAGTGCTGGGATCACAGGCGTGAGCCACCGCGCCCGGCCCATTTTTGATTTTTAAAAAGACCCATCCCAGTCTAGGGATTTACATAAATGCCAGGAATGTAGTCAACTTCAGCCTGAAACGGAGGGGCACACACACACCTCTCAGCGCACGCTGTTAGTGCCTCATTCTTGTCACTCACCACCCGCCCTGTGCCTCGAGTTCCCCAGTGGTCACAGCGCATTAGAAGGTTGCCTTTCAGTCCTGGTGTCATTATCATCTCACCAGGTAAAAACATGGAGCACTTTTACCATTCTTTCTCCCCTTTACAAAATGAGAAAAATAGTCTGTGCCCAACCTCAAGCCCCCAAATCCAACGGATGCATCGAGAGACTGACATAAAGACGCGGAGGGAAGAGGACTGGCATGCCTATTTGCCTCCCCTTCACGCCTCGAGATAACAAACGCTCTTCACTGATAAAGGCTAAGAAAAGCCCGAATTCCAGGTCTGGAAGGACAGCCAAGAGCCAGCCCTCCAGTAAAAGAGTGAGTCAGACCAGAGAAGGGCGCCCCCTCGTGGCAGTGCCCACAAAGTCCAGGCAGCACGGCGTAGGAAGCCTGGGAGGGGCAGGCCCCAAGGAAGTCAGGGAAGGGACTCTCCACCACAACGCGGGAGTCCCGCCTCCGCTGGCCTCAGGAAGGTGAAGATGGAGAAGAGGCATCATGGCCCCAACAAGTAGCTTTGTTTTGCTTATTAAATGTGTGCACACTCAGACACCTATCAAAATATTCCAAGCAATCAAAGTGACTGCAACATCTCCAGCTGAGCCTGGCTCAAGTGAACAGATGTCGGCTGATCTGCCAGCATCTCACGGGCGCCTTTCCAGAGACAAAGGGAAGAAAGGATCTGAGTGCCGAAGTCACAAAGTCCATCTGCGTTTTTCCTACCCTTCTGTCGGTGACTGTCATCCAAGCAATTGGAGTCCCCATACAGTACAATCCGGCCTCCACCCTCAGCTGGAATCTGATAAAGTCCCAAAATGGGGACGTTTTCAACAACTGCTGTTTCCTGCTTTAAAACCTCCAATCCTGAAACAACACAACAAAAAACAACAGCCATGAGAGTTTCCACTGAGCAGTGAGTTATTTCCTGATATTTCATCCACGTGACAAATAAACCACATTTACAAAATCTAATATTCAATTAAAACATTGCAAATTTTTAGAATAGAAAAGCCTTAAGAATAAGCCTTTTAGAATAGAAATGTCTTAAGTGCCATTGATTTGTTTTAGCAAAATTCACTTTGTGTGTATTTCCGTATCTATCCACTTTCATTTTTACTTGCCATGGCAGTACATAATATTTACAATTGCAAAGGTGCTGCCTCTATCTTAAAAAAAAAACCTAAATTGTGTCCCCTCTTATTATCCTGAAAGGCCTATGTTTTCAGACACCTACACAAAGGGCAGCCAGCAGATCTTGCTAAACACACAGGTTTCTCTATGAATACAGTCATATATACTAATACCCAGGTTTCACGTTTTATTATGAAAAGCTAGGACAAATGTAACTAATTTTTAAAAGTATGTCCACATATTTATATTTAGGTTTAAGACATCGGTTACATTAATTTCACAAAGACACATGTTCCAATAGCACAGCCTCCTATCTTTGCCCAGATGACATAATTTAAAATTTGTAATGAATCAAGAAGTCAAAAATGTATAAATGCCACAGGCAGCATCATCAGTGGCACCACCAGATAATCTAGGAGTCTCTGCCCCTAATTCAATTGCTTTCCTCAGCACTAGAACATGATGTACGTCTTCAGCAGAATCTAGTATTGTCCGTGTTGATAACATCTGAAATGTCTGTAGCTCTATAAACGTGACATTCCCTGCTCTCTGTGCAGGAATCCTACTAGGAGCTGAGTAGAAGAAAAAATAGGCCATTCTTTGGAAGAGGGAAGCAGTCAGGAAAAACTGGAACACATTCACCGCCATTTGCCTTGTGGTATTTGATGGGAGTTTTATTTCTGCCATCAGGGTCTTTTCTGATCAGGCATAACCCAAATTCCTATTTTCAAATTCTTATTTTGTACCCAAAAGATTATTCAACTTAAAGTCTTTATGGGAATAAAATGCCCCTTTAAAAAATTTCGTTTTCACACTGTAGTAGAACACCTAAAGAAAGCACATATCCTTAAATCTACTTCTGATTCTCCCCACCCACCTACCAAAAACAAGGATCTCCCAGAGGGTACAAGCCAATGAGACCACCGCTTTGATCCCTTGTTTACAGCTAGAACCTGAAGTGATACTGTCTATGAGAAATGCTTTTAGAAAGAATCACTAACCCATGGCCAAGTGACTGTGAAAACAATCATTATGTGCCTAAAGGTGAAATATAACCTATTAAACACAGATCCAGTTACTGATCAAACTTGCTTTTGATAAAAGGAAAAAATCCCTTCCAGGTAATATAAAAATAAGTTCTATATTCCAGTTGCAAGTAGATAAGGTGAGAAATCCTCTCTTTTCATCGTTTTCAACTAATAAAACTATCCTTAACGTCCACGTACAGAAAATGGCAACTTTAGAAGGGAGGGGGCCTCTCATTCTGAAATACACAGTATCAAACTTGCATGACAGAAACGAATCTTGTACATTTTCATTTTTCTAAAACCTTGGTAATCTGGCAATCACAGAAGCAGAACAATTTATAAAGGGTAACAAAAAAATTCATCAAGTAACCTTGAAGGTAGTTTTTTTTTTTTTTTTGAGATGGTCTCCCTCTGTTGCCCAGGCTGGAGTGCAGTGGCATGATCTTGGGTAACTGCAACCTCTGCCTCCCAGGTTCAAGCGATTCTCCTGCCTCAGCCTCCTGAGTAGCTGGGACTACAGGCGCGTGCCATCATGCCCGGCTAAATTTTTGTATTTTTAGTAGAGACAGGGTTTCACTGTGTTAGCCAGGATGGTCTCGATCTCCTGACCTCATGATCTGCCTGCCTCAGCCTCTCAAAGTGGTGGGTACCATTCAAGTAATATTGCAATAAATTTTAAAAGAAACCAAAATGTCGAATGGGCATGGGATTTCTTATTGCGGTGATAAAATTGTTCTGGAAGTAGACAATGGTGATGGTTCCACAATTTTGTAAATACACTAAAAACCACCGAATTGTACACTTTAAAAGGGCAACTGTTATGGTATGTAAATTATATGCAATAAAGCTTTTATTAAAAAAGAGACAGAGATGAGAGACAGAGAGAGAAGCGGGGGAAAAGGGAGCGAGAGAAAGAAGAAGCAAAAGGCCCATGAATGGCATCCTTTACCTTGGTCCTTGAAAGTCTGTGTTATCACGACGCCATCTTCTGGAAACTTCGCGATGCTGCACCCTGACGCATAATACACTAGGAAAGAGTGTTCAAAGTCAAGGGAACACAGGAACGCCGAACACTTTAATAAATAATAGCTACTCGTTTACCCAAAATACATTCTTCAGATGCTATGTATTTTTTTAATTGTTTTTAATCTTGAGGGAGGAGCTGCTATTGCCTTGTCACACATAAAGTACAAGTAATCTCCTCAAAATTCAAGTAAAAAACACTACTAACATCAGGTTTCTGAATACATTTTATAATCAAAGAAAAATACTATTAACATTAGGTTTCTGAATAGATGTTATAACTCAGAGCAGTGAAAGGCTCAAAACAAGCTGTCCAGACCTGCAGAATGGGTAGTAAGAATGCTTACGACGTTGTTCTCAAAACCAGCTACCAAAACCTTACCTGTGGGGGAACTTCCTACACGGGAAACACAAAGTTATTTCATGAATAGCACTTTGTAAATAATTAAGAAGCTGTGAGGTAGTTCCTATTTGGGACTACTACATAAAGACTCTAATAGGTGGCACTAAAATTAGGAATGGCTACATAAAATATTTTCATTTAAAAAAAATCTGGACAAAACTAGAGCCTCACAGATGTACTTTTGAAAATACTGGTGAGTTCTTTCCACAGACTCCAGCTAACTGAGGGATCACCATTCTCTTTCTCAAGAAATCTAGACTTCAGAGGTGTAGAGCTTCTGCTCTCACACCTAAGACCACGCCCTCAGGAAACAGAGCCTTACTGTCATGGTTGGCCAGGGTGAACTCCCCTTCATACAGGCCATCGCTGAACCCCATGTTCCACACAGACAGCAGCTCATTCAGAGCTGGGATGTTAGCTCCTCCGGTATCCGGCATCCACCACTGCCTGGGAAAGTGGTAACAGACACACAGGGAACAGGGAATGAAGACACTCCATACACAGTTATTTAGTCTCTGTGACAAAACTCAATTTCTCCTGCCACAATCCAGTCCTTCCACACTAAGGCTTCAACTGAAACCAACTGTCTGGGTTTGGGTAAAACTGCAAATTTAAGTGCTTCGGCTGATGTGTAGAATTAATTAAAGCAAAATTTATTTTATGAAATGAAAATCAGTACTTTACCGAAATGCACCAGAGATAACTGCTTAGCCTAGACCCAGCAAGGTTCAGTGAAGGAGAAGGAGATGAGAAAGAAGCATAGAAATGTTCAGTCACAGATTCTAAAGAAACCGATTCAAAACATAAAGGTGATTATGTTTATAATACATTGGGAGTCCTTGATCCCAATAAAGGGAAGGACATTATTCCCTTTGAGTAAATTAATTACTATAAATATAAGTAAATTAATTATTGTAAATATACAATATTTAAATATACAATAATTTACTCGAAATATTCTTTAAGAAACAGTTCCTTTGGTGCATTTAAATTTATATATACTCAGTAACAGAGAGTGGAAAAGAATTAAACAGAAGTTTAAACCTGAAGTATCTCATATCTAAGATTAACAAGGAAAGACAATGAACCCTCTATATTATTAACAGTACTCATACTCAATAAACATCTTACTCTATGAGCAACTTTCAAGAACCTCTCTACTGTATAAAGGACTATTTTCTTTTTTGTGTTTTATTTTTTCTCTTTGAGATAGGGTCTCTCTGACACCCAGGCTGGAGTACAGTGGCTTGATCTCAGCTCACTGCAGCCTTGGCCTCCCAGGTTCAACCGATCTGCCCAACTCAGCCTTCCAAAGTGCTGGGATTACAGGCGTGAGCAACCGCACTCAGTCGAAAGGGCTTTTTTTCTAATCAAGCTCTCTGAATGTGTCTGTGCCAACTGGAAAGACCACCAACAGGTCAAATCATCACTTAAGTATTTGCTGGGTAGAATTTGATTCCCCAAAAGTCTTATCCAAATACCAATGCGTATCAACAGTACCTTGTGTTTTCATCATAAAACTTCACTTTTCTCATAACAGAAGTGTTGTACCAGTCACTGAAGATGACGAGCGAGAGGCCGTTGTCCACGTCCCTCCGGAGCTTGGCGATCTCTTCAGGGAAGTACTCCTCCTCACTGTCCACCATCAGCAAAGTGCCTGATGAACAAAGAACCAAAGCTGGGAACTGTCACTTCTGAATGACAGGACACCACCACGGCAGAAACAGTGTCACCAGGTACATGTCTCAGGTTACTGACACCTAACAGTCTGGTTTGTGCCACCCTGTACCACTTTAAAAGGGACTAAAAAGTAGAGGACCAGGATCCAGCAATACACAGCGACTAACTGTGATCTGATTTCACTTGTGGTGCTCAGGATAAAGATTTTCATTCACTTGAGAAGGAGCAAAATATATAGCAGAGCTGCTTTTAACTTAAAGAAAAAAGAGTACGAATGTCCCTGTCTCCAATCAGCCTGTCTTGTATTTCAGCTGAATGTCACACCGCCACCACCTGTTTCAGAGCCTCGCCCCAGGCTCACCCAGCTGTGGGGCCCACGGCGCATACTCCCTTGGTAGCTATCACTGAAAACTGGGATTCACTCCTCAGACATTTAACAAACATCCAAAGTGGGCGGAAAGACCATCTGGCTAGCACAGCAGTGCCACTTACCATACTGACTGGCATCAAAACACGTGAAGGGGGCCCCGAGGACCTCTACAAAGTAGCCCATGCTTCTCAGATGCTGGTACATATCCCTGAAATTGGTGTGGATGTGATCACCATTCCTGAAAAACAATAGGCCACAGCATTAAAATGATCGATCTTTACTGGCAATAAAGGCATATCTGGCCACAGGGCCGGCTCTGCAAGAGCACCATGCCATGGCCCACAGAGAAGGCCTGGATGGCTGGCCCACTGGCACAGGCATCAGCTTAGGAGACCTGTGTGCTCTGGTCTGGACACACGGAAATGGCTGATAAGAAGAAACCATGTGCCTGGCAGGTGCATGAAAGAGACAAAATGACCAGAAGAAATGGCCAAAGACATGTTTAATGTGTCCTGGACCATCACTGTAGCAGTCGCGTTCAAGTAAATTGCTGGCAACCATCTGTGTCTGACAGAAGAGCTTAGCAAATAGCCGCGGGAGTGCAGGGACGCTGGAACAAGCCACGCAGGGCCACGGTGCTAAGACAGCGGCACAGCTAACTGATATCACTGCCACTGGTCAACTTTCCATCCCCGTCCCTCCCAAATGAGCTCACTTTCCTATGGGACACTGTATACACCCTCTAGGGGTCACCTCATTCTCACCTCCCAGCAGCACAGACTCCAGGTCCTCTCCTGCAGGCCAACGGGCTTGCCTTGGTCTATGAACTTCCCACCACTTCCTGTCTACCCGTCTCTGGTCTGAGCCCCTCCAATCTGGCTGCCAGAGACATCTTATTTTAAAAGGCAAGTCTGACTCTGTAACTATCCTGGTCACATCTTTCAATGCTTCCCCTTCCCCTACTTTCAGCATGGAGTTCAAACGTAGTCCAAACATAAAAGCAGAAATGAGCTTGGCTAATGCACCAAGAGAAAGTCAGCCCAGCTGCCCTGCAGGGAACAGGCACAGGGAGAGCGGCTATGGGGACTGCGGGGGAAGCAGTGCCAGCTTCTGAAGGGCTGCATGGGTCACACCAGGGGGCTTGGCCGGGTGAGGAAGTCAGAATAGGCAGTCACTGGAGAGCTTGAGGCAAACTGTGTTAGAATTTGTTTTAAGATTACCAAGGTTGCCAGAAGAGGAGTGGAATTTAGGGCAACAACAGCAACAGCAGTGGCACTCAGGAGCTGCTGATGTGGTCCAGGCAAGAGATGACAATGGCATGGACTAGGGTGGGAGCAGGGAGAAGGCCAGAGATGGAAGGATCCAGGATGCAGTTTGAGGGTAAGACTGACAGCTTTGCTGACTGGCGCAATGGGAGAAGGAAGGAAAAGAGAACTTCAAGCTTTTTACTGCATAATCATACTTGTGAAAGTTTCAAAAGAGAAGTCAGGCTGCCCTAAGTGCATGGCAAAAGCCTGAACATCTCAGCGTCATCAGAGTCCAGGCTCCACGAGAAGCTGAGCAACATCTTTCCAAGAGTTGCGGGAACAGTGGTGCCTCCTCCCACCACGGAGGCTGGGGAGGTGAAGTGCATCCTGTGAGGTGCTTACCAGTCTAAAGGGTCATTCTTCATCCTTAAATTATCCCTGGGGAAATAGCCAGGTGGATAGCGGAGGTTGTGGTACTGATCCCAGAGAACTCTCTTGCTTCGCGGGGGAGTAGGAATTATCTTCACCTTAATGGGGAGCTTTACTGTTGAAGTCTGTTCTGCACCATTTTTTGACTAAAAAAAAAGAAAAGAAACTTGAAACGCCCTCATTGTGCAGAAAGAAACTTTCAGGTTTGAAAACATCATTTCTATTTATCAACTTAACCTAAATAATTTGAACACAAGAATTTCCAATAACAAATGTCTGATGAAAGATTCATGTATCATAACTAAGTCCATTCAAACACTTAAAGAGTTTAACAGTTAAAATTTAAGGCATATTCTATCAATAAAAACTACTAGAGCCTCATAGGATTAACCCTACATTTCCTTTTAGAGAATGTATATTTTTGGTGCACTCCTTTTGAGCTTGAAATCTGGTAGAAAACAGTCTTCTCTGCTGTTGTGTGGCCACAGAACGGCAAGCCCTAGCACTCACTGACTGAGCTACTTCTTCAAACTCCAGCTGCTCCGGAGGCCCTGGAACCATCAATTGTGGCCATCGAGGATAAGCCTATCTGTCAACTGTACTTCCAATGGAGACCCCAGGCATTTGGCCTGTCCCTCCCTGAAAGGTGATGTCAAACAGCTAAGAAAACAAGCCACTTTCCCGCATATCCCTACCTCTGTCTCTGCTGGGGAAGCCACAGTGATCATGACATGGCCCTGAGCAATGCCTTCCCAGGAAGCCGCTTTCTTGGTCACAGAAATGGAGATGGCCAGGTAGCCCGACCAAGGCCATAAGACCGAGGAGTAGGAGAAGGCAACTTCAATGTTGTCTCCGTTCTGTGGCAAATAGGGCTGCCAGTCAGGCTGCAGGAAAAAGAAATCAGACAAAGGCTAAAGTGAAAAGCTCCAGGAGAAAACACGTGGAAACCAGAAAAACTCAATTCTTACCAAAACTGGTTCCGAGAAATACTTCACTAAATAGGGAAAAATAAAATTTATACACAGATACTAAGTAACTACAACCAAAGTAGCCTATGGACTGCCTCGGACGTATCACTAGAAAAGTCTAGAAACCACTATTTCTGACAGCTTCCAATTTTATGGAGACATTTTTTTTCTATTATAAAACAGGAACTTTTGTCAAAAGTTCTTTGATGAAAAACTTCATCTGACTAAGAGAACTTATATAGATGAAAACTCTCAGATTTAAGGTTATTTCCCAATTAGTTGTATGCTTTAAAAAAATCCCATTAATTGAAAGCAGTAACATGACAGGGACACCAGCTGTCCCGAGTCACATTCTGAAGCTGGAAAGAGGTGGCCGGAGGGAGGACTGGCTCAGCTGCGAGATGACCACCCTTCTACCCTCCAGGTGGGAGAAAAGCAGAAAGGGAAGCGTGAGCAGAGGCCATCTGGAAGAGACGTCAATGAGAGCTTGCAACTAACCGGTATTTCAGACGAATCTAAATTACTCATTTCCCTCCACAATCCACACAGCCAGAACTTACTTCCCAAGTAAGCCAGTGGGTTAAGAAAAAAGTATGAAAAAGAAAAATATCTGTAGGATACGGTGTCCCAAATAATGAGGAAGAAAAGGGATTTTTAAAGAATGCTCTTGGAGCCACTGGTTCCCAAGTGAAAAACTTTCGCCCATCTCTTGTAACACATCAAATTAACACAGATGAAACAATTAAATATTTAACAATCATATACATAAAAATTAGTAGAAAAATAAAATGGAAATTTTATTATCTCTCTGGAATGATGTTTCCATCTGCAAAACAATAAAAGTCACAAAACATAAAAATTCAACTACATGAAATGTAAAACTTTTACAGAAGGAAAAAAATCCCCACCACAGTAAGTAATATTAAAGGGAAAAGAGCATCACCTGGAGGAACATTTTGCTGAACACACAGCAATGGTGAATTTCTCTATGACAGGGCGATCATGTTAGGATTGATAGAGAAAATCCCAATTCCAGGAGAAAAATGGGCCAACGAAATCAACGTGTAACTCATACAAGAGGAAACAGAATTCGTAAACACAACCAAAGATACCCACCCCACAAAGAACTGAAGTGCACATTACACAAGGCGCCCGTTTTACCCCCATCTAAGCTGAAAGCTGAAAGATGTACCACCTAGAATAGCCAAATGCCCAGCAAGAGATGAACGGAGAAACGCCATGTGGCCGACCCGCCCAGTGGAGCACTACTCCAACACAGGAAGCAGCGCGGCACTGACAGCACTACGGCGTGGACAAACTGTGAAAACCTGAGGCTGAGGGAAGGAAGCCGGGCACAAAAGGACAGATGCTATAGGATTCCATTGATGTGAGAAGTCCAGAACAGGCAAGCCCACAGAGACAGAAAGCAGGCTGGTTGCCAAGGGCTGGTGGAAGGAAGAAGGAGTGGCTGATAATGGGTATAAGGTTTCTTTTAGGGAATGTTCCTGAAGGAGATGTTGGCACAGCCTTCTGAATATACTAAAACCCACCAAACTGTGCGACCTAAAAGGGTGAATTTCACGATACGTGGATTTTATCTCAATTTTTTAAAACACTAATGGAATAAAAACACTTTAAAAGGCAAATCAGGTCAGGCGCGATGGCTCACACCTGTAATCCCAGCACTTTGGGAGGGCAAGGCGGGAGGGTCATGAGGTGAGGAGATCGAGACCATCCTGGCTAACATGGTGAAACCCGTCTCTACTAAAAATACAAAAAATTAGCCGGGCATGGTGGTGGGCGCCTGTAGTCCCAGCTACTCGGGAGGCTGAGGCAGGAAAATGGCGTGAACCCGGGAGACGGAGCTTGCAGTGAGCCGAGATCGTGCCACTGCACTCAAGCCTGGGAGAGAGCGAGACTCCGTCTCAGAAAAAAAAAGGCAAATCACCCAGTGAAGGTGTGGTGGAGCCATCTTCTCCTGAACCCCACTGGCAGCAGTCTAAGCTGACATAACTCCACTGGACAGAATTTGGTAGGATGTGCCAAGAGCCATCCTTGACTGTTCACACCCTCTGATTCAGGGAGCAAATCCAGGGAGTTTATGTTAAGGAAATAATTCAAAATAAAAGAAAACCATATATGCAATAATATTCAGTGAAATGTTTATAATTGAAAACTACCTAACAGTTCAAAGGAAAATAGCAAACAAATTATAATTTACTATTTCTATATAAACAACCATTAAGAAGTATACTGGTGCCATGCATATAGTTGAATTTTTCTTTTCTTTTTGAGATGGAGTGTTGCTCTGTCACCAGGTTGGAGTACAGTGGCATGATCTCGGCCCACTGCAACCTCCGCCTCCCAGGTTCAAGCGATTCTCCTGCTTCAGCCTCCCGAGTAGCTGGGATTACAAGCGTGTGTCACCACGCCCAGCTGATTTTTGTATTTTTAGTAGAGACGGGGTTTCACCATGTTTGCCAGGATGGTCTCGATCTCTTGACCTCGTGATCCTCCTGCCTCAGCCTCTCAAAGTGCTGGGATTACAGGCTTGAGCCAACACGCCTGGCAGCTGAATTTTTCAATATTTATGATATAATGAGAACCACCAAAAAAGTTGTGAATTTTTGCCAAGTGCACAATGATAACAAAAAAAATAAGTATTGCAGATAAGGGCTGGAAAAGAATATTTAAAAAACAGTGGCCAAGTTAGTATGCTGAGGCTGGAAGCGAGTTTTCTATGGTTTTTCCCTATTTTTTATTATTGTGATAGTGTCTACATAGTTAAGATTTTTAAAAATTTACAAAACAATATTAAAAAAAAAAGACCGTATCTTCCAAACACATTAAAGGATAGAATACTGGCTGGTGCGGTGGCTCACACCTGTAATCCCAGGACTCTGGGAGGCTGAGGTAGCTGGATCACCTGAAGTCAGGAATTCGAGACCAGCCTGGCCAACATGGTGAAACCCTGTCTCCACTAAAAATGCAAAAAATTAGCCAGACGTGGTGGCAGGCACCTGTAATCCCAGATACCTGGGAGGCTGAGCCAGTAGAATCGCTTGAACCTGGGAGGCGGAGGTTGCAGTGAGCCAAGATCATGCCATTGCCCTCCAGCCTGGGCAACAAGAGTGACACTCTGTCTCAAAAAAAAATAAAGAATGAAATACTACAACTGGGCCTTTAATTATAGGCGCAAAATTGTATAGATGAAAAATCAAATGTAATTAGCTGACTCAGGAGCCAAACTCAAGATGCCAAAGCAAAAAAGTAAAATTGGTTTCATTAATTTATACCCTGACTTATTCTGTAACAGACTTAGCATATAACAAATCACTACTTCCAATAGCCCTGGTACCCTAGACAGGGCTATTTCCTTTTTTTTTTTTTCCCAGACAAGGTCTTGCTCTGTCATCCAGGCTGGAGTGCAATGGCATGATCTTGGCTCACTGCAGCCTCAACCTCCTAGACTCAAGTGATCCTCCCACGTCAGCCTCCTGTGTATCTGGGACCACGGGCACACACCACCATCCCTGGCTAATTTCTTTATTATTTGTAGAGACAGGTCTCACTTTGTTGCTCAGGCTGGTCTTAAAGTCCTGGGCTCAAGTGATCCTCTCTCCTCGGCCTAGAACTTTTCCTTTTTTAACTTCAGCAGAAGTAACTATGGCCTAAAGGTCTGGGCTGTGTCTAAGTTCACCATCAAGTCAGAGACCAAGTCAGAGAGAAGTTTCACCTTATCTACAATTCTTCCTGTGACTCCCATGCCGTTGAGGATGGTGACATTAACAACTGTCGGCATTCCTCCATAGTAGATGGGCTGGGAGCAGTAGGGCCACATGTAGGGACACTCAGTCAGATCTATGTAGCTGGGGCTCAAACTGAAATAAAGAATACAGTGTTAGAGTAGATCATATGAGAAAACTACAATGAAGCAACACAACTGTACAAGACAGAGTTAACAAAGCAGACCTAGCTTCAGAAGGGCTTGCTTACAGCGCTGCCCTAGGCTGGCATCTGGGAACTTGGCTCTGGAATGCTCCTGCACAGATAAGGCCTCTGTGCCAGCCTGCTGTCTATACAGACAGTGTGATGTGCAGGGACACCTCTGCTTTTGCAAGTCTGGAGCTTTGGGAGTTGTCACTGGCAGAGAATGAGTACGTGACCAGCCCTAATGGAAACTTGGACTTGAGTCTCTAGAGGGCTTCCCTGGGCAAAAACACGTACACATGTCAATGCAGCTTGCTGCTAGGAAAGGGGCCAGCTCTGTGAGACCCTGCCTGGCAGGAGAGAGGGGAGAGCTTAGGAAGCTGCGCCTGGATTTCTCCAGGCTTTCTCCGTGTGAGGCATCTTTTTCCCTTACAGAGCCGCTGTGCATCCTTGCTGTGCCACTATAATGAATCTTAGCTGGGAGTATGACCACAGGCTGAGTCCCGTGAGCCCTAAAGCACCGAGCCTGGGAGAGGTGCTGGGGACCCTGACATAATTTGTGTCAGAAGTGCTGACACAAGTGCTCTGGCAATTATGTTGGTTTCATGGTTTCCCCTTATCTGAACTGAGTTTGTGTTGGGTTCACATCACTCCTAGTGCAGCAGCGGTGTCAGCTACGCCCGAACAGGTGAAAAGACAGGAACAGACAAATGTTTCAGACAAGACGTGACCCACGATGGCCTCCCTGAGAGCACCAGGCATACGTGGATCCTGCTTCTCAAGCTGCACCCACGTGCAGTGGGCGGGCGGCTCTGCGCAACTGCTTCACCTCATTACAGGAGATGCCAGCCTTTCTCAAACAGCAACTACGGTATAAGGAGTACTTTTTATTAGTTTGTAATAACAAAGATGTATCTGGGCCAACTGAATTGCTATTTAAGAAACCAAATGGAATATCTTTAGGGATACTGTGACTTTCACAGGCAGTTATAATCAACACATATCACAGTTAAGTTATCTCAACAGATACCACCTTCACAAGTCTGAAGTTCACCAAAAAAAGAAAAAGAAAAGGAAATAGGTACTACCTAGTTTTAAAAATCCTGAATGGATCGGCCATGTGACTACAATTGTATGCATCAGCAAAGGTATCTGTTCTACTTGAAATGTGTTTGTAAACTTTGCTGGTAATTGTGCTCTGTAATCAGTTTAATTCGACTACTAATTCAACATGATTTAACTAGGAAACCATTATTAGCAAACAGAATTCAACATCATATTAAGAAAACAAAATAGCAAGACCAGTGGCATTTATTACAGATTGGTTCAATATTGGGAAACTCATTAATATCATAAACCATATATATTAATAGGTCTAAAGTATTCATATGATTACCTTTCTAGATGCTGAAAAAACATACAAAATTCAATCCACAGTCCTCATGAAAACGCTCAGAAAAACAGCACTAGACAGATAATCTAACACAATAAAAAATATATACATATATATATAGATATACACACCTTAGGGATAAATCCAGCATCTTACTTAACGGAGAAATACAAGAGGCATTTCCATTAAGATTAGGAACAACGTAAGGATAGCCACTCTCTCCCCTGCTGTTCAACACTGTGCTAGATATACCAGCCCATGCAACTAGACAGAAAATAATCAATGAAGCCTTAAGAATTGGCAAGGAAGATGTAAAACTATCTTTATTTCCATATGGTAGGTTAGTACACCTGGAAAACCCTAGAGAAGCAATAATAAAACTAACTCAAACAATAATTCAGATAGGTAGCAGCATATAAAATTAACATATAGAAATAAAATCAACCAGTTAGAGAATATACAAGAAGAGAAAGCCCCATCTACAGCAGCAACAAAAAGATTAAATACTTAAACTTACCAAGAAATGTGTAAAACCTATATGAAGACAACTGTAAAACCTCCTGGAAGACACACAAGAGCAAATGGAAACATATCCTTTGCTCTTAGACAAAATAACAGCATTATAAAAATATTACTTCTAAGTTCATTTAAAATTTGATGCAATTGCAACAAAAATTCCAACAAGCTTCTTTCATAGAATTAAGTAAGATGATATGAAAATTCATATGAAGAAAACAAACATGCAAGAATAGCCAAGAAGGGCCGGGTGAAGTGACTCACGCGTGTCATCCCAGCACTTTGGGAGGCCGAGGCGGGAGGACGGCTTGAGCCCAGGAGTTGAAGACCAGCCTGGGCAACATGGCAAAACCCTGTCTCTACTAAAAATAGAAAAATTAGCGGGGCATGGGGGTATGTACCTGCAGTCCACCTACTTGGGAGGCTGAGACGGGACAGTCACCTGAGCCCAGATGGCAGAGGTTACAGTGAGCTGAGATCATGCAACTACACTCCAGCCTGAGCCACAGAGCAAGACCCTGCTGCATTAAAAAAGAAAAAAAAAAAAAAAAGAGAGAGAGAAAAGAAAAGAAAGAAAGAAAAGAATACCCAAGAAAACAACGAAAAAAAAAATTACAAGGGGAACTAGCACTAACAGATATTAAAACATGCTATAAAGTCTTTATAATCAAAACAGTGTGGTACCAGTACATGGACAGACAGACCAGTGGAACAGAATGGAAAGCTCAGGGATAGACATAATACATATGAAAACTTAGTACATAATAAAGACAGTATCTCAAATCACTGGGGCAAAGATGGACTTTTTAATCACAAGAGCTTTAACAAATGGGTGGCCATTTGGCAAAAGAAAAAATTACATCCCTACCTCCAAACAATACACAAAAATTAACTCCAAATGGATCAAGGAATTTCAAGTAAATAAAAGAAAGCAAACAAATATTAGAAGAAAACACAGGTGAATTTCTCTTTTACCTCCCTCAGTGCAGAAAAAGACTTTCTAAGGACTCAAAATACAGAGGCATCAGCTGAAGAGTAACAAATGTGACTATTAAAAAACAACTGCATGGCAAAAACACCTTACACTAAGTCAAAAGACAACTGACAAAGTGGCAGAAAAATCCGCAACATGCATCCCTGACGGAGGGTTACTAACACTCATATATCGAGAACTCTAAAGAGGGACCAAAAACCCCATTGAAAAAGAAATGAACAGACAATTCACAAGAAAGCTTAAAAAAAAAAAGCTCTTAAACATGGACTTAGGTGTTCAAACTCACTCATAAATAGAGAAACACAAATTAAACAATACTGAAATACCATTTCTTACCAATCAGATTTGTAAAAATAACAAGACAGAGCACTCTGTCAGTGAGGCTTTGGGGAAACCGGCACTCACGCACACTGCTCACGCAATACCAAAAGGCACAACCCTTTCACAGAGAAACAAAGCAATGCCTAACAGAGCTACCCGATGCTCTCAACGCTGACCAGCAGTGCTACCTTACCTAACAGAGCTACCGGGCGCTCTCGACCCGGACCAGCAGTGCCACCTTACCTAAGTTACCTGACGCTCTCAACCCGGACCAGCAGTGCCACCTTACCTAACAGAGCTACCCGATGCTCTCAACCCAGACCAGCAGTGCCACCTTACCTAACAGAGCTACCCGATGCTCTCAACCCAGACCAGCAGTGCCACCTTACCTAACAGAGCTACCCGATGCTCTCAACCCAGACCAGCAGTGCCACCTTACCTAACAGAGCTACCCGATGCTCTCAACCCAGACCAGCAGTGCCACCTTACCTAACAGAGCTACCAGACGCTCTCAATGCTGAGCAGGGTAAATTTTTAGCAATTTACCCTGAAGGAACACCTCCAACAAAACTAAGACACACAGGCCTGAGGTTATTCACTGCAAGTTTATAATTACAAAATACTGGAAACAACTTAAAAGCCCATATGTAGACAAGTAGTGGCTTAAACGATTGTACATTCACAGGATACGGCTGTGAAAAAGGAGAATCTCTACGCACTGACGTGGAGAGATTTCCAGGACGTTAAGTGAAAAAAGCAGAATCCAAAACAATATCCACAGCGATGCTATCCTTCTATGTATGTGCTCATTTGTGGGGTGGTGGGGGCAGGGGGAAGGATAAACCCAAACCTGATGTCATGGTTACCTAAGGCGTGTGCGGAAGCCTGGTAGAAAGAATGGGCGAGTGGGAACTGACATGGTTTGGATGCTCGCCCCCTCCCAATCTCACGCTGACGTGTAATCCCCCATGTTGGAGGTGGGCCTAGTGGGAGGGACTGGGTCCTGGGGGAGACCCCTCATGGGTGGTTTAGCACCATCCCTCTGGTGGTAACTGAGTTCTCACTCAGCTCAGGCAAGATCTGGGTGTTTAACAGTCTGGGACCTCCCCGCTCTCTTGCTCCCTCTCTTGCCATGTGATGTGCTGGCTCCCCTTCACCTTCTGCCATGATTGGAAGCTCCCTGAGGCCTCCCCAGAAGCAGGTGCTGGTGCTATGCTTCCTGTACAGCCTGCAGAACCAGGAGCCAACTGAACCTCTTTTCTTTATAAATTACCCAGTCTCAGGTATTTTTTTATAGCAGTGCAAGAACAAACGAACACATCCTTAGAACCACAGTCATGTTTCACACACCCAATAACAAGTTATAATCAACGAGGATGTGGGGGAAATCTAAAAAGGAATACAAACACGAATAAATGAGTCCAACTGTATTAAAAAGACACCAAGGAAAGAATTAACCTAAGTAACTGAAAAAAACACTATAACTGTATTCTGTAGGGCCAAAGATAATGACGCACTGTCACAAATACTATATTCAAAAAACTCACAAGGACATGGGCTAGCAGTTCCAAAGCTGCTCAGTACGTATACACTACAACTAAGCAAATAAGCCAACATATTGTGGATAATGAGAGCCAGGCTTCTCACTGTTGGAGAATGGAGTTAGAAACAGAGGTAACATGACCATCTCTGTAAATAAGAAATAAATAAATAAATAGAAACAAGGATAGGGAAAGGCTGGAATGAACACTGAGATACTGGCTGGAACCTGGAGGTGGCATGAACTCATGTTTCCAGTACATACACAGATAGGCAGATACAGAAGCAGTCGTATGTGTCTGTGCACGTGTCCACACGTTGCCTAGCTCTGTCCGAAGAGCGCAGTAACCACTGTGAGCACAGCAGCTTGGAGCACCCCGAGTGCCCAGGTCTTGATTTCTTTAGAAGAGGCCATCAGCAAAGAGCTGCTTGGAGACAGAACTGATACCAAGGCTAGAGCACAGAGGTGCATGACAGGACATCCTGTGCTGCCAGGAAGACAGAAAGTGCTCAGAAAAGGCTGGACACATGCTGAAAACACACATAAGCCAACTAGATGGAGCTCCCAACAGCCAACTCGGGGACAATTTGAACGACCCACTAAATGATATTAATTATAATCCACAGAGTAAAATAAATATCTATGTGTCCACACTGATGTAAAGAACTGAATAAATAAATGGGACAGAAAGGACAGCTCTTCCTTCCAGGAGAGTTCCAATTAATCAATGTAAATGGAATGAAGGAAAAAGAAAATCATCACGTGTCAAAGTTGTCAGGAGTAATCACCAAAGGCAAGAACCATCAAGGCATGCTAACATGAGTGAGTGGAAGTATGTGACGAAACAAGGCCATCTCGAAACATGCCCCCACAAGACACTGAGAAGTCACAAAGGAAACACGGGCTGCACAGTGGAGACACCTGGCAGGAGCCACCTCTGGCCCCACAGGGCCAGCAGCTCAGGTCTCCTCTGCAGGACACTGCTGGCTGACACCCGCAGCTGCCACCCTCAGGTCCTCACACGTCTGTGCCAAGGCCACGCTTCCCCTGGGGCTGCTCCCAGCCAATGACTAAGCACACAGGAGGCACCAGGGCAGGCCCATTCTGGGGGGACACAGGACTCCTCCAACAGGCAATCTGGTTCAAGGATTTCCCATCAGCCAAAACTTTTTCAGGCCTGTGCGAGCCTCTTCCTCCCCAGTCCTCCTAACTTTTCGGTGTCAGATCAGCACTGCAGTTCCTGCCTATTCCCACACCCTTCCCTTTATCCTTCAGAGGCCCTCACTCCCCACATATCTTTTGAACATGTAATCCTAGCTTGACGTCTGCTTCTTGGAGGACCCAGACTGACAGACCACATTAATCAAATGATGAAAATGAATACCCCCAATAACAAGATGAAGGAAAACGGAGGAACCGTCTGTGATTAGAGGAAACCAAGAAGACAGGACAATGAAATCCAATGTGGGATCCTGGACTGGATCCCAGAGAATGGACCTGTGGGACAATGGGCGGAATCTGCGTGAAGCCTGCAGGTCAGTCAGCAGTGCTACATCAAGGTTCATTTCCAGACTCTGACGCTCATACTGAGGTTATGGAAGATACTAAGGTGAGGGAAAGCTGGGTGAAGGACTCAGGGGTTCTCATGAACTATTTGTGAAACTTTGCTGTAAATCTAAAATCATTTCAAAATAAGGGTGAAAACAAAGCAGGGCCCAGGCCGGACGGGAGTACCACAGGAGCTGGCGAGATGTATGTGGTCTGCAGGTGAATTACAGCACAGTGTCAGTGTTTGTATGACAGTTTTAACAGCTGTACTCCACTCATCTGAAATGGTGGCATCAGGGGAAACTGGGCAACCTTGTAGGACAACTCTCTCCTATTTCTGCAAAATTTCTGTAAACCTAAGATTATTTCAAGAGTCTAAGAAAGTAAACAACAAAAGCAAAAAAACCACTCAGAAATCATTACTTTTAACCATTTATATTAAAGATCACATCAGTAAGCGAAAGCAGCTACCAGTTCTGCCAGCAGCACCCTGTAGAAGCAGCAGCAAAACCTCTCCAAGCACCCCGAGAATTCTGTGCTTAGTCATCATTTTCTGTTTTGAGGCTTGTATTTTGTGCAGAGGGAAAATTCGCCCAGAGCCCAGTGAAGGAGAGAAAGACCCATCGGCAGGGCGGTGCACTGACCTTGCCTGTGGCTTGTAGCTGTTGAGGATCTGATAGGCTCTGAGCAGATCGAGCTTGCCGTGGCCTTGCTCAAACATGTTGACCCCGGGGAGCCTCCGGGCTGACGCGATCAGGGCCTGCTTCATACTGGCGGGATTCACCAGCTCACGCTTCTGGACTGTGCTGGAGGAAAAATCAAGAATTGCCTATTTTCTCTCAGTAAAAGAATGGAAATTGGACCACTAAAACCTAACCTACAAACGTGCACACAAGAGGCCTGCAGTCTTGTTTAGTATCCAACAGGTGCTTGTCTGGCACAGCCTGCATGAGAGAATGAGTGCACACTCATCTCTGTACCCAATCCAGGACTGACCACTCCGCAACCTTCTACGGGACCCACTTATGCTAAATGCATCAGTAACACATATTTTTGTGATAATTCAACTAAACAACCACATAGGCTGCAGAAGGCATGAATGTATAGGAGGTACTGACTCCTCTGGGGAGAGGAAGCCTGCTGGTCACAGGAAGAAGATGCCATGGGACACCGCCTGGCTGGGAGAAGGAGGAGCACATTCAGATCCTGGGGAGGGGCCACGACACAGGACTAGCAGGAGGCACAGGTCTGAGTGAGGACCGCCGCCTCCAAAGCCAATCCTTGCCTTTTTGTTTCCAGATTGGGAGGCTTGTCTGGGATGAGCCACCCTGATGGATGATGCCTTTCAGAACGACATAGACCTAAGGCCACCTTCAGTTTCACCATGAGAATGCATCTGAACAAGCTTTAACACACAGTGTGACCTGGCTAGGAACTTAGCCTGGTGATACTAGCGTTACAACATCCATTTTTGTGTATTTATGTATTATAAATACAAGTGAATTTTAATTCCTAAAATTGAGGTGGGAATATCAGTACACAAAAAAGGAAAACTTAACTCTCCTAAGTTCCTAAATATTCGTATGTGATGATGTTTGGTGTTGGAGTCTAGGCAGGTTTTCTAAATGGGAAATCTGACATAAGTAGAGGAGATAAAGTAGATTCTTAATGACAGAAGAAAAGAAGTGCTCAAAGCTATGGGTCAACAATCTTCCTCCTCTTCCTGCCTATAAAGTGAACTCAAGGGTTGCGTTCCACTGCCTTTCACAGCATCATCAGGCTGGAGCTCGGGAGGCCCGCCACTGCTGCTCGGCTTCCATTATGAGCGACTGTCACACACAGAGATCACAACGGCAGTTTCATCTGCTGCAGGGAGATGAGGAGACTGAAAGGCTTCCTTGTTGCTGAAAATATCTGTACTTAAAGAAGCTGCTGGGAAAAGGAACAACCCCTCGGCTGCCCGCTTACTCAACAGCAGAGAGCTGACGGGCTCAACAGTGAAGGCAGAGCCCTCACTTCCTGCTAACAATCATGGCGTTTAGGAGAAATGAACCAGTATTTTCTGTTTCCAGAATCAACAACATTAGAAGCTGCAGCCCTAACTGAATTCTCTCCACCTGGCAAATACAAGTGTGCAAACAGGCCAGGTAGCCCACTATCCACCTTCCCTCCACTCTGTTCCTCACTTGATATAACACTGGAGAGAGGAAAACAACGGCAAGAGAAGACAGTGTTTCCAGCAAGCACATGGTTATTCTCCAAAGGCCAGTCTGGCCAATGTCAACATTCTCAAGAATTTGGCTGCAAACTGTAAGGGAAGAACAGAGAAAGGAGGAAAGAGATGGATATCTACCCCTTTTTTTTTTTTGGTAGAGATGAGGTCTCACTATGTTGCCCCAGCTGCTCTCAAACTACTAGCCTCAAACAATCCTCCTGCCTTGGCCTCCCAAAGTGCTGGGATTACAGGTGTGAGCTACCACAACCAGCCAAGTATCTAGCTTTATTAAGGATTACTAACAAAATAATATCTGGCATCAGAAGCTGAAATCAATATTCAATTTACTTAAAGAGAACTTAAAATATAAAGACATTTAATACTATTTGCCTATATTAATTAATTTTTAAATTAGCATAGAATAACTTCCAAATACGCAGAGTTTTGTGTGTTATCACAACACTCAACTAAAACTTCATCTAGATAGAAGAAGTACAATTTATTTTTGGGGAAAATACAGTAACAAGATAAATGCCAGCCCCAAAGACATCCTTTTACAACTGAGAGTAAAGAAACACGGGCCACCGATGAAAGTGAGAACATGTGAACATCAACTCTGGTCTACTCGCTTGGAGAACTTTATTGATTGATTGGCTGATTGAGACAGAGTGTTGCTCTGTCACCCAGGCTGGAGTGCAGTGGCACGATCTCAGTTCACTGCAGCCTCCTCCTCCCGGGTTCAAGCAATTTTCCTGCCTCAATCTCCTGAGTAGCTGGGATTACAGCCGCCCACCACCACACCTGGCTAACTTGTAATTTTTAGTAGAGACAGGGTTTCACCATGTTGATCAGGCTGGTCTTGAACTCCTGACCTCAGGTGACCTGCTGCCTCAGCCTCCCAAAATGCTGGGATTACAGGTGTGAGCCACCGCACCCGGCCTCCTTGAGAACTTTCTTCCAGTTTCATTATCTGCAAGATTAAGGGCCAGTCACTAAGCTCCATTCCAACTGCATGAGATTCAGTGAGACAAAGCAGAGTGGTGACTGTCAGTCCCTGGTGGCTCTGACATCCTTTGCTATAGAGAACATTAAAAGGTGAGTCCCCTTCACAAAAACAACAAATGGGTAACACTGTGAGAAGATGGATGTGTTCATTCGTTTCACTAGAGTAACCTCCTTTTTACTATCTATATGTATTCCATAACATCATGTTGTATATCTTACATATACGCAGTAGGATTTGTTTTTTGTTTTTCTTTTTTAAAGTGAATCCCCAAGGAAATGGAGGATATATGGCAGGGAAATATCTTACTATTTGTTCCCTGCCTGATATTTATGCTTGCTTGGATATAAAAATCACAGTTCTAGCACATAAATGGGATATTAGAAAACAGAACACAAACATAAAGAAACAGGTTATTTTGCCTATCAGCACTTTGTTTACTTAGGCTTATAAAGTGTGTTCACATTCACTTCATCTAACTATAAAAGAAGTGACTCCTACCTCTTTGCAGAGATGAAGAAGGAGAGACAGAGCAAGGCTGTGAAGGGCCTAAGCTCTCAAACCCAAGACAGGGCAGAAGCAAGACACGACTCCTGCTCTGCTGGCACCGAGTGCTCCTGTCCTGACGTGGGAGCTACTGGTCTCTAGGGGGCAGCACTCACCTCACTAACAAGGTGACAGCACCTGCAACCACTGGAGAAGCAACACTGGTCCCTGAGAGGGCCCGGCACCCCCCTTTCACGCCAGAACCCCGCACGCCAGCACCATAGGTGACAATGTCAGGTTTCATGCGACCGTAGCCTCCTGGTAGCTCCTATGAATAAAAGCAGCTTGGTTGCTACATCTCGCACATTGGCATACAGCCGCATGCAATCATGAGTGAATCAAATCAGAACAGAGATATGGGTTAGTTAAAAACTGTATAACCTTAGGAAGGTACTGGTTTTAGTCTGAAATTCACTCCAGGCCAGGCGCAAGGCTCACACCTGTAATCCCAACACTCTGGGAGGCCGAGGCAGGTGGACTGCTTGAGCCCAGGAGTTCCAGACTAGCCTGGGCTACACAGTAAGACCCCCATCTCCACAAAAAATACAAAAATTAGCCAGATGTAGTGGCACAAGCCTGTAGTCCCGGCTACTCAGGAGGATCACCTGAGCCCGGGAGGTCAAGGCTGCAGGGAGCCGTGATTGTGCCACTGCACTCCAGCCTGGGCAACACAGTGAGATCCTGTCCCCCTCAGCCCCGCACCCGCCCCCCCCCCAAAAAAAAAGAGAAAAAAACAAAGAAATTCACTACAATACAGAAAATAAGCTTAAACGATAATGTAGAAAGTAAATTTTTAAAAATATATTTTATAACAACCAGAACAATGGCAAAGGCATAAAGCAATTAAAAGATAAGTATTTTAATTTTGCTGACATGCCAGACTGGAAAGTGGACACTGGCTTATCACCAAGACCAGAAACTGGAAACTGCTTTATCTCTAGATAAGTTAAAATTAGAAATATGTTAGAAAAATTAGAAAATTAAAATGTAAAAAAACCCAAACATGTTTCTTTACAAGGAAAAAAGTACACGGTATGAGTGGATGTTTCAAACGGTTGTAAAAGAGGAAATAAGAAACCACTGAGAAGGAACAAGATAACCACACGACTAACTTGGGATAACGTTTTAATAAGTACTTGCTTAAGCTTCTTAAGAATTGGGGCAAAACGAAAATTAGAATAGGATCTCATATTCTGTCAGAAAACAGGAGCCCAATTTGAAGGGAAGCCCTTTTCTGACCATCAAACCCAAGGACCATGGATGCACATACTGGGATACCGAGTAAAGGCATCCTCCACTGCAGCTGTGATGATGGAAGGACATTTCTCAAATGCCATTAAAAAGCTGGCTGGTGATGAAGGCCATGGACGTGACATCTCATCACGGTTTGGTGAAAGCGTTTACACGGGGAGCTGGGGACAAAGTGGATGACATCTCACCACAGTTCGGTGAGAGCATTTACACAGGGAGCTGGGGACAAAGTGGTGGATGCAGTTTCCCATTATCCGGCAGCACAAGGAACATGCTGAGGGAGCGTGGATGGGAGGACACGCAGCCTGCCCTGCACAGACTGTCACATGAGAGAATGGTCCCCAGCCAACAGGTCAGCTCCAGGAAGAGGCACGTGAGTGTGGGAGGCGGGGACCCCTGGTGGGGCTGAGTGGCGGGGACGCTGGGGGCTGACGCTGTCACAGGACAAAGGCTCAGGCAGAAGGCTATCCTGTAAAGTGGCTACAGTGTGGACGAGGCCCACAGTGTTCCCAGGCAGTTGGGAATCTTTCCAGGGACTTATCTGAGGCCTCCGAGTGTGGCATGTGACGTTAAACACCAAGAGATGCTCTGACCCTGAAGAATGAGAAGGGCAGATGCTCCCCTCGGCCACAGCGAGGGCAAAGGTGCCCAACTGCTGTTCTGCACGAGCGTCTAATTTTTCATCAAACTTTGACAGGTAAAGGTGGGTGAATGTGCTGCATAATTAAACCCCAAACAGCTGAATTATTAACTGTAGCAGTTATTTTGAATTTGTCCAGCTAAATACAATTGTTTCTGTGTTAGCAGAGTTGATATTAAGCTGTTCTCAATGGTTTCTCCAACTTCTTAAGGCTCCCCTCCCCCAAAAAATATCATCTCACCTACCACTGAGGAGGACTGCTTACCACTACTAGATAGGGTAAACGGGCAGGAACCCAATTCACCTAAAGGTGAGTTCCTCAGAAATCAATTAATAAGTTAAACTGGGAAACACCGCTTAGAATCAGCCGGTGCTCATCACAGCAGCTGTGGACTTGCCAGAGTGAAGTGGCAGATGCTGACGGGGCCCAGATCTCTCGTCCTCACGGCTGGGCAGGCACTCACAGCCCCGGCTATTCCCATGTGAATGTGAGGGTGTCTGTGCACTTACAAATACACCCCAAGGCTCGTCAACAACCGGTGCCACTAGCCACAGTAGTTTGTCCAGCTAAATACAATTATTTAGCAAAGAAGAGCGTACCCAGGTAGTCATTCCCCTTGAAGAAAAGCGGGCGATGTTATCTTCAAAGTCAATGCCGCCTACTCCAATCACATCCATTTGATCAGCAGGGTTATTCAGAGTGCTATATTGAGACCAAAAAAAAAAAAAAAGAAAAGAAAAAGAAAAAAACAAGAGAAATAATTTAAAATGGATGATTCAAACCAGGGCGAATACTCCCAGAACAATCTAACACTGTATGAGCTGCTTCTGTGGGAAGACGTGTGCAGCTCCTCACGGCTGTCCTGTGAAACGCATGATCCTGCCACGTTCATGCTGTGCTCACATTACGCCCTCTCACCTGCAACGCCCCTCCTTTCTTCTCCTCCCTGTCAACTTGGCACACTGGGGCTCAAGGCTCACGTTTTCCCTCCAGCAATCCAAGCCTTAAGCATCTGTACTTGCCTTGAACCTCACAACACTTAACACAATCACAATTTATCACCTAACGACACATTCTCACATCACTTTCAAATTGTTCCCAGCACATTCATCTTAACTCCCCAGCTAAATCACACACTTCTCCTGGAAGAAACCATAACCACACATTTACATCTGCCAAGGTCAGGAAGTGGTAAGTTTTCGATTGACCTGTGGTGGTGTTCTACCCTCCTCATAGGGAACTGTAGAAGGACTATCATTACTCTGTAATCTTGAGCTCCTTAGAGTCTCTCCAATACCTTAAGTGCACTAGATCTGCAAAGAAATTATAGTGAAATAAATAATGGCAAAAATGTGTAAACCGTAAAGTCAAGATAAAGATGAACCATTTGAAAATATGAGACACTCAGTTATAAAACTGCATTGCTAAGCTTTATTATGGCTCCACTACCAAAAAAAATGAACTCTTTGACAAATCAACAACTACATACAACTGATTCCAAGTGGCTTAAGAGATAATAGCAGCATGAAGTTCTCCTTCTAGAGTGTGTTTTTAACTGACAATTCCCAACACACCGAGAAAAAGTGGTACTGCCTCCTCAGCCCACTGGCCACCAATATCCTACCAGCTGGTCATTCAGAGGAACGAATAATGATTTTCTGATGACTGATGCTAGATGTTTACACATTCCCAGGAACTCAAGGAGCAGAGGCTGGTACAGAAGTCACTGACAGAAACTCCCACTGAAGTTGACCAAAAAAATACCACCTTCCCACCCTCCTCTACCTGCTAAGCCCTATAATGCTTAGTGTACTTTAAACCCTTAAAAAATAAGGGAACGCATCAAGAAATCATTGCTGGTATTGAAAAGGAGGGACGTGAGGCTGCAGGCTTGCTGGCACCACAGAGTCTAGGAGCACCAAGGGCACAGGACCCAGACAAAGAGACCACAGCAAAGGGGACCGGAGGATGTGTGCCTCATTCCCAGAGGGGCTGACGTATGCATGTTACTGTCCTCAGACCAGCCCTGGAAGCAGTCCCACCAGATGCCCAAGCAGAAAAAACCACACCCACCACAAGCTGGGCTGCCGTGATCACATGCCACGTTCTGTCACTTCAACAGCCAGCAGGTGGCCAGGTCTGTGTGAGGCAGCATGAGCGTACACACAAGGTGGAGATGGGGCCTTCCTGGCAAGGCTCTGCTCCTTCAACACACCATAAACTCACAACTCTGGTAAGAAGCTACGGAGTGCAACCACCCACAAAAGCCACAGGGTTTCAGAACGGCAGCCAGCGTGTGACAAAACAGTCCGAACAGCATGCGAAAGAGCTGGGAATCCAGACAGGTATGGCCAGGAGGATGGGCAGAGGGATGGGGTGCGGAAGACCTGAGAGAAACAGAAGG
This sequence comes from Homo sapiens, assembly GCF_000001405.40. Taxonomy (NCBI): domain Eukaryota; kingdom Metazoa; phylum Chordata; class Mammalia; order Primates; family Hominidae; genus Homo; species Homo sapiens. Next base: position 84,089,163 of record NC_000016.10, read on the forward strand.
AGGACACTCATTCCAGGAAGGTGTACATGGGGAAGTGGAAGATCAAGGTGAACTGAGATTGTGGCTGGAGTTGGCCAACTACGGCCCATGGGCCAAACCAGGCCCACACCTGTTTTTGCAAATACAGCGTTCCTGGAACACAGTCATGTTCATTTACACATATATCACCCGCAGCTGCTTTCACACAATAACGCCTAAAATATTTATTATCTGACCCTTTACAGAAAAAGTTTGCAATTCAGCCTAGAATACTGAAGACCTTGAAAAACAAAAGAAAAATGTGGATTTCATCTATTAGGCAATAATAAACTGCTGCAGATTCTTGATTAGAAAACTGCTACAATATATGTTTGAACAGTAGAAATACGCACAAAAAAGAAAAAGAGCAGCTTCCATTCAAAGAGCATCATCAGCATTCATGGTGCTCTCCCCCTGCTGTCTGATTTCAGTCTCATAGGTACTCTGCAGGCTGCTCTCTACTCCCATCACAGGTGAGGGAGCTGAGGCTCAGAGAAGTGACGGTGCCTCAGCCGTAAGTGGCAGGTCGGACCTGTCTGCTTCCACACCTAGTTTCACCCATGTCCATGCTGGAAGAGCTGGGGTGGGAAAAGACTCAAGATTGGAAAACAGGCTAGGAAACACTGACACCTGGTGACTCTGAACCGATGAGTGCCAGCCTTGAGTGGGGACATCAGAAATGGGAGGAACATTTAAAAGGGAGACAAGAACACCTGACGAGATGACTTAATAACTGGTGTTTGTCATGGCAGAGCTATAGCGAGGGTATGTTCATGCCACTTACATCTATGGCTCATGATACGTATCACTGATGCGACAGCAAAATCCAGAACCCTGGACCTCTAACAAGGTTCACGATCATTTACTCAACTATTAGGCTAGAGTCCTATGAATGCCAATATTCACGTTTTCTGATATGCAAACATGAACTTCACATAGCTTCACCTTGTCTTATGCCCTGGATTTGTGTAAAGCATCCTACAGAAACTTCGAGCACAAGAAATGACTTATAAACATTATCTAGAGAATAAAATGAAGCTGCTGGTGGAAAGAAAACTGAGACCTCTAACCAGACAGGAGCGTACTGGCTGGGATTCAGTGGCAAATGTTTCGCATCTCACGCTGCTTAAGTTTAGCACAAAGGCCCCCCTGTGACACTGTCCTCCCTGCCTCCCTCCTAAATGATCCCTCTCATCAACTCCCAAAGCACCGGCCATGTTGCCGTTAGGCCCGCCAGCACTTCCCCTGTGAATGAGTGTCACTGTGCTCGCACCTGCTCTTTCAGAGAGAGGCAGAAACCTCTTCCGTTTGCCTCTTTACCCGGATGCTTTGCACACAGATCTCATCAACACTGCAGAATCCCTAATAGATTCACTTTTCTGATTGATTTTTGGGGAAAAAAAGTAGTTAGAATAAAAACTTTAGGCCTCTAAATTACTATTTGTAACAAAATTTTAAAAATATATAAATAGAAGGAAGACCGGCCTTGAGGTGACAACTGCTGAGGTGAGTGGTGAGTACCTGGGTGTTCATCTACATCCTATAGTATTTTTTTACATGAGGAAAACATCCTTAAGACAAGTTTTAGACAGACATAAACAAGTAACCATAGGTAGATACACAAACAGATAACAATTTTTCAGTTATTTAAGGGGGAAAAAATCCCCGAGGTCATCCCTGCTGGGGCTACTTACCCATAAAGAGGTCCGTCATTGCCAATAGCAGAAACCATGATTACATTGTTAGCTGTTAATTCCCACACCTACAAAAGGAGCATTTATTTAATGAAAGTATCCCTTTCATTAAACATATAACTGTCAAAAAAAAAAAAAAAACCATACACAACGTCTAAAAACAGTTCTAAAAAAGCAGCACTGGCCCATTATAAAGGCGGATGTGCTGGCAACTTGCATTTTTAGAGGATACCACCCGGGACGGAGAAGCACGCAGTGCACAGAGCAGATGCTGACTTTCTAGTCACTTTGAGGAAAACACGAATTGCATGTTTAGGTAAGAAAGAATTGGCAGGGCATGGTGGCTCACGCCTGTAATCCCAGCACTTTGAAAGGCTGAGGTGGGTGGATCACCTGAGGTCAGGAGTTGGAGACCAGCCTGGCCAATTCGGTGAAACCCCGTCTCTACTAAAAATAGCAAAATTAGCCGGGCATGGTGGTGTGCACCTGTAATCCCGGCTACTTGGGAGGCTGAGGCAGGAGAACCGCTTGAACCTGGGAGGCGGAGGTTGCAGTGAGCCAAGACTGTGCCATTGTACTCCAGCCTGGCCAACAAGAATAAAACTCCATCTCAAAAAAAAAAAAAAAAAAAAAATCAGCAAGGCACCATGTGCTCCTTATCAACACCTACTCTGAGGCCTCTAACCCACTCAATTTATGACATGCAAATCACTGAAGCTCACGTCATTAGCCATCTGTTCTCACAAAGCTGTCACCACCTGGATGAAAAGCCACCAACACACTAGATATGATGCAAAGTTGGGCTGCGAAAGAGCAGGAGCTGTCACCCAAACCCCGTGTGCAGTGACTCCACAAACCTTGTCAACAAACGGATGATCCATGAAGTCCGGGCCGCCGATGCTGAGGTTTAACACGTCGATCTTCTTTAAAATGGCATAGTTGAAGGCGTCCAAAAACCAAGATGTGTAAGATACCTAGTTAAATATTATAACAGTCTGCTTAGTGTTTCAATCAAGTTTTAAAGTGCTAGGACAGTTTTTATTTCTAAGGCTCTTTTAAAATTACAAGTAGTTCTCTTAATTTTTTTTTACTTAAAACCAGAAATGAATCCTGAGCATGCATAATGCTCTGGAGAGTAAAATACAACACGTAGAAGTTCTAAGTCCTTGGAGCTGAACCTAAGGAAGAGGCAGCTGTGTTCTGCAGGTGGCCTATCTCTCTAGGTGAAATGCACAGCTCTCTACACAAAGAATGCCTTCCTAGATAACACCCAAGCTCCCAACCGCCCCTCTCCTACAAAAGGACTTATCCCAAGGCACTTCTATTAAGTTAAGCATTTTGGAATAGTTCAACTTATCTATCTAACCTTCTTCATTCCTAAACAGACTGAAGGACAAATGGCAGCAGTAACAGTTATTTCACAGTATTAGTCTTCTGATGTTCAAGTGCTCCTATGTTCCTTACAAAAGCTTCATTACTTTGTGGATCACCTTTAGCTGTTGCTTTTTTAAAAAATATAAAATTAAGTTTATGGTAGGAAGAGAAGCAATGTAATGATTAAGATTATGTTTTTAAAGGTTTTTAAAAGACCAGGTACTTATATTTTCTCATATACACCAAAGAAATTCTACGAGGAGGTATAAGAAAGGAACATCATCACACAGGACACACGGGCCAGTGAGGAAAGAACCTGCTGGACGGGGACAGGGGTGGGGGTCTCACTGTGTTACCTTCTGACATTTCTGAGCTATGCATTACCTATTCAAAAATTAACCTTAAAAAATAAATAACGAAAAAAGAAACAAATACTAGGACCCTCTCCCTTTTCTATAGTTTCCAAATGAAGAGTGAAGGAACAAGGCTTGTAAACTCCCATTACCCAACACAATGCCAGGTGTCGGGACACAGAGGTAAATAAAACAGCTCAAGGTGGTAGGAACCCAATCAGGGAGGCAAGCACACTTATTCTATCTGCAATTGTTCTGTTCTATCATGCAGACAACCGACCCAGGGTACAGAGGCCTGGGGAAGCCTGGAGGTAGAGAAGAAACAAGGGAAATCAAAGAATCGTCGTAAGTAGTAGCCTCGGCAGGGTCTTCAGGGTTCAACTTAGGTCGACACAGTGGTTGGTGGGAGAAGGGCGGAGCCACCCAGGAGGCAGAGGAACAGTAAACTGAGCATGCGTGCTGCAGTATGAATGGCTCAGCGTCACTGACGTGCACTCCTTTTACACAAGTGTGTACAGTCCAGTGATTCTGCTTTTTACATTTCAGTATGAATTCCTCAAGTTTCAGGAGTCCTCAAAACACCTACCTGATTATTGGTAAAGACCCTGAAAATGTGAAGTTCTGCATCTGGAGCAAATCCTTGGCACTCCCTCATGCTGGCTATCACACCTGCCACGAATGTGCCATGGCCCAACCCTGCAGTCCATAAAGAAAACAATCCCATAAAACACACTGAATAGCAAGTGCCAGGACGCAACATTCCAGGCCATGAGTTCCACGGCCTTCCATTTCCAAGTGCTGGATAGAGGAGGGCCTCTGCTGCTGCTCTACGATCCCCTTAGACGTCACTGGCACAAGCACCCCTTCCAGGTCTAGCCACTCCACGCTCTCCGGGACAGGGAGCTGCCCCCACACCAGGCATGCCCACTCTCTCCTGAAGTGCTACCTCCCGACATCCTATGAGGTATTCAGAGCAGTTTCTGCCACAACAAAAAGCACAATAACACCTTGGGCTTGTCTGAATAATTGCTGGACAGACTGTGGAATCATGCACTAAACACACTCTCAGTCGATCACATGACCACGTTCTCACTGCTGCTGAGACCCACCATCGTCCAGCGTTCGCTCGTTGGTCCAGTTGGTTCTCTCCTTCACATTTTTGAAGTGGGGATGCTTCTCGCTCAGCCCAGTGTCAAAAACAGCAACTCTTACATTAGCACCTTATTCGGAAAAGAAAGCAAACACAATTATGTTTGAAGAAATCATCATTTTGGATTTTGCCTATAAAATACATTCCTTCCTGGGACCCACAGAAAATGACATATTGTGGAAGGCCAAAGCTGCTCAGAGCAAATAAGTTAGGTCAGCTGCTCCCAGGGTCAGCTGGCTGAGCCAAGGCTAAGAAAAGAGGACAGCAGGAGCAATGCCATCATCTGCCGCCAAATAAGATTTAAGGATAAGCAGAAAATCCTTCTAGACCCTCCTCAATTGCCACCAGCACTCAGGATAGAACCACCCCTTCCACTCCTAGCGGGCTTCTCAAGGCTCCAGGCTGGCACCTACTGATACTCCCCTTCTGGCAATTTATCACAGGTCTCCACCCCCCACCTTCTCGGAGGCCCTGCAAAACACTCACAAACCACACACCCAAGGAGCGGGACACAAAAATGGGAAAAGGGGGAACCATTCCTATTCCCAATAAGGACAGCAATTTATTCAATGCTGCTCATTTATAATACAGCAAACTCTGCCGCAAGGAACAATTAACACCACATGCGGCTAATCACACCTAAGAAAAATCACTGCAGTGTGCACTTTTCTATAATAGTAAGTCTATTCCAGATACTGGCCAAAGCCATCAACACCAATGTGAAATACAACTGGCCTGTCTGACCAAAAATTCTAGAAAGCATCTAGAAAAAAAATACAGAATACCTATATGACTTAACAGCTAACCAATGTAAAGAGGGTAATGTCTTTCTGGCAAAAGGGCTGTGTACATATCAATACTATGTTAAATAATCTATTAAACTGAGATAAATATAAAAATCAATGCTACTTTTAAAAAATGCACACACAAAATCAGAAATCATTTGGTTTGGGGGGAATAAAAAATTATTTCTCATGACTAGAAAATTTGTTTTGTCAAGGAGTTCTCATAAAAAGGTAAAACCATGGGGAGACACACATTTTAATGAAATGCCAGTCCACCGGGTATTAAAAGTTGAAGTATCTCAGATATTTTGGAGGGCAGGGCGCCAAGGAGATCAAAGGAGAGGTAAGGGTCCCTAAGTCAAGGATATACGAAAGACACCGAGGCAAACTGCGCTGTCCTGGGAGCAGGTGAAACTGGCTTACATTTAGAAGTCAAGGTAAAAATCTTCACATTAGATAAAACATGAAGGTTTGGTCATGATGAATCAGCAAGGGAAAAATCCTTATTGTTCTGAATTTTATTTCACAGGACATGATCATTAACACTGCTTCCTGTTCTGAAACAAATCATCAGCAGGTGTGATAGTCAATTACTTAGTCACTCTGCATTCAGGACACCAAACTCAAGTGATAAACTAATTTCCGTGGAATTGCCCAGATCAGGGACCATCTTTCCCCAAGAAGTGACAGACTTCTGCAGGCCTGTCGGTCAGCGCCAGTGGCCGGCAGCGCTGTGCTCGTTTGTGTATGTGTCAATAGGAGAGAAGTGCTCCACAGCCTTCCCTTCTAACCTCAGAAATGGTAACAAAAATAAGACACAAATGGTGACAATTAGGAAAGCCACAGAAACAGATGCCTGGCATCACAGGAGTCAAAGATGAGGAGTACTTGGCTACCTCCAGCTAAACAAATAGTAAGAAGGTTAGATGTGGAAGGCTGCAGGGCTTTAGCACTAGGCAGTCCCGAACATGGAATTCCTGCATGTCTGGACTTTCCGCGCCTTCCCTGGGTAATAGCACACACCTGTATATCCCATAAGCACCTTCCCTGGGTAATAGCACACACCTGTATATCCCATCTGCCAGAGCACATCTGCCTGCAGTGTCTGGGCAACCTGGCGCGGGATGGCTCTCAGCAGCCGTCTGCTCGAATGCCTTCCCGTAGCATGCCAGAAGCCAGAGCCCAGGGAGAGGCTGGCTCTTCGCAGGGGACGTGATGATTGCCACTTCTGGCTCCACCGGGTTTCATTGCAGGGTACTGTGGGGTCAGCTACAGGCAAGGGAGAGAAAGATCAGAACAGAAGAGCAAAACGAACTACACGATACCCGCCAGGCAAAACTATCCTAAACACAGGGAGGATTACCATTTGCCACTCTGTTTGAAGGAAAGTGGGATTATCTTCTTTTTCTGGAAGGACAGTCTCAATGCAATTATAATTATAGGACGTTATTTAGCTGTCATATTACTCCCAAATAGTTCTCTACTTGAAATTTTCTAACCAAGGTAAGGCAAAGAAAGACTGATTAAATTAAATAATAATAATTTTAAAAAGCTAATTGTGATAATAAAAATAAAGAAAAACCTGATTTTCATCAGCAACTTGTTCTCACTGAACCAGAAGGGGGAAAAGTTAAAGAAAATGACCCTAAGCATTCATTGAGTTTTATTTTTACTATAAGTTTCACTAGATTTCTTGGGCAGGCAAAAGCCATCAAATATCAACAGGACTTAAAACAACTGTATATTGCTCAATATTCTCAATATTCTTATCTGCTAGAATTTCACCTTTCAAAAACAAAAGGACTACACAGGAGTGAGAGACAGGGAATTTCTGAGGGTGATGGAATTATTCCATATCTTGATTTTGTTGGTGGATATTTGATGGTATACTTTTGCCAAAACTTGCCAAACTATACTCTAAAAAGGACGAATTTTACTATCTGTAAGTCTCTTTATTTTTAAAAAGCGGAGGAAAAAGGCAGTACCACAGAAATGGCCTAAGGGTTTTCCCTTAACCTTTCAAAGACCATGTTATAATGAACAAGTCATATTTCAAATCAGTTTTAAGAAGAGAAAATCTGTAATACCAATACAGTTCTCTTTCTAAAGCAAATCACTGTCATTTTTATTCTAGCCTTACCAACCTACACCCATGTTAAGTACAGGGACCTGGAAACACATACAGTCACGTCAATTCTGGTAAGTAAATATTTGCACAGTCCAACTGAAACGGTTCTTAATTGAAATTCCTCTGCTGAGTCTGATCTTTAAGTCAACAGCATGGGACAATGCTGCAGGTGCTGACTGAAGAGCAACACTGAGACCAGGAATGGGCCTGCTCTGCTTGACCCTGCACAGGCCAGACTCCACCTCCAGTATTATACTCAGTTCAGGGCTTCACAGCTTTCAAACAATTTAGAAAAATTAGTACATTCAAAGGAAAACACTTAAAATGATGAGGGGACTTGAAATCAAGTCACCTGAGTAACTATGGCAAGAACTGAGGATTAGCCTGGAGAGAAAAAATTGCCAAAAGGGACACACCATGGGTATCTTCAAATATCAAAAAGACAGCTATCTTCACCACATCTTTAACTACTGTCACGCAGAAAACAGATAGGCTTTGTCTTATGGCCCATGGGATAGAACCAAATGGGTGGGATGCAGAGTGAGAATGGTGTCAGCCCAAAATAAAGCAAAACCTTCTACGAGTAACAGCCAGAGAAACTGTTAACATTTGGTTACTTACAACATCTTGAACACTCTACTAAGCTTTCTTCATATGCATTATTTCATGTTATCTTCATGACAGCCCCACGAGGTAGGGAGTATCATCTCCATTTTATGAATGAGAAAAACTGAGGCTTCAAGATGGAAAAGACGCTTACTGCTGAAGGTCACAGCTAACTTCAAGGGGCATGGGAACGCAGTGGGCAAGTCTCCCCTCACAGGGGTGTCAGGCACCCGGAACACACGCAGTGGAGATGGTGTCCATGGGAATCCCATCTCCAGAGAGTCTAGGATTCTTGTGCTAAAATTAGGCAACTCCGTGTCTCCTAAAGCATTCTAGAGCTCTTTAAGATAACTGAAGTAAAAAATAAAGTCAACTAAAATACCGCAATGTATACATTTGGCTAACTGTATCAGGTTTGATTGGCTTTTATCTTCCTGGATTATTTTGAAGTGTTACTGCTTTTTAAGGAGAATAATACATAACATCTGGAGTAGCAGAAAAGGCTCTGAAAAAGTCAGACGCCTTAAGTTTACACCTGGTTTTACTATGAAAATTAAACTTCTCTTCGTGTGTGTGTGTGTGTGTGTGTGTGTGTGTGTGTTTGTGTGTGTGTTTAATGCAGCAAAACCTCAGAGGCTCTTAGGCCTAAAATATGATAGACAAAGAAGAGTAAAATTTTAATTTCTTCTTCCTTCTGATGAAAGAAATGATCGTAAATAATAACAGAACTAGAAATTTGTTAACCTGATTTAAGATAAACAGGGAAAAAAAACCCTTTTCCTTTGGTAACACATATCTTTGGAAAATATCATTTAATAAATATGCAATTTACTATTTGAGACTAAACTCTATTTTGACAAGCCCAATTGTAATGAAGTAGGAAAGACTAAGCCCTGGAGAAGAAAAGGAAAAGCCAAGTTGCTTCCATGCTCACACCTGCACAGCTGATGACTTCAACGAACCCAGCTGATGCATGACCATTCCTGGTCAGGAGGCTTTGACAAAAACAAAACGAAACCCCAGGAAAACATGTTTTGCAAGAGTGCCTTTAAAAATCGGGCTGGGTGCAGTGACTCACGCCTGTAATCCCAGCACTTTGGGAGGCTGAGGCAGGCAGATCACCTGAGGTCAGGAGTTCAAGACCAGCCTGACCAATATGGAGAAACCCTGTCTCTACTAAAAATACAAAATTAGCCAGGCATGGTGGCGCATGCCTGTAATCCCAGCTACTTGGGAGGCTAAGGCAGGAGAATCACTTGAACCTGGGTGGAGGTTGAGGTGAGCCAAGATCGCGCCACTGCACTCCAGCCTGGGCAACAAGAGCGAAACTCCGTCTCAAAAAAATAAATAAATAAAAAGGAAAAGAAAAAATAAAACACACACTGAGAGAAGCGAAATGCAAGGAAGAAGCAGACACAAGGACGCGTCTTTCAGCACGAGAAGGCGGCCGCAGCCTTGAAGTCTGAAGGCTTTGAGATGAAGCTGGCGAAAATCGCTTCCAACAGAAACAAAGATCACTACCATCTACTACTGCAAACCCTCAGATTTTCTTCTACCAGAACAGTACGAAGTCTCTTTTTAAAAAATAATTCTGCCCCCCCAACACCGACCCTGCGCACTAAACAAAACTAAACTAAAAAATTCCTACCAGGAAAATGTTCACAATTAGCAAACTAGATGGAAGGATGCGGATACTCACTGTACTATTTTTCAACTACTCTGCAGTTTGAGATTTTCAAAGTAAACAGCAGAGAGAAATTTGCCTACAGTCACAATACTCACATTCAGCATACTTGAGGGAACGAAAGACTTTTCGTTGGGGCGTGACCCGTTTGATGTTTGGATGATCTTCAAGTGTTAGCAGCCCCGCTTTCTGTTTTTCTTTTATCTGAATCACCTCAAAATCACTAGGGTAGTCACTGGATGGATTGTTTCGAGGTATAATTCTCCAATTGTCTACTTCACTGCTCTTCAGGGCACTTGAAATAAATGAATTTCTAGCTTTGGCTGTAAAGTATCCATTGAAAGCCACAATATATTCTGAAACCAATCACCACAAACAAAAATAAGATTTACGCACATACATTATAACATATACTATATTGTATCTAATCTAAAATCTGGCAAAAGAAAAATTATCTTAAAGCCCACAGCAGACGAGAGAAAACACAAAGACTAGTTTAAGTACCTAGACAGCTGTCTGCAGAGCTTTGAGGAAAAATGATCTATATGGGGCTGGGCGCGGTGGCTCACGCCTGTAATCCCAGCACTTTGGGAGGCTGACGTGGGCAGATTACGAGGTGAGGAGTTTGAGACCAGCCTGGCCAACATAGTGAAACCCCATCTCTACTAAAAATACAAAAAATTAGCTGGGTGTGGTGGTGGGCGCCTATAATCCTGGGAGGCTAAGGCAGGAGAATCACTTGAACCTGGGAGGCGGAGATTGCAGTAAGCAGAGATTGCACCACTGCACTCCTGCCTGGTGACAGAGCAAGCCTCCGTCTCAAAAAAAAAAAAAAAAAGATCTCTATGAATCACCTAACCACAAAGAATACATCATTCGAAACCAGATACCCGTGATATTTTTTTAAAAAGCAAATACCTACAGAAGTTTGAATACACAACAAAGAAATGTATATAATTTTTATCAAGTAGGAAAAAGAAATTCAGAGAACTGAATGCTCAGTTAGTGTTTCTTAAAACGAAAACAGTAACAAAATTCCAGAGTGGATTATGTGAGACTATTTGCTCAGTTCTTCACATCTGGTCACTCAAACTTTAGAACATAAACATTCTGCACCTCCCAGCTCCCCACCTTCACCAATTACAATGGCACCTGTTCCAAAGAATCAAGGTGTAGGCTGGGCACAGTGGCTCATGCCTATAATCCCAGCATTCTGGGAGGTCGAAGTGGATGGATTGCTTGAGCTCAGGAGTTTAAGACCAGCCTGGGCAACATGGTGAAACAAAAAATAAAAAAATTAGCTGGGCAGGCCGGGCACAGTGGCTCATGCCTGTAATCCCAACACTTTGGGAGGCCAATGCAGGAGGATCACCTGAGGTCAAGAGTGCAAGACCAGCCTGACCAACATGGAGAAACGCAGTCTCTACTAAAAAGACAAAATTAGCCGGGCATGGTGGCACATGCCTGTAATCCCAGCTACTCGGGAGGCTGAGGCAGGAGAATCGCTTGAACCTGGGAGGTGGAGGTTGCGGTGAGCTGAGATGGTGCCATTGCACTCCAGCCTGGGCAACAAGAGTGAATCTCCATCTCAAAAAAGAAAAAAGAAAAAACAAAAATAAAAAAATTAGCTGGGCACGGTGGCAGGTGCCTGTAGTCCCAGCTACTCAGGAGGCTGAAGTGGGAGACCACTTGTGCCTGGGAGGCCAAGGCTGCAATGAGCTGAGATGGCACCACTGCACTCCAGCCTGGGCGACAAGAGCAAAACTCTGTCTCCAAAAGAAAAAGAAAAGAAGGTGTAGGTAAATAATTCATGTCAATTTCCTTTTATCATATAAGCTTACTCTACTGGGAAAACAAACTTAAGCAAAGTTAACATTCATGTGCTGTGCACTCAACCCATTGGAAATTTACTACAGAAGGCCAGGCACGGTGGCTCATGCCTGTAATCCCAGCACTTTGGGAGGCCAAGGAGGGTGATCACTTGAGGTCAGGAGTTCAAGACCAGCCTGGCTAACATGCTGAAACCCCGTCTCTACTAAAAATACAAAAAAAAAAAAAAAAAAAGGCCTGGCACGATAGTTCATGCCTGTAGTCCCAACACTCTGGGAGGCCAAGGCAGGCGGATCACGAGGTCAGGAGCTCGAGACCAGCCTGGCCAATGTGGTGAAACCCCATCTCTACTAAAAATAGAAAAAATTAACTGGGAGTTGTGGCGGGTGCCTGTAGTCCCAGCTGCTCAGGAGGCTGAGGCAGGAGAACTGCTTGAACCTGGGAGGTGGAAGTTGCAGTGAACCGAGATCGTGCCATTGCACTCCAGCCTCAGCAACAGAGTGAGACTCCATCTCAAAAACAAAACAAAACAAAACAGAACAAATCAAAACAAAAAATTAGCCAGGGACGGTGGCAGTCACCTATAATCCCAGCTACTTGGGAGGCTGAGGCATGAGAATTGCTTGAATCCAGGAGGTGGAGGTTACAGTGAGCCGAGATCATGCCACTGCACTCCAGCCTGGGTGACAGAGTGAGACTCTGTCTCAAAAAAAAAAAAAAGAAAGAAATTTACTGTAGAAAAGAGGAACATGTTATTCAGCAATAGCTAATTTTATATTAAGTAAGCTTTAAAAAAATAGGATGGGAGTTCCTAATACTTAAGACAACATCATTACCATATTCCACAACTGTTGATGAGAATTCCACCTTCAAAGTCAGGTGGGAACAGCCAGGGCATGGGGCCTTTTCAAAAGATTTCTTTTCCAGTCTGTCGCCCAGATGTTTCTTCCCACAGAGCAAAACCACGAGCAGAAGCAGCCAGATGTTGACAAGCTTCATGGTCACAAGCGAATATGATCATAAAATTGCATATATTCAAATCACACTTTTTTCTTCTTGATTAAAAGTGAATTTTTGTTTCAGCTAAAAGCTGCAACATTACTAATCAGCCATCTTACAGTCTTGCCCAACATAAATAAAAGTTAAATCCCATGGCCTTTTGTGGTTCAGCCTGAAGAGAGGCTTTCATTTCTTTCTCCGCTTCTTCTCCATCTTGGAAATAAGGCTTCTCTCACTCAGGCCGTGACGACTGAGTCCTGTACTCCATTTGTACCACAGAACCAACGTCCAATGGGGTTGATCAATCAACCACTGTGAGCCAATCTATGAAACAAAAAACAGTGCACACAGACATTAGTAGCAAACTGACATAGCCAGGTATGATTTAGTTGTATTTATAATTTAAGCAAGTGGGTCAGCCAGGCAAGGTGGCAGGTGCCTGTAGATCAGCTGCTTGGGAGGCTGAGGTGGGAAGATCACTTGAGCCCAGGAGTCTGAGTCCAGCCTGAGCAACAAAGTGAGACCCTATGTCTAAAATAATAAAATAATAAAATAAATAAGAGGGTAAAAGAGATATCCTGGTTTTAAGACAAATTAATGTGCCATACAACCATGAAACATATTATTTCATTTTTATTTACTTATTACTCACTGCTTTCACGGGAAAATTTTTTTTAGGCATCTTCAAAAATAAAACAATAAAATCAATGAGAAAAATGGAAAAAAGTAAGGACAACAAAATAACACCAAAAATATTAAGCACACTGGACCTGAGCATTCTAGCAGCCAAAGAGAAGAAGGCATCAGGATGATCCTTTGTTCTGTTTCAGATTCTGTATTTCCTATCATTTGCAACTCAATCCCCAGAGCATTTCCCCAGTTGGCACTTTTACTTCCCACAAATTTCATCAATTTTTCAGGCAAAAGCTTGGTATAAAGCCTTACTTTCTGCTGTAACATTAATACCTAACAGCAAAGTAATTTCCCTATCAGTGATATTTAACACCTTCTTTAAGAAACACTATGCTTTAATATTACATAGTTTGAAATATTTTCTACCAATTCTATGAAAAGAGCATAAAAGGGTTTACTGTCCTGAAATTTATTTTACCTGAAACCTCACACTTAAAGAAATGTAACCTGCTAAATGTGTTATAAAACCAGATTATCTCTTTACTGGAGTGACATGAGAAGACAGTTTGTGAGGGAAACTACTGCTAAAGAAAAATGTCACCTGAATATTAAATTAAGCATGCGCACAGATATCTTCCAAAACATCTGAATTGTAAGAAAAACTGCCATTCTTCACAATGAAAACAGAGCGATAGTAAAGAACAATGCTGGCTGTAGCATAACCAGAAAAACAGTTGCACAGACCATACCCGGGGCGTAAATAATCCAGCAGGGTAGGGGATGGGTAAATGAAGCAAGAGAGGCCTTCCAGTGCTACTTAGGATTTTATTATTATTATTATTTTTTTTTTTTTTTTGAGGAAGGGTCTCACTCTGACACCCAGGCTGGAGTGGGTGGCGCAATCTCTGCACAGTTCACTGCAGCCTCAACTTCCTGGGCTCAAGCAATCCTCCAGCCTCAGCCTCCCGAGTAGCTGGGACTATAGGCATGCATCACCACACCCAGCTAATTTTTGGATTTTAATATAGAGAAGCAGTCTCGGCATTTTGTCCAGGCTGGTCTCAAACTCAGGTGATCCAGCCACCTTGGCCTCCCAAAGTGTTGAGATTACAGACAAGAGCCGCCATGTCCGCCCACTACTTGTTTTTAAAAAGAAAACATTAAGGACAAGGAGTTAAGTCATCTATTACAAAAGGTACTTCAAGCTGTAAAACTCATTCTTCTGGCAGAAACTGGTGCTTCTGAGTTTTTGGTTTCTGGAAATATCAATATGTGCTTCTACGAGTAGAAAAACATTGATAAAGTACCGTGAGGGGTTAAAATATCCAAAAAACGTTTTTACTTTTACTAAAGAGGGACTTTCACTGCTGTACTAACAACTGATCCTGAAAAACAAGCCCATCTCTGGCACTGGCACTGGCAACTAAGGGGCGTGGAACTCATCAGAAATGAGTCAAAGTTTAAAGCAGTTACATCCACCTCGACAAGAACAACAATAACAATGCCAACTGCAAGAGCAAAAACAAAGAGCCAAACAGAAAGATCAGAAAAGCAGAGGGCACCTAAAGCCACCCTAACAGGTTTGACAGAAGTTTGCTCAGGAGTAAGCCCCTACTTCTTAGTTTCTTTATGCTTGATACATCCAGCAATGGAGTACCAAAGAAAATAATGACATGAAGCATGTATCTAGCTTAATTAAAGACTACTGGCCGAAGAAGATAAAAGCCAGTAATAACAGTTCTCATATCACAGTAAATGAATATATATTTAAAAGATATTTATTAAATGCGTTTCTCACTCAAGGCAGGCTTTTTGTTGTTGTTGTTAAAAAGGAAGGAACAATCATTTGAGCCCAGAGGTTTGAGACCAGCCTGGGCAACGTGGAGAAACCTCATCTCTACAAAAAAAACATTAAAAATTAGCTAGGCATGGTGGCGCGCCTATAGTCCCAGCTACTCAGGAAGATTGCTTTAGCCTGGAGGGTTGCAGTGGGCCAAGAGTGCACCACTACATTCCAGCCTGGGTGACACAGTGAGACTCTCTCTCCACTTAAAAAACAAACAAACAAACAAAAAAGCCTCTTAAAACTTTTCTGCCTCAAGCTAAAGAATCTATGACACATGTGGGCTCCATATAACACAAATATAATTAAGTAATAGTACTGAGAAAATCTTAGACCTAACTGGGTTAAATCAACTTTAATTCAACCTGTTCTAAAATAATTCACTCAAAGGTAAAGACTCTTAGGTAAGAAATTTTAACACAGCCCAT
The DNA here is from genome assembly GCF_000001405.40 of Homo sapiens. Lineage (NCBI taxonomy): Eukaryota > Metazoa > Chordata > Mammalia > Primates > Hominidae > Homo > Homo sapiens. The sequence continues at coordinate 84,104,688 of NC_000016.10, forward strand.
GCAGAAGAGATGGCTGATGTTCTCTTACAACTTAGGCAGGTACTTGCCTTTAAAAGAAATGAAAAGAAAGGATTTGGCGGTTTTCAAATGAAAAAAAGGCCAGGCGCGGTGGCTCACACCTGTAATCCTGGGTGTGATTCCACTTTAGGAGGCTGAGGCCGGCGGATCACTTGAGGCCAGGAGTTAGAGACCAGCCTGGCCAACATGGTGAAACCCCATATCTACTAAAAACCAACCAACCGACCCAAAAAAAAAAATACAAAAATTAGTTGGGCATTGTGGTGCATGCCTGTAATCCCAACTACTCCGGAGGGTGAGGCAGGATAATCGTTTGAACCCAGGAGGCAGAGGTTGCAGTGAGCTGAGATTGGGACACTGCAGCAGTCCCGCCTGGGTGACAGCGAGACTCTGTCTCAAAAAAAAAAAATAAATAAATGAAAAAAACTCTCTAAGGTAATCAGTTCTTCCCCAAATTAAAAATAATAATAAATGTGGGGTATGTGGAAAACAGAGAAGGCAATTATTATCATAAGACATTTTACCTTAACTCATTCATTAGATCAGGCAATTTTAGAATACTTACCAAGTTAAGATACTATCAGGTACTACAGAACAAACACGGACTATTAGCTAGTCAGGGCACAACCTTCCAAGTGTGATGTAGTTAAATTTAAGGACAACTAAACAAAATGCAGGAAATGAAAATGTGAAAGGAGAGGCAGGCATCCAGGCCACAGATGCTGAACTGACACACAGTTCTCTCCGGGCTGTGAAGAGGCGGCTTCTGCTGGGGAGGGGGCACTGCAGCAGCTCTGGAAGAATCTGAGCTCAGTAGCACTGAAAGATGGGCGTGAGGGAGGGAGGAGCAGAGCATCCCAAGCGTGGCAACACTGGAACCACAGGAAGACACAGATGTGCACAAGGATCAGCACTGCCCAGCCTGAGGAGGGAGGCAAGGAGGTGTCCGTCTAGCGAGGCTGAAAGACGAGGGGGGAAGAGAGGACCTCAAGCAGGTACACCCCAGCCAACAGCCGGAAATACGGACCTCTTCCATCCAATGGCAGTGAAGAGCACAGAGATAAAACACAGCCCAACGACGAGACTGCTGAGCTCCTGTGTTCACCCATCCAACTCATCTAGTGAGAAACTACTAAAAGCCAGGCACTGTTCTAGGAGTAGGGATAGAGTAATGAACAAAATACCATAGAAATCTCTGACCTCACGGAGCTTACCTTCCAGTGCAGGGAGACAGACCGTAACTAAGACAAGTAAAACATACAGTATTTAGCTGGTGATAAAAACTACATTTGGGAAGGAGAGAAAACAGCTAGGCACGATGGGTCACACCTGTAATCTCAGCACTTTGGGAGGCCAAGGCGGGTGGATCACCTGAGGCCAGGAATTCGAGACCATCCTGGCCAAAATGGTGAAACCCCACCTCTACTAAAAACAAAAAAATTAGTCGTGCGTGGCGACAGGCGCCTGTAGCTCCAGCTACTCAGTAGGCTCAGGCAGAAGAATCACTTGAACCCAGGAGGCAGAGGTTGCAGTGAGTTGAGATCGTGCCACTACACTCCAGCCTGGGCAACAAGAGCAAAACTCCATCTCAAAATAATAATAATAATAAATAAATAAGAAAACACAAAGAAAAGGAATATGACAAGTCAGGAGAGGGCTGGGTTTCTGCTACAGCACTACCTACAGCAGCTGCTGAGAAGGGGTCTTTTCAGTGAAGGCCTGAAGGATGCAGGAAGCTGGCCAAGGGTCTGGGGAAACAGGATCCAGGCAGTGGGAAAGCAAGTGAAAAGGCCCTGGGGCAAGGACCATTCCTGGTGTGTGTGTGAGGAAAGAAAGGCAAAGAGGCCAGCGGGAAGCAAGGGAAAGCCAAAGATGAAATCTGAGGAAACCGGGAGACAGCCCAGGGAAGGCCTGCAGGTCACAGAAAGGACTTCAGCTTTGATTCTGACTGGGAAGAGAAAGCATGAGGCAGTCCTGAGCACGTGTGGCTTGTGTTTTAGCCAGATCGCTCTGGCTTCGGTGTGGAAGGGGGCACAGGCTGAGGCAGGGAGCATCTGGAGGACTTCCGTACAAGAGCCAAGGGAGAGAAGATGCTGGCTTGGACCAGGGCGGGCAGGGGAGGTGATAAGAGGCGATGACATTACAGATACGAAGGCAGAAGTGACAGATGGGCTGTCCACCAGATGTGGGGGCACACAAGTGAGGATTCAAGGCAACACCAAGGCTGGTTGCCCGACTGGACCAGTGGTGCTTGCCCCTAATTGAGATGGGGAAGACAGCAGGAAAGCTGACTTGGGAGACACCAGCAGGAGCTGAGCTCTGAGCATGTTCAATTTCGGATGAGCCTCAGGGTCAAGGGCACGGCTTAGGGCAGAATCCCGGGCAATCCAGTACCTTTTCTTTCAGAGATGGCAAAAGACAGAGGGCACAGGAAAGTCAGAAGGAAACCAAAATCAGTGGGAAATAATTTGCAAAAGGAAGGTGGGCAAGCTGAAGAGACAGAGACCACTAGCTTAGTAACTGGCCCCTTCCAGAAAAGGGCCACACTAGTGAGCGGGTGAGCCTGGCCGCCAGACTGTACCTTACCAAGCCTGTCAACTCCAGCCCACCTGCTCTAGTCACCAAGCCACCAGTGGCTGGAAGGAAGGTGCCTTCAAGTGTAAAAATCCCATGGGGATGAATGATAAGGCTGGAAATGACAGGGACAAGGACACACCCCCTTGCTGTGTTTGGATCTCGTGGACTTGCTTGCGTTCCTAAAAGGTGAGCTAAAATCCAGGCTCTATCAAGACTATTTCAAAGGATTTATGGCTCAAAAAATATGGCAACAGATCCTGAGGTTTCTATAGTTTCCCAATCCTAGAATAAGGTGGTTTCAAAATATAAATTTCCTTTAAGGAAAACAAAAATGCCATAACGGGGGCAAGAGACCAGTAAATGATGGCAGAGGGACTGGGGTCCCCAAGGCTGAGCTTATTACCAACCCCCGAACTCCTGGGCCTATTTTTTTTTTTTTTGAGACAGGGTCCCGCTTGGTCACCCAGGGTGGAGGACAGTGGCACAATCATGGTTCACTGCAGCCTCAACCTCTGAGGCTCAAGTGATCCTCCTACCTCAGCCTACCAAGTTGCACGGACTACAATACGGCACTATGTCCAGCTAATTTTTTTTTTTTTTTTTGTAGAGATGGGGGTCTCACCTTGTTGCCCAGGCTGGTCTCAAACTCCCAGGCTCAAGATATCCTCCTGCCTCAGCCTCTCAGAGTGTTGGGATTATAGGCATGAGCCACTGTGTCTGGCCTGGGCCTAAAGAGATCTTGTCCCCACAGACTCACTAGACAAGTCAGTGAGGCTTTGCAAGCACAGACTGCACTTTCCAGGGTCTAATACATCTATTCAGCTGTGACGAATGGTCCCTCCTGGTTCTCACTATACAATGCAAACCCGATGGGCACACTTCCCAAGATGGGCTCACCACTGAGAGGTAAGCAGACAAGCAGCAGCAGGACAGGCAGACAGAGCATGCACACACAGATACAGACACACAAACCTAAGGAAAAGCACTGTTTTCTTCTTTTTAGATGGAGTCTCACTTTGCTGCCCAGGCTGGAGTGCAATGGCACGACCTCTGCTCACTGCAACCTCCAACTCCCAGCTGAAGCGATTCTCCTGCCTCAGCCTCCTGAGTAGCTGGAATTACAGGCACACGCCACCACACCCAGCTAATTTTTGTATTTTTAGTAGAGACAGGATTTTGCCATGCTGGCCAGGCTGGTCTCGAACTCCTGACCTCAGGTGATCCAGCACCTGCCTCAGCCTCCCAAAGTGCTGGGATTACAGGTGTGAGCCACTGCGCCCAGCCCAAGAAAAGCACTTTCTAAAGAGTGCTAACTCTGCCTTTTCTTCTTCCCTTCCTGAAGAATTCTGCTGAAGACAAGAAGGCAGGCGTTCATGGGAGAATGGCAGAAGCCCACTACAGGGTCTTAAGAGTCTGAGCGGAGTGAGGAAGGTATGTGAAGGGAGAGGCACCAGGTGAGGGGGTCAGAGCCTGGCAAGTGAAGAAGGCACCAGGCAGGCAGTGGGGTGATAGCAGTGAAGGTAAAACTGTTTGATCAAATAAATATTTTACATATAATGGGATGCGGCTTTCTTACTGTCAGAGAAGAAAGTTAGAAATATGAAAGAGAAAAAATAAATGAACCATTCAGTATCAGAACAAAATGATAAATGCTGGTCTGAATTTAAGGTTTTCAATACATAGACTAACAGATGTAGAAAGAAAGAAATCTAAGTGCACGTGTACGTGCTACACACATTTCCTAGCTATCTCCAAAAGGGTGTGGCAGCAGTGAAATCCCAACAGCAAGGAGCCCACCTACTGCCCACAATTGGTTCTAAATATCACTCTCCACTAAAAGAACCTAGGCTCTTTGGACAAAGAACTAGTTCCAGTCTGGGTACGGTAAGAACAAGATGGGTTTGGAACAGTGTCACTCAATGAGGAAAGGCTCACAGAATGATGGGGAAGTGTCCAAGGAACATGGAAGCCAGTTTGGTGGGGCCCCCACTAACAAAATCCGGGACAATCTGAGCATCACGATAAATAATAACAGATCCCAACCCGTGGAATAAAACAGGAAAACAGGAGTCCACAATGACATGAAGTTTGAAAAAGAATGAGATATTTACATCATGTCAAAATGCCCAACTGCCAACAAAATATCTCTTTTCAAAGGGAAAAGTCATTTTACAGTGGAGAAGCTCCACCAAGTTGTCCAAGGGAAGCAGTAATGGGACACACGGAGCCAGGTCTACGAGAGCAGATGCACTGAGAAGAGCCGGCATCACTTCTGGGAGGTTCCTGACAAAGATGCACAACCTGAAATCAAATCATGAGAAACATCAGACCAACCCAAATTGAGGGACATTCTACAGAATCAACTGGCCTAGAATTTTCCTAAGCACCAAGGTAATGAAAGGCAAGAATGACTGAGCTACTGCCCCAGATTGAAGGAGACTCCAGAGTCAGTGCAACTCATGAATCCAAACTGGATCCATCTGCTGTAACAGGCACTCAGGGACAACTGGCAAAACCCAAGTAAGCCTGCCCGTGGATCAGATGGTAGTGATGTATCAAGACTAATTTCCTGATTTTGACAACTGTGCTGTGATTATGTAAGAAGGTCCTTGCTTGGAAAATACACCCACTAAAACACCGGGGGATAATGGAGTATCAGGTCTGCAATTTACTCTCAAATGCTTTAGAGAAAAAATGGTTTCATACTGTTCGTGCAACCTTCCTGTTAGGTTCAGCCTGTTTCCAAAACAGGCAGAAAAAATAAGTTCTTTATTTACCCTCACCTGCCAAGGACGCATGAGGCTGGGCTATTTTAAATGTGGTGACAGGCACATTCTAAGCCTCTTATTCAGATTCAGTCAGTGCTGATCACTGCATACATAACCAGACCACACACGTCAGACAGATTTACACTCATCAATTGTTACGTAGAAGGACATCCAAAGATGGGACTGAGCTAGTTAAAGGGAAACTAAAAGCATATCTCATTCTAGGAAATTGACAGAATTCCTGAAAGGATTCATGGTAAATTTCTGCTAACATTAACCTGTGTTTCTATGATTTACATTAAACAAATCAAGTAACATTTTGACAGAAAAACCTGAGGCACCCCCTCTAGAATAAAAATTATGTTTATTAAGTTAACAAATCCAATAAAATAAGTACTCTCATATGTTGCTGGTGAATATTAAAAAAAAACAACCTTTTAGAATGGCAATTTTCACATATGTATTAAAACGCTTAAAAATGAACATTAAAAACTTTTCGTCTAACAAATCCAAAATAAGAAAAACACTCACTGAGCATTTATGATGTAGCAGGTGCCATTCTAAGTAGTCTGCAAATATTAACTAATTTAATCCTCCCAACAACCCGTTACTACCCCCACTTTCAGATGAGAACTGAGACCCAGAGTAGCTAAGCAACTTGCCTGGGGCCACAACACCAGCAAGTAGAACAGCTGGGCTGAGAACTCAGGTGGTCAGCCTGGCTCCAGAGGCCACACTCTTCAGAGGCAGGTCGCCTGCTTTCCTAAAATCTCCCCTAGGGATTCAATCCAAGAAGTATGAATCTGGAAGCACATAAGGCTTTATGTCCAAAGATACACACTGCAAGATTATGAGCAGGAAAAGCTGGAGACCATCTGAATGTGCATAAACAAGGAGACTGGCTCAATAATTATGGTCGGTGCACACCACAGAACGCCACGCAGCAATTTCAAATGCTCCTCCTGCAGTAGGCTGAAAAATGGTCCCCACAAAGATGCTCACATCCTCATTCCTAGAACCTGGGAATGTTACTTTACACACAAAAGCATACAGGCCAAAGGGACTTTGCAGCTGTGACTAAATGAAGGCACTGAGACAGTATCCTCGGTGATCCAGGTGGGCCAGGTGTCATCACAAGGGTGTCTATAAGAGAGAGGCAGGAGATGACAACAGGTAGTAATAGATGTGATGATGAAAGCAACAGGCTGGCTGGGCACAGTGGCTCACGCCTGTAATCCCAGCACTGTGGGAGGCCAAGTCGGGCAGATCACCTGAGGTCAGGCGTTCGAGACCAGCCTGGCCAACATGGTGAAACCCCGTCTCTACAAAAAATACAAAAATTAGCTAGGTAATGGTGGTGGGTGCCTGTAATCCTAGCTACCCGGAAGGCTGAGGCAGGAGAATCACTTGAACCCGGGAGGCAGAGGTTGCAGTGAGCCAAGACTGTGCCACTGCACTCCAGCCTGGGCAACAGAGAGAGACTCCATCTCAAAAAAAAAAAAGAAAAAAGAAAGCAATCAAGAGGTTGAGATAATTTGAGGAAGAAGTCAGGAGCCAAGGAACGCAGGTGGCCTGTAGAAACTGAAAAACAAAAGGAAACTGATTCTCTCCACAGAGCCTCCAGACGGAGACAACCCTGCTGAAACTTTGACTTGAGCTCAGTGAGGCGGATTCTGGACTTCTGATATCCAGAACTGTGAGACAGTAAATTCATGTTGTTCTAGGCCACTGTTTGTGGTCATTTGTTACAATAGAAATATGGGGAAATGCTAATGAAATGTTAAGTAAAACAGTTCATGCACCACATAATCCAAATTTTTACATTTCAATTTTAAAATGTGTCTATGAGCAAAAAAAAAAAAAAATGCAGCTGGGTGCGGTGGCTCATTCCTGTAATCCCAGCACTTTGGGAAGCCAAGGCAGGCGGATCACTTGAGGCCAGGAGTTCAAGACCAGCCTGGCCAACATAGCAAAACCCTGTCTCTACTAAAAATACAAAAAATTAGCTGTGCATGGTGACACATGCCTGTAATCCCAGCTACTCAGGAGGCTGAGGCAGGAGAATCGCTTGAACCAAGGAGGTGGAGGTTGCAGTGGGCGGAGATAAAGCCACTGCATTCCAGCCTGGGCAATGGAGAGACTGTCTCAAATGGAAACAATGACAACAAAAAAAACCACTGAAAGACACATACCAAAATGGTTACAGTGGTTCTACCTTTCAATTGTATGATTACAGATAGTTAATTTCTGCTTTAATTTATTTGTTTATAGGGAGCATATGTTACTTTTATACTTAGATAAAACATATTTTAGTATTTTTAAAAACTTTTCAAATAAATTGGTTCACTCCTGTAATCCCGGCACTTTGGGAGGCCGAGGCAGGCGGATCATGAGGTCAGGAGATCGAGACCATCCTGGCTAACACACTGAAACCCCGTTTCCACTAAAAAATACAAAAAAAATTAGCTGGGCGTGGTGGTGGGCTCCTGTAGTCCCAGATACTCAGGAGGCTGAGACATGAGAATGGCGTGAATCTGGGAGGCGGAGCTTCCAGGGAGCTGAGATCACGCCACTGCACTCCAGCCCGGGCAACAGAGCGAGACTCGGTCTCAAAAAAAACAAAAAAAAACAAAAAAAGAATACGCCGGGCTCGGTGGCTCACAGCTATAACCCCAGCACTGTGGGAGGCCGAGACGGGCAGATCACCCGAGGTCAGGAGTTCAAGACCAGCCTGGCCAACATGGTGAAACCCCATCTCTACTAAAAATACAAAAATTAGCTGGGTGTGGTGGCACACACCTGTAATCCCAGCTACTCAGGAGGTTGAGGTGGGAGAATCGCTTGAACCTGGGAGACAGAGGTTGCAGTGAGCTGAGATCAAGCCACTGCACTCCAGCCTGGGAGACAGAGCGAGATGCCATCTCAAAAAAAAAAAAAAAAAAAAGAATAAATCATACTTTCTGGTAAGAGAGTGGCACAAAAATTCAAATATATATGCTAGATTTAATTTTATTTGTATATATACTAGAGCTTAAAAGGGATCTATCTCCTACAAATTGTTCTCAAAGATCTGTCTACAGCTACTTGCCAGCCTAAGGAAAAGATAGCCTTTGAAAATATTAAACTTTTGGCTAGTTCATTCTGAAAGGCTTATTATCATTTGTAATATCACTTAACTTAGAGAGCCTACTTAGGGCTGTTACTGTATCCACTAAATGTTAACTGGATTTAATTTCTATAAATTCTTTATGCAGAAGACCTGGTTATCTTTCCATATAAAGGCATAACGTTCAAAGATGGTATTCCCGTACCTATGGGTTTTTCATGAGAATGATTACACCTCTAATACACGTATAATTAAAAATTTTTGACATCAAGTACTAACTGAAAAAGACACCGTTCAAATTATAGAAATAGAAAATAGTATTTAATGGGATTTGAGTAGAAGGGAGACTCAGTAGAAGAAATGTATTACTTGCGCAAGCAACTGGCCTAGCTGGTGGCTAGCATTCTTTGCAGCTCTTGGAGTCTCCCACTTACAATTTTCACAATAAAAGAATATCACAAAGATTATAATTCTGGGCATAACTAAAATACATCTGAAATTATCTCTTTAAAAATAATTAGAACATAATTTAGGTGAGTGAAAATGACTTGTATCACCCGACAATCATCTAATTATGCAGCTATGCCTTGCTTTGTAATAAACTAGTTTACTAAAATAGCTCCAAAGGAGACTGAATTGTGTTTAGACCACGAAAGGTTACTATCCAGTCCAATTAAAAGTCGGCTGAAAAACTACCACCTTCAGAACTAATTGCATACTTGGCTATATTACCATTGTTTAACAGGCTAACAATTAAGTCATGCCAGACCAAACTATGGTAAAACAAAGGTGTCTTCCCTTTTTTTTTTTTTTTTTTTTCTTTTTTTGAGACGGAGTCTCGCTCTGCCGCCAGGGTGGAGTGCAATGGCGCGATCTCAGCTCACTGCAACCTCTGCCTCCGGGGTTCAAGCGATTCTCCTGCCTCAGCCTCCCAAGTAGCTGGGACTACAGGCGCATGCCACCACGCCCGGCTAATTTTTTTGTATTTTAGAGACGGGGTTTCACTGTGTTAGCCAGGATGGTCTCAATCTCCTGACCTCGTGATCTGCCCGCCTCGGCCTCCCAAAGTGCTGGGATTACAGGCGTGAGCCATCACGCCCGGTCGACAAAGGTGTATTCGGGTGTATTCTTACATCCGATGCAACCATTTATTCTGGCACACTCCATCCATCAGGTGGTCTTGTATTAAAAAGAAAAAAAATTCATCCCAATGTATCACTACAGTCAAGAGTGAGAAACCTTGGTCTGTGGTGTCTTCACTGCCTACTGTTTCACACACATCACTCTTGTCTCCTTTTATTCTTACCCCTTAGTCATGCAGTATTAGCTGGCCACACATAGGGCACCTCCAAACTTCTAACTTCCTTATTTTACTTTAAAATGCCTTTCCTCAGCTGGGCGCGGTAGCTCACGCCTGTAATCCCAGCACTTTGGGAGGCCGACGCGGGCGGATCATGAGGTCAAGGAGTCTGAAACCAGCCTGACCAACATGGTAAAAACCCGTCTCTACTAAAAATACAAAAATTAGCCGGGTGTGGTGGCGGGCACCTGCAGTCCCGGCTACTCGGGAGGCTGAGGCAGGAGAATCGCTTGAACCCGGGAGGCAGAAGTTGCAGTGAGCCGAGATCCACCACTGCACTCCAGCCTGGGCGACAGAGCGAGACTCTGTCTCAAAAAAATAAAAATAAATAAAGCGTTTCCTCAAGCAGAATTCCGCAGCACTGATGGCAGCAATGTACAGTTCACCTTAGCCTTCAGTCTTCCAAGTTTTTTTTTGTTTTTTGTTTTTTGAGACATAGTCTCACTCTGTCGCCCAGGCTGGAATGCAGCGGCGTGATCTTGGCTCACTACAACCTCTGCCGCCTGGGTTCAAGGGATTCTCCTGCCTCAGCCTCCCGAGTAGCTGGGATTACAGGCGCCTGCCATTGCGCCCAGCTAATTTTTGTATTTTCAGTAGAGACGGGATTTCACCACGTTGGCCAGGCTGGTCTTGAACACCTGACCTTGTGATCCGCCCGCCTCGGCCTCCCAAATTGTGGGATTACAGGCGTGAGCCACCGCGCCCGGCCCAGCCTTCCTAGTTCTTGTTAACCTCCTGACTAGAAGAGCTCCCACTTCTTCCCTAGGTGCTTCAAAGGTTCCGCAAGCTCTGCATTGGAATTTTCCCTTTTTATATAGAAAGGACCAACTCTTGATTATACGGGGTGCCTGGGGAGTGCAGTCGTTTGACACGTGTCTGGGTCAGGTCCCAGCTCCCATTCTCAATCAACAGTTTTGCTGTCATCCGCATCACACATTAGAGCATAAAATAAACTTTTATTTGTCAAAAGTGTTCTGCATAAATGCTTAAACAAAATGTGGTATAGCCATACAACTGAATATTATTTGGTCATAAAAGGAATGAAATCCTGATTCATGCTACAACATGGATGAACTGTGAAAACATGCTAAGTGAAAGAAGCCTGACACAAAAGGCCGCATATCATATGTTTCCATCTGAATATACGAAATAGTCATTAAAGGCAAATCTAGAAAGACAAAGTAGATGAAAGGTTGCCTGTGGCGGGGCCTGGAAATGGGCATTGACTACAACTGGGCATCAGAGGTCTTGGGGTAACGGAAATGTTCTAAAAGTGGATTTGGTAGTGGCTGTGCTGCTGTAAATTTACTAAAAACCACTGAATAGTACACTTAAAACAGGTGGATTTTATGGTATGTAAATTCTACTTCAATGAAGCTCTTACATTAAAAAATAAGTATAAATAATAAAAGCGGATTCTCCAGATTGAAAAAAAAAAAAATGAGAGGAATTACTTCTCTTCTGCAAGCCCTCCTTTTCGTAGACATACAATTGGAGACCTTGACGTTAGGAGGGCTTACCTACACAGTTCAGACTAAAGGATGAGTCTCCAGAATTCAACGCAGGTCGTATTCCACTCCACGTAATTTCGAAGTGTCAATCAGAATCTAATAACTTAATTTGTGTAGACAAATAGGCCAAGATTCTCAGGGGCTCAACCCAATATGAAAGGTAAACATCTTAATAAAAATACTGACGATCCACAACGGTCTTAGGTAGCGCAACCATGCCAAGGCGAGGCAAGATTTTTAAGAAGCTACAGGTTTAAAAGGCAATCTGGTTCTGAGAGTTCGCCGAACAGAATCCCCGCATTTCCAAAAACCAGCAGCGCAATATGCACAGACCGAGATAAGGCAAAGAATCGACGTCTTTTAAACCTGACGCCAGCACTGCCCCGGAAGCGCACCTAGAATTGAGTCTGTCTGGAGGCTCCGGGCCAGAGCAGGGCGTATTGTTTCACTCGGTGAATGCTCATTTCACGTAAAGAAAACCAGGCAACGGAACAAGCTGCCGGAGCGCGCAGACCCCCGCAGGGCCGCGGTACAGGCACGCTGTGTCCAAACAAGCGCCGGAGGCCCCGCGCCCACCTCCCCCGACCCGGCCCGGCCCCCGCAGCCCTCGCCTCGGGGCCTCGGACGCAACCGGCACACCTGAGCGAGCGGGCCGCCGCCGCTAGGCGGAGCGGGTCGGGGAGGCCGCGCGCGGGCGGCTGACGTACCTGCGCCGCCGGGAGCTCAGGGCCGGCGGGCCCGGGATAACGGCGCCTCCGCGGCGAACACGCCTGGGCACTCCATTCGGGGCTGTTTACTCCCAACTCTCGCGAGACTGGGCGACCGGGCCAGCGAGGCCCACAGCTGGGAGCCTCAGCTCCGCCGACCCAGCGTGCCCTGTCTGTCCCGCGCTCCCGGGGCTTGCGTGCGCGCTCTGGACGCCGTGGGCAGCGGGACCACGCCGGGAGGATGGACGAAGGTCTCGCGACATTTGCGGCGGCGGGGGCCGGTGGCAGGGTGGAAGCGGAGGGGCGTGGCCAGCGAGCTGCCAGGCGGCGAGAACGCGCTGGGGGAACCCTTGGTCCGCTCTGCGCGTCGCTCTAGGATCCCCGAAAAGGAGCACGGGCGCGAAAGCGGCCAGGCTGGGCCAGGATCTAGAAAGACTGCCTGGCGCAGGCTCCCTGCCCCCGCGGGCCTGCTGTCATGGACTCGTGGAGAGCTCGCTTCCCGCGCGGACCCTTCCTGCAGGGGTCCACGTCCAGGCACCGGCGGCTCGGACACCCCACCCCCGGCCGGGCACCTGCCCTGGGTGCCCCTTAACCCGGGCGGTAGCTCGTTAAGATGGCGAAGTGTCCGGTCCGGAACACGCGAAACCCCAAATCCCGCCTGCCCGACCTCCTGACCCCCGGCCCCACGGGACGACAGACTGGGCCTCCCGACGCGCAGCGCGCTGCCGGGACACCGGTGCGTGCGAAACGGAGGACCTTTGTAACGCCACGTGTTTGCTCTTTTTGAAAAAACAAGAATAAATGTGTTAAACTGTCTGAAAAGCTTGCCGCCTAAAAGATGTCTGGGTGACTTAGATGCTAGGATCAGTTTGTTTTCAATGTAAATGGACCAGCCCGGACTCCGTACGGCACTAGCAGGGGACTGAAAGCGTCTTCAGGTACTGCTGGTGGGCGGTGATGCGCTACAGGCCGATCAGACAGTTTTGTGTCTTTTGGAACTTGACACTGCACCACGGTAATGCTGAACTGCACCAATATTACAGATCACAGCGCATCATCTTCCTTCAACATGATTTAACACAGTTGACTTAATATGGTGGATAAATGTAGAATCACAAATTACCATACCCCACCTCAGGCTTCTACTTCGTAATTTTGAGCAGGTTGTTTAACCTCTTTGTACCTCAGCTTCTTCATTACAAAAATAGGGGTACTAGCCAGGCGGGGTGGCTCGCGCCTGTAATCCCAGCACTTGGGGAGGCCGAGGCAGCCGGATCACTTGAGGTCAGAAGTTTCAGACCAGCCTGGTCAACATGGGTGAAACGCCGGCTCTACCAAAAATATAAAAACTTAGCTGAGTGTGGTAGCGCATGACTGTAATCCCAGCAACTCAGGAGGCTGAGGCAGAGAATCGCTTGAACCTGGGAGGCGGAGGTTGCAGTGAGCTGAGATCGTACCACTGCACTCCAGCTTGGGCGACAGAGCGAGACTCTGCCTTAAAAATAAATAAATAATTTTTTTAAAAAATAGGGGTACTAATATCTACCTTAAAGGATGAGGGTTAAATTAAGTACACACATAAGCCCTAGCGCAGTGGCTTATGCCTGTAATCTCAACACTTTGGGAGTCTGTGGCGGGAGGATCACTTGAGCCCAGGAGTTTGAGACTAGTCTGGGCAACAGAGACATGTCTCTATAGTTGTGTTTGGTTTTGTTTTTACCAGGTGTGGTGGTGTGCACCTGCAGTCCCAGCTACTAGGGAGGCTGAGGTGGGAGGACTGCCTGAGCCCAGGAGGTCGAGGCTGCAGTGAGCCATGATTGTGCCACTGCACTCCAGCCTGGGCAACACAGCAAGACCTTGTCTCAAAAACAAACAAAAAGCATACTCATAAAGTGCTCGGCTCCTATATGATTCAATATGTGGTGGTGGATTCTTGAATCCTTTCCTGACTCAGATCTCATACGATTTTCTGAACTTTTGGAGAATCCTTGCCTCTCTGCATTTGCAAACCGTCAAAGGCACTCCCTTCTGCCACCACACAAAGCATTTGATTTTAAACTTGACTATGTCCTTCTGTTCCAACTTTAGGTAAATTAATCTTGGTCAGGGTTCTCTGAACAGCCCTTTAGTCACTATGCCATTGAATACATGGCCCTACAGCTGGAAACTGGGGTAGAACAGTGATTGCAGGCATCCATCATGTGACAGCGAGGCCCCAAAGAAGGGGAGAGAATGCCACCACCACCAGTTTCAGAGAATGCCTATACACTGAGGGGACTGGTGTGTGGGAGAGAAGTTACTTGGAGAGCTACCAAGACAGCCTGAGCTACAGGATCCTGGTCTACCACTGGTGGATTCCCACCACTCTGGTTCTAAAATAACTTCCTAAACTTGTGCTTCACATACAGAATAAAGCATCTGTAATTCCATGGGAAGGTAAATCTTTATTCAAATGAAATGTTATTTTAAAGAGTAATAGCTGATGGCACAGGCACTAGCCAACCCTGGGAAAGCCTCCCTGGAGTTGTGGCTCCTGGAGTCCCAGCAGCCACTCTGCAGAGATCTTGGAGGTCCTAGTAAACCTGCCGGTGGCACTACAGGCAGGCTGCTTTTTTGGCAAGGGTGGCTTTGCTGAGAGCATCAAAATCTTGGAGGCAAACACCAAGGAGGTGTTCTCGGGCAAGATCGCACCTGAGTCACTGCTGCTCAATCCGCACCCAGAGGAGACGTCCCTGGAGACGTCTCCAGCCTCTCGCTATACTCACTGCAGCCTCGCCCACCAGCACATCTCAGGTGTCAGTGGCTTTTTCAAGGACAACTTCATGCTCCTGGTGCTGGAGCTCTGCCACCTGAGACCTCTCATGGAGTTGCACACGGGGAGAGCGCTAAGCCTGAGGGCACTACTGCCCGCAGTAGATCATCCTTGGCTGCCGGCACCTGCCTGAAACTGGATTAGTCACCGGGACCTCAAGCTGTACCCCCTCTTCCTGAATGATGACCTGGAGGTGAAAACGGGAAGATCTGGACTGGCAACCAAAGTCGAACATGATGGAAGGCAGAGGAAGACCCTGGGTGGGACTCCTGATTATGTAACTCCCAGGGTGCTGGGAAAGAAAGGGCACCGTTTCAAGGTGGATGTGTGGTCCCTTGGGTACATCACATATACCTTGTTAGTGGGCAAACCACCTTCTGAAACCTCTTGTCTAAGAGACCTACCTCTGGTCAAGAACACACACACTGTTCCCAAGCACAGCTACCCAATGGCCACCTCCCTCATCCAGAAGATACTTCAAATCCGACAGCACTCCCAAACCCCTGAGAAGCTGCTGAATAACGGGTTTTTCACATCTGGCTCCAGCCCCTCCCATCTCCCCATCATCTGCCTCCCATCGCACTGAGGTTCTCAATCCCTGCCAACAGCCTGGACCCTGGCAACTGCAAGCTTCTTGTGATCCTCAAGGCATGGAGAACCCCTGCCTGAGCAGCCCCAGGAAAAAGAGGAACCAGTGGCTTAGGGAATGGGACAGACGGTCAATGCCACTGTGGTGACATGCTGCAGCAGCTACACAGCACGGGCTGGTGAGGCAAGAGGAGGCTGAGGATGCCACCTGCATCCCCAGCTTCTGGGTCAGTGAGCAGGTAAACTGTTCCAACAAGCACAGCCTAGGGTATCAGCTGTGTGACAACAGTGTCACACATGCCTTATCCTCGACAACACCGTGACAGCCTGCAGTGCCTACGGTAGTGCTCCCTTATCCGAGGGGACATGTTCCAAGACCTCCGGTGGATGGTCTTGGGACTCACCGTGGCTGGAACTTTGGCAGTTTGAGGTGTGACAGCAAAACTAGCATGAATTTCTTTTTCCTTCTTTCCAATGTCATGGAGAGATTTGTTTTACTGCAGATCTCAGCAACTTCAGCATACAATGTTTTTCTTTCCTTATTAAGTGGAGAAGTTTTACCTTTTCACTTAAAAGAGCACTTTACAGCTTCTTGGTATATCCATAGTGCCAGCATCACTACTCTTGGGCTTTGGGGACATTACGAAGTAAAATAAGGGTTACCTGAACAGAAGCTGTGGACATGGGGAGAATTCCAATCCCAGGCAGGAGGGAGTGGGATGGTGCGAGATGTCATCACACTCCTCAGAACTGTGTGCAATTTAAAACTTATTAACTGTTTATTTATGGAATTTTCCATTGAATATTTTCGGACCTCGATTGATCATAGGTAACTGAAACCTCAGAAAACAAAACTGTGGATAAGCGGAAACTACTGTCCACAAAGCATGATGACACAAGTCCTGCCCCACTGTGTGTTCCCATCCAACTCACTGATGGAGGTCACCCCCCTAAGTATTTCCACAACCACCTGAGCAAACACTTACTGAAGAAGGGTGTCAACGTCACGCCACGGGAAGGCCATGAGCCTGCCCACCCCCTCCCCCGGGAGCACCTGTCTCCATGCCTGCAGCACCATCATCCCGCCCTCAACAGTGGCGCTGTGCGGGGCTGGCCAGAGCACATCGCCCTCGCAGGGGGGCTTGCTGTGGAAGTGGAAGTTCTATTTGTGCACGTTCCAGAGTGGGTTCTAGAGCTGCCTCCCTTCCCTTTCAGTCTCACCATAGGAATTACACAGAATATTTTTTTTTTTTTCTTTTGTGACAAAGTTTTGCTCTGTCTCCCAGGCTGGAGTGTCGTGGTGCGATCTCAGCTCACTGCAACTTCCGCCTCCCGGGTTCAAGTGATTTTCCTGCCTCAGCCTCCTGAGCAACGGGCATTACAGGGGCGCGCCACCACGCCCGGCTAATTTTAGTATTTTTAGTAGAGACGGGGTTTCACTACGTTGGTCAGGCTGGTCTCAAACTCCTGACCTCATGATCCGCCCGCCTCGGCTTCACAAAGTGCTGGTATTACAGGCGTGAGCCACTGCACGCGGCCAGGAATAACAGAGAATATTTCTACTGAATTCACGACTGTCCTGTGCTTGGCTTTATACTCATTAAACATATATGAATTTTTAAAAAGATAAATAACACATAAGCCAATACTGAGACTGAGACATAAATTGACTGGAATAGGTTTTGAGGACATAACCATCTAACCCTCTGGTTCCCAAATGTGATTAGATTTTAAGTAATTGAGGATAGGAAAACACAGGAAAGTCTCCTAGGAGCTGTCTCTATCTGCTCTCTTCCCTTTTTTTCTTCTTCCCACTCTTTCTTGAATCCATTACAATTCTAGCCTGAAGACTGAAATGGCTCATGGAAAAAAATCACCAATGATCTCCATCCACACAGCCAAATTCCATGCTCAAATCAATCCTCACCTTACTCAACCTACCAAGAGAAAGAGATCCAGAAGTCAACCCAGTAGCTTCCAAAGACTAGGCACATAGTTATAAACAATTTTGTTACTGACGTGTCAGCTTTTAATCAGTTATGACCACTGTTGTTCATGTTAATTTCTTGCAATCACTCCTAAGAAAAAAAAATTCTCTCATTCCAAATTACAAACAACCAAATTACAAACATCTGGAACAAAACTCTTCCAAAGGAAACAAACAACTACTTTTATTGTTAAACTTTCAATTCACAGATTAACTTTCAAAGGTTCATATTTCCCACGTTCTTTTTTTTTTTTTGAGACAGGGTCTCGCTCTGTCTCAAGGCTGGAGTGCAGTGGCACGATCTTGGCTCACTTCAACCTCTGCATCCTGGGCTCAAAAAATTCTCCTGCCTCAGCCTCCCAAGTAGCTGGGACTACAGGCATGCACCACCCTGCCTGGCTAATTTTTGTATTTTTTGTAGAGACAGGATGTGTTCCCCAGGCTGGTCTCGACCTCCTGGGATCAAGCGATCCACCTGCCCTGGCCTTCCAAACTGCTGGGATTACAGGTGTGAGCCACCGCACTCGGCCCCTATTTCCCACATTCTTAATGACACCCCATCCACAGTGGTCCAATCAACTTTCAAATTAGCTCTGGGGAAAAAAATACATTTAATGAAAGCTAGAAAACCTAGAGAAGGTCTTGCTCTTCATCTTTCACTGCAGCTATGGACAGCTCGGCACCACATTTGCACCAATCAGCATGTTTGCCCATGTCCTGCCAAGGAGAGAAGTTTACATCATCACTGACAAGGTGTGTTCACCTATTCTCATCACGTAACACTGATGGATTCCATACCTAATTTATCAATCTAAGACATTACTGGACCACGTAACCTTACATATAACTACCTGACCATATTTTCACATGAAGTTGCTGCTGCTTATTATACATCAAAGTTCACGTCAATGTGGCATGAAGTCAAGAGGATTCCAAGCAAACTCCATCAAAACCTTGGGGCTCACAGCATCTCCCAGTGTGTAGATTTTCACATCTAAGTTCTGAAGACATGATCTAAGCGTGGAAGAGCTTCTGAAGTTGACCACTGATCTTCTGAGTGCAAGTCACATCTGGAAATCCTGTAGGCAATGTCATGGGCAAAATTGTGTTCATAAAACTGTGCTTAGGTCTGCTTATGATAGATTATCACGTCACGAAAAAAATGCCACAGAAGTCCAGACTTTTAACCAATCTACTAGCTTCTGCATCAGTATCACAATGCCGAGCTCTGAATTTTAAATGTGCACATATTGTCATATTCATATAGTGACTTAGAGTTTTCAAAGCACTAGGTACATGGTCCTCAAAAATGGTTGGCTTTATATGACCCAAACTAAGGACATTTCACAGGTTTCAATGTTAACGCGTATTGTGAGGGTTTGTGCATAATTATCTTCACACCAGTAAAGGTATTCACTACAATACATAAATTCATTACACAAACCAAGAATAAGCTTCTAACTTATATTGACAGATATGTCACACACGTAATTTGTCCATATTTTACTATTCCATAAATACTTACTATTTCTATCAATAATGCTACTGGAATGGAATAATATTACATAGAAAAACGTAGGAAAACCAGATATAACAAGCTCTAAAGGGCTAAATTTCAGTTATAAAATGGGTCAGAGGCTGAGAAATCACTATTTATCCACAAGAATTGCCTTATAAATCAAAAGATGACTGCAGGTTTCTCTTACATATCCAAATCTAGGAATAAGTTCATTCCATAGCAGATTTGAAAAAACACAAATATAATGTAGGAAGTAATATCATTCATGGCAAACCAACAGCATGAAATTTGGTAGGCTTATTTAGGATGAAAAGGAATAATCTAGATTGTTTTAATACCCTATAAGAGTCCATGTTAAGTCACCCTGACAAAAAATCTTTTTAAAAATATGGTAACCATAAATAAAGTTGCTCAAAGGCACCACACACACGCACACACACGGTTCTCTAATGAAATACCAGTTGAAGTGCAGCATTTTCATTACAGATAGTCAAACAGCTAGAGCTATACAATACACACAGATTTTTCCTAATAGTACCAGCAATCTTAGTTACAAAATAATACTTTTCAGTAGTCTTTCTTGATGCACATTTAAAAACCAGCACAACTCCTCTAGTGAAATGGTCAATTTCCCTTAAAAAACAACATCTGAAATTATAAGACCTGACAAATCATATTATATTTCAATATTAGACTGCTGTGGCTCTAGAACAACAGAAAAGCGTAACTTTCAAACAGCTTAGGGAAAAAGCACTGAAATGTAGATGTCGTCAATCAGCCTCAGGCATTATTGATCCTGTGCCATCCACACACCCTTAAGGTTTTTCACAGCACTCTGACGGTATTATGTGTGTTTTGCAAATGACGAATCAACAGTATGCTGAATAATCAGCAATGAAACACAGGAGATAAATTAAATGTGTTTTTCCAAATGTCAGAATATCGAGGTTCCCAGGAGTTGGCAAAACTTCTCAAGTGGCCATCCAGACTCAGGCTGTGCAGGATAAGGCTTCCTTACGTAGTGAACGGTTGAGAATATTTGCTCCCCACACCCAGAGCCATTCAGGCATATACTGTGCAAAAAGAAACTAAAAATGAAAGAGAAAAAGGTTGTAAGGTTAGAACCCAAAATCAACACTGAAGGAACAAGTACACAGACCAGCACATGAAACCCACCAATCACAACAAATACCCACCAATCAATCACAACAAATACCCACCAATCACAACAAATACCCACCAATCAATCACAACAAATACCCACCAATCACAACAAATACCCACCAATCACAACAAATACCCACCAATCAATCATAACAAATACCCACCAATCACAATACACACCAATCAAACAAATACCCACCAATCACAATACCCACCAATCAAACAAATACCCACCAATCACAACAAATACCCACCAAGCAATCACAACAAATACCCACCAATCAATCACAACAAATACCCACCAATCACAACAAATACCCACCAATCACAACAAATACCCACCAAGCAATCACAACAAATACCCACCAATCAATCACAACAAATACCCACCAATCACAACAAATACCCACCAATCACAACAAATACCCACCAATCACAACAAATACCCACCAATCAATCACAACAAATACCCACCAGTCACAACAAATACCCACCAATCACAACAAATACCCACCAATCAATCACAACAAATACCTACCAATCACAAACACCCACCAATCAATCACAATACCCACCAATCAATCACAACAAATACCCACCAATCACATTACCCACCAATCAATCACAATAAATACCCACCAATCACAATACCCACCAATCAATCACAATAAATACCCACCAATCGATCCCAACAAATACCCACCAATCACAATAAATACCCACCGATCAATCACAACAAATACCCACCAATCAATCACAACAAATACCCACCAGTCACAACAAATACCCACCAATCACATTAAATACAACAAAGGAAAAAGCCTCCAGGTACTACTGTACTGAATACCTACTTTTGCCTAAGATCTTACCCTAGATTCTACATGGAACAGAAACATGACCACCACCCACCTACCCGACTTTCTGTAATGAGGCTGGACTGTCCTGCATGTAAATACAATTCTGTCTTTACTTAACGTGATATGAACAAAATGTTCACTGGTTAAGAACCACAAAATCGGCTGGGCACGCTGGCTCATGCCTGTAATCCCAACACTTTGGGAGGCCGAGGCGGGTGGATCATGAGGTCAGGAGATCGAGACCATCCTGGCTAACAGGGTGAAACCCCATCTCTACTAAAAATACAAAAAATTAGCCAGGCGTGGTGGCGGGAGCCTGTAGTCCCAGCTACTCAGGAGGCAGAGGCAGGAAAATGGTGTGAACCGGGGAGGCGGAGCTTGCAGTGAGCCGAGATCGCGGCACTGCACTCCAGCCTGGGCAACAGAGCAAAACTCTGTCTCAAAAAAAAAAAAAAAAACACCACAAAATCATTATAGGAATAAATCAGTTGGAACAGACAGACGCATACGTGGTTAGTACTCTATGAGAAAACTGGGGCTTGAGGGGTAGTATGGAACAAAGTTCAACAAGAAAACAGGTCAGAAACACCAGTACCTTGGGATGGTATCTTGACCTATGATGGGGGTGCTCAGGGGACCAGGGAAGGGAGTCCTGCTGATGCTGCTCTGCTTCAGGGTCTCACTCAGGGCCTTTGTGCTAGCAGCAGACATAGGGCAATGTCTGAAAACAAATTTGGTCGTCACACTGGGAGTGGATGCTACTGGTATCTAGTGGGTGGAGGCCCAGGATGGTGTTCAACATCCTACAATACACAGGACGCTCCCCATGTCAAGGAATTACCTGCTCTCAATGCCAACAGTGCTGAGGTGGAGAAAGCCTACACTCCTCTAACAGATTTGTTCAGAACCGAATGAAAGTTCTAACACCGTGTATACGAAAGAGAAGAGAGACAGGCCCTTGGCAAGTACTGACATTCTAGTCTTGAACTGAACTGATGAATGATAATAGAGGTCATTCAATCCTCTTGTCAATAAATGGACACAGGTTACTCTCCAGGGAGGACACACCCACACCCACACACACACACACTCACGCACTTTGTGAACAAAATCACAGCAGCAAAAGCTATCAGAGAAATATGCCATGGACAAAACAGCAAAGGATGAATCAAATCTTTGATGTAAAATTGGAAATAAAAAATGATAGTGTTGAAAATAATTTGAGTAACATAAAATGAAAACAGAAAGTTTTAACAACTTTATACAGAAAACTACTCCAGGAATTAAATCAGCTTAACAGAATTTCTTGGCAGAAAAATACATTCTCAAGGAAAGTTTATCAATGTGAACAAAATTTAATTTTGAGTAAACTGTTCGTGTTTTATAAACACAGTCAAAACATCTACTGCACCTAAACCTGATCCTCATATCTTTATTTCTAAAAAAATTTTATGGTCAGTGACTTCTAAGACTACTTTTTAGGTTTCTCTGCTTTTCTCAAGTAATTAAAGGACCTGGAAACAACTACTTAAATAAAACTGTTTCTTCTTTTTTTTTTTTTTTTTTTTTTTTTGAGATAAGAGTCTAGCTCTGTCACCCAGGCTGGAGTACAGTGACGTGATCAGCTCACTGCCACCTCCGCATCCTGGGTTCAAGCGATTCTCATGCCTCAGACTCCCAGGTAGCTGGGACTACAGGCGTGCACCACCATGACCAGTTAATTTTTATATTTTTAGTAGAGATGGGGTTTCACCATGTTGGCAAGGCTGGTCTCGAACTCCTGACCTCAGGTGATCCACCAGCCTCAGCCTCCCAAACTGCTGGGATTAGAGATGTGAGCCACCACCACGCCCGACCAAAACTGCTTCTTATTAATCTCTCACTTTTCATAAAAGTCATAATTAACTGTTGATATACTTACATGTTTATTTGGTAGTGGCAAATCTAATACTCTTCATGCAAACAGTCCCAAAAATATCTGTTTGATAATTAAGAAAACTCCGAATATTAAAAAAAAAAAAAAATTCGGACCAGGTACAGTGACTCACACTGGTATTTTTTTTTTTTTTTTTTGTGAGACGGAGTCTTGCTCTGTCGTCCAGGCTGGAGTGCAGTGGTGTGATCTCGGCTCACTGCAAGCTCTGCCTCCCGGGTTCACGCCATTCTCCTGCCTCAGCCTCCTGAGTAGCTGGGACTACAGGCGCCCACCACCACGCCTAGCTAATTTTTTTGTATTTTTAATAGAGACGGGGTTTCACGGTGTTAGCCAGGATGGTCTCGATCTCCTGACCTCGTGATCCGCCCGCCTTGGCCTCCCAAAGTGCTGGGATTACAGGCTTGAGCCACCACGCCCTGCCAGCTCACGCTTGTAAATCCCAGCACTTTGGGAGGCCAAGGCGGGTGGATCACCTGAGATCAGGAGTTCGAGACCAGCCTGACCAACATGGTGAAACTCCATCTCTACTAAAAACACAAAAATTTGCTGGGCGTGGTGGCAGGCACCTGTAGTCCCAGCTACTCCGGAGGCTGAGGCAGGAGCATCACTTGAACCCGAGAGGTGGAGGTTGCAGTGAGCCAAGATCGCACCATTACACTCCAGCCTGGGCAACAAGAGCGGAATTCCATCTCAAAAAAAAAAAAATTCTAAACTAGGGCACATCTCTTTACTACACCAGATAAAGGAACTGAAATATATTGTAATAGATAATTATGCATTCTCAAATTAATACTTACGATCACAATTTCAAATATCTAAGAAAGTTACTTTCTACAGTACTAAAAGGTACCAATCCTTTGTCATGCCTAAACAATAAGCTTAAAATAAAAATTCTATGCTTCTTGAAAAAATTAGTCTAAGACTATACAGAGATATTATTTGATAAAATGGTTGCATGAAATATAGCCCTATCTTGTGGTTTTGTGGTTTTTTTGGATTATATTTTTCACTGAGAGGTAACCCTCAAGCAGTACTAGAATCTTTTACTTTGAAATTCCCATGTAAATACTTAGTATTTTTATAGTCCTAACATCCACTTACAGCAGCATATTTCTTTTTTTTTTTTTGGAAACAGAGCCTTGCTCTGTCGCCTAGGCTGGAGTGCAGTAGCGTGATCTTGGCTCACTGCAACCTCCGCCTCCAGGGTTCAAGCGATTCTCCTGCCTCAGCCTCCCAAGTAGCTGGGACTACAGGCACACACCACTAAGCCTAGCTAATTTTTGTATTTTTAGTACAGACAGGGTTTCACCATATTGGCCAGGTTGGTCTCGAACTCCTGACCTTAGGTGATCCACCCACCTCAGCTTCCCAAAGTGCTGGGATTACAGATGTGAGCCACCACACCCCAGCCAAAGTAGTATATTTCACTTTAAGGTGCCACATAGATTGAACTTTTGAAAATTCTTAAGGTAATAATTTCACAAAAGAAAATTTAGTGTCTTTGGTCAGGCACGGTGGCTCACGCCTGTAATCTCAGCACTTTGGGAGGCTGAGGCAGGCAGATCATGAGGCCGGAGATCAAGACCATCCTGGCTAACACGGTGAAACCCCGTCTCTACTAAAAATACAAAAATTAGCCAGGCGTGGTGGCAGGTGCCTGTAGTCCCAGCTACTCGGGAAGCTGAGGCAGGAGAATGGCATGAACCCGGGAGGCGGAGCTTGCAGTGAGCTGAGATCGCACCACTGCACTCCAGCCTGGGTGACAGAGCCAGACTCCATCTCAAAAAAAAAAAGAAAGAAAATTTAGTGTCTTAACCAAAATTATTAAGTGTCAGGCTTAAGAGTCAGAATTTACAATTCTCATCTTAGGCTTTAATCAGATTTCTCTGTATCACTGAGATAGGTTCATGATGCATTAATCTAATTATGAGACCTGAAGCACACTCCTACCTGAATAGAATGGGACCAATATCCTGTGGTCCTTTTGGAAATCCCAAGAGTAGAAACAGCATGATGTGCATAGACTTTTGGCGAAGGCACCAACCACGAGCACCTGTGCAGAAAGTTGCTGGGTGCTGTCATGCTGGTGGCTACATAGAAAGGGATTAGACTCTGTACAAAGATTCCTTTAGAGGCATATTCATATTGCAAGGCTCTGCTGAAGTGGTCTAAATAAGCCTGTTGAGACAGAGGGGAGGAAAAGACTTTTAATTCTGGGTGAACTTGAAAATTCAGGAGAAAAAAAGACTTGCTTATTATCAATTCAGGAAAAAATACAGGATAAGCATATGTGAGTTGCTGACAAAGAGTTCAACAAATCAGACCAAACAACTGTTAATAAATGTTCTGTGGCATTAGGATTTCATCTTCCAGTAAGTAACATCTGACCTTAGAAGCAGAAAATGCAGCCAGCTGAGGAGTGGGTTTGCAGCAGGAGCCAGAAGAGATCGTGACGATGGCACCTTTCTTTCTCTCCACCATTCCCGGTAACACAACATGGACCATCAAACTAGCGGCGGCAATGTTCACATTTATGATGTCCCAGAGCTTGTCCTCGGACAGCTGAGTGAAATACTGCGGGTAGGGATAAAACACACCCACGTTATTTACCAAGATGCCAACGTCTTTGTCCTTCAGGGCTTCTCGAATTGGAAGGTAGATCTCACGACCGCTGCTGAAGTCCGCAACTATAATATCAGTTTCCACTTTGTACGTGTCGGCTATGTCTTTAGCAACAACCTGCAACTTCTCCTCGTTCCGACTAATCAGGATTATATTGAGACCTCGGCTTGCTAACTCTTCAGCGTAGGCTTTTCCAATCCCATCTGTTGCACCTAGGATGCAAGTCAGGAAAAGTGAGCATGTGTATTTCACGGTGTGACCCTTAAAATGGACCCAAAGTACCCCCTGTCAGGTTTAGTCAGAGAAAAATTCACACTAGAAATCAAGTCGGTTCTAGTATCTACAAGTCAAGGACACTGTTGCTGAATGAGGAATGTGAAGGGCGCATGCTATACACTCTCCCAGACATCCTGACACACGGACAGGGAGTTATTTTACATTCACCATATTGGTTAGGAGACACAGTAGGAATTTGTTTTCAAACTACTATCTGGCTTGAATGAGTGGCAGGAGGTGCTTTTCTGGGAAATCTTCATAAATTAAAATGAAATTCAAAATAGGTGAAGCATTTCTGAAAGTGGCAACACTTTCAAGACAATTTTAAAACAGAGAACAAAAAGGAAAAGCACATAGTAGGAAGTGGGTCTGGAGGAGGACTGGGAACAGGAGAGAGCAGAATAGGAAGGATACCAATCATGAGGCCAGTTCTTCCTAAGATGAGAGCAGTAAGAAAATGAAATGTGAACATAATCACGGCAGGAGCCATAAGTTTTATTTTTTTATCAGCATGTTCCCATAAAAACACCACATTAAATTCAATAGCTCCTTGAATAATGCATCCGACTTCACAGAAAAGATTATTTTGATTATAAAGTAGGTTACCGCTGACAACGGCCCATCTTCCATACTGCTTGATCAAGTCTGCTCTGCTCCCCAGGCGGGGGATAAAATGCAGCCTGATCAGGCTGTAAAAGTCACAGATGACAGTGATGCTTTTTCTGGCCGTATACCAGGCTCCAACCAAAGCTAGAGCTTCCATATAGCAATTGCAAGACCTGGCGATTTCCCTGTACAAGAGGTAGAAACTGTCAACAGCAGCCATGGCAACCTGCAGGGAGAGGGAAAGAGAGAGAGCCTCTTTGATTAATAAATTAAAGGAACATACACAGTCTGAGTGAAGACATCCAGCTGAGGGCATCAGATCTTGTCAATTGTACGTTCAAATAACACTAACTTTTCAAATGTACGTGGCTCACAGTTTCAGTCTATCTATCTATCTATCTATCTATCTATCTATCTATCTATCTATCTATCAGACAGAGTCTCACCCTGTCGCCCAGGCTGGAGTGCAGTGGTGCGATTTTGGCTCACTGCAACCTCCACCTCCCGGGTTCAAGCGATTCTCCTGCCTCAGCCTCCCAAGTAGCTGGGACTACAGGCACATGCCACCACGCCCGGCTAATTTTTTTTTTTTTTTTTGAGACGGAGTCTCGCTGTCGCCCAGGCTGGAGTGCAGTGGCGCAATCTCGGCTCACTGCAGGCTCCGCCCCCTGGGGTTCACGCCATTCTCCTGCCTCAGCCTCCGGAGTAGCTGGGACTACAGGCGCCCGCCACCTCGCCCGGCTAATTTTTTGTATTTTTAGTAGAGACAGGGTTTCACCGCGTTAGCCAGGATGGTCTCAAACTCCTGACCTCAGGTGATCCGCCACCCTTGGCCTCCCAAAGTGCTGGGATTACAGGTGTGAGCCACCATGCCTGGAGATTCAGCCAATTTATGATCTCACCATTTAACATCCGTAGCTTATAAAGTTACTTTCTTCCAAGGAGACTAATCAACATAACTACCAGAAGTTACCAAATTCCCACTAAAATTCAGGTACTACACTACATGCTGTGGCTACAGAGATAAACACAATATGCTCTGTGCCTGTAACATGCTCCTAGTCTAATAATAACAAACACAAAGCTTCTAATTCATACAGCAGAGGTACATGTATTTCTTTGCTTTATTCATAATCAGCAAGAATGGAGGACCTACTACCTGTGTAGGGACAAAGGAGATGAAACAGAGGTGGCACTAAGACATGGCCTTGGCCTCAAAAGCTTACAATCCACTGGAGACAAAACTCAGCTTTCAAAAACCTTTACATCAATTAAAAAAAAAATTTTTTTTAAAGAGATACCCTCCAAGCTTGGAAAAATGGCTTCTCAAATGACAATAGAGGGAGCACTCCTCCATCTTCTAACTTAATTTGTAACCATTATGTTGCCTGGTCTCTTACATTTGAGGAAAGAAAAGTCCAACACAACTCTGTTGAGTGTCCACATAGCAAGTATATACTAAGCACCTACTATGTTCTATGTACTGTGATTCAAAGGATTCACAGATGAACTAAATGACCGTCCCTAGGTGAAGACGCAGACATTTAACAAAATAATGTAAAATGCCACATGATGTGGTAGGTGTGTGCCTGCAATCAGAGATAACCCTGCAGAAGTAGACAAAGGCCAGGCATGGGGGGTCTGGCCACAGACCGAGTGAGTGGACTTCATATCAGGCTAAACCAACCGTGTGCATCCTGCGAAAGACAAAATATCAAAACAACTGCAATAGACTACACTTATATTACAGGGAACTCAGATACACACAAACCCAAGGACACAGCTTATATTCTAAAAAGAACATGATTTTAAGCCAAAAGAAAAAGAAATATAAAACTTCTGGGGGTGGCAACTTTTGAAGAAATCCCTTTAAAATAGAAAAAAAAAAAAAAGTCTGGATACTAAGAAAATACCCAACAATAGCAGCACAAATTAGCCTAAGTTTGAGAAAGAATGGGGAATTCCCTCCTACTCCACTGCAGTGTAATCTGAGCTCAACAAAGTTTTGCAAAGTAAAAAAGGAACCAAGCAGAAGAAAACAAATGAACCACTGAAACGGAACACATACAAGAATGGCACCATATTGTGATAAAAGGCATATAAAATAATTTTAAAACTATTGAATAAATATATATAAATGTGTAGTGTGAATTACAAATCAACAAAACGTACACAAGAAATATGACTGAAAACTGAAGAAATGGAGAAGCAGTAGGATTCCTAAATGCCCTACGATAAGGAAACAATCTCTCTAAAAAAGAAAGTTTCATACTGGTACCGTATTAAGTTGATATTGCTGCTATATTAAGTTACCAAATTAAGCCAATGTGGCATTAAGTTTAAAAAATGTTTTCCTCAGCCGGGCGCGGTGGCTCATGCCTATAATCCCAGCACTTTGGGAGGCCAAGGCAGGTGGTCAGGAGTTCAAGACCAGTCTGGCCAAGATGGTGAAACCTCGTCTCTATTAAAAATACAAAAATTAGCTGGGCATGGTGGTGGGCACATGTAATCCCAGCTACTTGGGAGGCTGAGGCACAGAACTGCTTGAACCCGGGAGGAGGAAGTTACAGTGAGCCGAGATCATGCCACTGCGCTCCAGCCTGGGCGACAGAGTGAGACTCCATCTCGAAACAAACAAACAAAAAAGTTTTCCTCAAATGAAAAGTTGGGCCCCTTTATTCCCTACAGGTAAAATGCTGTCCACTGGGGCTCTGTGCACAGAAACTCACCTCCCACAATGAGAATGCCAAAGTTCATCATGAAAAGGAAACATTTTAAATTTGACTAAGTACATAAACCAAATACTTAAGCTAAAAACAACTAAAATAAATGCTCCTTTGGGGTAATTTTTCTTTATGAACCAGATTGGCTGAGATGACCTAAAATATGAGCTGTCTAGTTCAACAAAGTCTTTCTTTTTTCTGAGCAATCTTCCGTACAGCAGTCACCAATACCCCTTACTGCTCCCAAATCCTTTGATTGACAATCCTTTGAAATATATTCAAAGTTAGGGCCCCCCCTTCAGTGTAGCGAACGAGCATACCTGTTTCCAGATCTGCATGAGAGGAAGCCGCGCCACCACCCCTCCCACAACCCTCCTGCTGCTGGATATGCTGATGACGGGCACGGTATCAGAGTTTTCACACTGGCTGTAGCCCTTGAACAGTCATAAGTACTGGACTCCCAAAGACAGGCCCAAAACATTAATATCCTATAAGAACATTAAAAACTGACATTCCAGCCAGGGACGGTGGCTCACACCTGTAATCCCAGCACTTTGGGAGGCCGAGGTGGGCAGATCACTTGAGGTCAGGAGTTCAAGACCAGCCTGGCCAACATGGTGAAACCTGATCTCTACTAAAAACACAAAAATTAGCCGGGTATGGTGGTGACTGCCCAGCTTGGGTGGCTGAGGAAGGAGAATCACTTGAATCAAGCAGGCGGAAGTAACAGTGAGCCAAGATTGCACCACTGCACTCCAGCCTGGGCGACAGAGTTAGACTCCATCTCAAGAAAAACCCCAAAAAACAAACAAAAAAAACAACCGAGATTCTATGTTAGACCATCCTAAATTGTGAGTTCCGGAAATAACTCATAAAAAGTGTGGGTGCCTTTTGTCATAACTAATCAAACACAAGGCCATGAGGAAAGTAAATGCAAAAACAATTACCTGTATGTAATTACCTGTATGTACCAGGACCTCTCAAGCAAAATGTAATAAAATTGGGAATAACAAGCTATGACTAAAGAAACCTAGACACTTGGAATATTAAGCTTATTCTTCTAATAACAGGTAGGCATACATCTAGGCTGTTAAAACAGTGTTTTCAATGAAAAAATAGATACTACAGGCCAGCCACGGTGGCTCGCGCCTGTAGTCCCAGCACTTTGGGAGGCCGAGACGGGCGGATCACGAGGTCAGGAGATCAAAACCATCCTGGCCAACAGGGTGAAACCCTGTCTCTACTAAAAATACAAAAAATTAGCAGGGCGTGGTGGCGGGCACCTGTAGTCCCAGCTACTCAGGAGGCTGAGGCAGGAGAATGGCATGAACCGGGGAGGCAGAGCTTGCAGTGAGCCAAGATCGCGCCACTGCACTCCAGCCTGGACGACAGAGGGAGACTCCGTCTCAAAAAAGAAAAAAGAAAAAAAAAAAAAGAAAGAAAAAACAGATACTACATATCAAGATCAATGGGTTGTAGCCAAAGCAGTATTTGTGGGGAAATGAGTTGCTCCAAGCCTATAGAGTAAGGCTCTCGCTACAAAAAGGAGGTCAGGCATGCCTCATGGAGGAACCCACACAGATGGAAGCTTCCTCCTTAAGCCCGATTTTTTTCAAGAATCTGAACCTTTTTGAAGTAAATGTCTAGCAAAAGGCGCCTGACCACAAAGGGGGCCCCAGTTTTTCTGCTGTGGTCGTTCCCTGCCCTGGGGTCTCTTACCTTCTCTCTGCCAGTTCTGGGCCGTCAGCAGTATGTGGCTCCGTCCTTCTCTTAAGGCCAATCTGTGAATAAAACCAACAAGAAACAAATGCCTTTCCTCTTCCTCATAGTTCAGCTGGGAAAACTTTACATTAAAGTAACATCCAAGTGCTCAAAAATTAAGAAAACACAACAATTCTTACGCCATGAATCTCTGTAGAGGCAGCAAACCATGTACTAGGCACCAAGTACCCTCCTCTCAGAATAAGAAAAGCGCCTGGCGTCTGCTGGGGGCACAGTCCATGCGTCCTCAGGCACAGCTGGAGGGTGCCCCCTTTTCCTATGCCTTTTTTCCTAGGGAACATTTCATCAAATGGGACAAAAGCCCATTCCAATCCCAGGAGCCCTTGGGGAAACACCGCCCAGGCACCAGGCCGGCATCGGGGAAGAGAGCAGCCACAGCTGTCCTCGGTGCCTTTTTCTGCCTGGTGCCTGTCTGGGTTTCACCTGGGCCTCCCACTGCCTCACTCTGCACACCCCTTCTTCAGCTCCACCTGCAGCGTTCCCTGGAACATCCACATTGCCACGGGCTGCCCTGGCTTCTCTTTCCAAATTCCTGGCAGGGATTCTGGCTCGCCCACCTTAGTTCAGGTGCCCACCACCTGTCTAATCTCCTGGCAGGGTGGCAGGGAGGAAGGCGTCCTACAGTGTTTGGGGGCAGCCCCCCTAGGCTGTGAGTGGGTCAGATGCTTTAAGGAGGAAATGAAAGGAAACCCCTGGTCCACATTTTCCCTCTCCTCCACCACACACACTGCATTGCAACTGTTCTGTCTCTGACCACCCCAGCAGGCTATAGTCCTCCAGGGCAGAGGCCAGATTCTACTCCTCTCTGTTTCTCCAGCACCTTCCACAATTCCTGGCACAAAGAAGCTCAACACTACCAAGTCTCTGGCTGCAGCTCACAGGCAGTCTTCCTGTCCAGCGCTCAGCCCTCAGCTCAGGAGCGGACCACCCACAAATTCCTTTGATCCTTTACAGAAAGAAAAGCTTGTGTGCTAAACCCACCAGGGACCTCCCACTCAGGCCAGCAGAGGAGATGCACCCACTGCAGAGGTGAGTACAGGAACCTGGGGCTGAGGGGCTTCAAGCCCATCATGGCCCAGCTTCTCAACGCCCCCACTAGACACCCCTCACCTCTTGTCAGGGGAGCGCCATCGTGTGCAAGTACCTTAAACGTGTGTTAATATTATTGTTGCTATGTATATTTTAAAAATCACAGAGCATCAGGGGGGCTGATGGCATTCAAGGTCTGGTCCTCAGCCTTGATGGATAGAAACCCAAGTTCTTCATTCCTTAGAGGCAGCTCAAGACAAAGAAATCTGACTCACATCCACAAAACCCACAGAAGACTGATACATTCAAATGCCAAGTTAGGAATGGATAGTGAACAACACAGCGAAGAGGCCTAAACACACACGGTCACTGGTCCTACAGTCTCTCGAGATCTACATGGAAAACCAAACTTCTAGAACAGCAATGAAAAATACAAAGTGTCAGAGACTGAGGACACCATCATGAATAAACCAGGACTCCGTGCCACCCGGTATACACAGAAGTCAGAGAAAGATAAACGGAGCAACTGCAACATGAGGTGGCAAGGGCGCCACTGGGGTGAAATGGGTCTTGAAGTGTGAGCAGAATTTCTGGGCAGAGAGGAGGGAAGGGACCTCCCTGGCCCGGGCCCATGGAGAAAGGCTCGGCACCGTCAAGGGTCTGGCCTACTCGGGAAACATTAGGAAGTCCCCCGCATGCACAGCACAGGCTGTGCTGTCCTGTGTGACGCCCCATGTGTGCAGGCGCACAGGCGTGAAGGAGACTGGGAGAGGCAGACTGGAGATGCCTTCACGCCAGACTGGAGTGCATGGACCTCCTCCTTGAGCACCAAGGGAGGGAGCTGGTGGGGCTTGTTTAGGAAGGTAACGCAGCAGGGGAGGAGGGGGGCTCCTGAGCCCTGGTTACTCAGCTGGGGATGAAGGAGGGCCACACGGAGAGCCAAGGCTCTGTGGCCTCTGCTGCTCCTCAGCCTTGCCAGACACTTCACACATTCACTCACACCCTGATGGGCCAAAGATGTTAGAGAACTGGAAATTAAAACTCATTCCCTGCTCTCAATCTTCTTCCCCACCCTTCTGTACATGATGGAAAATAACATTTTTCTCATGACAAAAGAAATCAGTACTTTCCCCAGAGCCACCAAATTTCAAAAGCTCATAGCCTCTCACTGAAACTTTCAAAGGAATTTATCACACATTTAAGCCTAGAAGTCCACTTAGGCATATGTAGATAACAAGCCTCGTCAAAGTTACTTTAGGTATCTGACTAGTTACTGTTTTGTGGCTTGATTAGCGAAAGCTATTAACCTGTGCTACGGTCTGAGCGTTCCGCCCCACTCCCTGATTCTTGTCTTGAATCTTAACCCCCCAGGTGATGGTTTAGAAGGGAGGGCCTTTGGGAGGCGATCAGATAATGAGGGCTCCACCACCTTGATCTTGGACCATTCAGCCTCCCAAACTGCGAAAAGTAAGTGTTTGCTGTTTCCAAGCCACCCAGTTCATGGTATTTTGTTATAGCAGCTCAAAACCAACTAAGGCAGCCTGCAACCTAGAGAAACCCATGATGTGGAAAGCAATACTAAAACACAGTAAAATTCTGATTCATGTACAATCTACCTGCAAGAACTTATTCTAAAGCTTTATTTTCTTAAACAGAGAGTAGAATGGTGGTTGCTAGAGGTGGGGTCATGGGTGGGAAGTTTTGGTCAAAGGGGTATAAACTTTCAAATATAAAATGCATACGTCTGGAGAGCTAATGTACAGTACAGTGACCATAGTGAGCAATACCAAATTGTAGGCTTAAAATCTGCTTAGAGGGTAGATCTCAAGTGTTCTCACCATAAAGAAATAAAAAAGTAACTGAGGTGATGAATGTGTTAACTAATTTGGTTGTGGTGATCATTTCACAAAGTATACATATATCAAATCATGTTGTACACCTTAAATTTATATAATTTTATTTGTCAATTATACTTCGATGAAGTTGGAAAAATATAAAATAATTTAAAAAAATTTTTAAGCTTTGTTTTCTCATCTCTGCAGAAAACTAAAACATCTGTGAACAAAACAAAACCACAACTGTCCCCAAACTAGGAAAAGAAGAGCAAGTCCCTATTATCTTTTAAGCATTTTCTACTTCTACAGGGCAGGAGTCATCAAAAACCTACAGGAAACGTTACAACTACAAAAGCGTCACGGGACAATTATGGTCAAAACTGCAAGTAGCAAAGTCACCTCTTCAAAGCACCACTGCTGTGGCCTGTAACATGATCCCACTCCACAGTGAAGGGGACTCCACCTAGCAGTGTAAAGGGCAATCAACTCAAATAGAAAAACCTTCATGTACCAAGAGTTCTGGGAGGAAAGTCTTGGCTGAAACATGGACATTACCAAGCTATCCAAATGCGTGTGACGTGGGGCGGGTGGTGAAAGAACACAAGGCAGACTGGCCAGGGTTTTAAAGAAGACAAAGCAAGCAGGATGGAAAAAAAGACAATCAAAGCATTAGCGAACGACAGTGTGGTGGGCACAGTAATGGCCTCCAGGGATATCTACAGCCTAATCCCCAGACCCTGTAAATACGTCACCTTATGTGGCCAAAGGGACTCCGTAGATGTGACTGAGTTAAAGACTCCGAGCTGGGGAGGGTGGGTCCAATGTCATCATGTGTCCTTGTAAGGGGGGCAGGAAGATCAAAGAGAGAGAGCCATGTGACTACAAAGGGAGAGGTCAGAGAGAGCTCGAGTTGAGGGTGCTCTGTGCTGCTGGTTTCGATAATAGAGAGAGGGGTGGGTCACCAGTGAAGGACGGGGGGTGGCCTCTAGAAGCTGGCAGAGGCAAGGAAAAGGATTCTCCCCTGGAGCCTCCAGAGGAACACAGCCCTGCTGACACCTTGACTTTAGCGCAGTCACAATGACTTCAGATTCCCATCTCCAGAAGGAAGAGACATCTGTGTCATTTTAAGCCACTACCTTTGTGGCAATTTGTTACATCAGCCACAGGGGATAAGGATAAACAGTGGGAGGAAGGGATGGATGAACAGTCAGTTCAGCTTTCAGGACAGCGAAGAGACAAGCTGAAAACTCTGCAACCTCCCTTAAGCCAAAACCACTATGTGTATTCAGGAGCCAGAAAGTCTCAGAGGTTCCTGCCATCTTTGACTGACCAGGGTAGACCTGAGGTCCTCCTCCTCACCAGCTGGGATTATCCAGCTTTTCAGTAAGGCTCCAGGGCGATGGCTGTTTTCATTGATGAAAACATTTTTCCAAATAAATCTTAATTTTTTCAGAGTGTGAATCTGTCTTGTGCTCAGTACTCCAAATCCTCTGTTCTTCCTGACGTTTCAAGTCCCATGTCTTCTCCTCCGTTCAATCACTTCCTAACAAGCACCAACAACATGTCAGCCCTGGGGAGAAACTTCCCTTCCTGTCCCTTCCCTTCCCAGGCCGTGGCACTGCCCCCACCTCTGAATTCCTCTCCACCTCTCTTACCCATGTGGCACTTAGCACACACTGCTTTGGATTCTATTTAAACACTCAACTTGCTTATATCTTGGTTTCTTGGTTGTCCAAGGAGAGCACAGGCCTCTGGAGGGCAGGAGATGTATAGAAAACGAATTTTTCTGTAACTAAAAGAAATTTTTGTTTTTAGGCCGAGTCTTGTTCTGTCTTCCAGGCTGGAGTGCAATGGTGCAATTTCTGCTCACTGCAACCTCCGCCTCCTGGGTTCAAGCGTTTCTCCTGCCTCAGCCTCCCGAGTAGCTGGGACTACAGGTGCCCTCCACCATGCCCAGCTAATTTTTGTATTTTTAGTAGAGATGGGGTTTCATCATGGTGGTCAGGCTGGTCTTGAACTCCTGACCTCAAGTGATCCACCCACCTCGGCCTCCCAAAGTGCTGGGATTACAGGCGTGAGCCACTGCACCTGGCAAAAATGTTTAAATATATACAAAAGTATGTAAAACCTATTATGCACAGTTCAAAGAATAATAAAACAGCCACTTAGCCACCAGCCTACTTAACAAAACCAGTGTCGTGGAAGTCCTGTATGCTGTTCCTCTGATTACAGCCCCTCCTCTATCCTGGAGGCAGCCTCTCTCCTAAATTCTGGGGTAGTCACTCCCTGACTCTTTTAACAAAACAGCTGTATACCCCAAGCATGTATTCTGAAACAGTAACAGTATTGCTGGCCGGGCGCGGTGGCTCACGCCTGTAATCCCAGCACTTTGGGAGGCCGAGGCGGGCGGATCACGAGGTCAGGAGATCGAGACCACGGTGAAACCCCGTCTCTACTAAAAATACAAAAAATTAGCCGGGCGCAGTGGTGGGCGCCTGTAGTCCCAGCTACTCGGGAGGCTGAGGCAGGAGAATGGCGTGAACCCGGAAGGCGGAGCTTGCAGTGAGCGGAGATCGCGCCACAGCACTCCCGCCTGGGCGACAGAACGAGACTCCGTCTCAAACAAAAAAAAAAACAGTATTGCTAAGTTTCGCCTGGTTTTGAACCTCACATAAAGGAACCACACCACATGGACCCTTTGGTGACTTGTTTCTTTCACTCAACATCATTCCCGAGACTCATCCATGCCCCTGCAGCTATATAGTCCATCCTCCTCGGCAGCTGCACAGTATCTCACGGTTCAGATGCACTGCAGTTCACAGGTCCCCCTGCTGCTGGTTCAGATACACCACGATTCACAGGTCCCCCTGCTGCTGGTTCAGATACACCACGATTCACAGGTCCCCCTGCTGCTGGTTCAGATACACCACGATTCACAGGTCCCCCTGCTGCTGGTGCTAGGCACGTGCACTGTTTCTGCTGGTTTTGATTTACAGTTAGGAACAGTGCTGCAGGGAGCGCTTGTCCCCATCTCCTGCACACCTGTGCAAGAGTTCGCAAAGGGATTTGCCCATGGTTTAACTGCTGGTCCACATGCATTCCACTGCCAAATGCTTTTGCAAAGCGGCAGAACCCATTCACACTCCCGCCAGCAGCAGGTTCGTGCCACTCCTCAATGTCACTGGCTGGTAGCGTCCAAAGCTTCACCTTCTGCCAACAGGGTGGCTGTGAAATGGTATCTCATTATGGTTTTAATTTACATTTCCCTGGTTACTAGTAAGGCTGCAGTCCTTTTTATATGTATGTGCTTTCTGTGTTTTGTAATCTATGAAATGCCCGTTCCTATCTTTTGTCCTTTCCTTTTTTTTCTCTCAGAATTGTAAGAATTCTTTAAATATTCTAGATACTAGCTCTCTGTATGTTTTGTGTCTCATTATAGTGTCTTTCATGAACTAAATGTGTTGTTATTATTATTGAGACAAGGTCTGGCTCTATTGCCCAGCCTGATGTGCAGTGGCATGATCACAGCTCACTGCAACCTCCGCCTTCCGGGCTCAAGCCATCCTCCCACCTCAGCATCTCAAGTAGCTGGGACACAGGCATGTACCACCAAGCCCAGTTAAATTTTTTTTGTGTGTGTAGAGATGAGGTTTCACCATGTTGCCCAGGCTGGTCTCAAACTCGTAAGCTCAAACCATTCACCTGCC
Source organism: Homo sapiens (assembly GCF_000001405.40). Classification (NCBI taxonomy): domain Eukaryota; kingdom Metazoa; phylum Chordata; class Mammalia; order Primates; family Hominidae; genus Homo; species Homo sapiens. Next base: position 84,142,178 of record NC_000016.10, read on the forward strand.
TTGGCCTCCCAAAGTGCTGGGATTACAGGTGGGAGCCACTGCACCTGGCTGAATGTCTTAATTTTGAAAGAGACAAATATATCAATCTTTCTGCTTTAGGGTTTGTTTTATTTCAGAAATCCCTCCTTAGCCTCAGGTCATGAAGAAATTTTTTCGAATTATTTTCTAGAAATTTTACATTTTTGCTTTTTCAGTTTAAGTCTTTAATCCTCCTGGCGTTTTGTGATGGTGTGAGGCTGGGATCTCACACATCTTTTTTTTTTTTTTTTTTTTTTTGAGACAGAGTCTCACTCTGTCACCCAGGCTGGAGTGCAATGGCGCGATCTTAGCTCACTGCAACCTCCTCCTTCCAAGTTCAAGCAATTCTTCTGCCTCAGCCTCCCAAGTAACTGGGACTACAGGCGTGTGCCACCATGCCTGGCTAATTTTTGTATTTTTTTCTTTTTTAGTAGAGACGGGGGTTTCACCATATTGGCCAGGCTGGTCTTGAACTCCTGACCTTGTGATCCGCCCACTTTGGCCTCCCAAAGCACTGGGATGTGACCGGCCGGATCTCACACATCTTTAATATTCCTCCTCAGCACCTGACATGCTGCTGTAGACAACTTTATTTAATAAACAGAATCAAATACTGCTTTGTGTTCAAAGCTCAAATTTCACTCTTGAGAAAAAAACTTAAGCTTTTCATACTCTGCGTCAGCACTATGACAAAGTTAGCATTGGTGTATCAAGACTTTTTGGGATGTCTTTACCTTCACTGCCAATTTTTGGTATAGGACTAAACGCACAATGAAGCTGAGCCTAAAGAGCAGCAACATGGAATTAGAAACCTGGATTCTCATCCAAGATCCAACACTCTTCACCATCATGTCTGTATTTATGCAGTAAGAATTAAAATATTCAGAGTACCCCACTCCTAGGCAGATACCCAAGATAATTAGAAACTTTTGCTCACATAAAAACTCCTGCTTGCATGTTCACAGTGGCCTACTCACAACTGCCAGAAGGCAGAAACAAACAAAATGTCCATCAACAAATGAATGAATAAGCAAAATGTGGTGTTATCCACACAAAGGAGTATTATTCAGCCATAAAAAAGCATGAAGTACTGATACATACTACAACATGGATAAACTTTGAAAACATTATGCTAAAGGACAGAAACCAAATACAAAAGGCCGTATGTTGTATGTTTCCACTTGTATGAAATGTCCAGCATAAGCAAATCCATAGAGACAGAAGATAACTTAGGGCTGCTGAGGGACAGGGGGAGAAAAGAGGTATGACTGTTAATGGGGTTGGGGTTTCTTTTGTAGGTGATTAAATGTTCTGGAATTAGTTACTGGTGATGGTTGCATAGCATTGTGACTATAGCAAGAACTACTGAGTTATACACTGTAAAATGGCTAAAATGATAAATTTTATGTCATGCGTAAGTCATTTCGATTTTTGAAAACCTACTTTAAAAAAAAGTAGCACCAATATGTTCAACTCTGTTGCCCTAGAATATTCCAGCAGTGATTAAAACCACAAACTTGGCCGGGTACAGTGGCTCATGTCTGTAACCCCAGAACTTTGGGAGGCCAAGGCGGGCAGATCACTTGAGGCCAGGAGTTCAAGGCTACCCTGACCAACACAGCGAAACCCCGTCTCTACTAAAAAAAAAAAAAAAAAAATTAGCTGGGTGTGGTAGAACGTGCCTGTAATCCCAGCTACTCGGAAGGCTGAGGCAGGAGAATCACTTGGGCCCGGGGTGCGGGATGGCGGGCAGAGGTAGCAGGAGCTGAGATCGCAGGCACCATTGCACTACAGCCCGGGCGACAGAGCGAGATTGTCTGAATCAATCAATCAATCAACACCCTCCCCCTCCCCCTCCCTCTCCCTCTCCCTCCCTCCCTCTCTCTCTCTCTCTCTCTCCTGTGGCGGTCAGAGTAAAATTGAGAGCTCACTTTATGCAAAAGACTCTGCTAAGTGCTTTATTCCTATTGTCTCACTTTATTCTCTCATTAATCTTATAAAGCGCAGTCAGACTCTCCCGTTTATAGATGGGGAAATTGAGTCTTATAGATGTAAAGTCGCACACCCAAGACCCCACAACTCAGAAAGGGGCTACCTGCAATTCAGATGGAGGTATAGCAAGGCGCAGAGTCCTGTCCAGGGAGCCCACTGTGAGACCCCCCGACTGCCTCGCAGTCACCTGTACACATCATGTTGGGATCGCCGAGGGGCGCTGCAGCGATCCGGTTTCTGGGGCTGCGTCTGGGTGGCACGTTCAGAACGGGGACCTGCCTGGTTCTTCTTCCCAGCCCTTCCCCTCCAGCACCCGGCAAGGCCCAGTCAACACGAGCAAACTCGGAAATCCTGGCTGAACCCACGACCGCTGCATATTTCCATTTTAGAAAAACACGGCAACAACAACTCAAACCAAATCGTTCAGAAATGAGAATAAAGAAGCACCGACAAAGGAGGCGATTGCTGGGGCCGCTCGGGGGAGGAGCCGGGTGAGAGGCTGCAGGGAGGGCAGGGCATGCGCCGGCGACAACGGGGTTCGCGGTTTGGGGGGCAAGGCCCGGGGGAAGAGAGAGAACAGGGGTGCAGCGCCGCGGCGGGGGGCGTGAGGATGGAGCCGGGGGAAGGGGGGCTCTGAGATGTGAAGGGGCGGGGCTGGGGCTTTTTGGTCTGAAGGAAGGAGTCTCACGGGACGGAGGGACGAAGATTTCCTGGGGTCAGGGGCGCCAAGGGGCTTCGGGGCCGGATGCAGCGGAGGGGGCCCGGGGCCTGGGGGGCGTGGTGAGAGCTCAGAGGGGTCTCGCCAAGCAGCCGGCTGGCGCTGAGGGGACCGAGGAGGGGTCTGGGGCGAAAGGACCGCGAGAGGGCGCCCAGGGCGCGGGGGGCGCGGTACCTGCAGGCCGGCAAAGTCTTCCAAACCGGTCCCGCCAGACCCGCGCGGCCGCCGCCCCCGTCTCGGCCGCCGGAGCTGCTGCCGCGCCGCGCCCTCACGTGACCCGCGTACGCGCCGGGGGCGGAGCCGTCTCAGACCCGCCCCCACCCCCCGGCGTCCCCAGCGCGCCGGTCCGTCCCGAGTGCGCGTGCGCAGCGGTTGCCTGGGCGACCGGGGAAGCGTTGGGCTGTAAAGACTAGGGCGCCAGCGGCTGGCGAAGAAGGAAAGAGGGTACTCTCTGGCTGGGCTGGGGCCGTAGCGACGTCCGCCGCGAACCTGGGCCCCCCAAAGCTGCGGGGCGTTCGGTGTCGCCGAAGTAAACATGCACCCTGAGCCCTCGGAGCCTGCGACAGGTGGTGCAGCAGAGCTGGATTGCGCGCAGGAGCCCGGCGTGGAGGAGTCTGCGGGTGACCACGGGAGCGCAGGCCGAGGGGGCTGCAAGGAAGGTGCCGACTGCCCCCCAGGGAGGGCGGTGGGCGAGGGGCAGACACGGCTAGGCGCTCCAGCCCCCTTCCCACACCACATACCCGATCTTCACAGCCAAATAATAACAATAATAATAATGGTAGCAAGCAACGCTCTGCAGTAGGGGCTTCTCTCGCCATTTCGTACTGAGGAGGAAACATACTTAAGAGGTTACAAAACTTGCACCAAACAGATAACCCTCGGCTAGTCAGTGACAGAAGAGACTTGGCCGGGTGCGGTGGCTCAACGCCTGTAATTCCAGCACTTTGGGAGGCCGAGGCGGGCGGATCATCAGGTCAGTCAGGAGTTCGAGACCAGCCTGGCCAACATAGTGAAACCCTGTCTCTACTAAAAATACAAAAAATGAGCTGGGCGTGGTGGCGGGCGCCTGTAGTCTCAGCTACTTGGGAGGCTGAGGCAGGAGAATCGCTTGAACCCGGGAGGCGGAGGTTGCAGTGAGCCAAGATCTCGCCATTGCATTCCAGCCCGGACGACAGTGGGAGACTCCGTCTCAAACAAACAAACAAACAAACAAGCAAACAAAACCCACCAGACTCAGGCCCAGACAGTCTGGGTCTCCAGAGCCCCAGCCCTAACCCACCACGCTATTCTCCCTGGTCCCAACTTTGATGCTTTAAATGTGTCCCTTTATTGCTATCACTATGTAAGATCAAAGGCTTTCTCTCCCTCCAGACTGCATGTTGTGTCAGGGCAAGACATCTTGATTGAATTTGGAGTCTAGTCCAGTGCCTGACCTAGGGTAGAGAGTCCGAATGAAGACTTGGTTCTGGGGTCAGTGTGTGATCCCCTCACCAAAGTTTGCCAGAATGGACTTGAAAGATAACCTTCATGGCCAGGCACGGTGGCTCACGCCTGTAATCCCAGCAATTTGGGAGGCAGAGGCAGGTGGGTCACCTGAAGTCAGGAGTTCGAGACCAGTCTGGCCAACATATTGAAACCCTGTCTTTGCTAAAAACACAAAAATTAGCAGGGCGTGGTGACGTGCTCCTGTAATTCCACTTACTTGGGAGGCTAAGGCAGGAGAATTCCCTGAACCCCGGAGGCAGAGGTTGCAGTGAGCCAAGGGGGAGGCTGAGGCTGCAGTGAGCCAAGATCACACCACTGCACCCCAGCCTGGGCAATGGAGCAAGACTCCGTCTCAAAAAAAAAAAAGGAAAGAAGGAAGCCTGGCTTCAGCTTCTGCTCCCACTAGACTTGGTGCCCTAAAGGAAACCTTTTAGTGATTACATTAAAAAACCACTTGATTTGTGTTCCAGTTTCTGAACGCAGGCAACAAATAAACCAGCTGATTTGTGTTCCAGGCAACAAATATATCTTAAGCATCAACTGTCCAGATGAACCTTGTATGAGGAGCCATAGGGAACTGGCATTACTCAGTGGAAAGACACTGGTCTTGGAGCCATTGACACTGGGTTCAAGTTGAGGCTCAGCAGCTGGCCAGCTTTATGGCTGTTGGCCCAGAGCTTAACCTCTCGGAGCCTTAGTCTCCTCATCTGTAAGCTGGAATAATTATACAGGAGTATAAGGAGAGAATTATAATTAAATGTCCCAGCATATAGTGGGCCATTATTAAATGGTAGCTCTTGTTATTAATTACATATTAATATTTATATATTGAGCGCTTATTCTTTATTTTTTCCACAAACATTTATCTGTTGCTTCCTGTGGCTGGGCATTCTATGCAAAATTGATGAGTTTAAGAACCAGTCCCCACACGCACAGCCTTTAGTCTTGTTCAATAGACCACACAAACACAGAAAGCAGCAGACAACAGCTCTTAAAGTTAAGTGCGGTTGAATTGGCCAATTTTGAATGACCTTTAAAAAAATTATTCATTTGAATGTGCTCATGTTATTGTTATCATAGATATTCTCACTATTTTTGTTTCTTTTCATGTGATTTTCCTTTTTATGATTTTTTTTTTAAGAGATGGAATCTCACTATGTTACCCAGGCTAGATCTTCCTGCCTCAGCCTCCTGAGTAGCTGGGACTACAGGCATGCTCCACTACACCTGGCTTCAGAAATTTTTTAAAAGACAAAAGAACAAAGAACATTAAAACAAATACCCGTGTTTTGCCAGCAAGAATTGAAAATGAGTAACATTTTATCATATTTATTTGAAGTCTTTTTTAATTAAAGAAATAAGCCCCCCCCAAAAAAAAAATAAAAATAAATAAGGGTGGGCACGGTGGCTCACGCCTGTAATCCCAGCACTTTGGAAGGCCAAGGCGGGTGGGTCACCTGAGGTCAGGAGTTTGAGGACAGCCTGGCCAACATGGGGAAACCCCGTCTCTACTAAAAATACAAAAAAATTAGCTAGGCATGGTGACAGGCGCTGGTAATCCTAGCTACTTGGGAGGCTGAGGCATGAGAATCGCTTGAACCCGGGAGGCGGAGGTTGCAGTGAGCTGAGATCCCGCCACTGCACTCCAACCTGGGGGATAGACCAAGACGGTCTCCAAAAAAAAAAAGAAATAAAACATTTCACATAGAGTTGGTGTTCCTTTTCTCCCCTGTACCCCACCCCGTTTCTAATCCCATTCCTTTCCTCCCTTGTCCAGAATTTTATATGAATTCTTGCAAGCACTTCTCTATACATGTATGCCCTGAAACAGTGTATAGTATTGCTTTGCATATTTTTAATTTATATATGGTATCCTGTGCTTATTTTGAAACTTGCTTTTTTCACTCCATATACGTTTCTGAGAATTATCCCTATGGATAGATGTAGTTCTAGTGCATTCTTCTCAAAGGTAGAAAAGCAAGTCATTGTTTTATGTAACCAGCCCCTATGGATGGACATTTACGTTGTTAACAGTTTTTGGCTTTTATAAAAAAAAACGCAGAAACAAATCTCTTTGTCCATGTTTTCTTGTGCACCTGTACAAGAGTTTTTATAGAGGATCTACCTAGAAGTGAAATTTACATAGTCTTTGCCAATGCTTTAAAAATTGTTACACATTTAAAGATTACTGTTCTCTCTCTCTCTCTTTTTTTTTTTTTTTTTTGGTGAGACGGGGTCTCACTTTGTTGCCAGGCTGGAGTACAGTGGTGTGAACACAGCTCACTGCAGCCTTGACTTCCCAAGCTCGAGTGATCAACCTGCCTCAGCCCCACAAGTAGCTGGGAATACAGGCACGCACCACTACATCTGGCTAATTTTTGTAGAGATGGGGTTTTGTCATGTTGCTCAGGCTGGTCTCAAACACCTGGGCTCGAGCAATCTACCTGCCTCAGCCTCCCAAAGAGCTGGGATTACAGGCCTGAGCCACCATACCCAGCCACTAAAGAATACTGGTGTTCTATACTAAAAGTGGATGGTCATTAACCAAGCTGAAGTTGGGGGTATTTTTTGGCATATATCTTGATCTCTACAGACCTGATCTCTTTTATTTTACAGAAATTAATGATCCTAAGGAAATATGTGTGGGTTCTTCTGACACATCCTACCACAGCCAGCAGAAACAGAGTGGTGATAATGGGTCAGGTGGTCACTTCGCACACCCAAGAGAAGACAGGGAAGATCGGGGCCCCAGGTATGTGGGCATACTCCTAATTAGTGCACATTTATGGAGTAAGGTAGATGGCGTAATCACCCCCTTGTACGGATAATGAAATAGAGGCTGGTAGAGATTGAATTGCCTGCCCAATGTCTGAGAATGGAGTGAGGATGGCACTGCCTCTGCCGCACAGCTGAGCGCACATTCTATTAAACTTTAATGCCAGACTGCAGAGAGGAACAGCAGTAGTTCCTCATGACACCATTTAAAGTATTTTTATTAGAACATACAATGCAATTTTTAGGCCGGGCGCAGTGGCTCATGCCTGTAATCCCAGCACTTTGGGAGGCTGAGGTGGGCGAATCACAAGGTCAGGAGTTCGAGACCAGCCTGCACAATATGGTGAAACCCCATCTCTACTAAAAATACAAAAAATTAGCTGGGCGTAGTGGCGGGCACCTGTAATCCCAGCTACTTGGGAGGCTGAGGCAGGAGGATCGCTTGAACCCGGGAGGCGAAGGTTGCAGTGAGCCGAGATCATACCACTGCACTCCAGCCCGGGCGGCAGAGTGAGACTCCATCTCAAAAAAAAAAAAAAAAAAACATACATTGCAATTTTTAAGAATGCTGAAAATAAGCCAAGCGTGGTGGCCCTTGCCTGTAATCCCAGTACTTTGGGAGGCCAAGGTGGGTGGATCACCTGACGTCAGGAGTTCAAGACCAGCCTGACCAACATGGTGAAACCCCCCCTCTACTAAAAATACAAAAATTAGCCAGGTGTGGTGGCGCATGCCTGTAATCCCAGCTACTCGGGAGGCTGAGGCAGGAGAATCGCTTGAACCTGGGAGGCAGAGTTTGCAGTGAGCTGAGATTGTGCCATTGCACTCCAGCCTGGGCAATAGAGTGAGACTCTGTCTCAAAAAAAAAAATGCTGAAAATAATATTCGATGAGGCCCTAAAATCTGTACAAAAAAGAAGAAGAAAAAGGAAAGGAGAAAGAGAAAAAGACGAACTTAAAATAGGTATCAGGGATATAGGATGTTATAGAATTTTGGGCAGGAATGGATGTGGTAAAGAACTGTGAGAATATGTTTTACAGCTGACAATTTGCAATAAGCTTATTCATATTTTTCCATTTTAACAGAATGACTAAAAGTTCCCTGCAAAAACTCTGCAAGCAGCACAAGCTTTATATTACCCCAGCATTGAATGATACGCTGTATTTACACTTTAAAGGTAAGGACCTAAGAGAGGAAGTGCTTCACGTCAGGTGGAAAGATTCTGTCTAGCGGTATAAAAAATTACTTGCAGGGATCACCTTTAGTTCTCAGAATGTATCTAAGCAGGAAATTTCAAAGTTTAGTGGAGATTTATGGAAAAGGAATAACATTTATTTCAAGAAAAAGTCTTGCCTGACCAGTTTACAAAGGAGCCACTGGCTATAGGAATACCAAGGAAACACATTATCTTTCATTTTTGTTTCCTAAGGAATTTTTTTTTCTTTTCTTTCTTTTTTTTTTTTTTTTTGAGATGGTGTCTTGCTCTGTTGCCCAAGCTGAAGTGCAGTGGTGCAATCTCTGCTCACTGCAACCTCTGTCTCCAGGTTCAAGCAATTCTCCTACCTCAGCCTCCTGAGTAGCTGGGTTACAGGTGCCCACCACCACGCCTTGCTAATTTTTGTATTTTTAGTAAAGGCGGGGTTTCGCCATGTTGGCCATTCTGGTCTCAAACTCCTGAACCCAGTCGATCCAGCTGCCTCAGCCTCCCAAAGTACTGGGCTTACAAGTGTGAGCCACTGCACCCAGCCAGGACTTTAATTTTTCATACCAGAAAGTTAGTTTGTAAGTACTTTGGGGTTGGGAGGTATATGTTGGGAAGGATTGCAGCTTGATGTTGGAAACAAATGATGAGGATCTTTGGATGCCTCTTAGAATGGAGAGGCGTGAGCAGGAGCCAGGGTTGGAGGCCAGTATCACATATCAATGGAAGCTCAGGTTCACAGACAGGGCTTTTCCCAGCCTGAGGGCTTCCAGTCTGTGCTGATGGGGTGACCAGCTTGCTCATCAGTCCTCTCATTGTTCATTTGTCTCTTCAGTAGCTGCTTGCTGAGAGTCTACTGTGTGCCCAGCACTGCTCAGTGCTGAAAATGCACAGAGGGAACCGGCAAAGGTGCCTTTGGTGTCCTGGGGGATGGGAGCAGCTATTATGAGGACGGTGCCACGCCAGGGAGACGCCCAAAGGGATCCAGGAGCACAAATGCCTTAAGGGGTTGGAACGACTCCTATGGGTCTCCTCACCTCCACTTTTGCCCACTCCAAAATTCTCTACCCAGCATCTAAGCATAGCAGTGAGTAAGATGATGTAGGAGGACAGACTGCCGGGGGACTGATACTTAAGAGGTGGGAAGAAGAAAGGAACCAGTAAGTTTGACTGAGTAGAGACAGTCAGAGAGGTAGAAGAGCTGGGAGAGAGAGGTGCCCATATTAGTTATCTATTGCTACATAATTAACTGCCCTGAAACTTAGCAACTTCAACTCATGATCTCACCCAGTTTCTGAGGGCCGGGAACTCGGGAGTCATCAGCTGGGCGGTTCTGGCTCAGGGTCTCTCATGAGGCAGTAGCCAGACTGTCAGCGCAGTCTCACTCATTCGATGGCTTGACGAGGGCTAGAGAATCCACTTCCAGGCTCTAGGCCTCAGACCCTCATAGCTGTCAGCCAGAGGCCTTAATTTCTCACCACATGAGCCTCCCCATGGCAGCTGGCTTCCCTCAGAGCAAGTTACCCAAGAAAGGAAGCAAGGCCAAGACAAAAGTGGAGGTGACACTTCATCACTCCATTGTATGCTGTTGGTGTCTGGATCCACTCCTGTCTTACTGCATCGCTAACATGAAGGCATTGACTAGGAGGGTGATCCAGAGAGCCTGAGGAGGAAGCTGGGAAAGGGGCGCAGGGCCTGTGGGCCAGATGCCTTGGAATGGTCAAGGGCTAAGAGGACTGACCGTAGCGTGTAGCAGTTAGGATCTTAGGGAGACTTTAGCCAGGTGGTTGCAGTGATGGTGGGATCCAGGGGAGAGCAACAAGTTGGAGATGGCTTGAACAGCAAAGGGGGAGGAGATGGGGTAAGAGCTAGAGCAAAGACCAGGGAGAAAAACCAGAATGTCAGAAACCCAAGGGGACAAATAATCCAGTTTCTTCAACAAAAAATTACAATGTAAGAAAGAGAGAGAGACATACACACACTCTTAGGTTAAAAGTGACTTAAGGCCAGGCGTGGTGGCTCACGCCTGTGATCCCAGCAATGTGGGAGGCCAAGGCAGGCAGATCAGGAGTTTGAGACCAGTCTGGCCAACATGGTGAAACCCCATCTCTACTAAAAATAACACACACAAAAATTGGCCAGGTGTGATGGTGCATGCCTGTAATCCTAGTTACTTGTGAGGCTGAGGCAGGAGAATCGCTTGAACCCAGGAGGCTGTTTGCAGTGAGCCAAGATTGTGCTACCGCGCTCCAGCCTAGGCGACAGAGCAAGATTCTGTCTCAAAAAAAAAAAAAAAAAAAAAGTTGGCTGGGCGCGGTGGCTCACACCTGTAATCCCAGCACTTTGGGAGGCCAAGGCAGGTGGATCACCTGAGGTAAGGAGTTCGAGACCAACCTGGCCAACATGGTAAAACCCCATCTCTACTAAAAATACAAAAATTAGCCAGGTGTGGTGATGGCGGGTACCTGTAATCTCAGCTACTCAGGAGGCTGAGACAGGAGAATCACTTGAACTCAGGAGGTGTAGGTTACAGTGAGCCGAGATTGTGCAATTGCACTCCAGCCTGGGCAACAGAGCCAGACTCCATCTGAAAAAAAAAAAAAAGTGACTTAAGAGACATCCACTAATTACAAGGTTTGGACCTTATTTGTATGTTGATTCAGACAGTAAACAGTTTGGAAACAAAGACAACAAAGAAATGTGACCAGTTACTGGCTGTTTGATGATGACGTTGAGGAACTGTTGTTTAGACGTCACAGTGGTGTTGTGGCTATCTTAAAGAAAAAAAAAATCCTATCTTTTATAGATACTGACTTCAGCATGAAGACCTTGGAGCAATATGGCAAATACTTCCACTATAAAAATTTTTGTGGAGAGGGTTTGCAAGGAGGGAGAGCATCAGGAGGAACAGCTAATGATGCTAGGCTTAATACCTAGGTGATGGGATGACCTATGCAGCAAACCACATGGCACACATTTACCTATGCCACAAACCAGCACATCCAGCACAGGAACCCATCAACTTAAAATAAAACTTGAAGAAATAAAATAACCAAAATTTTTGTGGAAAAAATATAGGATTTTAAAAAGTCTATCTATACAATGCCTGTGTTTAAGTGTATTCTATAACTATGTTAAATATTACTTGTGCTTATAGCAAGCTTGGAAGGCGAGAGAGAAAAATGAAAACGGATTATCTGTTGGCAGGAACATGGGTGCATTTCTTTTTATTTTGCTCACCATTGATATTAGAATTTTTTAATAAAAACTTTTTCAGGCAACAAAATAAAGAACTTTAAAAAGTGTTGGTAATAGTAGGTCAAGGCATGAATTACACATTGATGACGAGTTACTAAAGGAAACTAAAAGATTTGTTTTCCTAACCGTAAATTTGGCTCATAAAACTGAAAAAGAGAACAAAACAAGGCCCACAGTTTGCACTAGGGTCAGGCCTGGTGGGAACATTTTCAAGGCAGGGTTACCCCCACTGCACCCCCACCTCCACCCACTCCCCACCATGAAGGCAGCAGTAGGCTCCACCCTCCCAGGTGGGTAATTCCAGCAGAAAGACTACCAGTCTTTTCAGCAAGACCCCCTAGGATTCATCAAAGTTCGCCTTGCTTGGCTAAGTGTGGCCACCCCCGAATGAGTCACCGTGACTCTGATAGGCTGCCAGAGAGCCGTTGGGTGATATTAGGAAAAGGATGGTTCCTCCAAGAAAAGTTGCTACTGGAGGAAGGAGGTGTGGATGCCAGGTAGGCAGGTGTCTTAGTCCGTTTTGAGCTGCTGTAACAAGAAACCGTAGCCTGGGTGGCTTGTAGACAACAAAAATGTATTTCTCACAGTTCTGGAGGCTAGGAAGTCCAAGGTCAAGCTACTGGCAGATTTGGTGACTGGTGAGAGCTTGCTTTTTTATTCGCAGATGGCACTTTCTTGCTGTATCCTCATGGGGTGAAGATGGCAAAGAAGCTCTCTGGGGCCTCATTTATGAGACCACTAATCCCATTCCTGAGGGTTCTTCTCTCATGACCTTATCACCTCCCAAAAGTCCCACCTCCTAATACCATCACATTAGGGGTTAGGATTTCAATGTATGAATTTTGAAGGGACACAGACATTCAGTTCCTAATAGTAGGCAAAAACAAGGGTGACCGTGACCCCTCTGCCCTGGGAGTAGGAGCTTAATTCCCACGTGCTTCCTTTTTGTTAGGTTTTGATCGCATTGAGAACCTGGAAGAGTACACAGGGCTGCGCTGTCTCTGGCTGCAGAGCAATGGAATACAGAAAATCGAAAACCTGGAGGCCCAAACTGAGTTGCGTTGCCTCTTCTTGCAAATGAACTTGCTCCGTAAAATTGAGAACCTGGAACCTCTGCAGAAACTGGATGCTCTTAACCTCAGCAACAATTACATCAAGACCATTGAAAACCTCTGTAAGGGTACCCAGCAAGCAGTGTGTCTGTTTGCCATATGTCCATCACCTTCCCCTGAGGGATGTTCTAAGCTTTTATATTATGGGCAAGAAGTGGTGTTTTTTTTTGTCTTTTTTTTGTTTTTTTTTGAGACAGAGTCTTGCTCTGTCGCCCAGGCTGGAGTGCAGTGGCGCGATCTCAGCTCACTGCAAGCTCTGCCTCCCGGGTTCATGCCATTCTCCTGCCTTAGCCTCCAAAATAGCTGGGACTACAGGCACCCACCACCACACCTGGCTAATTTTTTGTATTTTTAGTAGAGACGGGGTTTCACCGTGTTAGCCAGGATGGTCTCGATCTCCTGACCTCGTGATCCGCCCGCCTTGGCCTCCCAAAGTGCTGGGATTACAGGCGTGAGCCACCATGCCCAGCCAAGAAGTGTTTTTGGTTTTGTTTTGCTTTGCTTCTTTTTGAGATGGGGTCTTGCTCTGTCACCCAGGCTGAAATGCAGTGGTGCAGTTAGAGCTCACTGCAGCCTTGACCTCCTGGTCTCAAGCGATCCTCCCACGTCAGCCTCCCAGGTGGCTGAGACCACAGGCATGTGCCACCAGACCTGGCAAGTTTTTCTACTTTTTGTGGATATGGGGTCTCACTGTGTTGCCCAGGCTGGTCTCAAACCTCCTGGGCTCGAAAGATTCTCCCGCTTTAGCCTTCCAAAGTGCTGGGATTACAGGTATGAACCACTGTGCCTGGCCCAAGAAGCATTTTTATGCCTTTGTTTTTGACTTCTGCTGACCTTACCTTCCAGCCTGCCTCCCAGTCCTGAACACATTGCAGATGGCCCACAATCACCTGGAGACCGTGGAGGACATTCAGCATCTACAAGAGTGTTTGAGGCTTTGTGTCCTTGACCTTTCGCACAACAAGCTGAGTGACCCGGAGATCCTGAGCATTCTGGAAAGCATGCCCGATTTGGTAAAAAACAAAAACAAAAACAACGAAAAAGCACCACAGGAAACCGCTTCTATTATTTTCATCAAATATCAAGTCCTTTTGTCTTTTCTCTCCTTCCTGCCTTCCTTCCCTTTTTCACACTTTTTTCCTCTTTGTGTTTTTAGCTGGAGTATCTGAAATGCCAGTTATCGTATTATTTTACCCACAAATAGTTCAGTGTGTGCCTCTAACAGATAAGGACTTTTTTTTTTTGATATAGAGTTTCGCTCTTCTTGATCAGGCTAGAGTGCTGTGGCATGAACTCCGCCCACTGCAACCTCTGCCTCTGGGTTCAAGGAATTCTCCTGCCTCAGCATCCCGAGTAGCTGGGATTTCAGGTGCCTGCCATCACACCCAGCTAATTTTTGTATTCTTAGTAGATTCAGGGTTTCATCATGTTGTCCAGGCTGGTCTTGAACTCCTGACCTTGAGTGATCCACCCGCCTCAACCTCCCAAAGTGCTGGGATTACAGGCAAGAGCCATTGTGCCCAACCACCACTCAATTAATTTTTCAAGGAAACCAGGTCCTCTGTCTGGTGTTACCCACATTCTGGATTTAGCTGATTGCATCCTTGTGGTGCCACTTAACATGTTCTGCTGGCCCTGGTATTTCCTGTAAAATGATATCGGAGCCAGAGGCTGGATGGTATCCAGGCTCCATATTTCACCTTGAGGTGTGTCAGGTCCTTCCACTGCCAGCTCCTCACATCCGGGAGCGTGTGATGCCTGCTTGCTTCTCCTTTTGTTGTTTTAAGATTCACTAGTGGGTTCAGATATTGTCAGCCTGGTCTAGCCATTATGAAGTTCCCCGTCAGTCCTTCTCCCAGTTATTTTAGCAGTCACTGATGAACATTGCCTAGATTAATTATTTAATGATGAGTCACACAATGACAACTTTCCAGTTTTCTCACTCTCTCAGCATCTGTTAGCTAGAATGCTTCTACACTTCTACAAAGAGCTTTCATTCGCCAACTAGTGGTTCATGCAGTTCATGCAGAAAAGGCCAGGATCAATGTTTGACCCTTTTATTTATCATTTTTCTTTTCTTTTCTTTTCTTTCCTTTCCTTTTCTTTCTTTCTTTCTTTTTTTTTTTTTTTTTTTGAGACAGGGTCTTGCTCTGTCACCCAGGCTGGAGTGCAGTGGTATAATCATGGCTCACTGCAGCCTCAACCTCCTGGGCTCAAGCGATCCTCCCACCTTAGCCTCACAAGTAGCTGGGAGCACAGGTGTGCACCACCACGTCCAGCTAATTTTTATATTTTTTGTAGAGATGGGTTTTGCCATATTGCTCAGGCTGGTTATTTATCAATTTTCAGTAAAATGAATTGAAACCTGGCAACCTCTCATGGTGACAGTGAAACCTTTCTTTTTTTCAGTATCATTATGAACGCATACATTTATATATACAGTATTTGACATGATTTAACTCTCGCTATCACTTTAATTTTTCATGTTCAAATTTTCCCATCCAGGTGAGGTATGGTGGCCCACACCTGTAATCCCAGCACTTTGGGAGGCCCAGGTGGGCAGGTCACTTGAGGCCAGGAGTTTGAGACCAGCCTGGTCAACATGGCAAAACCCCATCTCTACTAACAATACAAAAATTAGCTGGGCATGGTGGTGCACGTCTGTGATCTCAGCTACTTGGGAGGCTGAGGCATGAGAATTGCTTGAACCCAGGAGGCATTGCAGTGAGCCGAGATCTCACCACTGCACTCCAGACAGAATGAGACACTGTGTCAAAAAAAAAAAAAAAAAAAAATTCCCGTCCTTTGGGCTTGAGAACCCGTCAGGTTGCTTCCTATGTCCTTTTGAGTCCTCGCTAGTAGCCTTTGACAGCCTCCTTGCTTCTTAGTGTCTATGTGTTGTCGTGTGTACTAGGAAAAAAATACTAAAACTAGCACACAAAAACCTTGAGTTTATTGTATACCGCTTAGGCTATTGATAAACATGGAGAAAAGTGAGTCAACTGAAAGCAAATCATAGTTCAGGAACAATCTGTAGTGTGTACTATCAAAAGACTAGTTTAGAACTGCAGCACACGGTGAGAATAGAAAGCTCTATTATATTATAATCCCCCCGTTTGTTCGTTTTTGTTTTGGCTGGGGTTGCCATAAGTACCGGGTGGCTTAACCAATACAAATTTATTTTCTCGTGGCCAGGCACAGTGGCTCACGCCTGTAATCCCAGCGCTCTGGGAGGCCAAGGTGGGCAGATCACGAGGTCGGGAGATCGAGACCTTCCTGGCTAACATGGTGAAACCGTCTCTACTAAAAATACAAAAAATTAGCCGGGCGTGGTGGCATGCACCTGTAGTCCCAGCTACTCTGGTGGCTGAGGCAGGAGAATGGCGCGAACCTGGGAGGCAGAGCTTGCAGCGACCCGAGATCGCGCCACTACACTCCAGCCTGGGAGACAGGCAGAGTCTGGCTCTGTCTCCAAAAAAAAACAAAAACAAAAAAGAAACTTATTTTCTCATGATTCTGGAGACTGAAAGTCAAGAGCAAGGTGTGGGCAGGGCTGGGTTCTCCTGAGGCATCTCCTTGGCTGGTAGATGGCCGTCTTCTCCCTGGGTCCTCACATGGTCCCTCCCTCTGTGCCGTGTGTTCTCTGTGTCCTACTTTTTTCTTCTAAGGACACCAGTCAGATTGGATTACGGCCCACCCTAATGGGCTCATTTCAACTTCATCGTGGTTTTAAAAGTCTTATCTCCAAATACAGTCACATTCTGAGGTGCTGAGGGTTTGGACTTTAACATGTGAATTTTGATTAGGACACAATTCAGCCCAGAACGAAAGCAGGTTGCTTTATGTTAATAGTTGTTTCGTGACTGCTTTTAAATCCTCCCAACACCGTTTACCCCTTTATTGCTGCCTGGGTGTATTGCTCCCACCACCCCACCCTGTGCAGGGTAACCACATTTTGAAATGGTTCACCCTCATGTTGCCTTAAGCATTCAACTTCTTTTTTTATTTTCTGAGATGGAGTCTCGCTTAGTCACCCAGGCTGGAGTGCAGTGGCATAATCTCAGCTCACTACAGCCTCCCCCTCCTGGGTTCAAGTGATTTTTCTGCCTCAGGCCCCATGAATAGCTGGGATTACAGGTGCTCACCATGACGCCCAGCTAATTTTTGTATTTTTAGTAGAGATGGGGTTTCACCATGTTGGCCAGGCTGGTCTCGAACTCCTGACCTCAAGTGATCCACCCACCTCAGCCTCCCAAAGTGCTGAGATTACAGGAGTGAGCCACCATGCCCAGCCCCACTAAGCATTAAACTTCTTTGAGTTTCTTAAGGCAGTAGAGGAAGAGACAGTATTTAAAGATGGGGGAGGATGGCAGGTCGGATTGCCGAGCCCCTTCCTCCTCCCTGGTCCTAAGTGACAGCGGGGAGAGCTGTAAGCCGAGGAAGAAGGGCCGTCCATCCTGCGGCACTCAGCAGAGGTAAGCGGGCACTCCCCATCCTTTCCCTTAGTCACTGCTGCTTCTCTGTCTAGCGGCTGTGTGCGTTTTGGTAAAATGGATCCTGGCTGGGAAGAAAAGAAAACAATCAATTAGGCAGAGATTCATTTCAGTAAAAGAGGTTGGGTAGCAAAACTAATATAATCAACTGCACTCAGAAAAAGCCTCAGGAAATGTTTTCCAGTATTGTTCTGGAGGGACGATGAGATCTAAGATCTGAAGTTCATGTGGAAGAAAGGGCTGCTGAATGATCTAGACAGCTCTGATAGCGTGAGAGCAATGGAAACCTTCCGATTTCTCCCATCAAGTCACCAGGACAGGATATTGGCACTTCTATTTTGCTCAAAAAATAGATTTTGTTCATTTATTCTTAGTGCACAGCACATATAAAATAATTCAATCGCATCTTTCAGTAATCATTTTGGTTCTGCTTGTCTTCTTGCAGCGTGTACTGAATTTGATGGGAAACCCGGTTATCAGACAGATTCCTAATTACAGAAGGACAGTCACTGTACGACTAAAGCACTTAACATACCTGGATGATAGACCAGTGTTTCCAAAGGACAGGTAAGAAGAGAAAAGCCTTCTGATCACATTTTAATATTTAGTAGTTGACCATGCTTAATATTAAACTTTTTAAATTTCTGATTCTTGAGAAATTTCACATATCAAAAATGTTCTTTGGAAATAGGCTTGATGGCTACATAATTGACTATAATGGGAATTTGAGCACTTATTCATAGATTTTTTTATATTCCTTTGATAAATATCTTTGTATCAGTCGTTTACCTCTTTGCTGATGAGTTCCTTGGAATGGAATTTTTGGAGTAGTATCACTGCATTGAAGAAAGTGGTTTCAGACTTTGTAAAAACCCTTACAAATATTTTCTAGTTGTTTTCTAGAGAGTTTGTACCAATTTACAACCTCACATAACATAACCATGAAAGGAAATCTTTGCCAAGTTTGTTGATGGGTGAAGATCGTACCCCATTGTTTTAAATTGCCATTTTTGGATAATTGATGAAGTTGGGCATTTTCTTCATTGTTATTGGACACTTATAGTTCCTCCTTTATGAATATTCTGTCAGTGACTTTTTCCAAGTTTCTTTTTGAAGTGCTTCTCTTACCGATTTGTAAGGGCTTCTTTAATATCAGGAACATCGTACCCTGGACTGCCATGTTTATCATCACTGCTTTTATATGTGTTTTTAACTTACTTTTAAATTTAGATCAATTTAGTAATTCTAATTAGAATAAAATATCAGTCATATAGGCTACTTGACGAGATGTATAATCCGAATTTTGCATTATACAACATTTAAAATAAATGTAGCTTGTAATGTGTTTTTAAACTCACAAATTTAAATCAAACTAACAAATATTTCAAATAGAGCTTCCACTTTAGCCAGGTAAGAAAACCAGGGCCGGGCGTGGTGGCTCATGTCTGTAATCCCAGCACTTTGGGAGGCCAAGGCGGGCGGATCACGAGGTCAGGAGATCGAGACCACCCTGGCTAACACGGTGAAACCGCGTCGCTACTAAAAGTACACAAAAATTAGCCGGGCGTGGTGGTGGGCGCCTGTAGTCCCAGCTACTCGAGTGGAGGCTGAGGAGGAGAATGGCATAAACCCGGGAGGCAGAGCTTGCAGTGAGCTGAGATCGCGCCACTGCACTCCAGCCTGGGCAACAGAGCGAGACTCCGTCTCAAAAAAAAAAAAAAAAAGAAAACCAGAAGGCCTGCTCCTGGGAGGTTCAACAGAAATTGACGCAGCTCCCTGGGCCCCAGGTCTGGGGGTGGTAAGGACGGGGAGAGCAGCCAGTGTGCAGGGGTCTGACTCCCAAGCCAGCTCTGCAGCCACGAGCTACGTTACACCCTTGGGGGAGCTCCCTCACCTCCCTGGGCGCACGTTCCTCATCTGCAGCGTGGGGATGAGAATACTGTTGCCACAGGGTCCCTGTGAGCGCCTGTGAGCAACATGCAGGACTCCGAGCAGGTGCTGGGCTCCTAGGAGTGAACCAGTAGGAGCAGCTGCCACTGAAGATCCTGCTCCCGCCCCAGGGGCCATGCTGAGGAAAGTAACATGGATGTTAGCAATAGGAGCCACCGCCCTTTAGAGCATAGCCCAAGACTCCAGCTCAGGAGTCAGATTAACCTGGCTTGAGTCTCTTTTTAGAGACGGGGTTGCACTCTGTCACCCAGGCAGGAGTGCAGTGGTGCAATCACTGCAGCTTCAAACTCTGGGTTCACACAAGCCTCCCAAGTAACTGAGATTACAGGCGTGCACCACCAAACCCAGCTAATTTTTAAGTTTTTTGTAGAGATGGGGGTCTCACTATGTTGTCAAGGCCAGTCTCAAATTTCTGGCCTCAAGTGATCCTCCTGCGTTGGCCTCCCAAAGCTCTGAGGCTCCGAAAGCCTCACAGGCATGAGCCACCACACCCCTGGCATTGAATCTTAATCCAGCCACTGACTAATTGTTTGACACTGGGCACTTGCTGTCATCTAGGATGCAGCAGGTATCTGCTCATCTGTCGTTTTATTAGAGCACTCTCCATGACCTATCTAAATAGTACCTTCTCCACTTGATGTCTCTTCGGCCTGATTTGATTTCCTTTTAGGACACATGAGTCTCTGACATATACTCATTTCTTTGTTTAGGGTCTGTCTTCCCCGACTAAAAGGGCTCCTCTAACAGAGATCAGCTCTTACATTCACTGCTGGGTCCCCAGCCTCTAGAATGGTGACTGGCATGTAGCAGGCAACAGATAGGCCTTTGCTGGCTGTCTGCTCTGAGATCAAAGGGTCTGAGGATTTCTTACTGTGTGGTAAATGGACTGGAACATGGTTTATTCTCCTTGGCATATTCTGTCTCAGTGACTCGTGGTCTTTCTCTGCTATAGTATACTTTGCAACACCCTGTCTGACTATTTCCAAACACCTGTACCTTTGATTTTACAGCAGGGATCTGCTTCTTCTCTCTTAAGGTAAGCCTCCTGTTTTTAAACCACCAGACTTTGTTTTTCAAATAACAACTTTGTTGAGGCATAATTCACATACCATACAGTTTACGTATTTAAAGTGTACAATGTGGCTGGATGTGGTGGCTCACGGCTGTAATCCCAGCACTTTGGGAGGCTGAGGTGGGTGGATCACTTGAGGTCAGGAGACTCCCTCTCAAAAAAAAATAAATAAATAAAAATAAAAAACAAAGTGTACAATGCAATGGCTTTGAGTATATTCACAGAGTTGTGCAACCATCACCACAATCAATTTTAGAACATTCTCATCACCCTAAAAAGGAAATACTGGATGGGCATGGTGGCTCACACCTATAATCCCAGCACTTTGGGAGGCGGGGGCGGGCAGATCACCAGGTCAAGAGATTGAGACCATCCTGGCCAACACGGTGAAACCTCATCTCTACTAAAAATACAAAAATTAGCTGGGTGTGGTGGCGGGCGCCTGTAGTCCCAGCTACTTGGGAGGCTGAGGCAAGAGAATCGCTTGAACCCGGGAGGCGGAGGTTGTAGTGAGCCAAGATCACGCCACTGCACTCCAGCCTGGGTGACAGTGGGAGACTGTCTCAAAAAAACAAAAAAAAAAGAAATACCATCCCCATTAGCAGCCAACCCCCTATTTCTCGCTCCCTGAAGGCCCTGGCAGCCACTCCTCTGCTTTCCCTCTCTGTTGATTTGCTCGTTCTGGACATTTCATATAAATGGAGTCACTCACCATGTGGCCCTGTGTTTCTTTCACTCAGCATCCTGTTGTCAAGGTTCATCTGCGATGCAGCGTGTTCCATCCAGTACTTCATTCCTTTTTATTGCCAAATGATACTGCATTTTGATACACTACATTGTATTTGTCCATCAACTTTCAGAAATTAGGGTTGTTTTCACTTTTTGCCTGTTGTGAATAATGAAGTTTTTGTGTGGACAGCTGTTGTCTTCTCCTGGGTATGTATCTAGGAGTGAAATTTCTGGGTCATACAGGGACTTTACATTTAATTTTTGAGGAGACACCACATGGTTTTCCAAAGCAGCTGCACCATTTTACATCCCCATCAGCAGTGTAGGAAGGTTCCAATTTTCCCGTATCCTCACCAACACTTCGGGTTGCCTGTCTTTTTTTTCCTCTCTCTCTCTCTTTTTCTTTTTTTTTTTTTTTAAGATGGAGTCTTGCCCTGTCGCCCAGGCAGGAGTGCAGTGGTGAGATCTGAGCTCACTGCAACCTCTGTCTCCCAGGTTCAAGCAATTCTCCTGCCTCAGCCTCCCTAGTAGCTGGGATTACAGGCATCTGCCACCACACCCAGCTAATTTTTCTATTTTTAGTAGAGACAGGGTTTCACCATGTTGGCCAGGATGGTCTCAATCTCTTGACCTCATGATCCACCCACCTCGGCCTCCCAAAGTGCTAGGATTACAGGTGTGAGCCACCGCACCCAGCCCTGTCTTTTTATTTCTAGTCCTCTGGATGGTATGCAGTGGTGTCTCATTGTGGTTTCCATCTGCTTTTCCCTGGTAGATAATGATGTTGAGCACGTTTCATGTACTTATTGGCAGTTTTTATATCTTCTTTGGATAAATGCCTGTTCAGTTTCTTTGCTGATTTTTAAAAAATTAATAGACTTTTTTTTTTTTTTGTGGGGGACAGCGTTTTGCTCTGTCACCAAGCAACCCTCCCACCTCTCAGCCTCCTGAGTAGCTGGGACTGCAGGTGTGCACCACCATGCCTGGCTAGTTTTTGTGCTTTTTGTAGAGACGGGGTCTTGCCATGTTGCCCAGGCTGGTCTGGAACTCCTGGGCTCAAGCCATCTGCCCATCTTGGCCTCCCAGAGTGCTGAGATTACAGGCATGAGCCACTGCATCTGGCCTAGACTTTATTTTCAGAGCAGTTTTAGATTTACTGAAAAATTGAGCAGAAAGTAGAGAGAGTTTCCATATACCACCCGCCCTCACTGTTTCCCCTATTTGTAACGTCTTACATTCGTGTGGTACGTTTGTGACAAGCGATCAAGCAATGCTGGTACCTTATTATTGACTGAAGTCCATCATTTCTTTAGGGCTCACACTTGGTGTTGCACACTGTATGGGTTCGGACAAAGGTATCATGTCCTGTATCCCCCATCACAGTATCTCACAGAATAGTTTTACTGCCCTAAAACCCTCTGTGCTCTGCTTCTTCATCCCTCCTACCTCCTCAGCCCCAACTTCTGGCAACACTGATCTTTTTGCTGTCTCCATGGTTTTGCCTTATCTAGAAAGTCATATAGCTGGAATCCTACAGCATATAGCCTTTATGGACTGGCTTCTTTCACTTAGCAAGGAAGTTAGGCTTCTTCCATGACTTTGTGTGGCTTGACAGCTTGTTTCTTTTCATTGCTGAGTGATATTCCTCCGTCTGGGTGTGCCAGAGTTTGTTTATCCATTCACCTACTAAAAGACATCTTGGTCACTTCTAGTTTTTGCCAATTAGAATAAAACTGCTGTAAACGTCCATGTGCAGGTTTGCGTGTGGACATAAGTCTTCAACTCATTTGAGTAAATACTCAGGAGCACAATTGCTGGATCATATGGTGAGAGTATTTTTAGTCCCGTAAGAATCCGCCACACCATTTTCCAAAGTGGCTGTACCATTTCGCATTCCCACCTAGAACAAGTGAGCGTTGCCGGGACTCCACATCCTCATTAGCGCAGCGTTGCCGTGTTTTGGATTTTAGCCATCTTGTAGCCATATCATGTTATCTTATTGTTCTAATTTGCATTTCCCTGAGGACACGTGATGTGGAGCATCTTTTCACAGGCTTATTTGCCATCTCTATATCTTTTTTGGTGAGGTACCCTGATCATTTGCCCAGTTTTTTATTGCGTTGTTTCCTTATCTTTGAATTTCAAAAGTTCTTTGTATGTTTTGGATCCAAGCCCTTTCCCAGTTATCTTTTTTTGCAAATATTTTCTCCCAGTCTGTAGCCTGCCTTTTCATTTTTTTAAAACTTTGCTCATTTTGAAATTGTGTCATCTTTTTATTAATGAGTTGTGAGGCTTATTTATATTTTCCAGGTACAAGACCCTTATCAAATATATGATTTGCAAGTATCTTCTCACATTCTTTGAGTTGTCTTTTTACTTTTTTTCAGTAGAGACAGGGTTTTGCTATGTTGCCCAGGCTGATCTCGAACTCCTGGGCTCAAGTGGTCCTCCCACTTTGGCCTCCAAAGTGCTAGGATTACAGGCATGAGCCACTGTGCCCTGCTGGTTTTTTAAAATAATACTTTATTTATGGTATACTTTGCATGACAAAAATTTTTAATTTTGATGGAGTCCGATTTCTCTATTTTTTCTCTTGTCACTTGTGCTTTTGGTGCCACATCTAAGAAGGCTTTGCAGACTGTTCCACCTTAAATAATAAAATTTACATGTGGAACTTTTATCCTTGCAGTCACATGTCTGATGCTCACTTTGCTTTGATTTTGAAGAAAATGAGCAAGTTGATCAGACAGTGTATGTTTGGAGTTCACCTCCCCTATTTATGTTTCTTTGTTTTTTAAACAGAGCTTGTGCGGAGGCCTGGGCTAGGGGAGGGTACGCAGCTGAAAAGGAGGAGAGACAGCAGTGGGAGAGCAGGGAGCGGAAGAAGATCACAGACAGCATTGAAGCCTTGGCCATGATCAAGCAGCGGGCAGAGGAGAGGAAAAGACAGAGAGAGAGTCAAGAGAGAGGTATGCGCTCGGCCGAAGACAACAGCCCCAGAGTTCCTTTGAGATTAGGCAAGTCTAAGCTCTCAAACCCAGTCTTTAATCTTGGGAATTTTTTTTTTTTTTTTTTTTTTTTTTTAGACAGAGTCTTGCTCTGTCACTGAGGTTGCAAAGTTGGAGTGCAGCAGTGTGATCTTGGCTCACTGCAACTTCTGTCTCCCGGGTTCAAGCAATTCTCGTGCCTCAGCCTCCCCAGAGCTGGGATTATGGGCACGTACCACCATGCCTGGCTAGTTTTTGTATTTTTAGTAGAGATGGGATTTCGCCATGTTGTCCAGGCTCGTCTCGAACTCCTGGCTTCAAGTGATCTGCCTGCCTTGGCTTCCCAAAGTGCTGGGATTACAGGCGTGAGCCACTGTGCCCAGCCTTGGATTTTCTTTTTTTCTTTTTTTTTTTTTTTTTTTTGGTTGGGACAGGATCTTACTCTGTTGCCCAGGCTAGAGTGCAGTGGCACAATCTTGGCTCACTGCAACCTCTGCCTCAAGTGATCCTCTCACCTCAGCTTCCTAAGTGGCTGGGACTACAGGTGTGCACCACCATGCTTAGCTAATTAAAAAAAAGAATTTCTGTAGAGATGGGGTCTTACTATGTTGCCCACGCTGGTCTCAAACTCCTGGGCTCAAGTGCTCCACCCACCTTGGCTTCCCAAAGTGCTGGGATTATAGGCATGAGCTGCTGCACCTGGCCAGGGATTTTTTTAAAACCATTTCCTCACAACCTGCAGATCCATCTGCAGTTGGCCTCACCTACCTGCCAGCACCAGTGAGAACCTCAAACAGTGATGAGCTGTTTCAAACCACTTTTACTGATTGGAACAGTTTTTCAAAATAAATGATGTATTAGTTTTCTGCGGCTGCTGAAAGTAGGAAAACTCAAATAGGTTGTTTTCTTCTCCCACACTCTCAACACTCAGCACACTTGTGGTCACGCAATGTGCAGGGTGTCCCCACACCCACCAATTCTCTGACACCAGCCGGCTGTCCTGCAATTCATTTCCATCCTGACACTAACCGCACAAGTGATGGGCAATGGTCTCGCAAGATGACTCTCCACTTCCAATGCCAACCGCGAGTCTCAGGGTGTCGCCTGTACTTCTAACAGAATGGCTATAAAATTAGGGTTCCCATGACCCTCTCTTTGGGTTTGATAATTTGCTATGATGGCTCACAGAACTCCAGAGAACACTTATATTTTCTGGGTTATTATATTAATAAAGGATAAAATAAGGGATGCAGATGAACAGCAAGATGAAGTGGAGCTTAGGGAAGGGTCTGTGGGAAGGGGCGGAGCTTCATACCCTCTCTGGCCACACCCCGCTCCAGGTAACTCCAGTGTTCAGCAACTTGGAAGCTCTCTGAACCCCACAGTTTAGGGGGTTTTCCAGAAGCTCCAGCACGTGGGCATGATGGATGATTAGCTCCATTTCCAGCCCCTCTGCCCTCTCTGAAGCCCCAGCTGAAAGCTCCAAGCCTCTTATCATGGCTTGGTCTCTGTGCTCCAGAAGCCACCCCACCCCCAAGAGCCGCCCCATTCGAACAAAAGATGTGCCTGTCACTCTGGATGCAGGTCTTAGGAGCTCTGTGTCAGGAAACTGGGGTTGAAGACCAAATATTAGAACAAAAGAGCCTCCTAGCACCCCTATGTACAGGGGTTTTAGGAGCTCTGTTTCAGAGATCTATGTATCTTGTAATTTCACAGCTGCCACAACAAATTACCACAAAATTAGTGGCTTAAAAGAATACAAATCTGGCCGGGTGTGGTGGCTCATGCCTGTAATCCCAGCACTTTGGGAGGCTGAGGCGGGTGGATCACCTGAGGTAAGGAGTTGGAGACCAGCCTGAACAACATGGAGAAACCCCGTCTCTACTAAAAATAGAAAAAATTAGCTGGGCGTGGTGGCACAAGCCTATAATCCCAGCTACTTGGGAGGCTGAGGCAGGAGAATTGCTTGAACCTGGGAGGCAGAGGTTGCAGCGAGCCGAGATCGCACCATCGCACTCCAGCCTGGGCGACAAGAGCGAAACTCCATCTCAAAAAAAAAAAAACCCCACAAATCTGTTTTACCCTATTGCAGTTCTGTGGGTCAGAAGCCCAAAATGGGTTTCACTGAGCTAAAATCGAGGTGTCTCAGGGTTGTGTACCTTCTGGGGGCCCCAGGGGAGAACCCGCTTCCTTGCCTTTCTCACCTCCTAGAGGCCGCCTGCGTTCCCTGGCTCGTGGCCCCTTCTTCCAACTTCCATGCCAGCAGTGTGGCATCTTCCAGCCTCATTCTGACTCTGACGCTCCTGCCTCCCTATTCTGAGGGCTCTTGTGATTCTTTTGAACCTGCCTGGATAACCCAGGACAATTTCCTGATCTCAGGGTTCTAGATCCTAATCACATCTGCACAGTTCCTTTGTCCGTGTAAGGTAACGTATTCATATTCTGACATTAAGGTGTGAACACCTTTGACTAATATTTTTATTTTTATTTTTTAGAGACAGGGCCTTGCTATGTTGGCCAAGCTGGTCTCGAACTCCTGGCCTCAAGCAGTCCTCCCGCCTCGGCCTCCCAAAGTGCTGGGATTACAGACGTGAGCCACTGCACCTGGCCACACATACATTTTTATATAAAAATGGCAGAAATATGTTGCTTCCTGTCTAGTCTTTTGAATTAGCATACTATAACTATTTTCCATACAATAGACATTTTCTTACTGCATATATTGTCTTTTCCTAACTTTTTGTTTTGAAATGTTAAAAATTTTCAGAAAAGCTGAAAGAATAGTAAAACGGATAGCTGTATGTCTGCATTTATTAATAGATTCTGTGGTTTTTCATAATTTGCTACACATTTGCCACATACACACACACACACACACACACACACACACTTTGCTTTTCCCCTGAACCATTTGAAGATAAAGGCAAACGTCACAGCCCTTAAACCCCCAGTGCTTCAGCGTGCATCTCCTAAGAACTGCCTGCATTCTATTTTCTTGATAGCTGTGACCTGTTCCATTAAAGGGCTGTGCTTGGCAGTGCCTTCCGTAGGCATTTGGCTCCCATTATTATCCATTATAAACAACACTAATGAACATCCCTCAAGGATACTTTTTTTTTTTTTTTTTTTTTTTTTTTTAGAGAGTCTCACTTCATCACCCAGACTACAATGCGGTGACTCACTGCAACCTCTGTCTCCTGGGTTCAAGCGCTTCTCCTGCCTCAGTCTCTCTAGTAGCTGGGATTATAGGCATGTGCCACCCCGCCCAGCTATTATTATTTTTTTGTATTTTTTTTTCACTAGAGATGAGGTTTCACCATGTTTGTCAGGCTGGTTTTGAACTCCTGATGTCAAATGATCCACCTGCCTGGGCCTCCCAAAATGCTGGGATTACAAGCATGAGCTACCATGCCCAGCGCCTCGAGGACACTTTTTAAACTATGTTCCTTATTTATTTATAATTTTTTTTGGAGACAGAGTCTCGCTCTGTCTCCCAGGCTGGAGTGCAGTGGCGCGATCTTGGCTCACTGCAGCCTCCACCTCCCAGGTTCAAGCGATTCTCCTGCCTCAGCCTCTTGAGTAGCTGGGGCTACAGGCACGTGCCACCACATCCGAGTAATTTTTTGTATTTTTAGTGGAGATGGGGTTTCGTCATGTTGGCCAGCCTGGTTTTGAACTCCTGGCCTCAAGTGATCCACCCTCCTCGGCCTCCCAAAGTGCTGGGATTACAGGCACGAGCCACCGCGCCCAGCCCCTTGAGGACACTTTTTTAACTGTGTTCCTGACCTTTTCCCTGGTCTCAGAAGTTTGCTGTGAGCCCTTGATGTACCCACAAACACCCTTGTCCTCCCAGGACACTCCCACATTCACCTTTGCATTTTCTGCCATTAGGGGAGATGACATCTTCAGATGATGGTGAGAATGTGCCCGCCAGTGCGGAAGGCAAGGAGGAGCCTCCCGGGGACAGAGAAACAAGGCAGAAGATGGAGCTATTTGTTAAGGAAAGCTTTGAGGCCAAGGACGAGCTCTGCCCGGAAAAGCCAAGTGGAGAGGAGCCGCCTGTGGAGGCTAAAAGAGAGGATGGAGGTCCAGAGCCAGAGGGGACCCTCCCAGCTGAGACCCTGCTACTGTCGTCACCTGTGGAGGTTAAAGGAGAGGACGGAGATGGAGAGCCAGAGGGGACCCTCCCAGCTGAGGCCCCACCACCCCCGCCACCTGTGGAGGTTAAAGGAGAGGATGGAGATCAAGAGCCAGAGGGGACCCTCCCAGCTGAGACCCTGCTACTGTCACCGCCTGTGAAGGTTAAAGGAGAGGATGGAGATCGAGAGCCAGAGGGGACCCTCCCAGCTGAGGCCCCACCACCACCGCCCCTGGGAGCTGCCAGGGAAGGTAATGTGAGCGGAGAAACACACACAGACACACACACCTCTCAGGGAGCCCCAGCCTTCGACTCACGTCTCTGTGGGACCTGGGGCCTGAGTTTCACTTCTTCTGTATTGCTGTTTCTAGAAGATAATGGACACTAGTTATCTTGTTTTCTAGAACAGGGCTGCCCAACAGAAATGGAACAGGAGCCACTACTAGATTCTCTAATAGCTCTATTTAAAAAAGCAAAAGGAACTTTGGGAGGCCAAGGCAGAAGGACTGATTGAGGCCAGGAGTTTCAGACCAGCCTCAGAAATACAGAGACCTCATCCCTACCAAAACTACAAAAATTAGCTGGGAATTGTGGTGTGCCCCTGTAGTCCCAGCTACTCAGGAGGCTGAGGCAAGAGGATTGCTTGAGCCCCAGAGGTTGAGGCTGCAGTGAGCCAAGATTGTGCCACTGCACTCCAGCCTGGGTGACAGAGTGAGACCCTCCCTCAAAAAATAAATTGATTAATAAATTAATTAAAAAGTAAAAAGTAAAAAAACAGTAAAACTATTAATGACATGTTTAATTTAACGCAATATATAAAAAATATAATCATGTTAACATGGAATCAATATAAAAATTATCAGTGAGCTATTTTACTTTTTTCAAAAATTAAGTCATCAAAATCCAGTATGTATTTGACATGGCTGAACGGTAACTTTTTACTGGTGAAAGGTAGGCCATTCATCTCTGACATAAACGAAGCCCCGAGAGCAATGGAGGGATCAGAGCACAGGACCCAAGGATACAGCCCGGGGGAAAAGTAGGGGCAGGCCTTGCGAGGTGGCTCACACATGTAATCCCAGCACTGTGGGAGGCCGAGGCAGGCAGATTGCTTGAGGCCGGGAGTTCGAGACCAGCCTGGCCAACATAGTGAGAAGCCCCCTTCCCCGCAACCCCCAAGCCTCTACAAAAAACAATAAATTAGCTGGGCATAGTGGTGACCACTTGTAGTCCCAGCTACTTGGGAGGCTGAGGTGGGAGGGGAAGGGGATGGGAGGTCGAGGCTGCAGTGAGCTGAGATTGCACCACTGCACTCCAGCCGGGGTGACAGAGTGAGACCCTGTATCAACAAAATAAAAATAAGTAAATAAAAAGGAAAAGTAGGGGCCTGGATGAGGAAGGGGCTCCTCGCGATTCCACATTCCTCAGGCGATCTCACAGTTATGAAACTGCACAAGCTCTGACCCTGGTGCAGCAGGAGGGGCGTGTGCCTGGCTGAGGGACAGGCTGGCGGTGGGCTGTGAAGCCTGCCCCTCCGTCTCTGAGCGAGTCGCCCCTGCTGGCATCCCTTGTCACCCTGCAGTCGGCTGCCATTTCCAAGATTCCTGCGGCTGCTGCTTTGACTCCTGGCCGGTGCTCTTCATCTCATGGGATTCGCCTCCAGATTACAGAAAAGGGCAGCCGTTCCGTTCTTTTTCCAGCAGACAGAAGCCTGTGGTGAGCTGCCGTGTTTGTCATGGAGGCTGGCCTTTGGGCCCTGAGGAGGGTTTTTGTCTTTTTTTTTTTTTTTTGAGATGAAGTCTCGCTCTATCACCCAGGCTGGAGTGCAGTGGCACAATCTCGGCTCATTGCAACCTCCCTCTCCCAGGTTCAAGCTATTCTCCTGCCTCAGCCTCCCAAGTAGCTGAGACTACAGGTGCCCGCCACCACACCTGGCTAATTTTTGCATTTTTAATAGACACGGGGGTTTCACTGTGTTGGCCAGGCTGGACTCAAACTTCTGACCTTGTGATCCGCCCACCTTGGCCCCCCAAAGTGTTGGGATTACAGGCATGAGCCACCGAGCCCGGCCCTTGGGAGCCCATCTTCACCGTAGGCTCGTCCATCTGCCTGCCGTGTGTTAAACTAACTCCAAGACTTGTTGTTGCTCTTTAGAACCGACTCCCCAGGCTGTGGCCACTGAGGGTGTATTCGTTACAGAACTTGATGGAACGAGAACGGAAGATTTAGAAACCATTAGACTGGAGACAAAGGAGACATTCTGCATTGATGTACATGAAGTATTTAATCTTGGAGATAAGTATCAGTTTTACTGTTAGTAAAATAGGTAATCAGATGCAGACTTTGGAGACCCTCGATACCCCAAGTGTGGTCCTTGGGCCGGCAGGCCTGGCATTTCTGGGGCGCTGGTTAGAAATGCAGACTCCCAGGCCTCACCCCAGGCCCACTGATTAGAATCCAACTTTCATGCACTGCCCTAGGTGATTCGTGCACATGCATGCTCAAGTTTGGGGAGCCCTGACCCAAATCGCTACCCTTGAACCATGTCTACCAAACTCTTGATTCCTTTTTGCCAAAGAAGCTATCTTGCTAAGTGGTTCTGACTAGTTGCCTTATCCAAATTCGTGGTGAGAGTTACATTGTATCATCAGTTACATTGTATCTTTATACATTGTATCTTTTCCCCCCTCCGTGGACACCGCCCAGCAGGTAGCTTAGGCTCTCACTGGCCTTCTGGCTCATGGAGGTGTGACGGTTCAGTGTCCCATCCCCTTGAGTGAATGTTTGATCGCAGCCTTGCCTGTCACTCTTCCCTGAAGCTCTTCCCATTTTGTTGACAGTCTCAAATGCTTAGGCCCACAAGAATGGTACCATGGGAATTCACACATTGTCTCACAACCCCCCAAGAACTGTCCTTTGATGGGGCACGAATAGGAGAGGCATTTCTGGGTACCTCTGACCTTATACCTTGGAGAGGTGGTCCCCTGCCCACTTCCTTGTTAAACTTCTTCTAAACTGGTGTTTCTAATGTTCAAACTTCAGAATTTCACATGGCCCAGTAGGAGTTAAAGTGATCGGCCAGGCATGGTGGCTTACGCCTGTAATCCCAGCACTTTGGGAGGCCGAGGTGGCTGGATCACGAGGTCAGGAGATCGAGACCATCCTGGCTAACATGGTGAAAACCCATCTCTACTAAAAATAGAAAAAAATTAGCCAGGTGTGGTGATGGGCACCTGTAGTCCCAGCTACTTGGGAGGCTGAGGCAGGAGAATGGCAGGAACCTGGGAGGTGGAGCTTGCAGTGAGCCGAGATCACGCCACTGCACTCCAACCTGGGCGACAGAGCGAGACTCCATCTCAAAAAAGAAAAAAAGAGTTAAAGTGATCACGGTCAGAATTCACAGTGGGTTTCTAGTTTTCTGGAGCTATGTAAAAAAAAGAAACAAAGGCCAGGTGTGGAGGCTTACACCTGTAATCCCAGCACTTTGGGAGGCCAAGGTGGGTGGATCACATGAAGTCAGGAGTTTGAGACCAGCCTGGCCAACATGGTGAAACCCCATCTCTACTAAAAATACAAAAACATAAAAAATAAAAAAAATAAAATTAGCTGGGCGTGGTGGCAGGTGCCTATAATCCCAGCTACTCGGGAGGCTGAGGCAGGAGAACTGCTTGAACCTGGGAGGCGGAGGTTGCAGTGAGCCAAGATCTCACCACTGCACTCCAGCCTGGGCAACACAGCGAGACTCTGTCTCAAAAAAAAGAAAAAGAAAGGGACATAATTGGGCAATTTATCTCTCACATTTGAGAACTGACCATATAGATAACTACAACACTAATAGCTAATGTTAATTGGTTTCTTATTATATGGGTGACACCATTCTAAGCATGACTTGTATTGATTGATGTAACCCTTCCTACAACTCTAAGCAGTACATACTATTATCATCCCAATTTCCCAGATGAGGAAAATGAGAAACAGAGAGGTTAGGCAACTTGCCCAAAGCCAGACAGCTAGAAAATGGTGGTGGGGGAGTAACAACCTAGGCACCGTGGCTCCAGTTCATGCATCCAACCACACACTATGCTGCCTCCCCAACCACGCACTGGTTGTTATGGACAAAGATACCGAACAAACACCCACAATACAAAACAAAAAAGTCCTACAAGTTTTGGGGAGGTACAAAATATATTACTTTTATACCACATAGAGTTTTCGGACTAGTTTGTACAGAGGTGCATTTGGTTTGGGTCCCATTATTTCCCCCAAGATGAACTGGCTGTGTCTCTTAATAAAAAAGCAGAAAAAAGATGTGGAAATTCTTTAAACACGTCACACCTTGCAAGTTCCCTTTCATTTATTAGATCCAGACACCTGAGGTGGCAACGCTTGCTTTGTGTGTATCTAGAGTTCCTTTTGGTGGGGAACAGGCAGGCGAGTCACCTGAGTGATTTGAGTAACTGTAACTAAGGCTGGGTTGACTGCGTGTTTGCCTTTATCGTGCCTATCAGAACGTTGACAGTGCGTGTACCTCCCTGGTGATGTGCGGCTCACTTGCTCTTTCAGGACCTACCTGACTTGGAAGATGATGATGAAACAGGCAAATCTCTGGAAGACCAGGTTAAGGTCATTAGAAACCATTTTCCCACAGGCAGCTTAATTCCACCTTCGTTCTTGTCGTTTACCGTTTCTCTCCTAAACTTGAAAGTAAAATGTTCCCTGTGCATAAAGCATTGAATTCCCCCATATTCTTTTTCTTTTCTTTTCTTTTCAGGCAGAGTCTGGCTCTGTCACCCAGGCTGCAGTGCAATAGTGTGTTCTTGGCTCACTGCAACCTCCACCTCCTGGGTTCAAGCAATTCTCCTGTCTCAGCCTCCCAAGTAGCTGGGATTACAGGCATGAGCCACCACGCCCAGCTAATTTTTGTATTTTTAGTAGAGATGGGGTTTCTCCATGTTGGCCAGGCTGGTCTCGAACTCCTGACCTCAAGTGATCCACCCGCCTCAGCCTCCCAAAGTGCTGGGATTACAGGCGTGAGCCACCGCACCCAGCCCACATCCCCCATATTTTCACCTTGCTGAAGGAAATGCCATTTGTTCTTGTTCAATTTCTTTAAGATTTTATGATGAACCACTTGAAAATCTATTGCTGGTTTGTAACAGCTGAGTACAGTGCATAGTTAGCTGAAAGTACTTTCTGTCATTAAGATGTATTTCTATGTCCATCCTATGAATGTCTGTCTGAATATAGGGGAAGGAAATGAAAACAGGAGAGGGGAAAGAAAGGGGTGAGTCTGTGAGGCACAATGGGGAATTCTCTCAGAGTGACGTGACCCTACTCCACCCAGAGGCCATTACTGGCATTACCAGGAGCCCACACGTGCCAGACCCGTACCCTGAGGGAGAAGGAGGCATCAGCCATCATCTCTGAGCACGAGCTCAGCAGCAAAGAAAACAGACACAGTTACTGTGGGGGGCCTGCTGTCCAAGGAGCTAAGTCCCAGAGAGTCTGTGAAGGAAACGGGGTTCAGGGGCATGCCAAGCAGAGCCCAGGGCTCAGGGGTGCGCCCTCTCAGGTACCAGGAGGGTGAGGAATAGCCAGTGGCTGGGGGAGCAGAGGGCAGAGAGAAGGGCATAGACATGAGCTGTGCCCAGGGAGTGGCCACCCCCAGGCCTAACTTTCAGAGTCCTGTGTTCCCTTGGGCCTTTCTTGGATGTGGCAACAGAATACTTTGTGACATTGGGTGAAAAAGCAGAACTGGCATGGTGCATTGTAGAGCGATTCTGTTGTGAAAACAGAAACTTTCAGACACCTTTTCTTCTGTAAATAGAATATGTGCTTTCCGAAGATTGAGGTCATCTCGAGCTTGAGTGATGACAGTGACCCTGAACTGGACTACACGTCACTCCCTGTGCTGGAAAACCTCCCCACAGACACTCTGTCAAATATATTTGCAGTCTCTAAAGACACCTCAAAGGCGGCTCGGGTGCCCTTCACAGACATCTTTAAAAAAGAAGCTAAGAGGGACTTGGAAATCCGAAAACAAGACACCAAGTCCCCAAGACCCCTGATCCAGGAGCTCAGCGACGAGGACCCCTCTGGCCAGCTACTGATGCCCCCCACCTGCCAAAGAGATGCTGCACCACTCACTTCCAGTGGAGACAGGGACAGCGACTTCCTTGCAGCCTCTTCTCCGGGTAAGAGCGTGGGGCCGAGAGCACAGTGGAGACAATGTTGGCTCCCCGGCCTGGGATGGGTGGGGCAGGGCAGTCACTCAGCCTTACCCTGAGCTTTCATGTTGCTGGAGGGGTCACCCAGGACAGACCACACAGATCCTCTGAAGGTCCCATTCCTGAGTTCACGGGTCTGAAGCTGCCACTTGCTGGTAGCCAGCCTGGGCCAGGAAGCCACCGAGCCAGCCTCCTCTTGGGCAGCCGAGTCTGACTGTGTGTGGGGGTCACAATCCCCCTGTGGTCATGCAGATCTCCTGGGGCGGGGGCCTAATGACCGTGCATTTCCACCCCCTCCTCACCATCCCTGGCCTCAGCCTTTCTAGACCAGGGCTTTTGGAGGGGACCACCAACACCACTGCTGGGGAGTGTGGGGCAAGCGAGGTGACAGCCACACAAGGGCGTGGCTGCTTCACAGTGACCCAGGCCCGGGTGAATCACAGGCCAGTCCTAGTGGCCTTCAAGGCAGGGAAGGCAAAGGGGCAAAGGGGCACCAGGCAGGGACGGCAGCCAGAGGCCTGGCTGCAGAAGACCCAGAAAAACATGCTGAATGTACCGGGGCCTCCCCTCATACTGCAGGCTGGTACATGTGCCTGGCAGATGCGGTTTTGGGGAGCAGCCGGTTAGTGCTGAGAACAAGCAAGCTGGGACTGTTTTTTCATTCAGCATCTGCCTTCAGGTGCACTCCCAAATTGGGGGCTGTGTGGAGCCCAGACCGTGCTACTCTCATCCAGCACGCATCGGTGGCCAGGCTTTTTCCTGAAGACAGCTGCCTGGCTGACTCCAGACTTGCAGGCAGGAAGCAGGGAGTGGCCTGAGTGCATTTCCCGGGAACACTGAGTGGCCTTCTCTTCCACTCTAGGAACCAGCACAGAAAAGTGCAGTCTGAGCTGGAGCCCGTGCAGCCTCGGGCGGGGGCAGGCCTGGAGGACGTTGAATAATTTGTTTTTGTTTGTTTTGTTTGAGACAGTCTCGCACTGTGGCCTAGGCTGGAATGCAGTCATGTGATCTTGGCTCACTGCAACCTCTGCCTCCTAGGTTCAAGCAATTCTCCTGCCTCCGCCTCTGAAGTAGCTGGGATTACAGGCACCCGTCAAGGGATTTTCCTGCCTCAGCCTCCCCAGTAGCTGGTATTATAGGGGCCTGCCACCACGCCCAGCTAATCTTTGTATTTTTAGTAGAGATGGGGTTTCACCATGTTGACCAGGCTGGTCTCGAACTCCTGACCTCAGGTGATCTGTTTGCCTCGGCCTCCCAAAGTGCTGGGATTACAGGTATGAGCCACCACGCCCAGTTGAGGACACTGAATTTGGCCTGGACTGAACCCCAAGGCTGCCCCCCTGTCCTTGCAGTCACAGTGACAGGGAGAAAGCACAGGTCACCCTTCCTTCCACAGTGCCGACTGAGAGCGCCGCCACACCCCCAGAGACGTGTGTCGGAGTTGCCCAGCCCAGCCAAGCTCTGCCCACGTGGGACCTCACTGCATTCCCAGCACCGAAAGCATCATAGTTTTCCCCAGTTATATGTAGCATAAATGGTTTAATCATAAATGTCTCCCTTAGGCATGATAAACATTTTAACACCCACGCGAGTCAGTGTATGATTGGGCTAGCTCCTGTTTGTGTGAGTCACATGCAATTCCTTTCACCAGCCAACCTGAAAAAAGACCTTTCTCTTACTATGTCATCAGAAACCAGACAGACCCGGGTCCCTGCAAAATCTCAAGTGAGCATTTTCCCCACAGGAAAACAGAATCTTCCACTGCAGCTAGAGAAACTCCGAGGAAGAGGGACTTGATGCTTTAGACATCAAAATGAGAAGGGGAGGGAGGAAAGAAAGGGGGGAGTCTGTGAGGCACAACAGAGAATTCCCCCAAACTGACATGACCGTGACCCTCTGCTCAGAGGGCACTATCGACAGCCCACAGGTGCCAGACCCATGTCCCAAGGGAGAAGGAACATCAGCCATCATCTCTCTGCATGAGCTCAGTGTCAGGTAGTAGCTGTGGCGGGACGCTGTCCAGCCTAAAAAACGTGACCATTCCAATTCATCTTCAGCTGCCAAGTGTATTTAGTCCCTGAACCTGGATCCAAGGCATCTCCCTGTAGGAAACATCAGACCGGGGCAGAGATTGACAAAGCAACCCACAACAGCAGCTGCCAACGGCCGCTGTGCCCACCTCATCAGCAGCTCTGCAGGGGCCTCACTCCACCCTCACCAAACACGAGGAGCCAGCACTCCTGGCCCCCATTCCACTGGACAGGAAGGCGTGAGAACTGAGGGACCTGCCTGAGGCCCCCACAGCTGAGGCGCAGCGGAGCCCTGCCTCCCAGCACAGACTAAAATCCCAGCAACACAGGCCCACCGGCACCTCCAGCCTGCCTTGCGGGATGATCTTCAGGCGAATATACAAAATACAAAAGAAACTACTACTGTATTTTGTTGCCCTGTCCCTTCAACTTGGCTCCAAATTGCTTGGCTCATCATCACAGTGGCCTCCAGAAGGTGGCGAGCTCTGCTTCTCAAGTTTCAACTGTGGAAGGCACATCTGGTCCCAGAGGAAGGATGAGGGGCTCTCTGGGGCTTGAGGGCAGCCCACCTTGTGTCCTCAGAAGCCCATTCGAGGCTTCTTCCGGAGGGGCTGAGAGCTAGAGAGGACGGGTGTGTGCTGCTGGGAGCGAGTGGCCCGGACGCTGGAGGCCTGGGAGTGGGGAGGTGTGGTGGCACAGCCTGGGGTGTCCCTCTGGGGTGGTAGCTTGGCCATGTAGTCACGGAGCATCTGCCGCTGCTCTGATGGGACGCCCTGGGCGCATGCATCCGGAGTCAACTCCTGGGAGGGCGGGGTCGTGGGGGGCAGGGGCAGAGCATCAGCAGGTGGCCACTCAGGGCTATGAGGGGAGCTGGTGTCCTCTGAGGGATCCACATGGCCACTGAGCGAAAAGCTGCTGGACAGCTGGGTCCGGCGCTTGGGCCGCCTGGTCTGTCTCCCGGGCTCCGAGGTCCTGCCCTGCTGCCTCTCCCACCAGGCAGCCCCTCGGCCTGCCCAGGCTTCCCCCAGGCGCTCACTGAGCTTGTCCTCTAGGCCTGACTCGGGTGCAGGGGGTGGCTCTGCCGCAGGGAGGGAGCCCAGGTCTCTCTGCAGCAGGAGCTGCCCTCGGGCCATGGCCTTGCGGAGCACACCCAGCCGCTGCCCTTCCTCTTCCTCCCTCCGCAGCTCTGTGCTGCCCAGCATCTGGCGGTGGGTGAAGGTGGGTGCTGTCCACACAGGAGGAGCCAGGGGCACTTTTAGCAGGGCCTTCAGCCACTGGCTGCAGCCGGCAGTGTCCTGGGAGGTCCAGGAAGCTGTGGGGGCATGGCAGTCAGGTTGGGTGTCGCCAGGAGGCCCAGCATCTCTGCGGAGGCTGGAGTCCACCTGGGGGCGGAGCTGCTGGTAGAAGACATCTCCCGCCGCCGAGAGCTGGAAGAGCACCAGGCCTGGTGTGGGCGCTGAGGGCAAGGGCGGGACGACGGCAGCCAGACCTGGTGACGGGAATGACAATGACCTCCAGGGCCTAGCGGGGGGAGGGGATGTTTTCCACTGCGCCCCCCAAGCTCACTCCCCCACCCAGCACACCTATGGTCGGTGCTTTCAGGCGCTCCTGCAGCCGCCACTGGATCTTAGGCTCCAGCAGAGGAAATGCAGGGAGGGAGTCGATCCTGGAAGGAAGAGACTGGGGGGGGCCTGCCAGGCGGGGCACCGACGCCCCTTCTCCTGAGGAAGGACAGACAGCTGAGGCCCTGTCCAGGCCCCGACCGCCCCATCTCCCACACGCCGCCCACCCTGGCCTGGACCCTCACCTGCCAGGTGCAGCAGCTGCAGCTGCCCACCCTGGCCTCCGAGGAGCAGGGGCTGCACGCAGCTGGGCCGGGGCGGAGGCAGCAGTCGGGCCAGCAGGAGCGGGGAGGGGAGGCCATGGTTCCACTTCAGCATCGGCACCAGGGGAAGGCGCTCGTCCACTAGGTAGAGAGAGAACTGGGGCCCGAGAAGGAAGGGGGATGTGGCCGAACTTGGGAGCTGAGCTGTGTAGTGGCCCTCCAGGCCCCATGTGGCTCTCCAGGTGAGTGCAGAGCCCTGAGGGGCAGCAGCATCTCCCATCAGCCTCCACGTGCCTCTCAGACTTCACCTGCCAGCCCTGAACAGGTGCCGCTTCCTTCACCAATTCTGACCGACAGTCCGGTGGACAGACAGAACAAGTGGGAAAGGGGTGCTCAGAAGAGGTGTGGGGGAGCCTTGCCAGCAGAAACCTGCCTGGCCTTCTCGCAGCCACCCCCACTCTCCTGACCCGGGAGCCTGTGCTCGAGGCACGCCTACGAATGTCCCCGGGAGGGCGGGTGGAGGACAGACCTGCTTCCTCAGAGCCCCCGCCTCCTGCACAGCAGAAACTCTCCAGCTCTGCACGGAAGCCCCACCCCGAGGCCCCTCCTCCCCTGCTCCACCCCTGGCTGCACCTCGAAGCTCTACTAAGGGGAGGCCCTGGGAGAGCTTCCCCACCTGCCTGTTAGCACCGACTGTGGGATCCACTGCGTGTTTGGGCCACAGATTCATCCAGGGTTGAGTTTGGTTTGCTGGGTGGTTGTCTGGGCCCAGCAGAGCCGCTGGTAAGCAGCAGCCTCTAGTGACCATCTGAGACAGAGCAGAGGTGGGGCGGGGCGGTGTTGTGTGCCACTCACCTGGGTACAGACGAGATGAAGAGTAGGGGGGAGGCATTTGGGGCTGGAGTGCCCCAGGTACTGGGTAAGCAGGACACGTTCCCCTTTCTGGCACGAAGCCTCTGCCCCCAAACGAAAAAGCAACAGACCACAGCCCGGCGGGCCCTGGAAGATAAACACAGGGTCAGCCCTCCCCACAGTCCCAGGCCGGTGACGCTGTCCTCGCCCAGGCCGCAGCCAGCCTGGGACTCACCGCTCTGCGGCCGCTCCCGCAGTCGGGGTGGGTCCTCTGCCGCCAGCCCGTACCTGAGTGTCCAGCATCTTCACTCCGGTGCGGTCACCCACGGTCAGCACCCGAGGGTGCGCAGTGAAGTCTGCCCAACGCCACGAAGAGGAGTCCCGGAACACGAGGGTCTCAGGGTCCCTGTAGATTTGCCGCAGCCTTGGGGAGACAGGCAAGCCGTGGGCAGGGGGACAGGCTGATGGGGAAGGGGCTCAAGGGTCGCGACATGCTCAACAGGGCGGAGTTCAGTTCGTTAGGGTGGGGGGTTTCACAGGAAGCGGCGATACCCATCCTCAGGGCTCCACAGGCAGACGGCTCCCGAGCGGCTGCAGATGGCCAGCTCCCCGGGCAGGTGAGGGCTACAGGGCAGGAATGCATTCACATCGGGCTGCTCAGCCCTGCCTCCAGCCCCTCCTCACCGACCAACCTGACCCCCCTCACCTGAGGCTGATCCCCGTGGCCCCTTTCTCCACCTGCATTGCCTGCAGAAGGGTTGGCTGCCACTGTTTACCAAACTTCCACACGGCACAGTGGTAGTCAGAGCGGACGGCCAGCAGAGCTGAGGAGGGATGGAAAGGGCCAGGGGTCAGGTAGCAGGTCAGCCAGTGAGGGAGGAAAGTGTATATAAGGGCCTTACTTTCTCCCTGGACGGTGCATGTCACCACTTGCCGGACAGGTCCCTGGAGCTGGATGCGTCCAGGTTTCCCAAGGAATTGGGGATTGTCACCTGGGGTCAGAACGACCTCTTGGAAATCTGGGCCTCTCACTAAGGATCAGTGCACGAGCTATGATCACTGCAAGCCCCCCAAATTCCTGCCCTTCTCTGGACCATGCCAAGAGCACCTCCTCTACCAGAGGCGAGCCCGCTGGAATCTCCTGTCTCGCAAGAAAGGATACGCAGCCTGTCCTGGGCGCCTCCAGCAGGGTAGACCAGCTGCCCGAACTGGGGTGTCCTTCCAGGAACCCAGGCCAGCGCGCCCCCAGTGCAGGCCTCATCCAGAAGCAGCTGCTCCCACCGCAGCACCAGCTCCTCGTGCAGCAGCTCTGCCAAGTGGCTCGCCACCGACGTGCCCAGGATGGGGCCCCCGAGGATAGAGAAGCGGCGCTGTCGGTTGCTGAGGTAAGCCCAGGGACACCTGGGGACC
Organism: Homo sapiens; assembly: GCF_000001405.40. Taxonomy (NCBI): domain Eukaryota; kingdom Metazoa; phylum Chordata; class Mammalia; order Primates; family Hominidae; genus Homo; species Homo sapiens. The sequence continues at coordinate 84,182,450 of NC_000016.10, forward strand.
AGAGAACAGCAGGAGGATCACTCGGTGGCACTCAGGGGAGGACAGGTCCCATCCCAAGGAGGCCAAGTGCAGTGGACACATTTCTTATTTACCTAGAATTTCTTCCTTTGGGAGACCACCCCATCCTGTTCCCATGCCCCGGAAGCAATCATGTGACCCAGACCTGGCCACCAACAATATTCCATTGCCCTTGCCACAGTGACTGGTTCACAGATGGGTGTGAGACCCAAGCCAAGCCAACCAAAGTCCTTTCTGGGACTTCTGGTGCCGCAGGAAGGACACTGGCTCTTTCCTTAGATCATAAGCCATCTTGCTGCTACCTAGAGACAGCCTGTCTAGGGAACTGTGCAGGGAGAGGCAAGTGGACGAGACAGGAAAGAGAGACACAGCTCTATGAACATTATTTGAACACCTGGATGCAGCTGTGCCTGAACTCCACAAATGTAAATCTGCTTTCCCCTGAGATGATTTGGAGTTGGAAGTCTGGTATAAGAAAGTACAGCTCAGACTGCATGGAGCAGGGGGGAAGTGGGTATGACGGAAAGCTGTACGTGCGTCCTAGCACCTCCTACATCCCCACCACCAGCTATGCCTATCCATCTCCTCCTTTCTCATCAGCCACTTGCCCCCAGGGCTGGTGTCCACCGAGGTCCTGGAGCAGCTTCTTCACACTGACCACTGTCTTCTTCTTAGTGCGGCTCTGCATGGAAAGGCCTTGTCAGGCTCACACACCCTCGAGTTCACCCCTGAAGGACAGCAGGGAGTCCCCACCCCTGGAGTCACGGGCCACTCACCCCCGCTCCCTCCAGCTTGAAATTCTCCAGCATCAGCTTCCCCAGGGGCGCAAAGGCTACGTCTCCATGATCCAAGAGGAACCGGCTGATCTGGGGAGAAGAGGAGGCCAGGTCACTAAGCACAGTCTCCAGGCTACGCAGCACTGTCCCCCGTGGGCCCACTCACCTGCTCAGTCACATCCAGCACGACTCGGGGCCGCTTCCGATACCGGCACCCTCCGCGGAAAAGCAGGTCCCGGGCAGTCAGGCCAGGGTCCCAGGGATCTGAGAAGGAGGTTACGGAAAGGGCTGGGGAGGGCACAGGAGTGCGGCCAGATGCCCTGGGCGACTGGAGGTATCCAAGGGTCCTGAGCAGGCACAGGCTTAGCAGGGAGAGGAAGGTCTCAGGAGCGGGAGCAGTGGGAAGAATAGGTGGAGCAGTGTGGAGTGAGCCCGGGGGAATGAGACCCTTACCGATGAGGGGAGGCAGCATGGGGAGAGGCCCAGGGGTTGCCGGCTCCCACAGCAGGTCCTTGGTCACATGCAGTGCCCCATTCTGAAGGGAGGACAATCGCAAGGACAGTATCATGATGAATGCCCTCCCTGGGCCAGGCTGTGCACAGGCATTCATCTCTTATCAACTCATCCAATCCTCACAACAATCCTGCGAAGCTGGGATGACTGGCATTGTCATTTTACTGCTGAAGAAACTGAGGCACACTGCCATTTGCCCCAGAAGACAGAGCCGGTAAAGAGAAGAGCTGGGATGTGAACCCAGGCAGCCTGACCCCAGAGCTCCTGTTTCCGACCTCCACCTGTGCTGGCTCTCAAAGAAGGAAGCCCCTCATGCCACCAGTGGCTGGTCCACATCTCACGTAACCTCACTTCCATTCAGGAGACCTTGCAGTCACTCTGGGAGCCCGGCAGGCGGCTCCACCTCCCTTTGCTGGGCTGGCCTGGGATGTTTCGGCCCAGACATTCAGGGGACAAAAGAGCTAGGAAACCAGACTCCCAGAGGAGCCCCAATTTGACGCCAGACCCTCCCTCGTAAGGATGCCATCCCTGACCCCCGTTCCCCAAGCCTCTGCTCCACTGTCTCTCTTTTTATTTGCTCACCCACTTGCCTCTGCCAGGCTTCATTCCCAGACAGGGTGTTTCCAAGGGGAACTAGGCGGCTGAGGATTCCAAGCAAAGGGCCAGTGTCCCTCCAGAGGCAGCAGAAACCCTGCAGGTCTATCCTCCCCTCTCCCAACCCTACTATGCTGTTTCAGCATCCTTCTGCTTTCATTCCAAGCTCTGATCACATTTTGTAAACACCTTATCCATTGGATAAAGTTCACTTGTTTATTCTCGCTCAACTCAGCTCTCCGTTCCAGGAAGGGAGGGGTCAACCGACTGATTCAGGCAGCATTCTCACGGTCTCATAAGGGACCCGGCATAGTGGGGGCATCCGTCTAGGGATGGCAGGGTAGCCCATGTACCCCAGAGGAGGTGGCAGAGCCTGTGTCTCAGCAGACTCGTGTGAATGCCACCACTCTGTGGCCTTGTCAACTGATGTGAATGTGAGACGGGGGACCCAGGGAAGGGATGTCCCTGGAGCTGCCAGGGCCCCCTGCCTGCATCCTCACCTCTGAGTTCTGGGGCTGGGCCTCTGGCAGAGTCAGTGCGTCTCGCCAGCTGCACATGAAAGAGAGGTCAGGGACGTCGCTCAGACCAAGGGGGCCGGTCAGAAACAATGCAGGGCGGAGGGAGCTGGGGAAGTCCATCCTGGAAACAAGGACCAAGCACCACACTGGCCACCTCGAGAGACTGGAAGCTGGTAAGGGGCGCCAGAGTTCCTGAGGAGTGAAAAGTGCACTACGGGAAGCATATGTTCTTTGAGGAAGCAGATAACAAAAAACAAATATGTAGCCCAAGGCCAAGCAGTAGTGAGAACTGTATTAAAGCCAACCACCCGTCCAGGAGAAGGGGATCTGGTAGTGGGCTGAGGGCGTGGTTTCAGCAAAGCCAGCCAGGAAAAGCCTCGTTGAGAAGGTGGCGTTTGAGCACAGCCTGAACCTAGTGAAGGAGAGAACCATGTACGCAACTGGGAAGAGGGTTCCAGGCCGAACGGTCAACAACTGTGAAAATCCTAGAGCAGTGAAGTGTGTGAGAAAATGAGGCAGCCAGAGTGAGCGAGGTGGAGAGCGGTGGAGATGGAGTCAGAAAGACGGCAAGGGGCAGCCTCTCTCCCGGCTCGTAAGTACCGTCATCATACATTTACAGACTACACCCCCAAGACGCTCAAGTTACTCCACAGCCAGGGACTGCATCTGAGCATCGTCTTCCTACTGTCAAGCACAGTGCCTCCCAGAAAATGCACTAGGGGTTGAAAAAAATAAATTTCTATCACAAGGGGCCGGGCGCGGTGGCTCACGCCGGTAATCCTAGTACTTTGGGAGGCCGAGGCAGGCGGATCACCTGAGGTCGGGAGTTCGAGACTGGCCTGACCAATGTGGAGAAACCCGGTCTCTACTAAAAATACAAAATTAGCCGGGCGTGGTGACGCATGCCTGTAATCCCAGCTACTCGGGAGGCTGAGGCAGGAGAATTCCTTGAAGCCGGGAGGCGGAGGTTGCGGTGAGCTGAGATCGCGCCATTGCACTGTAGCCTGGGCAACAAGAGCGAAACTCCATCTCAAGAAAAAAAAAAATTACATCACAAGGCTTTGGTAAATACAGTCCTCTAGAAGTATGAGCAGCCATAGCATCCCTCCTTTTTAATTAACAAAAATAACAGGGGCAAAAATAACAGCAGCGCTCGCTGACCAAGCGCCAGCATCTATCTGCCAGGCACATGCTAAATGCTGCACTCTTCTATCGCCGTCCCTGTTAACAGAGTTCAGGAAACGAAGGCTCAGCAAGAACTTTAGTCCAACAGCTCTTAGCTGCCACAGCCAAGACTTGATTCCCATCCGATTCAGAGGCAGAGCTCCGAACCAGTGCTCTCGCATGCACCGAAATGCAAACGCTAGCATTAGAGTCTCGCTATACAAAAATCTTTTCCCTTTGGCCGGGTGCGGTGGCTCCCGCCTGCAATCCCAGCACTTTGGGAGGCCAAGGCGGGCGGATCACCTGAGGCCAGAAGTTTGAGACCAGTCCGGCCAATACAGTGAAACCCTGTCAATACTAAAAATACAAAAATTAGCCGGGCGTGGTGGTGTACACCTGTAATCGCAACTACCGAGGAGGCTGGGCACGAAAATCGCTTGAATCTGGGAGGCAGAGGTTGCAGTGAGCCAAGATCATGCCACAGCACTCCAGCCTGGGTGACAGAGCAAGGTTCTATCTCAAAAATAAAATAGAAACAAAAATATTTTCTCTTGGAACCGCATAGCCTGAAACGATCCTAGACAGGCGGAGGGCGCTGGTGGAGAGCACGACCCCACAAAAGCCCTCAGACAAGGCAGCCTCGACTTCCCCGGCCGGCTTCCCGCCCTCGCTGCGGGCTCTCCAGGACCCTTTAGACCTCCAAGGCTACAGAACTCAGTCGGATCCGCAATAACGACAGGCCGGGGACTGCGAAACGTGAGCCTGCCGCGGGGACTGGGGATTGGGGGCGTCCCTCCCCTCCTACATCTGCGGGTCCGCTCCTCGAACACGCGCAGTCCGCGCGGAGGGGGCGCATGCGTGCACTTACGTGACCCCGGCCTCGTCGTGGTCGTCTGGAAAATGGGCCTCGGCGTGATGCTCGCCGGACCCTGGCACCACGAGGGAAATCTCAAGTAGAACCCCAGCTTTGGCACTCGGGACGGGTCAGCCCCGCCGCAGCTACCCACGGTCTTCCGGTTTGGACCGGAAGTGCCTCCTGCGGAGGCAGGAAGTCCCGCCTCCCAGCCAGGCCTCTTAGGGTCCTGGCGCGCCCCCTCCCGGGAGGAGAGGGAACGGGCGTGCAGGCGGCGCGTGGGCAGCGGAAATAAAGCTCCCTTGAGTCCCAATAGTGGAGGCCGGGTGGACTTAGGTTCGAATCCCACATCTACTTCACCAATTTCCTCAGAGTTGTATTAAATTAATCATTTAACGAACTCCCACAGAACACCTACTATAAGCCAGACCTGTATTGGTCAGTAGGTATCCTACTGATTGTCCTTAAATCCCAAGAAGCGGGCTTTACAAATAAGGGTACAAATACCTACTAAGAGTGAAGCTTTTCCAGGGGTGGTCAGGCAGGGAGAGCTTTAGGCAGTGGTCTTCAAACTCTAGCTAGCGTGCGTCAGCAGTAGCACCTGGGGGGCTAGTTAAAACACAGTCTCCAATTCGGTGAGTCTGGGGTGGGACCTGATGATTTGCCTAAGTTCCCAGGTGATGCTGAAACTGCTTATCTGGGGGCCATGCTTTAAGAACCACTGTCCAGTCATGAACCTTACCGTTATCCTAACATAGTACTTCTCAAACTTCAGTGAGCCTTAGAACCACCTGGGGGGCTTGTTACAAGTTTGCTAGGCTCCACCCTACCTCTGCCCCCCGAGTTGCTGATTCAGTAGATCTGGGATGTGGCCCAAGAGTCTGCATTTCTAGCAAGTTCCCAGATGATGCTGGTCCAGGGGCCATACTTTGAGAACCGTTGCTTTAAAGAATCAATTTCCAAATTCTCAGCTGTCATCTATGTCTTTATTTATTTTTTTGAGATGGAGGCTAGAGTGCAGTGGCACGATCTTGGCACACTGCAACCTCCGCCTCTTGGGTTCAAGCAATTCTTCTGCCTCAGCCTCCCGAGTAGCTGGGATTACAGGCCTGCGCCACCATGCCCGGCTAATTTTTGTATTTTTAGTAGAGACGGGGTTTCACCATGTTGGTCAGGCTGAGTCTTGAACTCCTGACCTCAAGTGATCCGCCTGCCTAGGCCTCCCAAATTGCTGGGATTACAGGATGAGCCACCACGCCTGGCCTATATTGTTTTTATCTGGAAGTTTTTACCTGGACTAAAAGTGCCAGCAGGGCTGTGTTCCTTTTGAGAGGCTCTAAGGAAGAGTCCACTATCTTGTCTTTTCTGGCTTCTGGAAGCTGCCTGCATTCCTTGGCTCATGACCCCTTTCCATCTTCAAAGCCAGCAATGCCAGTCGGATTCTTCTCATGAGGCCATCTCTCTGGTTTTTACTCTTCTGTCTCCCTCTTTCCCATGTAAGGACCCATGTGATTATAGTAGGCCCGCCCAGGTAATCCAGGATAATCTCCCTATTTTATTTGTTTTATTTATTTTTTTGAGACAGGGTCTCACTCTGTCGCCCAGGCTAGGGTGCAGTGGTACCATCATGGCTCATTGCAGCCTCAACTTCCCAGGCTGAGATGATTCTCCCACCTCAGTCTCTCGAGTAGCTGGGATTACATGCAAGCACCACCATGCCTGGCTAATTTTCTTTTTTTTTTTTTATTTTGAGACAGAGTTTCACTCTGTCACCCAGGCTGGAGTGCAGTGGCGTGATCTTGGCTCACTACAACCTCCACCTTCCAGGTTCAAACGATTTTCCTGCCTCAGCCTCCCGAGTAGCTGAGACTACAGGTGCCTGCCACCACACCCAGCTAATTTTTGTATTTGTAGTAGGGACGGGGTTTCACCATATTGGCCAGGCTGGTCTTGAACTCCTGACCATGTGATCCACCCGCCTTGGCCTCCCAAAGTGCTGGGATTACAGGCATGAGCCACCACGCCCGGCCTAATTTTTGTAGTTTTTGTAGAGATGGGATTTCATCATGTTGCCCAAGTTGGTCTCTAACTCCTGGGCTCAAGCTACCTTCCCACCTGGGCCTCCCAAAGTGCTGGGGTTACAGGTGAGAGCCCTATTTTAAAGGCAGCTGATTAGCAACCTTACTTCCACCTGCAACCTTAATGCCCCCTTGCCAAATAATATACTCATAGGTTCTGGGGATTAGGCTGTAGACATCTTTGGGGGAACCATTATTTTGCCTACCACACTAATATTCTACATTACCCTTGTAAAACGCCTATCCAGCTTTGGCACTGCGAGGCCAGTTCCATTTCTTCCTTTCCTCCTTTCTCTGAATAAGCCATTATCAATTTGCTTTTGTAACTGACATATACTCAACATGCAGTAAAGCACACGAGTCTTAAATGTACAGCTCATTGAATTTTTATTCATACATAGAAACCCACATGAACACCACCCAGATCAAGACAGAGAACATTTCTATCACTCAAGAAAGTTCCAGCCAGGCACAGTGGCTCATGCCTATAATTCCAGCACTTTGGGAGGCCGAGGTGGGAGGGTTGCTTGAGTCCAGGAGTTCAAGACCAGACTGGTCAACAGAGCAAAACCCCCATCTCTACAAAATTTTTTTCTAAAAAGAAAATTCCCTGGTGCCACTTCCCAGTCAATACTTCCTTCAAGAAGGAACCACTATTTGGACTCTTATCACCACAGATTAGTTTTGCCAGTTCAAGAACTTTACATAAGTGGAATCATGGAGAGGATGTGTCTGGCTTCTTCCACGCCATGTGCCTAATAGATTCACCTGTGTTGTGTACGCAGCTGTTGTTTCCTTTTTAAATTAGTGAGTCGTGTTCCATTGTATGAATATACCATTGATTTGTTCACGCAACCTCCTGTTGGTGAGCGTTTGGGGCGTTACTGGGTTTGATGACTTTGTGGAAGTCTCTCTGTGGATATGTGCAGCCCTCAGTCCATTTCTGGACATCTGCTGTGCTGTCCCTTCACTCTCCTGGGCCTCATCCCACTCTCTGGGCTGCACACACACACAAAATGGAATTGTTCTTCCTGATGTCAATTCTTGACATGTTGGGGAGGCTGACTACCCAGCCCACCACACCTGCTTCTTCCAAGTCAAAGGTTCTGGGAGGACTCCACCACCTGGTCCTCATATGCCCCAGCATCCTCACTGTCACAATCCTGGAGAGAGCTGCCAGGCCCAGCTTCAGCAGCAGCAGCAGCAAGCACTGTGACAAATCTTACAGACACTGGTCATGCTTTCCCAAGTTAGTGGCTACTGTAAGACTCCGTTAAACTTGCAGCCTCCTTCAAGCAAATACGCGTTGCATCACAGTAAGCCTTGTGTAAATTGTCTTCATCCCTGTCTTTATCTTATTTTTCCTATGTCTCTTGATCTCTAGCTCTTCACTTTAAACAATTGTTATCTTGTCTTATTTGTATGAATTAACTCAAAATCCCTTCTTAGGGGGGAAAAAGGCAGAGTATCAAATGGCTATTTTCTTAAAAAAAATTATTTATTTATTTTTTGAGGCAGAGTCTCGCTCTGTTGCCCAGGCTGGAGTGCAGTGGCGCAATCTCAGTTCACTGCAGCCTCTTCCTCCCAGGTTCAAGCGATTCTCCTGCCTCAGCCTCCTGAGTAGCTGGGACTACAGGTGTGCGCCACCACGCCCACCTACATTTTGCATCAAATGGCTAATTCTTGGCTGGGGAACACTTATGTTTGGCTTCAGAAAGGCCTGCAGTGAAATTTTATATCCAATGATCCTGCTGACAGTGTGAACCCCTAATTCCTGTGTTGAAGTCTCCAGGCTCAGCCAGTGAAGCAGCTGAGCAGCCTGTGATGTGGAGGTGCCTAGGGGCCTAGGGCAGGAGCTAGAGTGTGAAACTGGACCTGACGCCCCCAGATGCTCCTCCCCCGCCTTGCAGGCTCCGCGACCACCCACGGTTAAAGAAGCAGCTGCTAGAGCAACCCCTCACCCACCCACCGGAACTTCCCTCCAGGCCATGGGACGTTGGTCTCAGCCGGAACTTCCGTCCAGGCAGTGGGACCTTGGCCTCAGCCATAAGCATCCAAGCCGCCGTCGTTGGGAGACTGGCCTTCCCATTGGCAGGGTGCACTGTCCATCACAGATCTCAGGGCTCTCATTGGCCATCGTATGGCAGGGGTGGAGCTCACCACGCTTCGTCCGCGTGCTCCCCACGTGAAGGCACCCGCCCTGCGCGTGTGAAAGGGCGAGAGCAGCGCGAGATAGGGCCTAGCGCCTCAGATCTTCGTTGGCGGCCATGGCTTCGGCTTCTCAGGGCGCTGACGACGACGGCAGTCGTAGGAAGCCCCGCCTGGCTGCATCGTTGCAGATCAGCCCCCAGCCCCGCCCCTGGCGACCGCTACCCGCCCAGGCCCAAAGTGCCTGGGGGCCCGCGCCCGCGCCCGCGACGTATCGCGCGGAGGGCGGGTGGCCCCAGGTCTCGGTGTTGAGGGACAGTGGGCCTGGGGCAGGGGCCGGAGTCGGGGAACTGGGGGCAGCCCGGGCGTGGGAAAACTTGGGGGAACAGATGGGGAAGGCCCCGAGGGTCCCTGTGCCCCCAGCAGGGCTCAGCCTGCCGCTCAAAGACCCACCTGCCAGCCAGGCCGTGTCCTTGCTCACGGAGTACGCGGCCAGCCTGGGCATCTTCCTGCTCTTCCGGGAGGACCAGCCACCAGGTGAGGCCGGGCCGGGGCATGGCTGTGCCAGAGGGCAGAGCCACGGAGGGCTGGGTCCCAGGACGTGGGGAGCAGGGGGTCTGGGGAAGGTGGACCTTGGTCCCTATGCTCAGAGACACCGCCGGAGCAGGACCTGGCCTGAGCTTGGGACCTTGGGGTGGACCCTGCTGTGAGCAGCGATCTCCAAGGATCACCAGCCACACCAGATGCTCAACTGTGAAAGAGTCATGGCAGGTGAACATTCTTCCCACCTGACTTCCAGGGAGGTTAAGGCCCCCTGGTATTTCTGTATACGTTTTTAGAGCCACTTACATGCAATTTAAGTTGCCGTGCTAGCATTGGAGATACCGAAATGGGAGCCACTCCCCTGACTTAAAAGACATTATTAAGCACAGTTTGGTAAGGGTAATACCGTGTACATGATACAGAGGTAAACCGTTATTTCCTCTTCTTCAATACATACCCCTTAAATCCCTTAACTCAGAGTGGTTGTTTTGTGTTTTGGATTTTTTTTGAGACAGGGTCTTACTCTGTTGCCCAGACTGGAATGCGGTGGAACAAGCTTGCCTCACTGCAGCGTCCGCCTCCTGGGCTCAAGTGATACTCCCGCCTCAGCCTCCCGAGGAGCTGGGACTACAGGTGGACTCCACTACACCTGGCTAATTTTTGTATTTTTTTTGTAGAGATTATGTGGTTTTACCATGTTGCCAAGATTGTTCTTGAAGTCCTGGGCTCCAGCTATCTGACCTCCTGGGCCTCCAAAGTGCTGAGATTACAGGTGTGAGCCACCACACTTGGCCCAGAGTTTTAATTTAAAAGTTAATTGCAGACATTATGCTCCTTACCTGTAAATACATTCACGTGTTTTTTGTTTGTTTGTTTGTTTGTTTTTCTTTTTTCTTTCTTTTTGAGATGGAGTTTCACTCTTGTGGCCCAGGCTGGAGTTCAGTGGCACTATCTCAGCCCACTGCAACCTCTGCCTCCCAAGTTCAAGTGATTCTCCTACCTCAGCCTCCTGAGTAGCTGGGATTACAGGTGTCCACACCAAGCCCGGCTAATTTATTTTTGTATTTTTAGTACAGATGGGGTTTCACCATGTTGGCCAGGCTGGTCTCAAACTCCTGACCTCTAGTGATCCGCCCGCCTTGGCCTCCCAAAGTGCTGGGATTATAGGTTAGAGCCACCTTGCCCAGCCCTCTTTTTTTTTTTCCTTTGAGACAGAGTCTCGCTCTGTGGCCCAGGCTGGAGTGCAGTGGTGAGATCTCAACTCACTGCAACCTTTGCCTTTCGAATTCAAACGATTCTTGCGCCTCAGCCTCCCGAGTAGCTGGAATGACAGACTTGTGCCCCCGTGCCCAGCTAATTTTTTTGTGTTTTAATAGAGATGGGGTTTCACCGTGTTGGCCATGCTGGTCTTGAGTTCCTGTCCTCAGCCCCACAAAGTGCTGGGATTACAGGAGTGAGCCACTGTGCCCGGCCTCATCTATATTTCTTAAAAACAAGGGCATCTCTTATGTAACTACAATACAATTATCAAATCCTGGAAATTTAACATTGATATAATACCATCTTCTAATTTCTATTCACATTCAAATTTTGCCAGTTGTCCCAGTAATGACCTCATGGCCATTGTTTCCCATCCCAGTATGACATTACAGTTAGCTGTCATGCCTCTTTAATCTCTTACCTGAAACAGTTCCTGTCTTTGTCTTTCACAACATTGATGTCTTTGAAGAGTAAGGGCCAGTAGTTTTGCGAATGTCCTTCAGCTTGGGTTTGTCTGTTTCCTCAGAACTGAGTTCAGGTGATGTGTTATTGAAGTGATGTCGAGTCTTTGGCACGCATCTCACCAGGAAGTGTGCGATCTTGCTTTGTCCCCTGGCGATGCGAGCTGTGGGGATTTGACTAGGGTGGCATCTACCAGGTGTCTTCACTTTCTCCTTTGTGCTGAATAAGTCATCCAGGGGAGGCATTTGGAGATCATGTAGATATCCTGTCCCTATAACATTGTCACTTGTGGTTTTAGAAAATCATGCTTTGATGGTTCTCCCCAGATTCAGTCGCTGTTAGGATGGCAGCCACATGCTGGCTTTCTAAGGCCAACATCCCTTCCACGTCTGTCTGTGGTTGCTGGTTTTGATGCCTGTTTAGAGCAGACAGATCTCAGCGCAGTGGGGAGTGCTGAAATGGGTTCCCTTCCAAAAGGGAAACCCCCAGAGGGGCAGTCCTTGGGAGAAACAATTTAGCAGCAAGTACTGTGAAATTAACCCTGCACCTTTGACCATGTGATCCCAGTTCCAGATTTTTCATCTCTCTTTTGTGTTATAAGTAACACCCAAAATGATACTGTTTCATAGGAAAAGTGTTCAAATATAGAGCCCCTGGAGGAGAGGAATTGAAAGCAATGTGTCTGTGGCAGGTGGAAGTGCTCAGAGCCTTCCTCCTGAGAACAGGGTGGCGTGGGCTCTGGAGAGGGGACCTGGATTTGGGTCCTGACTCAAGTTGGGCAAACCGCCTGCCGTTTCTGCTCATCTGTGAAATGGAGTCACGCATCCCTGCTGTGGAGGAGTTGGGTGAGGACTTGGTTGAATCAGCGATGGGTCACAGCCTGCAGAGGCACTCAAGGGTGTGCGCGGCATGGGGTGGCGATGGAGCCTGCTGGAGGAAGGGAAGGGTGGTGAGGGTCTCATTATTCTGACCGTCCTCGATATCAGGTGTCAGGAGGAGGCAGAGGTGGTACCTGTCACAGGGCGAAGGCCAGGGGGCTGCTTCCTCACCTGGCTCCTTCCCCAGGTCCCTGCTTCCCCTTCTCGGTGAGCGCGGAACTGGATGGGGTGGTCTGCCCTGCGGGCACTGCGAATAGCAAGACGGAGGCCAAACAGCAGGCAGCGCTCTCTGCCCTCTGCTACATCCGGAGTCAGCTGGAGAACCCAGGTAATGGAGGGAGGGCCAGGCAGCTGAGCCGCAGCTGGGGACAAGAGGACTGAGGCTGGCAGTCCCGTGGGGAGGCGGAAGTGGCTGTGCGTGTGAGCAGGAGGTGGGTTGCTGTACAAACCATCTGAGCATCAGGACGTCACCTGCAGGGAGCTGGGGCGGGGTACATGTGCCGGTCCCTGCTTTCACGTCCTCTGGGGACACCGGGGGTAGGGACCGCTAGAAGAGCAGCTCGTGTAATGTCCTGTGTCTGGAAGATGAAAACTTCCTCTCCCCGCCTCCTTGGCTTCCTGAGGGACGGAGGGTGGGCCTTGGCACCCACACCAGCCCGCCCTCCTTGCCTCTTTCAGAGTCCCCCCAGACCTCCAGCCGGCCTCCACTGGCCCCCCTGAGCGTAGGTAGGTGAGCATTCCCGGACCCAGGCTTGTAGTGTCGAGGGGAGAGGCGTGGGCCCCCTTCTACCTGCAGTCTCTCGCCCTGGCGCAGAGAACATCCTGACCCATGAGCAGCGCTGCGCAGCGTTGGTGAGCGCCGGCTTTGACCTCCTGTTGGACGAGCGCTCGCCATACTGGGCCTGTAAGGGGACTGTGGCTGGAGTCATCCTGGAGAGGGGTAGGGATCGCCCCAGCCCTGGCCCTGGCCCCGGCCCCCTGGGAAGGGCCCCCTCAAGCTCCTTGCCTTAGGCTGGGCCGTCTCTGCCCCCTCCTGCACAGAGATCCCGCGTGCCAGGGGCCACGTGAAGGAGATCTACAAGCTGGTGGCTCTGGGCACCGGCAGCAGCTGCTGTGCTGGCTGGCTGGAGTTCTCGGGCCAGCAGCTCCACGACTGCCATGGCCTGGTCATCGCCCGCAGGGCCCTGCTGAGGTGAGGGGCAGTGGGGTGGGCGCCTGATAGCAGCCTTCGCCAGGACAAGGTCTTCCCAACCACCCTGTGCCTGTCGCTCCTAGGTTCTTGTTCCGGCAGCTCCTGCTGGCCACACAGGGGGGCCCCAAGGGCAAGGAGCAGTCCGTGCTGGCCCCCCAGCCAGGGCCCGGACCCCCATTCACCCTCAAGCCCCGCGTCTTCCTGCACCTCTACATCAGCAACACCCCCAAGGGCGCGGCCCGTGACATCTAGTATGCAGGGCCCCCGGGGCAGGCGGGGGATGGGGCTCCCTCGGTTGGGCTGCTGGGTGGGGGCCAGGGTCAGAAGAGCAGCCCTGAAGCTGATGTCTGTCCCCACCCGGCCCGCAGCCTGCCCCCCACCTCGGAAGGTGGCCTCCCGCACAGCCCACCCATGCGCCTGCAGGCCCATGTGCTCGGGCAGCTGAAGCCTGTGTGCTACGTGGCGCCCTCGCTCTGTGACACCCACGTGGGCTGCCTGTCAGCCAGTGACAAGCTGGCACGCTGGGCCGTGCTGGGGCTGGGTGGTGCCCTGCTGGCCCACCTGGTGTCCCCACTCTACAGCACCAGCCTCATCCTGGGTGAGCACGTGGTGAGGGCTGGGGGGGTGAGAAGGGAGGGCAGGGAGGTCACTCACCTTGTCCTGTCCCTTCTGCCCTGCAGCTGACTCATGCCACGACCCTCCGACTCTGAGCAGGGCCATCCACACCCGGCCCTGCCTGGACAGTGTCCTGGGGCCATGCCTGCCACCTCCCTACGTCCGGACCGCCCTGCACCTGTTTGCAGGGCCCCCGGTGGCCCCTTCCGAACCCACCCCTGACACCTGCCGTGGCCTGAGCCTCAACTGGAGCCTGGGGGACCCTGGCATCGAGGTTGTGGATGTGGCCACCGGGCGTGTGAAGGCCAAGTGAGAAGGGCCCCCTGGGGCCGGGCTGTGGAGCAGTGCTGGTGATGGAGGGCTCATGCATGAGCTTCCTCACCTCAGTCTAATCCCAGCGCAACCCCTTCGCTCAACCCCTTCGCTCAACCCCTTCCTAGCTCCGTAGTGGTGGCCACACCTCTGTCTGCCCTGTGAGTCCTGTGACATTGTCACAGTGTGAGAGGAGGTAGTGTGAGGTGTGTAGCAGGCCTGCTGGTCCAGCTTGTATCTCTCTGATCTCAGTGGTATCCTCTCTTCATCCAGTGCCGCCCTGGGGCCTCCCTCCCGTCTCTGCAAGGCCTCCTTTCTCCGGGCCTTTCACCAGGCGGCCAGGGCTGTGGGGAAGCCCTACCTCCTGGCCTTGAAGACCTACGAGGCTGCCAAGGTTGGTTCCCCACCCTCCCCCCGTCCCGGTCCCTCTCCAGCCCTGCAGTCCCTGCCCCCTGCAGGTACCTCCTCTCACCCCACCTCTCATCTCCCGCCCTAGGCTGGGCCCTACCAGGAGGCTCGCAGGCAGCTGTCTCTCCTCCTGGACCAGCAGGGCCTGGGGGCTTGGCCCTCGAAGCCACTGGTGGGCAAATTCAGAAACTGAAGCCAGCCTCGGCGGGACCGAGGTCCCGGAGCCAAGCTGTACCCCTGCTGGGGGAGTGCCCTATCTGAGGAGCGTTGTGGGGAGAACATGGGTTGTGCGGGGTGAAACTGGGGCTGGAGGGAAGGAGGAGCCTGCTGTGGTTGGGAGGCGGCTGCTGCACGTTTGGGCTTGAATAAAGAAGTATTTCTGGTTCCTGTGTGTGTAGTTGGCTGTGTGTGTGTGTGTGTGTGTGTTTATGTGTTGGGGTGGCCAGGGGCCCTTTGTTTGCGGAGAGAGCCCCTCACTCCTCCTTTGGGAGGCCCTGTGTTCACTGGGTTCCCACCTGGATCCTCTCACTGAGCCACTGAATTGTCACCCCCGCCCCTGTTCACAGGGCTGGAGGCAGGTTTAGGAGGGGAGGTGACCTCCCCTGGTTCCTCCTGTTTTCCAGCCTGTGTGCTGGAGGAGACCACGGAGGCCACGGGTTGCGGGTGTTGTAAAGGGTGGGAGGGCAGGCTGCTTGGATGTGTGAGCATTTTGTCCTCTGGCCGCTATTGGGGCTCCAAATCCTTGCCTTTCTGGGCCCCCAGGATGTGTGGGAGGGCAGAGAACACCCTTCCCTGGTCAGAGCTTTAGCTGCCCTGGCCCTCGAGGGTGCTGTGGGGTCTGGGCAGCCCCATGTTGAAGGGCGTGGGGAGGGCATGAGCAGCATCAGTGCTTTCCCTGGGCCGCCCGGCTGTTGGACCTGGGCGAGGCATTGGACCGCTAGAGCCTGCGTCTTCCACCATGGAGAGGGACAGTGCTCCTGCCCTGTGTGGGCTCGGCAGTTCTCTCTCCGTTTCCCCCAGGGTAGCATAGTAAGGCCACATGGCACTCAGGCACTCTGTTGACTCTGGATGGGGAGAGAAGATGGTAACACTAAAAGCATGTGTGCGTGCACACTCGCACACACACCTGGAACCTCACCAGCATGGGCACTATAGCCGTTGAGCCAGGAGCACAACAGCTTTGAAGTCCAGGGACCTGGGGCCAGGGACAGTAGAGGACCGTGGCCAGCCCTGTGACCCCCACCCTGTGACTCCCTCCCTGCATCCCTAGCAGTTGCAGGGTTCAGAACCACAGGCTACTCTCCCATGTGGGGTGTCTCTGGGAGGGATTAGCATCTAATTATGGGGCTGAGTAAGAAGATGGCGCTCCCCAGTGCAGGCAGGCACCATCCAATCCACTGAGGGCCTGCAAACAACAAGCAAGCAGAGGAAGGTGAATTCGCTCTCTCCCCTTGAGCTGGGACATCACAACTCCTGGGTCTCTGGCCTTCAGACTTGGACCAGGACTCATAACATTGGTTCTCCCAGTTCTCAGGCCTTCGAGTTTGGACTAGAACGCCACCACGTGGGCCCCCAGCACTCACACAGCAAATGGTGGGACTGCTTCGACTCCGTATCGTGTGGGTCAATGCCTCGCAATACATCTCTATATATCCTGTTGGTTCTGTTTCTCTGGAGAACCCTGACCGATGCAGACAGCTCACTCCAGAGCTGTCACTCAGGGCCAGGCCTAATGTTGAAGTCGTGCGATTGGGTCCTCTCCCTCCAACCCCCTTTTGTCTCTGCCACTGGGTGTGTGTGGCCGTGGCCACGGGCAGCCACTTAACCTCCGTGCTTGTAGGTTGACTCATCTAGAGAAATAATCAGAGGGCTGGTCCCAGGGGTGTGTTCTTGGCCAGCCTGCCCATCTGCAGGCCTGGGCTTTCCGTCTGCTTTCGCTGGGCTCATCCTGTCTCCTTTCCCCACAGTGACGATGAAATGGGAGAATCTGAGGGAGGTGGGGTAGAGGAAACAGCACCAGTGGACAGACTAGACAACTCCAGCACGCCTGAAGCATGGTGTGTCTGTTCTGTTTTAACCTCCCACAGCTTGCCATGATAGATGCGATCATTGCCTCAGTGTACAGGTGAGGAAACTGGCAAGGTGCAGTTAGGTAACTTCTAGAACACCCAGCACCTGAGGTGGGCTGGAGCTGTGGTGATGTGCAGGCCGCCAGGCTTCCAAGCCCTTCGATTGCAGCCACCACCCAGGGCTGCAGCTGGATTTCCTTACGTGACCTTGGATGAAACTCTGAACCTCTCTGAGCCCCAGTTTGCTCATTTATAAAACAAGGACTAGGTGATATCCTTCCTAAGGTTCCCTCGCGTTCTCTGCTCTGCTCTTTCCCGACTGCTGCAGGAGGTCAGGAGGATGCCCAGTGCTATTACAGGGAAGAGCTGCAGGCTGGCAGCCTGCGGGGAGGCGAGTCTGGAGCTGGGGGCATCAGGCTGGGAAAACGGCAGGCGGGAGGGCCGGAGAGGGGAGCTGAGAGGCAGGAGGAGCTGCAATTCACATGTGCAAAGGACAGGAGGTGAGCCCTTGCTGAGGGAGGAGGACTACAGAGAGAGGCGTTTGCACCAGCAGGAAGGGTCCGCGGGGCCGGGAAAGCCAGGAAAGCACCGATTTCTTGTTTGAGAAGACAAGGATTTTTACCTTTAGTTTTTGGTTTTTTAAAAAAACAAAAAAACAGAAAACACTTCTCAGGCCAACCTTGAAATAATGATTTCTCGTGGCTCTTTTTTTTCAGGGATTAAGAGAGGGGGGTTTAAGAACACCCAAGCCTATTAGCCTGTGTATTACACATTGTTTTCCCCAGGAAATAGTTTACATTGATTTACTTTTTGTACTGTAGTAGTAACTACAACCAAATCTGGAAATATACCAGCCATTTCCAATTTCAGTTTGATGCAATGAGCCTTTTGGTGTTCATTAATCACATAATCACTGGATAAACAAGTTTTTCAAATCGACATTAACTCTGTTGTGTTCCGCCAAATCAGTAATATTTGTCCCCACGTTGCATACATCTGCTTGTCCAGTGCTTTCCTCCCAAGACAGTCTTTTCGTGACATCAGAGTCGCTCAGTTCTTTTGACTCAGCTTGTTCATTACTGCGGGGTGATGATGAAAGCTACTTCTGAAATGCGGATCTGTTAATGTCTAGTTGGCCGCATCTCCTCTGGGTGTAAGTTTTACCAACAGTAGCATATTTGAATTGGGAAGTGATGTAATCTCACTTGGCACAAGTGCTGCCTCCTCCGAGTGCCATCCCGTCACTTCCTCCTGCAGCTCAGGGCACCCTCTGTTCCGTGCTGACCCATGTGTTGTCTTCACTCTGGGACAGAGTGTGCCGAGTGGAAGTGTGGACCTGGGAAGTCTCTGGGAAGCCAAGGCGCCACTCTGCCTCCCCAGTCCTCAGCTTCCCCACTTGCCAACTGAGACAGGATCACAGACATGCAGCCTGCAGGGCCATGGTGAGATGAGGGGGGAAGCGTGCCTGGCACTGTTCTTGGCTCTCTCGGCAGCCCTCAGCAGTGACTGTCATCAGGCCTATCTGCCATCAGCTCCCAGCATGGGGCCTTGTGCATTTATCTCCATCTCCTCCTGGGGGGGTCTCCCACATAGAAGGTGCCCAACAAACAAGCACTGAATGGAAAATTAGTTAGAGGATCACTTGCAGGAGTGTAACCTACCCCTATATAGAGAGAGACCAGAAACCCCGTCCTCAAAACCCTGTAGAAGACACTTTGAAAATTTCCACTGTGCTCTGAGCCCTTTTCCTATGCCCTGGAGCAGTCAGTGAGAATCTAGAGAAAAGTTAGTGAGAGTCTAGAGGAAAGTAAATTGTTACCTTGCCTCATGGTTTAGTGGTGAAATTACCTTTTTAAAAATTATAGTTTTAAAAGATACATATATATTTGAGATTTATCTATCTATCTGTCGCCCAGGCTGGGGTACAATGGAACGATCTCGTCTCATTGCAATCTCAGCCTCCCGGGTTCAAGTGATTCTCCTACTTCAGCCTCCTGAGTAGCTGGGACTACAGGTGCCCGCCACCATATCTGACTAATTTTTGTATTTTTAGTAGAGATGGGTTTTCACCATGTAGGCCAGGCTGTTCTCAAGCTCCTGGCCTCAAGTGATCCACCCGCCTCGGCCTCCCAAAGTGCTGGGAATACAGGCATACGCCACCGCGCCCGACCTAAAAGATATTTTTAAAATCGATTTTCCTGGGTATCCAGAGGCAGCAGGATGAAGTACCCTTCCCTCTGTGCCATGCACAAACATTAACTCAAATTGGATCACACACCTAACACAAGAGCCAAAACTGCGAAACTCTCAGAAGAAAACATAATAGTAAAATTTTATGACCTTGAGTTAGGCAAAACTTTCTTAGATATGTCATCAAAAGCATCATGATAAATGAAAAAATAGAGAAATTGGGACTCCATCGAAATAAAACCCTTTGTGTTTCAAAGGGTACCATCAACAAAGTGAAAAGAAAACTCACAGAATGGGAGGATATACTTGCAAATCATATATCTGATAAGGGGCATATACCAACAATATATAAATAACTCTTACAGCTCAGTAATAAATTCAGCCCAATGAATGGGCAAAGGATATGAATGGACATTTCTCTAAAGAAGATACTGAGGCCAGGCATGGTGGCTCGGGTTTGTAACCCCAGCACTTTGGGAGGCCAAGGCAGGTGGATCACCTGAGGCCAGGAGTTCGAGACCAGCCTGGCCAACTTGGTGAAACCCCATCTCTACTAAAGATACAAGAAAAAATTAGCCTGGCATGGTGGCAGGTGCCTGTAATCCCAGCTACTTGGGAGGCTGAGGCAGGAGAATCGCTTGAACCTGGGAGGCAGAGGTTGCAGAGACCCGAGATCGTGCCACTGCACTCTAGCCTGGGTGACAAGAGCAACATTCCATCTCAAAAACAAATAATATTAACAAAGACGATACTCAAATGGCAATAAAACACATGCAAAGACGCTCAGCACCATTAGCCATCAGGGAAATGCACATCACCATGCTAATGACAGCCGGGGGTGTTGGTGTGCACATGTGGTCCCAGCTACATGAGAGGCTGAGACAGGAGGATCACTTGAGCCCCGGGGGTCAAGGCTGCGGTGAGCTATGATTCTGTCACCCTGTACTCCAGCCTGGGTGACAAAGTGACCTCCTGTCTTAAATAAAATGTGGTATCACTTTACCCCCACTAGGATGGCTATAATAAAAAAGGCAGATAATAGCAAGTGTTGGTAAAGATATGGAGAAATTACAATCTTCGTGCACTGCTAGTGGGAATGGAAAATGCGGCAGCCTCTGCAGAACACTTAGGCAGGTTTTTTTTTTTTTTTTTTTTGAGACGGAGTCTCGCTGTTGCCCAGGTTGGAGTGCAGTGGCGTGATCTCGGCTCATTGCAGGCTCCGCCCCCTGGGGTTTACGCCATTCTCCTGCCTCAGCCTCCCGAGTAGCTGGGACTACAGGCGCCTGCCACCTCACCCGGCTAATTTTTTGTATTTTTAGTAGAGACGCGGTTTCACCGTGTTAGCCAGGATGGTCTCGATCTCCTGACCTCGTGATCCGCCCGCCTCGGCCTCCCAGAGTGCTGGGATTACAGGCGTGAGCCACCGTGCCCGGCCGACTTAGGCAGTTTTTCAAATGATCAAACGTAGTTAATATGTGACCCAGCCATTCCGCTCTTAGGTGTAAACCCAAGAGAATAAAATATATGTCCACTCACAGATCTATACACCAGAGTTCACAGAAGCACTATTCATAATAGCCCTCAAATGGAAACAATTCAAGTGCCATCAACTGATGAACGGATAAAAGGAGATGCGGTTCATCCATATCATGGAAACTATCCAGTCATAAAAGGAATGAAATAGCGACACATGCTACAACATGGGTCAACCTTGGAAACTTCATGCTGAGTGAAGAAAGCCAGACACAAAAGGCGACGTATTAGATGATTTCATTTACATACAATATTCAGAGTAGACAGATTTGTGGTGGCCTAGGTCTGGGGGGAATGGAAGAATGGTGTGTGTGTGTCTGCTAATGGATCTGGGATTTCTTTTTAGAGTAATGAAAAATGTTCTAAAATTGAACATGGTGATGGCTGCACAGCTCTCTGAATATGCAAAAACCATTGACCTGGAGTTCAAGACCAGCCAGACCAACATGGAGAAACTCCGTCTTTACTACAAAATACAAAAATTGGCCTGGCATGGTGGCTCACACCTGTAACCCCCAGAACTTTGGGAGGCCAAGGCGGGCGCACCACAAGGTCAGGAGTTGGAGACCAGCCTGGCCAATATGGTGAAACCCCATCTCTACTAAAAATACAAAAAAACTAGCCAGGTGTGGTGGCACACGCCTGTAGTCCCAGCTACTCAGGAGGCTGAGGCACAAGATTAGCTTGAACCTGAGAGGCAGAGGTTGCAGTGAGCCAAGATTGCACCACTGCACTCCAGCCTGGGTGACAGAGCAAGACTCTGTCTCGAAAAACAAACAGGCCGGGCGCGGTGGCTCGCACCTGTAATCCTAGCACTTTGGGAGGCCAAGGCGGGTGGACCAGGAAGTCAAGAGATCGAGACCATCCTAGCCAACACGGTAAAACCCCATCTCTACTAAAAATACAAAAATTAGCTGGGTATGGTGGCACGAACCTGTAATCCCAGCTACCTGGGAGGCTGAGGCAGGAGAATTGCTTGAACCCAGGAGGTGGAGGTTGCGGTGAACCGAGATTGTGCCATTGCACTCCAAACTGCTGAGAGAGCGAGACTCCATCTCAAAACAAAACAAACAAAAACAAAAATTAGCTGGGCATGGTTGTGTGTCCGGAATTGGTGGGTTCTTGGTCTTACTGACTTCAAGAATGAGGCCGCGGACCTTCGCGGTGAGTGTTACAGCTTTTAAGGTGGCGCGTCTGGAGTTTGTTCCTTCTGATGTTCGGATGTGTTCGGAGTTTCTTCCTTCTGGTGGGTTCGTGGTCTCGCTGGCTTAGGAGTGAAGCTGCAGACCTTCGCAGTGAGTGTTACAGCTCTTAAGGTGGCGCGTCTGGAGTTGTTCGTTCCTCCTGGTGGGCTCCTGGGCTCCCTGGCTTCAGGAGTGAAGCTGCAGACCTTCGTGGTGAGTGTTACAGCTCATAAAAGCAGTGTGGACCTAAAGAGTGAGCAGTAGCAAGATTTATTGCAAAGAGCGAAAGAACAGAGCTTCCACAGTGCACAAAAGGACCTGAGTGGGCTGCCACTGCTGGCTGGGGCAGCCTGCTTTTATTATCTTATCTGGCCCCCACCTACATCCTGCTGATTGGTAGAGCCCAGTGGTCTGTTTTGACAGGGCGCTGATTGGTGCGTTTACAATCCCTGAGCTAGACCCAAAGGTTCTCCACCTCCTTACCAGATTAGCTAGATACAGAGTGTGGACACAAAGGTTCTCCAAGGCCCTACCAGAGTAGCTAGATAGAGGGTTGATTGGTGCATTCACAAACCTTGAGCGAAACACAGGGTGCTGATTGGTGTGTTTACAAACCTTGAGCTAGATACAGAGTGCCGATTGGTGTATTTGCAATCCCTGAGCTAGACATAAAGGTTCTCCAAGGCCCCACCAGAGTAGCTAGATACAGAGCTTCGATTGGTGTATTTACAATCCTTGAGCTAGACATAAATGTTCTCCACGTCCTCACCAGACTCAGGAGCCTAGCTGGCTTCACCTGGTGGATCCCGCACCGGGGCTGCAGGTGGAGCTGCCTGCCAGTCCCGTGCCATGCGCCCTCACTCCTCAGCCCTTGGGTGGTCCATGGGACTGGGCGCCATGGAGCAGGGGGCGGTGCTCATCGGGGAGGCTCCGGCAGCACAGGATCCCATGGAGGGGGTGGGAGGCTCAGGCATGGCGGGCTGCAGGTCCTGAGCCCTGCCCCGCGGGAAGGCATCTAAGGCCGGGTGAGAAATCGAGTGCAGCGCCGGTGGGCTGGCACTGCTGGGGGACCTAGTACACCCTCCGCAGCCGCTGGCCCGGGTGCTAAGCCCCTCATTGTCTGGGGCCCGCCAAGCCCACGCCTACCCGGAACTCCAGCTGGTCCGCAAGTGCCGGGCGCAGCCCGGGTTCCGGCTCGCGCCTCTCCCTCCACACCTCCCTGCAAGCTGAGGGAGCTGGCTCTGGCCTTGGCCAGCCCAGAAAGGGGCTCCCACAGTGTAGCGGTGGGCTGAAGGCCTCCTTAGGTGCCGCCAAAGTGGGAGCGCAGGCAGAGGAGGAGCCGAGAGCGAGCGAGGGCTGTGAGGACTGCCAGCACGCTGTCACCTCTCAGTTGCAGGTGCCTATAATCCCAGCTACTCGGAAGCCTAAGGCAGGAGAATCACTTGAACCTGGGAGGTGGAGGTTGCAGTGAACTGAGATCATGCCACTGCACTCCAGCCTGGGTGACATAGCGAGACTCCATCTCAAACAACAACAAACCATTGATTTGTACACTTGGGTGACTGGTATATGAATCATATCTCAGTAAAGTGGTTATGTAAAACATCTTAAAATTCCATTTTCTTGAAAGCCAGGGTTCCTACTACCACCCATTGCTGTCTTGAAAGACCTGATCTTGGCCAGGTGCAGTGGCTCACGCATGTAATCCTAGCACTTTTGGGAGGCCGAGGTGGGCAGATCACCTGAGATCAGCCTGGCCAACGTGGCGAAACCCCATCTCTACTAAAAGTACAAAAATTAGCCAGGTGTGGTGGCACGTCCCTTTAGTCCCAGCTACTTGGGGGCTGAGGAAGGAGAATCACCTGAACTTGAGAGACGGAGGTTGCAGTGAATCAGGATCACACCACTGCACTCCAGCCTGGGCAAAAGAGTGAGTGAGACTCTGTCTCAAATTGAAAAAAGACCTGATCTTCCTGATGTCCTTGTGCCTGCCTTGGGTGCATGCTCGGATGCTATAGCAACAAAAGCCAGGTGCTGAGGCTCTCATAGGAGTTTATTCCCCACAAGGCAGTCCAGAGTAGACGGCCTGGGACTGGACGGGTGTCTGCCGCCATCACCTTGAGAGGAGGTGGCCTCCTCTTATAGCTGACCCACAGGTTCCTCATCCCCCCTTGTTCACTTTCCCGTTGGTCCAGACTTAGTCACAGGCCATACCTCACCGCAGAGGTGGCTGGGAAATGAGTCTAACTGCAGCTCGGTATGTTTCATTACTAACAGGACGGTGCGGGGTGTTGGGGAATGGTGTTGGCAGGGTCAGTGGTCTTTCTCACAGGGTGCTGGGAAGGACTGCCAGGCCCTACCCTGCTGGACCCCAGAGAAAGGCCTGGCCATGGCAAGGGAACCCTCTGGCTGCACGGACCCCGGCCGCATGCCCAGCGTCACCCTGGGGAGTGCCACCCTCTATCCCCTCCTGCCCTGACCTCATCTCCTTACTTTGCTCTGTCACTTTCTCTACTCCAGACACAATGGCCGCCATGATCAAGTACGTTCCTGCCTCTGAACCTTTGCATGTGCTGTTCCTCCTTCCCCAAAGTGTGTCCTCCAGAGGTCCCCACACCTCACTGCCCTCCCTCCTCCAGGAATTCTTGAATGTCATGGCTTAGTGAGGCTTTCCAGGGTCACCCTCTGCAAAATTGCAACCTCTCCTTAGCAACCCCCACGTGTCCCTGCTTTCTTCCTCATGGTTACTTGTCTCTTCTGTTCCTGGCCGGACCACCCAGGGCCTGGAACCGTGTCTGGCACAGTGAAGACTCGGAGTGAACGAATGCAGAATATGTTTGGGAGCAACGCCAGCCGGCAGTTCCGGGAATGCTGCAGCCCAGTGGCCACAGCCTGGCACCCCAGCCACTTTCTGCAGCCTCACCCATGCCCAGTATCCTCTTCCCAATCTGGAGTCCTCTTGCCAGCTAGTCCTGACACTCTCCCAGGGACCCTGGAGCTGGCTCATTCATTTTCCAAAGATCCCAGGGTCTCCAACACAAACACAGGTATCCAGCACGCAAGAGTGTGTGTGAGGCTTCCTAGGCAGGTGGGTAGGAAGGCAGGGGCCATACACTACTTGTGAGCGAGACTGTGTCCATTCCCCTGTTCACTGTCTTGTCCCTGCTGCTGGCCACGGGGCTGGTGCACAGTGGCACTTGGCAAGATGAGGGAAGCGGGTGCCGCTCCAGGGAAGGGATGGGCGCTCACATTCACAGCACACCTCATGCGCGTCGGGTCCTGAAGGGAGAAGGCTTTAGGACACACGCATAGGGCTGAACAATGATTCCCAAGGTCACTACGAAAAGGAGACGTTTCACTGCATAACAGAGGAGGTGTTGGCTGAGAAGACATCAAATGTGGATGTCAGGGTGAGGTGGTGACTGGGTCTGAGTGCGTGTTTCTCCCTCTGAATATTTGCTAATGCGCTTTGGATGCAGATTCTCCCTCCCAGAAGGGCAGACCAGCAGGGCCGGCCAAGGCAGGTGGAAAGCCCAAGCTCCTCACCCCTACCAGGGCCAGTAGCCTGTGCTGGTCTGGATGCCTCTGTGTGGCAGGCCAGGTCTCACTAACGCAGGCCTCCATAACAACGGTTTCAGCACTGACCAAGTGGTTCAGTGAAATATTAAAAGCCGAGAGAGCCAGTGCCCTTCTGCAAAGGCTGGAATGCCTGGGCCTTTCCTGGGCCTTGAAGCATGACAGGATCATGAAGGAATTCTTAACGGGACCCATTTAGATTCAAGCAAGTTTTACTGCGGGTCTGAAGAAGCTCCCCAGGCCTCCACAAACAAGGCTTCCTGGGGACTAAATGAACTACCCAAACCTCCATGATCTAGCAGGAAAGATAAGGGTAATCACCCCAGCACCTGGACCCATTTAGATTAAGTAAACTTACTGAGGCTCCAGAGGAAGAGCTTCAGGACTCAGATCTTAGTTATAATGAAAAGAAGTTCATCACTTATGTCTTTAGATGAATGCACATACACAAAGACATATAGCTTCGAAGGTATATAAGCTCTGGAAACTGTAATTTTGAGTTGGTATGGCGATAATTTCCAGGCCTTCTCCCTGTGACCAGTGACAGAAATAAAAATTCCCTTCTCTTCCAGTTTATCTGCATCTCGTTATTGGGCCACGAGAAGTAATCAGCCCAACCCTTGCTTTGGTTTGGGAGCACCTGGAGCCTCTGTGGGACGTGAGCTCTTTATCCATGACGTGCAGGGTCATGCTAGTCAGGGTGGACCAGCTGCTGGAGCAGACAGCCCACAGTTTCAGGGACTTACAACAGGTGTCGTCTTGCTCAGGCCACCTACCAGTGCAGGGGATCAGCAGCGGGGCTGCTGCCTCCCTCCTGCAGCCCTCCTCCCTTAGGGCAGGCCCACAGATGTTTCTGTAAAGGACCAGAGAGTAAAGATTTTCAGCTTGCAGCGCAGGCTGCAAGACTCTAAGTTGTGACTGCTCAGCTCAGCCAATGGAGCGCAAACACAGCCAGAGACAATACCCAAATGAAGAGCCTGGCTGTGTTTCAAGAAAGATGTATTTATAAAAACAGGTTGCAGATGGGAGGTAGTTTGCTGACCTCTGCCTTAGGGCTTTGGAGCATTTGGGGGGATCTTCTACATTGAGCTAAGGGGTGTGGAGGGGAGGAAGAGGGCAGAGGGTCATGCAAGAGATGTTTGCGGCCAGACCTGGCAGTGCCCTGTGCCCTTTCCACACACCCCACTGACCAGAACCCCTACCTGCAGGGAGGCTGGAACCGTGGCCCAGTGGTTGGGACAGAGGAAGAAGAACCAGGTATTGGCAAACCCATTGCAGTCTCTGCCACCAGGAAGGGAAGAGAACAGCCTCACAGTGTATAGCAGTTGATACAGTTTGGCTGTGTCCCCACCCAATTCTCATCTTGAATTATAGCTCCCATAATTCCCATGGGTTGTGGGAGGCACCTGGTGGGAGATAACTGAATCATGGGGGCAGTTTCCCTCATACTGTTCTCATGGTAGTGAGTAAGTCTCATGAGATCTGATGGTTTTATAAGGGGTTTCCCCTTGCGCTTGGTTCTCATTCTCTCTCTTGCCTGCTGCCACGTAAGACGTGCCTTTTGCTTTCCGCCATGATAGTGAGGCCTCCCCAGCCACGTGAAACTGTGAGTCCATTAAGCCTCTTTTTCTTTATAAATTACCCAGTCTCGGGTATGTCTTTATTGGCAATGTGAAAACGGGCTAATACAGCAGTGCAGTTTGATAACAAGAGGACAGGCCCTGGAACCAGCAAACATGGTTCGAAACCTGACTTTTCTCTTACTATCAGTGAAACATTTTGTGCCTCGATTTTCTCATTTGTAAAATGAGGGCCTCCCTTGAAGAGTTGCTTTGTGGATGAAATGAAATAACATGTGAAAGGTCTTGTGTTGGGGCTTTATGCATGGGAGACTCTCAGAGATTGGTCATTTTTTAAAAAGACTTTATAGGAGCAGTGTTAGGACCACAGCAAAACTGACAGGCAGGTATAGCGATTTCCCATATACCCCCATACCATGGTGGTACATTTGTCACAATCCATGAACCTACATTGATATATCATTGTTACCCAGAGATTGGGTTCACTCCTGGTGTTGTACCTTCTATGGGTTTGGATAAATACCTACAGACATGGACCCACCATTATAGTGTCCTCCAGAGCAGTTCCACTGCCTAAAACCCTCTGTGCTCTGCCTATGCATCCTTCCTCCTACCAACCCCTGGCAACGCTGACCTTTTGTTTTTTTGAGACAGAGTCTCGCTCACTGCATCCTCCGCCTCCCAGGTTCAAGAGATCCTCCTGCCTCAGCCTCCTTAGTAGCTGGGGTTACAGGCGCACACCACGCCCAGCTAATTTTTTGTATTTTTAGTAGAGACGGGGTTTCACCACGTTGGCCAGGCTGGTGTTAAACTCCTGACCTCAGGTGATCCACCTGCCTTGGCCTCCCAAAGCTGGGATTATAGGCATGAGCCACTGTGCCCGGCCCAACACTGACCTTTTTACTGTTGCCATAGTTTTGCCTTTTCCAGAATGCCCTGTAGTTGGAATCGTATAGTAGGTAGCCTTTTCAGAATGGCTTCTTTCACTTGGTAAAACACATTTGTCAAAATAATTAATTGTGAGGCCACTAGGCCGAGTCAGCTCCAGCGCTTGGGGTTCCTACATAAACAAACCAAACCCTGACTCAATGGAAACAGTAAAGTGAAACTTAGGCCTAACTAATCAGAAACCACCAATTAGGCTCTAACTGGAGATTTTACCAATCAGATGCCTCCAAGTAACCTCTAACTAAGGACTTTCCACTTTAGCCAATCAAATATTTTCTTTGTTTTGCTTCTGTGAACATCTCTAAAAAAGTTTCCTACCCACAGCGCCCCCTGGGCAGAGCCCTGAGCCACCTGGGGTCTGAAACTGCCTGATTCCTGAATCATTGTCTCCTCAAATACACACATGAAAATTTTAACGTGCCCAAGTTTATCTTTTAACACATTTTTGTTTCCTCCATATCTTCTCAGGCTTGATAGCTTATTTCTTTTTATTGCTGAGTAATATTCCACTGTCTGGATGTGCCACAGTTTTTAAATCCATCACTGACCGAAGGACATCCTTCCGACCGAAGGGATCCTTGTTCCCAAGTCTGGCAATTACGAAGAAAGCTGCTATAAACATCTGAACATCTGCGTGCAACCTTTAGTGTGGATAGAAGTTTTCAATGCCTTTGGGCTGGTGGCTTTTTTTTTTTTTTTTTTTTTTTTTTGAGACAGTCTCAGTCTCTCACCCAGGCTGGGGTGCAGTGGCGGGATCTCGGCTCACTGCAACCTCTGTCTCCCAGATTCAAGCGATTCTTCTGCCTCAGCCTCCTGAGCTGGGATTACAGGTGTGCACTACCATGCCTGGCTAATTTTTCTATTTGTAGTGGAGATGGGTTTCACCATGTTAGCCAGGCTGGTCTTGAACTCCTGACCTCAGGTGATCCACCTGCCTGCTGGGATTAGGCATGAGCCACCACGACTGGCCAATCTTAACATCATTTTTGTAGCGAGAGACAGAACCCCAAAGAGCCTGCTGGGGAGTACAGGTGGATGAGGTGGGGGGTTCCGAAAGGGAGTAGGAAGTAGAGGTTAAGAGTGGGGAGTGTGGAGCCAGACAGGCTGGGTTTGAATCCTGAATCCATCACTGACAGCCAGGTGACCTTGGGATAGTTACCTAAACTGCCTGTGTCTGTTTCTTCATCTGTAAAGTGGGGATAATAGTACCTTCCTCAGACGGGTGCTGGTAGGATTAAGTGATGCTTGTGAAGCCATGAGACAGGGCCCAACATGCCGCCAGCGCTCCACAGATTCTGTGATCATCACCCCGGGTTGCTGCCCTGCTCGTTTTCCTCTCTTTTGGGACAATGTCTTGATTTTCCACTGGGAAACTTCACCTTCTCCATTTCTCTCCTTTTTTTTTTTTTTTTTTTTTTTTTTTGAGACAGAGTCTCGCTCTGTCACCTGGACTGGAGTGCAGTGGTGCAATCTCAGCTCACTGCAACCTCTGCCTCCCAGATTCAAGTGATTCTCCCACCTCAGCCTCCCAAGTAGCTGGGATTACAGGCGTGAACCACCAAGCCTGGCTAATTTTTGTATTTTTAGTACAATCGGAGTTTTACCATGTTGGCCAGGCTGGTCTCGAACTCCTGACCTCAGGGGATCCGCCCACCGCAGCCTCCCAAAGTGATGGGATTACAGGTGTGAGCCACCGCCCCCAGCCTCACCCTCTCCATCCTTAACCACAGGGTTTAGGTGGGATTCAACCTGTTTCCTGCTCCAGGGTGAACGCTGACTCCCAGAAATCAATCAGTGTAGCAACAGTGGTTGGTTCAAGGATGTATTCGTAACCCACTGCAGAACCAATAAGGCCGAAATCACATGCTTGGAATTCTTGGAAAGAGAGACTTTCTCTTCCCAGAAGTCTTTGTGGAGTGAGATTGTGAGACTTGGAGCTTGTGCAGTCATCTTGTGGCCATGAGGAGAAACTGGGGGTGAAGCTGACACACCCAGGGAGGCAGGGGAAAGATGCAAATCTAAGCTCGCTTGTTTGACATTGATGACATTGGCTGAACTCCTGGATTAAACCACACCTGAACTCCCATGTGGATGTTCAGTTACAAGAGCCAA
The DNA here is from genome assembly GCF_000001405.40 of Homo sapiens. Lineage (NCBI taxonomy): Eukaryota > Metazoa > Chordata > Mammalia > Primates > Hominidae > Homo > Homo sapiens. The sequence goes on from NC_000016.10 coordinate 84,211,974, forward strand.
TAATTCTTTTGTTGTTTGTTCATTTGTTTGTTTAATGAAGTCTGAATAGAGTTTCTTCAACTTGGAAACGAATCATTCCTAAGTGATATTTACAGGTGTATTTTAGAAAGAAAGTTCTTAGAGCTATTACCCTTGGACGTCGGAATGGGAGTCTTGTATGAGAGTGAAATTTACTTTTGTGCCACAAGCCCTTGGCATTTCTCCTGTGTATTCTGTCTCCCAGAGTCCCCACAGGAGCTTGAACTGTAGTTGCGCATGTGGTCTACAGGGTTGATCACACCCCTTGTGTCCTGACTGCCTTCCTCGCCCTGTTGACACAGTTTGGCTATGTTCCCACCCAAATCGTATCTTGAATTATAGTCCCCATAATCCCTATGTGTTGTGGGAGGGACCTGGTGGGAGGTAATTGAATCATGGGGGTAGTTACCCTCATGCTATTCTCATGATAGTGAGTGAGTTCTCACCAGATCTGATGGTTTTATAAGAGGCTTTTCCCCCTGTTGCTTGGCACTTCTCCTTGCTGCCTCCATGTGAAGAACGATGTGTTTGCTTCCCCTTCTGCTATGATTGTAAGTTTCCTGAGGCTTCCCCAGCCATGCTGAACTGTGAGTCAATTAAACCTCTTTCCTTTATAAATTACCCAGTCTCAGGTATGTCTTCATTAGCAGGTATGTCTCATGTGAGAACAGACTACTGCACCTGGCTCAGTTCCCTCTCCCCTACTAGTGTTTCCCGGGATCATCTTCAGGTGAAATGCCTGCACTCAAATCCTTGCCCCAGGGTCTGCCTCTTGGGGAACCCCAAGATCTGGGAGAACCAAGAAGCACCTCCTCAGGAGCCTGTGCGAATGTGGCAATCCTGTGCCCCCACAAATGATGACTCTGCCTAATCACTTGGCCTCCTTTCTTCCTAGGACTTGTCACTAGTCATGCTTGTCTTTTTTTTTTTTTTTTTTGAGACAGAGTCTCGCCCTGTCACCCAGGCTAGAGTGCAATGGTGTGATCTCAGCTTACTGCAACCTCCACCTCCTGGGCTCAAGAAGCGATTCTCCTGCCTCAGCCTCCCAAGTAGCTGGGATTACAGGTGCATGCCACTATGCCCAGCTAATTTTTGCATCTTTAGTAGAGACGGGGTTTCACCATGTTGGCCAGGCTGGTCTCGAACTCCTGACCTCATGATCCGTCCTCGACCTTCCAAAGTGCTGGGATTACAGGCGTGAACCACTGTGCCTGGCTGCTTGTCTTGTTTATTGCCTTTTTTAAAATAAAAAAAATGATTTTTAAAAATAGAGATGAGTCTTGCTATGTTGCCCAGGTGGGTCTCCAACTCCTGGGCTAAAGTGATCCTCCTGCCTCGGCCTCCTAAAGTGCTTACAGGTATGAGTCACTGCATCCAGCCATTGCCTTCTTTATGTATTTGTGCCCTGCCTTCCTACCTCCCTTCCATCTGCCACCCGAGGTCCACACAGGCATCTGTCTTGCTCACTATGGTCTCCAAAGTGTGAGAATATCTGGCGCATGGTGGGTACTTAAGAGATACTACCCCAGAAACCAACCATTGCCCCACCAACCTTTTTTTTTTGTTTGAGACAAGGTCTCTTTCTGTCGTCCAGATTGGAGTGCAGTGGCATGATCACAGCTCACTACAGCTTCAAACTCCTGGGCTCAAGTGATCCTCCCACCTCAGTCTCTTGAGTAGCTAGGACTATGACAAGGAGGCCACAGGGCCTGCAGGTACAGCTGGGCACCACTATGCCCAGCTAATTAGAAATAACTTTTTTTTTTTGTAGAGGGGGGTCTCGCTGTGTTGCCCAGGCTGGTCTCAAACTCCTGGGCCCAGGTGATCCTCCTGCCTTGGCCTCCTGAAGTGCTGGGATTATAGGGATTATAGGCCCAACTTTTTTATTTTTATTTTTATTTTTTTGAGACAGGGTCTTGCTCTGTCACCAGGCTGGAGTGCAGTGGCGTGATCTCGGCTCACTGCAACTTCCACCTCCCGGGTTCAAGTAATTCTCCTGCCTCCGCCTCCTGAGTAGCTGGGACTACAGGCATGCACCACTATGCTCAGTTAATTTTTTTTTGTATTTTTAGTAGAGACAGAGTTTTACCACGTTGGCCCGGATGGTCTTGATCTCCTTACCTCGTGATCCGCCCGCCTCGGCCTCCCAAAGTGCTGGGATTACAGGCGTGAGCCACTGTGCTCGGCCTATAGGCCCAACTTTTGACTCAAGTCTTGGTGGTGGGTTGAGGTGAGTGATACCTGGCCCCTGCCACCCCCTTTCTAGGAAGAATCTCTCACATCCTCAAGGTCAACCCCAGCAGGCCTCATGAGTGGCCCCACCTCAGTACACCAGAGATGCCACAGCATCACTTCTTAATATCGTTTAATGTTTCTCTGAGATTTGCAGGGAGGTGGGGGCCCTGAATGCTTAGTTAGGAAGGTGCAAGGTGAAGCTCTGAACTTCCCAAAGGGGATCTTATTTCAGGCTGGTCATTGGCCAAGTACAATGGAAGCCTTTGGAAGCGGCAAGATTGGCTAATTTTAGCTCAGGGCACCTGAATTCATTCCAATTCACGTCACATGGACCCCAGTGTTCCCCTCGGCTTTGTTCCCCTTATGGCAAAGGTGAGTTACGAAAGTCGTGCAGCAGCTGAGTCACTGACTCCATGGCTCTCCACGTGTCATCTAGAAGTAGGCTGCCGTGGAGGCAGGGCTGTGCTCTGCTCAACTCAGCAAAGTCCGCCTCAGAACGGACAGCTGTGGATGACAAGGAGGCCATAGGGCCCGTGGGGACAGCGGCTTCCCTTTGCTTTATTTTTAACCAACATTAGATTCCTGGAGGTACCCCTTGCTTAGACGTCAAGTACAGCCCTCAGCACTGGATAGAGGCTGGCGCTGGGCGGGGGTTGGGTGGCACAGAGCTGAGAACACCAGGCTAGGTGTTCAGAGACTGGGTTTTGAGTCTTGGCATGGCCACCCCTGGCAGTGTGGCTTGCCAAATTATGAGTCCTCCCTGGGCCTCCACACCCACACCTGTAAAACGGGCAGGATGGAGCCAGTGACCATTAAGGTCCTTTTAGCTCTAAGAATGTGTGAGGCAGGTCGTGCCTAAGCTGGCCAGGGTCCGGAGGGACAACGGAGGGTCCCCTCCTTGTCACAGCTGGAGAGAGATGATGTATGCTCTGAGCCTTGGGGACTTGTTCATCTGCAAGGGGGACATGCTGTCATGCTGTCCTCCTCAGAGATGGTCTGGATGGCTGGCACATACCTGGCCTGCTGTCACATTCTATCTGCCTGCTGGAGTGGGGGCAGGCACATTAATTTCATTTTTTATTTGAATGTCGTTAGGCCAGGCTGGCACTCCCCCAGTCCCCCTTTCCTCCCCTCTCTCAATCTCCACTACCCCGCGAGCATGTCCTGGGGTCACTTCCCCAATACTCCTGGGCTCACCTCCTAAATAAACGACTCGTAGGACATGGCACTCCCAGACACAATGCCCTGAGAGGGACACAGCCTCACTTATGTAATGTCCTGGCCAGGAATGCATGGCCTCAAAGCACCAGGAGACAGCGGACAAACCCAAAATGAGCGTCCTTGTGTGCATGATATATTTGACTCATAATTTCAATGCCATCTAAGTCAAAAGCTGGGGAAATGGTCCAGATTACAGGAGACTACAGAGATAGGATCCGTACATATATCTGGTGTATCCCATCCTAGGCTGGACCCTGTACTGGAGGAAAAAATGCTACAAAGGATATTGTTAGGTCAGCCGACAAAATTGGAACTGACAGTAGATTAGATTAAAGTAGTGCATGGAAGTTAATTGTGCTGAAGCTGAGAACTGAACTGTGGTTCTGTAAGAATCTCCTTCTTCTAAGTATCTATACACCGATGTGTTTAGGGTCTCCTTGGGCTTTCCATCCTAAAATGAGGCAACTGGTTTACTTTAGAGCTTCCTACCCTTTTGCAGGGGCAGGGAGAGGAGTCAAGGATTCCTTTGAGAAGCTGATGAAATTGTTGGACACTTAACACTTCAAAGTGCACCTAAGCCCCAGAGGCTCATAGACCTCTGGAACCTCATGGAAACTCCCAGCTAAGCCTCCTTGGGCTGAGAGTCTTCTGCTAAGCCTTCTGGTCACCACATTCTAAAGTGACATCTAGGCTGGTCATGGTGGGCTCATACCTGTAATCTCAACACTTTGGGAGGTTGAGGCAGGAGGATTGTTTGAGCCCAGAAGTTTGAGGTCAGCCTGGGCAACATAGTGAGACCACATTTCTACAAAAAATAAAAAAATTAGCCAGGCACGGTGGTGCATACCTGTGGTCCCAGCTACTCAGGAGGCTGAGGCGGGAGGATTGCTTCAGCCCAGGAGGTCAAGTCTGCAGTGAGTTACGATTGCACCACTGCACTCCAGCCTGGGCAACAGAGCAAGATCCTGTCTCAAAAAAAAAAAAATCAATTAATCAAAAATAAAGGTGCACCTAGAAAGCTGAGGGCCATGATGTGGGGAACTTACTTTCAAATGGTTCAATAAACATATTATTAACAATACCATGTAGATATGACAAAAATATAGATGGAGCAGGCCAGGCGCGGTGGCTCATGCCTGTAATCCCAGTACTCTGGGAGGCCGAGGAGGGCAGATCACGAGGTCAGGAGATCGAGACCATCCTGGCTAACACGGTGAAACCCTGTCTCTACTAAAAATACAAAAAGTTAGCCGGGCGTGGTTGTGGGCACCTGTAGTCCCAGCTACTCGGGAGGCTGAGGCACGAGAATCACTTGAACCCGGGAGGCGGAGCTTGCAGTGAGCCGAGATGGCACCACTGCACTCTAGCCTGGGCAACAGAGCGAGACTCCCATCTCAAAAAAAAAAAAAAAGATGGAGCAAAGAAGAAAGCAGATGGACAAAATGCAAAAGCAAGCAAACAAAAAAAAGTGGTGTTGAGGTGTTTTATGCGCTATTTTTGTTCTTGCAACTTTTCTGTGGGTTTGACATATTATCCAAGTAAAATGTTAAAAAATCAATTGCTTGGTGACTAGTAATCTTTCATTAGGTGATCCCCAGGATTAGCATGTCACTGTGAGGAAGAGCAGGCAGGGAGTTTAATATGCTGCTGGGGAAAGGCAGGCCACTGAGTGTGTGTAGCCAGCTAGCCAGGTGCTTCCAGAATGAGGCCTCATGGTGGGTGAGGTGCCCTGATGTGGTGGGCGGGAAGTGGAAAGAGATCTCAGTGAACTTACATTCAAACTTGGACTACTTGCCAATTTTTGCCAAGGGAGCAATTTTGTGGATAGTCAAGGGACAGAGTCTGTTTTTCTTTCTCACCTCTCTCCGTGTTCTTGTCTGCCCCTCTCCGTAGTATCAACTGTGGCAATGAGCCCTACTTCCCAGAGTCATAGATTGTCCAAACTGGGAAGGGCTTTAATCCTCTCATCTAAACTTTCCCTGGGATAAATGAGAAAATGAAAGTCTGGTAAAACTGATTTGTGTAACTTTTGTGTAACACAAAGTACGTGGGACACCCGAAGACATCTGCTCAGGACAGCGTGGCAAAGTGTTGTTACCATCTCATCTTCAATCTTTTCTTTGAGGACTTGGACGCTGTTTTACATGAGCCTAAGAGCAGCAGCATGACAGAGTGTTCTGCTGGAAATTGAGATACTTGGATCTAACTAGATGAACTGGCTGTGTGGCCTTTGGGTTGGTGGCCCTCCCTCTCTGAGCCTTAATCTCTCCATCTTTTTTTTTTTTTTTTTTTGAGACTGGGTCTAACTCCATCGCCCAGGCTGGAGTGCAGTGCTGCCATCATAACTCACTGCAGCCTCGACCTCCCAGGCTCAGGTGATCCTCCCACCTCAGCCTCCTGAGTAGCTGGGACTACAGGCACGTGCCACCACAGCCTGCTAATGTTTGTATTTTTTGTGGAGACTTGCTTTTGCCATATTGCCCAGGCTGGTCTTGCGCTCCTTGGCTCAAGTGATCTGTCCACCTTGGCCTCCCACAGTGTTGCGATTACAGGCATGAGCCACTGTGCGGGGCTTCATCTCTCCATTTTAAAATGAGGGAGTTGATTTACTTAAGAATTTGTTGTCCTTCTGGAGGGGTCATTGATTCCCTTGAGAATCCGATGGAATCACTGGACACTTTGCACTGTGACATGCACGTCATCTACAGAGGTGCACAGGTCCCTCGTGGAAACTCCCTGCTCGGATTGACTGTCTTCCAATGAGACTTCCAGTTACCATATTCTAAAGTCCTAAAACCATCGAAACAGAGTCAACGGGTCCCCAGTACAGTCTTGCATACCTTTCATGCTATTGAAGAATTAACTCACCCTTCTCCGTCTCACTTCTTGGGCTCAACTCTGTCTGGCTAGGACACGCTGAGTCAAAGTTTCCCAGTTACCTCTGGCAACCACGTCGACAATACAACACGAAAATGGCTCGCCGTAAAGGGCCGTTTTCTCTTTGCCTTCAGCTGGAAGATGTCCACCTTTGGCTATAGTCATGCCCACTGGCCTCAGAGAAAACAAGAGCTTCTGGGTAACATAAGGGACCTTTCAGCCAACAGGGGTGAAGAAACTGCCTGGTAACTTGCTTGTCACTTCCACCCCATTCAATCAGCACGAAGGAAAGGCAGTTCGGCAACGCTAGACTAAAACAATTTAGACCCGTCTCCTGGGACATTACCAGGGAGAAAAAATAGAGCGTTTAATTAAGCCCCACATGCGAGCAATCAATTCCAATTTTCCATGTCTAATTTAGCAGAGAATCTCAACTGGGTGAACATTAAGACACTATAGAATCTCATAATGGTGGTGGTGCTTCACCTAATTTTGATTTTAAATGTTTCTTTTAGTGCTGGCACACTTTGGTGAAGAGGTCTGGTAGGTGAAGCAGAGGAGAAGGGATATGCCTGGGTAGAAGCCAGTTACAGGGATGGGCAGAGCTGTCATTAAGAAGTTTTCACCAGGCATGCGCACAAAATATGTCTTCGATGAGAAGGCAGGGCAGATGTGGGGGCTGATGTGGGTCCCAGACCTTCCAGTGGCTGTTTAGGCTTTGTCTCTGGTTCCAGAATGAGCTTACCACTCAGTTCAAAGGGCTGGGCTGGACACTGACGGGAAGGAGAGGAGACTGGGGATTTGCACATTCTTTTCAGTGTCATTAATTGCAAATGTTTTGCCCCAGGAGGCAGAGCTCTGCCTGCTTTGCTGCTGGTCTTCTTCATCCGCAGGACAGTCCCTGAGCTTGCTTTGTGGAACCCAGGTCAGAAAACCACAGATCTAGTCCAACACCTGCCTGCAGCTAACTGAGGGGGAAGGGGCCTGCCCGAGGTCACACAGGGAGTGAAGACACTGGGTTTCAGCCAGCGCCCAAGCCAGTCAGTCCCCAGAAAGAGAGTAAGTGGGAGACTTTGTCCTTTTACTATTTTGCCTAAGCGTAGTTATTAAAATGTTAGTCAGGCTTGGGCACGGTGGCTCACGCCTGTAATCCCAGCACTTTGGGAGGCCGAGGCGGGCGGATCACGAGGTCAGGAGATGGAGACCATCCTGGCTAACATGGTGAAACCCCGTCTCTCCTAAAAATACAAAAAATTATCCAGGCGTGGTGGTGGCACCTGTAGTCACAGCTACTCAGGAGGCTGAGGCAGGAGAATGGCGTGAACCTGGGAGGCGGAGCTTGCAGTGAGCCGAGATTGAGCCACTGCACTCCAGCCTGGGTGACAGAGGGAGACTCTGTCTCAAAAAAAAAAAAAAAAAAAATGTTAGTCTGGGCCGGGTGCGGTGGCTCGTGCCTGTAATTCCAGCACTTTGGGAGGCCGAGGCAGGCGGATCACCTGACATCAGGAGTTCAAGACCAGCCTGTCCACATGGTGAAACCTTGTCTCTACTAAAAATATCAAATTAGCTGAGCATTTGATCTCCAAATAGCTGGGATTACAGGTGGTGGGTGCCTGTAATCCCCGCTATTTGGGAGGCTGAGGCAGGAGAATTGCTTGAACCCAGGAGGCGGAGGTTGCAGTGAGCTGGGATCAAGCCACTGCACTCCAGCCTGGCGGACAGAGAGAGACTCTGTCAATAAATAAATAAATAAATAAGTAATAAATAAAATGTTACTCTGGAACAGAAACACTTCTATGGCTACTGTCCAAGGTGCCTGTGACATGGAATTTCTACGCAACGCTTATGGGAATCTGCCTGTCACTTTGTGGAGTGGAGTGGCCATCCAGGCTGGGGATTTTATAGGGTGAAGGGGCTTTCCTTGTGTCATGGCCACTGAACCACTATGTCACCTGGTGACATGTCAGCTTGGGAAAGATTGGGGTCTAAAAGAATGGGGACATGTGCCTGTATAGTTGGGGGGACACCTGGAGGACTCCAAGGAAAGGCAGGCTCGCCAGGAGGCCAAGGCTCCCTGGACGCTAGGTGCTGGTGCAGGGTGCTTCCTGGGCCAGAGCCCTCTGCCACGCTGCTGTCTGGCATTGCCATCAGTGGAGGACTATGCCTGGCACACAGCGGGAAATCGCAAAAAACTAGCAGAATGAATGAACAGCAAGGAACTTGTTACCAGTGGTAAAATGCTGACCACTCTCATACGTACACGATATCAGATTGGCAGGGCCGAAACCACTTCACTGTCACCTGTTTTGATCTTGTGCACTTTCTTCAAGAGTCCTAGAGCCAACAGCAAACTCCTATGTGGGCCATGCCACTCTGGGGAAGTGCCATCAGGATGTCTCCAAGGTGTGTCCTGCTGGGAGAAGCCAGGATTTGACAGAATCTTGCAGGATTAAGCCCGTGAAGGAGGGAGGGCTGTCTTGCCTGAATGGCTCAATGGCTCCTCATCCCAAACTGGGCTTCTCATGCCCAATCCAGCCTCATCATCTCCCTAACCCACAGCCTGTGCACATCACTCTGCCCTCCATAAAGCATTCAAGGCCCACGCCTTCTCAACCCAACCCAGCTGTTCAGCTTCATCTCCTAAAATACACCTCTACTCTCCAGCCCTGCCCATGTCTCTGTGAGGCCTTTGGGAGCCCACTGCTTGGAAGTCATTGCTCCTTCCTGCCTGCTCTCAGAATATGCTGGTTTATCTCCAGTGACTCAGACCTCCATCTGCCTCCTCCCCTGGATGCAAAGGACAGACTCTGTTCACAGATGAATGCAGAAATGAATACATTGAAATGTGAGCTAAGAATGTCTATCCTCCAGCATGGAGATGACTAGTCTGGGAAGCCAGCAAGGGACAGCACCTACAATTCCCCTTGTTTCTGTGCCAAAGCTACATTGAGTCCATGGGGGCTCAGCTGTGGATGAAAAGCTAAGGCCCCTGCAGTGTGGGAGCAACCAGCAGCAGGAACGATCCTCTCAAGGGACAACATGGACCCTGAAAGAGTTTGTCTCTGTCAAGGCTAAGGACTGGATAACTGGAGAACACCACACCAAGAGTCCAGGCGGCCAGGGAGGGCCTGGCTGTGCTGGAAAGTGGAGTTTCTGCCCAGGTCCCAGGTCCCAGGTCCCAGGTCACAGATCCCAGGCATGCCTGGGGATGCCTGCTCCTTCTTGAGCTCCAGGTAAAGGATGGCAGGCTTGGGGGCATCAGCCTCAACATGAGATTTACTGCAAAAAGGCTGATTCTGCCTTCTTAGCTACAAGTGTTCAGAGCTGGCGGGAGGTAGCAGCATTAGGGAAATATCACTGGTGGTGGTGAGCAGAAGGAGAACATATTGATCCCTCTGGAACCCGTGGAAAGGTTGGGTGGGGAGATCTGATTAGAGGGGTTTGCAGTGACTGGACCTTTGATTTCCAGTGGTGGCATGGCCCAGGAAGGAGGGTCTTAGGGAAATCATGAAATTACATAGGCTCAGTATGCAAATACCAATGGTTACCAGTTCTATGGGCATCCAGAACCCAGCCTGGGATGTTAAAGCCTCTGCTGGGAAGGAAAAGAGAATGAAAGGAGACTGAGCTACTCCAGCAAGATTGGACATGCTCAGTAGATGGGCAGAGAGAGGAAAAGGCAAGCAGGCTGGACACAGTCAGCCTGGGACATCGGGGCCCCGAGGGACAAGGATCACAGACACACAGCCTCTGTGGCCTTATGCCCCTCCAGCTTTGAAAGTCTTCCCTGGGCTCTAGAAACACCACCAGGTGGTCTATGCGGGGTACCCTTGAGTGTGTTTCAGGCAGGGTGATGGGTTGAGGTTACCATGTAGTCATGGGGGGTGCTGAGTTACATGTGCATGATAGGCAAGGCTGGGCCCTCCAGGATTAGGTCATTGACATCGTTCATGAGCTCATGTTCACTGGCCACATGGGGGTCCAGGAGTTCACATTCACTGGCTGGACCGGTGTTTTGGAGGTGGCGGAGGCGGGCCTGAAGCTGCTCCTGCTCCTTCTTGAGCTCCAGGTAGGAGTGGGAGAAGGTGTGGAAGATAGACGTGGCCGGGAAGGCCATGATGAGGATCCCGCTCAGGATGCTGCTGAGGGCCACCATCTGGCCTGGCACACTGCGGGGCACCATGTCCCCGTAGCCCACCGTTGTCATGGAGATGATGGCCCACCAATAGGAGGCGGGGATGCTGGTGAACTCCAGCACCCGCCCGGACTCCTTCTCGGCCACGTAGACCAAAGGGGAGAAGAGGGTGATGGCCACGGCCAGGAAGAGAAGGAGCAGGCCGAACTCACGTGTGCAACGGCGCACGGTGAGCCCCAGCGTCTGCAGCCCCAGCGAGTGGCGAGCCAGGCGCATCACGTAGAGGATGCGCAGCGCTCGCAGCACACGCAGGACCAGCCCCACCTTCTCCAGGTAGGAGCTCCCGCTCGGCCTCTCGCCGTCCTCCGGGGGCTCCTCAGACACCGCCAGCGACACGTAGTATGGGGAGATGGCCAGGATGTCGATGATGTTCAGGGGCCCCTGGAAGAACTGACACTTGTCTTGGGCCTGGACAAACCGCAGGCAGAACTCCAGGGAGAACCAGGCCACGCAGATGGTCTCCACGATGAAAATATAGTAGCACTTCCGAGAGCATTCGCCCTGCGGGGAGAAGAGGCAACAACGCGGGGTAGAGAGTGGACTTGCAACTGTGCTGGAAATCGGGGGACGACTTCATGCCCATGAGCTTTGTGCTGTAAACTTAGTCGTCCACCAGAACCTCCTTTTACACAGTTTTCCAGTTGTGGCTGGGTACACAGCAGATCGGCTAGGTCAGAGACTGTTCTTTCTGGCTTCCCTTGCCGCTAGGTGTGGCCAAATATGACTAAGTCCTCACCTCCGGACTGGAAACAGAAGTGATGCAAACCACCTCTGGATCTAACTCTTGCACACTCTTTCCATCCTTCCTGTGAGCCGGGACAGCACAAATGGGCCTGCAACCCAGCTAAGAAGAGAGGACTGGACCAGCGCCCCAGGGGAGGAGGGAACATCAAGGCGGGAGAATCTGGAATAAGAGTTGTCGATACTCACCTACATCCCTCACCTTGGGACTATTGCACAAGAGAAAAATTTGGCTTAAAACTATTCTAGTTTGGGGTCTCTTTGTTATAGCTGCCAGCCTGTACCTTAATGATGTTAAGTACCTTGGGGGACCACGCACTGCTCTCCTGCTGTCACTCAAGCCACATAGCAATGTTATGAGCAGGCAGTGTGACCCCATTTGATGGCCCAGGAAGTTGGTCACAGCAGTGAAGTGACTCGCCTGAGCTCACATACATAGGAGGCGGTACCAGGGTCTCTTAGATACTGTTGGCTATTTTGTAACTTTGTTGTTTACCACCCCTCATTCATTTAGCTAACAGAAATGTATGGAGGGCCCACTTTGTGCCAGGCATGGTTCTAACCCCGGGCATTCTGTGACTAGACAAACAGATATCGTTTCTGATGGCTTGAAGGCTGGTGGGGCAGAGAGGGTTCCTGAATCCCCAAGACAGCCCTTGGGATGTGTGATTGCTGCCATCGACATGCGGGATTCTAGCTCAGCAGTTCCAGCTGGGCGGGGGCCGTTCTGAGTTCTGTATTTTGTTCTTCCTCCCCAGTAGTTCAGGGTAGTTCCACCAGTCCTTCTGCCACTCAAAGTGTGGACCTTGAGCCAAAAGCATCAGCCTCCCCGAGGAGCTTGTTAGAAACACAGCATCTCAGGCCCCACCCCATCCCACGGAATCATATTCTGCAGTTAACAAGGTCTCCAGGTGACTCATGCAAACTGAAGTTTGACAGGCACTGTTCTAGTGTGTGGTTCTCAAGCTTGGCTGCATGTTGGAATCACCTGGGGGTTCCTTGAAACATTCTGTTGCTTGGGCAGGGTCCTCCCAAGATTCTAATTTAATTAATGTAGGTTTGAGCTGCACAGTAGAATTTTCCAGAACCCCCATGGATAATTCAAATGTGGAGCCAGGGTAGAAAACTTTGCTATACATATTTACACACACACACACACACACACACACACACACACACAGATATGTATATTTGATGGATGAATGGATGAATGGCCAAAGCAACTTCTCTGTGTAAAAGGCAAGGTGTTGACAACCACAGTTTTCTCTGGATTAAAATGCTCTGAAATGGAAAAAGAAATTATTTCCAGTGTCCACAGAAATCATAAATTGAAATGTTCTTTATGCCTGGCTGCTGGAGAAAGAGAAAGAGACTGAACCACGACAGTCTCTATTTGCCTGTCCAGGGCAGGGCACCTTTCTGGCTGGACTTCTGTGTGGACTATTGCAGGGGTGGGAGTCAGAGGCAGCACTGCCAAGGGGTGGAGTCCAGAGTGTTCCAGCCTCTTCTTTGGAAACTGAAGCACAGAGAGGGTCAGTGGCCAGTGCGAAGCCACACAGCAAGTTTTTAGCAAGATTGGAGAATCAGGAACTTTCTGTGCCCTACCAGCCTTCAAGCCCCCCAGAAACCATGTCTGCTTGTCTAGTTACAATACTCTCAGAGCCTAGCGCAGTTTCAAATCCCATCTCTTCCACTTACTTGGGCAAATCACTTGTCTCCTCTGGACTTTCAGTTGTCTAACCTCTGGAGGGCTGTCATGATGAATGGAAATTATGCACATAAAGCCATTAACAGGACCGTGCACCTAGCAGGCACAGGATGCGCTGTAGCCATTTTAACCGAACTATACATTGGTCATGGACCACAGTCTCCTGGTCAGTGTAAGGGTAGCAATACCTTCTTCCTGTTGCTGGATATTACAGGAAGATGAGGGGATTCTCCAGCCCACCGAGAGGTCTTTGCCATGACTGCCCAGGGTTTGCTTCAGGATCCTGAAGGGCTCAGAAGTTTTGGGTTCTGATTCCCCAGCCCTGCTACAAACTTGCTGTGTGACTTTGCAGCGGCCACTGGCCCTCTCTGTGCTTCAGTTTCCAATGCAGAGTTTGGAACAGAATTGGTATTTCTGAAAGCTGATTTGGAAACCCTGGCACCAGAAGCCCCCAGGGTGCTTGTTGTAAATGCAGATTCTTGGGCCCCCATCACAAAATCCAAACCTTAGGGTGGGGCCCGGGAATCTACATTTTGGTAACTCCCCCCATTCACTCTGAGGCACCTGGAAGGTTTTCAGACTCTGAGCTAGATTCTGCCTACAAGGCCTCTCTCTTTGCAGACATCCTGGGAGTTTCTCCCTAGGCTTAAAATACTTATAGCCTGGGAATAACTTTTCCATACTGATGACCCGATAGCTCAGGAAGGTGACTCCTGAGAGGCCGAGAAGGCGCTGCCAGGTCCTCCTCCTGCCTGTGGGGCTGGCATTTGGACACTCAAGCCATGCACACCGGCTCCTGCCCTCCCACGGCCTGGCCCTCTGGCCACCTCTCTGGACTGCAGCAAGGGCTCTGCTCTGCCGCGTCACTGCACCTGCATCAGGCTCTGCTGTGCATCCTAAATCCAGCCTCCCAGCACTGGTTCCTCAGAAATGCTGGCATTGGGGCAGGGGGTGTTTATGGAGTGTGGGCAGAGGAAATAACTCCCAGCTTAGCAAACATTCGAAGAAAAGAAAAAAAGGGGAAAGAAGGAAAGAAAAAAGTTTTCCTTTCTCCCTTTGTGGAAGTTCTGTGCTTAAACCCAGAAAGTTCCGGGTCCTAGGAACCCCCTGGGCCCTGGGCACACCGGGATGGTTGGTCACCCTATTCCTAGCCCTTGCCACAGGCAGAGCGAGGTGTGTTCTGGCTCCTTCCTGCAATGAAGAAGAGCAAGCGTCAGCCTGGAGAAGGCCCAGGGTGTGAATGGTGAAACAACACCGATGAATCCCACAGGCATGATGTGGAGCAAAGCAAGCCGGGTGTGTGTTTCCACTTGTGGGAAGCTCGAGAACAGGCAGCCTCATCTAGGGTGCACAAAGTGATCAGAACAGTGGCTGCCTCTGGGTAGTGTAGGGATGGCCTGTGAAGGGCCACGAGGGAGCTTTCTGGGGTCACAGAAATATTCTATACTCACAGGGGAGAGGCTGACACGGGTGCATCCGTTTATTAAATTCTACACCTAGGATTTGTGCATTTCAGTGTATGTACATTTCACCTGTAAAACTGTAGAAGAAAAATAGTAACAAATGATTATAAGTGATCTGAGGTGGAGAGGGGATGGAAAGAGAGGAAACAAGAATGGCAGAATATTGGCTGGGCACAATGGCTCACGCCTGTAATCCCAGCACTTTGGGAGGGCAAGGTGGGTGGATCACCTGAGGTCAGGAGTTCGAGACCAGCCTGACCAATATGGTGAAACCTTGTCGCTACTAAAAATACAAAAATTAGCCAGGCATGGTGACACATGCCTGTAATCCCAGCTACTTGGCGGGCTGAGGCAGGAGAATGGCTTGGACCTGGTAGGCGGAGGTTGCAGTGAGCCGAGATTGCACCACTGCACTGCAGCCTGGGCGATAGAGCGAGACTCCGTCTCAAAGACAAACATACACAAAAGCGGCAGAATATTGACCATTGTGTGTAGCTAAGTCATGGAGTCATGGTTTCCCAGAAGTTCCTTATATTATTCTATTTACCTTGTAAATGTCTGAAGTTCTCCATGATGAAAAGTTAAAAAAAAAAAGGATAATCAAAAGCACAATAAGACACAAATTGACATCCACTAGGATGGCTAAAATCATAAAGACAGACAATAGCCAAGTGTCGGTGAGATTGTGGAGAAACTGGAACCCATCACTACTGGTGGGGATGTAAAATGGGGCAGCGGCAGTGGAAACAGTTTGGCAGGTCCTCAAAAGGTTAAACAGAATTACCATGCAACCCAGCTGTTCCACTCCTAGGTGTATAGCTCAGACAAATGAAAACACATGTCCACACAAAAACTTGTACACAGGCCGGGTGTGGTGGCTCACGCCTGTAATCCTGGCACTTTGGGAAGCCGAGGCGGGTGGATCACCTGGGGTCAGGAGTTTAAAACCAGCCTGGCCAACATGGTAAAACCCCATCTCTACTAAAAATACAAAAATTAGCCAGGCATGGTGGCAGGTGCCTGTGATCCTAGCTACTCGGGAGGCTGAGGCAGGAGAATCACTTGAACTCAGGAGGTGGAGGTTGCAGGGAGCCAAGCTTGTGCCACTGCACTGCAGCCTGGGCGACAGAGCTAGAATCTGTCTCAGAAAAAAACAAAACAAAACAAAACCCAAAAAAACTTGTACACAAAAGTCCATGGTAGTATTATTCATAATAGCCCCAAAGTAGAGACAACTTAAACATCCATAAACTGATGAGTGAATACATAAAATGCGGCCTATTCATACAATGGAATAGTAGTCAGCCATGAAAAGGAATGAAGGGCTAAATCGTGCTACAACATGGATGCACCCTGAAAACACGATGCTGAGTGAAAAGAAGCCAGACACAGACACGACATGTTGGATGATTCCACTTATGTGAGATGTCCAGAGCAGGCAAATCCACAGAGACAGAAAGCAGAGGGGTGGGTGTCCGGGGCTGGATGGAGGAGGAGGGTAGCAGTGATGGCTGCACAGCTCCACGATGATACTAAAGACCACCGAATTGTGCACTTTAAAAGGGCCAATATTGTGGTATGGGAGTTATCGTCGGAGTCTGAGCTGGCTGAACACTCCTGGGGGAGGCAGGAAGTGGAAGTAGTGGGGGTCCCACAGCCTGGCCCTCACCTGTTTCACGCAGCAGCAGAGCGGGGCTTCCTGAGGGCAAAGCTGCTGCCCTGGGGGCCCTGCAGATGCAATGCAGGCCAGTTCTGGAAGCTCCATCTGGGAGGGGCTCAGGGCCCACAGTCTTGACCTTGGAGACTTCCTCGCCCCCTCTGTCCCTCCCAGCAAAATGCTGCCAGCCCCACTTCAGAACGTGGCCACCTCTCACTTCTGCAGCTCCTTAGTCAGGGCTGGTCCATTCTGCAGCTCGGCATCCCTCCCTCCCCTCCCTCCTGCTGTGAGTTCACCATTTGTGCCTTTGGCCCTGGCCCGAGGCCCTGAGCTGTTTCCTCTGAGGCTCTCCTGGGGCCTGGATGTGCTGACTCACTCCTCTGCCCACTCCTTTAGCCACTTTTCTCTCGGCCAGCCGTGCCCTCCGCTACCCTCCCCTCCTTTACTCCGCTCCCATGGGCCTCCCCCCAGGCACTACTCACCCCGAGCCGCAATCCCTCCTCCCCAGGTCTCCCCGCCACCCCCCCGCCCACTCCTTCTAGCAGCTGTCCCCACTTCCCAACCCTGGGACACAAGGGCTCTGAGAGTGCTGGAACCAACCGGACGGGGTCAGCCCCACCATGGGACCTGGCCGATGAGTCATCTCTCTGAAGGCGTCTTCCCTTCTGTGAAGTGGGGAAGGTAACTGTCATCCCACAGGGCGATTGTGGGCACCCGGGAGACCCGCTGAGGGATGCTGCAGTGTAGAAGCTTCCCAAATCTACGCTGCTTCTCTTCCTCCTCAGTCCTCTCCCGCTGCTGCCCTCCGGTTCATGCCCTGTGGCTGATCCATCACCGGCTCTCCACGGCCTTCACCTTGGGCGGGTTGGATGGCTGACTTCTCTTCTAGAGGTTCCAGCAAATTCTTACTAGAAAGCAGCTGCCACTGGGCTGGGCATGGTGGCTCACGCCTGTAATCCCAGCACTTCGGGAGGCTGAAGTGGGCAGATCACTTGAGGCAAGGGAGTTTGAGACCAGCCTGGCCAGTGTGTGGAAACCCTGTCTCTACTAAAAACACAAAAATTAGCCTGGCGTGGTGGTGCACACCTGTAATCCGTTACTCGGGAGGCTGAGGCATGAGAATCACTTGAACCCAGGAGGTTGGAGGAGAGCCGAGATTGTACCATTGCACTCCAGCCTGGGCAACAGAGCAAGACCCTGTCTCAAAAAAAAAAGAAAAAAAAAAAGCAGCTGCCACTGAGGGAGCATTACTAGCTTAGCTGCTGTCAGGCAAGTTGCATAACTTCTTGAGACCCAGTTTTCTGATCTGTAGAATGGGATTGTGGTGAGGATTAAATTAGGAAACAGGGAAATGACTAGCACAGGGCCAGGAGCCCAGCAGGGGTCTAAGAAGTATCCACTGACTCTGAATCTCACAGCGGTTCTCCCCGTGTGGGGAAGGCGGGCCGCCATCCCATCGCCTCTGTGCTGGTGTCCCGTCAGCAGTCACCGAAGGAGAGACCTAGGGACTCTCCCAGTGTCCAGCACAGGCCCGGCCTGCAGGGGCCCTTCCTGAACGACTCATGAATGAGTGTGGGTGGTGGCGTCTGCATGGGGCATTTGCGGGGGGCTGGAGTTGGACCTGCAGAGGTGGGGGGACTGTGAGGAGGCAGAGGAAACAGTGTCACCTGCAGAGCATCAAGGAGGCCCCAGGCCAGGAAACAGGGAATATTGCTTCTTGGCTGGGACATAGGGAGAGACACAGCTGCAGGAAAAAAACAAAAGCAACAAAACTAGGATAAGAAGCATTCGCTAGAGCAATTACCAAATGCCACCAAGCACAGAGAAGCTCCAGAGAGCAGGCCAGTTTTTTAGGAAGCTGATTCATGGTCCGAGAAAGGGACAGATGAGGAGGCAGGAGCTGGCTCTTGTACAGGGCCTCTTACTAAAGGGTGAGGAGGCAGGGAGGTGGAAATGGCACCCCAAAAGGTGAGCTGCATCCCGGGGAGGAGGCCCCAAGAGTCCCGCCTGGTCTTTGAAAAATCTCTCTCTGTGGGCCAGGCATAGTGGCTCAGGCCTATAATCCCAGCACTTTGGGAGGCGAAGGCTAGTGGATCACCTGAGGTCAGGAGTTCGAAACCAGCCTGGCCAACATGGCGAAACCCCGTCTCTACTAAAAATACAAAAATTAGCTGGGCATGGTGGTGGGCGCCTGTAGTTCCAGCTACTCGGGAGGCTGAGGCAGGAGAATCGCTTGAACTCAGGAGGCAGACGTTGCAGTAAGTTGATATCGCGCCACTGCACTCCAGCCTGGGTGACAGTGAGACTTCATCTCAAAAAAAAAAAAAAAAAAAAAAAGCCAGGCATGGTGGTGGGCGCCTGTAGTCGCAGCTACTCAGGAGGCTGAGGCAGGAGAATGGCGTGAACCCGGGGGGCAGAGCTTACAGTGAGCCAAGATCGCACCACTGCACTCCAGCCTGGGTGACAGAGCAAGACTCCGTCTCAAAATAAACAAACAAAGAAAACTCTCTCTGTGCCTTCCTTCCCCTGCCCTCCACCTTAGTAAGACACTGAAATGTCTACAGTCCAGGATGAGAGGGAAGGCGAGGACCAAAGAGCCCGTGCAGTTCTGCTCCCTAAGCCCACCATGGTTCTGCAGAGACATCACCAAGGGCACCTTACTTGGTTGCCATAGGGTGTGCATGTCCCTCTGACAATATCCCTGAAAGCCCCAGGCAATGCTGTGGGGCAGGCGTAGCACCCAAGATGGGAGGAGAACAGTGGGAAGGCCGGCAGGGCTGGTCCTGCGCGTGGCGAGTTCGCCTGCTTCTCCCACCGGGTCTCCAGCCAGAGCAGGCTCTCAGAAAAGACGCGCTGACAGCCGGAGCAGAGGAGGAATGAGGGCAGACACTGGAAGGGGATGGAGAGGACATTTGAGCCACCGGCCCCTGACTTGGCCATTGCTATTAGGTTGGAGGGAGCCAGGGATGGAGGCTGGTGAGCAGAGCAGCAGAGCAGGTCCAGGGGTGTGAGCCCAGCCCCAAGGGGGAGCAGAACAACAAGCGTCCACTCTGTGCTGGCCCCTGATATACAGGTTCTCGTTCAGTCCTCAGCACCGCCCTCTGAATAGTGTTATGATTGTCCTCTTTGCTGGGTGAGGAAATAGAGGCACAGAGAAAGAAAAGGACTTGTCCAAGGGCAGAGCCAGGGAGTGGGAGAGCTGGGACTCAACCCAGGACGAGCAAACTAAAGATGCTGGCCCTTACCCTGACCTGATACTATCTGCAGTGGTTGGGATGTCTTAGTAGCAGGAAAGAGGAAGAAAGACAGTCCACTGCAGGTGGCCAGTGGTGTTCAGGCTGCCAGGAGGGAGGGAAAGGCAGAGCTGCCCGGCCAGGGCTGAGGCCACATGGAGAGGGTGCGAGGGATGCATGGCAGGGAGGACAATGAAGGCAGAGGGAAAGGAAGAACCTGGGAAACTGCAGCAAACAGACCAGGACATGAGGCTGCAGGTGCCCAGGGCTGGAAGGGCACTAGGGACCAGTCAGCCTGTAAAATGACAAGTCCAGACCATCATTTTACCAGCAGAAGGTTGAGGTCCAGGGGTAGACGTGACCTGCCCTGGATCTCCCAGTGCATTCAAGTGAGAGTCGGGGTCGGGCGTGGTGGCTCAAGCTTGTAATCTCAGCACTTTGGGAGGCAGAGGAGGGCGGATCACCTGAGGTCAGGAGTTCGAGACCAGACTGGGCAAAATGGTGAAACCTCATCTCTACTAAAAATACAAAAATGTGCTGGGGATGGTGTTGGGTGCCTATAATCCCAGCTACGTGGGAGGCTGAGGCAGGAGAATTGTTTGAACCCGGGAGGAGGAGGTTGCAGTGAGCTGAGATCACACCACTGCACTCCAACCTGGGTAACAAAAGCAAAACTCCATCTCAAAAAAAAAAAAAAAAAAAGAGTCAGGACTAGATCTCGAATCCTGCCTATTGAAAGGGGTCTGTATGGCAGCCATGGGAACAGAATCTTGGCTTCATGTCTCAAATCCATCTTGTTCCTTGGAGGTGGGGGTCGGTCTTTGGAACGTGTCTTTCTATCTTCAGCTATCAACATGGAGCAGGCCATCAGTGCTAGATGGATAAACCAATAGTGGCATATACATACAGTGGAATAGTATTCGGCCATGAAGAGGAATGAAGGTCTGACGCATGGCACAGTGCATGGACCTTGAAGACATGATGCTGGAGCAGGAAGCCAGTCACAGAAGACCACACCTGGCACGATTCTGTTTCTATGAAATGTCCAGAATAGGCTAATTCATGGAGATAGAAAGCAGATGGGTGATTGCCAGGGGCTGGTGGGAGAGGAAGGAGGAGAGACTGCCTAGTTGGGACAGGGTTTTCTTTTGGAATGCTGAGAAAAAGCTTTGGAACTAGACAGAGGTGATGGTGGCTGCAGAAGATTGTGATTGTACTAAATGCCACTAAATTGTTCCCTTTAAGTTGCTCAATTTCATGTTATGTAAATGTCAACTCAGAAAAATGAAGCAGGGGGCTGGGGTGCAGTGACTCACGCCTATAATCCCAACGCTTTGGGAGGCCGAGGTGGGAGACTCACTTGAGCTCAGGAGTTCGAGACCAGCCTGGCCCACATGGTGAAACCCATCTCTACAAAATGTACAAAAATTAGCCAGGCGTGATGATGCCTGCCTGTGGTCCCAGCTGCTCAGGAGGCTGAGGCGGGAGGATTGCTTGAACCTGTGAGTCAGAGGCTGCAGTGAGCTGAGATTGTGCCACTGTACTCCAGCCTGGGGGACAGAGTGAAACCCTATCAAAAAAAAAAAAAAAAAAAATAGAGCAGGGCTGCTCAGAATCTAAGCTCCAAGGAAATCAGAAATTTGTCTTCTCTCCAGCACCCAGAAGAATGGACTTTAGTAGGCAGTCAATGACTGTTGTTGAAGGATGGTAAAGGATGAATGTTTGGTTTCCTGTTAACTACTACTGAATGAATGAATGAATGAATGAATGATGATCAGTATGACGGACTTTCGCTGAGCACCTCCGTGTTTCGGCCTGTCCCAGCTGCTTTATGCACCACATGACCCCTTGAGGGAAGTGCTTAGAGCACCCCCATTTCATAGAGGAGGAAACTGAGGCTCAAGGAGGTTAAGTGACTTTCCCAAGATCACTGGGTTAGTCATGGGTGAGGCCAAGATTGAAACCCAGGACATCTGGCCTTCGCACCATCATGCTGGCCTGAGAGCTGTTTTACAAAGTCTGGCTGCCTTAGAAGCACAAAATGGCCCTGAGGCTGAGGTTCTAGACTAGAGGCGAAGTGGCCCAGAATTGAAAGTTAGGGCTGGGCACGGTGGTTCATGCTTGTAATCCTGGCAGTTTGAGAGGCCAAGGCAGGCAGATCGCTTGAACTCAGGAGTTTGAGACCAGCCTGGGCAACATGGGGAAACCCTGTCTTTACAAAAAATACAAAAAATTAGCTGGGTGTGGTGACACCCACCTGTAGTCCCAGCTACCTGGGGGGTTGAGGTGGGAGGATCACTTGAGCCCAGGAGATGCAGGCTGTAGTGAGCTGCCAAGATCATGCCACTGCACACTAGCTTGGTGATAAAGTGAGATCCTGTCTCAAATTTAAAAAAAGAAAGAGAGAGAGAAAGAAAGAGAAGGAAAGAAGGGAAGAAAAATAAAACGAGGGTAGGAAGAAAGAAAACAAAAGAAAAGGAAAGGAAAGAAAGATGGTATCAGTGTTGTGTAGTCATAGGGGGTCGGATTTTAGAGCCAATCAGAGGTGAGTTCAAATCTTAGCTCTGCCTTACTGTGAGCTTAAGAAAGTGATAAAACCTCTCTGAGCCTCGGTTTCCTCATCTGTAAAATGGGGGTAGAAGTGGTATTCACTTCCCTATGCTGCCACAGGGATGAAATCAGTCCACGGTGTGAAATGCCAGCCTCACGAGCGGCACTTAGGAGGCATCGGTTCTTTCATCCTTTTGGGGAAGAGTCCCCCCTGGGAAATCCGGAACTTTAAAATCCGGTGCCCCTTAGAAGAGCTCAGGTGCTGGCTTGGTCCTTCCTGTCTACACTGCCTCTTCCCTTCTCCACTGTAATTTTTTTTGAGATGGAGTTTTGCTCTTGTTGCCCAGGCTGGAGTGCAGTGGCACAATCTTGGCTCACTGCAACCTCCACCTCCGGGTTCAAGCGATTCTCCTGCCTCAGCCTCCCAAGTAGCTGGGATTACAGGCACAAGCCACCACACCTGGCTAATTTTTTTTTGTTTTTTTTTAGTAGAGATGGAGTTTTACCGTGTTGGCCAGGCTGATCTCAAACTCCTGACCTCAGGAGATCCACCCACCTCGGCTTCCCAGAGTGCTGAGCTTACAGGCGTGAGCCACTGCACCCAGCCTCCATTGTAATTTGCAATCTCTGGCACAGACCTTTTACCCCACTATCAGGTTTATGCCAACGGACGTTGCTATGAGAAGGTAGAAAAACAGAAACTGCTTACAGCAAATGTCCATCCATTGTTTCTGTTTCTGATGGAAGAGTTCTGTGGGTTATAGCCCTGGGATCTGTTCCCCCACCCATCGTGACATTAATTCTTCAGCGTGGATGGTATCAGGGTCAATTTACAGGACACTGGCCCCAAACTCAATGGGCACTGCCTGTCCCCAGAAGCAGCTGGTCCCTCTCAGATTGACATTCCCTGAGGGCAAATAAGGAATACAAAGCACGTGTGTCCAGGAAGAGGACATCATCCTTTTACGTAAATGTAAGGTCACCGTCTTGGGAGAACAAAGACTGCCCCGTCCTCAGCCTCCCTGCTCTCTGAATTATTATCTAAACGGAAACACAGACACTCTCTGGGCAGCACCTCAGCCTGTCTCTGGGCACACACACAAAGATGCTTTCACTAAGGAGAAAGCATAAAGATATTGTGGCTGGGCCCGGGCATAAATCTCTCTTGTCCCAGGAGGAGACGTGGCTGCCTGATCCTCGGCTGAAACTTTGGCTGCGCAGGTCTGCGGGCCCACCTCTCCCCTCTAATTTGATTTCCTGAGTCACTGTTAAGCCAGGCCTGGGTTCATACCCTGCGTAATTTTCAAAGCATTAGGTTTTGAAAAGATCTTGGCCGTCTGCGCAACCGAAATCCTGGCTCCTACACAATTTCTCCCTTCTCTGGAAATCTGTAAGAGGAACAGGCTTGTGAGCATCCAGGGGCCTTTCTTTATTAACTGGGATCAGGGCACCCTTAAGAAATGGGGTAGGGAGGTCACTTGTTTTGTCTTAATCTTTGTACTGCAGAGTCCACACATAAATATTTCTGTGAACAAGCAGGCTCTTAAATCTCATGTTTTTATGCTGTAGAATGAAAAAATGCCTATGATTGGCATTGTCATCTTCTCCATGGGAAAACAAGCTGTTTAAAGGTCCAAATATTTTGTGGGTTTTTTTAGGGCCAAACTTTTGTAGGTTGGACAAGACACATTTTATTCAACCCATATTTACTGGGATCCTACTGTCTGTGAGGCATGGGCTGGTTCTCCATTTAAGTCTTTTCTATCTGGCAAGTTCTCTGATCCTGTTGTCTTGCCCTGGGACATATCTTTAAGCGAAGAGAACTTAGGTGGGCTGGCAACTGTTAGGAGCCAAATAGAGCAAGCACCATCTTACGTATGTGTTTAGTTTCTCTCTCTGTTGATTACAAGGCAAGCTCCAAACATTAAGATGATGGGCAGCCCTGGGGGAGCTCGGTGCTGGAGAGGAGTGATTTTTTAAATCAGGAAACAATCTAATTCTCTGTTTGAAGCTTTCCAATAACCCTCTCAACCAAATGCTAGGTTCTTATTTCACTTCTCAGACCATCTGGCTCCCGAGTGGAGGGAGGGTGTCTCGGGGTCTCCTGTAACTCCCTGCAAAGGGGACGAAGGTGTGGGCAAGCAGCACTTTTTACTCTGGCCTCCTGGGGCAGAGTGACTTACAGATCAGCTCATCTGTGAGTTTCCCATCCAGTGAGACTGGCCCAGACACTGAGCACTGCAGGGAAACTGAGGCCGGGGACCTTTGCATCATTGGCATCCTTACTGTGGAGCTCCGAGGAAAATAAATGGCCCATGCCTCAGTTTCCTCATCTGAAAATGGAGTGGGGATGCCCAGGAGAATGTTAGCTCAAGAAGGCAGGGATTTTATGTTTTTGACCTGCTCTAGGGCTTAGCACAGAGTGGTGTTCAGTAAACACATGTTGAGTTCACTGGGTGAGTAAACCTTCGAGGTGATGTTACCCATTTCACGGAGTGGGAGACAGGCTCAGAGAGGAGGTGGCGTGATTTGCCTGTAGTCACAGACTCGGGAGAGCTGGGAGAGGTGACACTGTGTCTGTGTGGCCCACTGAGTCCACGCATGGCTGAGGGCCACGTAATGATTTTCACGGTGAGCCTTAGGCACTTTTGCCTTTGCAGGACTCCAATAAAAAAAAAAAAGATGGAAAATTATCTTTTATGACTGATGGCCTAATAATGAATATAACCCATGTTGGATAATATTCATTTTTTTCTTCTTATTTTAAGATCTGAAGACATTTTCTTGGGCCCCTAAAAGACATCTCCGCCCAGGCACCCTGCGGGATGGAGCCGTGAATGCCATCAGAGGCCGCTCACCTGGTCCTCCTCTGCCCTGAGGTCGGGCATGGTGCTGACACACAGGCTGACGGCTGTGGTGGCCACGAAGAGGATGGAGAGGCAAGCGAAGACCTTCCCGGGCAGCCCGGACTGCGGGTTTTCCACCATCTCGCGCAGCCGGTTCATGCACAGGCCCCAGCGCGAGGAGTGCGAGGCGGGGCGGCGGGTCTCCCTCTGCTGCCTCAGTACGTCCTCCCTGTGCAGCTTGGCCAGCTCCTCCAGCTCCTCCAGCTTCCTCAGCAGCTTCCGCAGGCAGCACCTCTCCAGGTGGGCCTCCTCGATGCCCCAGTAGGCCAGCTCCTCCTGGAAGGACAGCGCGCACATCTCCTGCAGAAGCACCAGCTTCCCGGCCGCCAGGAAGCTCACGATCACCCCGAAGGCGCTGGGGCTCCTGTCGAAGAAGAACTCCTGGCTGTCCTCGTCGTAATCATCGCAGAGCTGCACGATCTCCTCGTAGCTCCGACAGAGCCTGAGTTTGCTCAGGCGGCTCAGCGGGAACCGGTCCAGTGTGCTCCAGGGGAGGAGATACCTCCTGCCCCCCACGTTGATCAGGATCTCCTTCTTCAGGTCCACTGGGGAGGCGTCCAGGGCACCCACCTTCCGCACCCTCCGGTAGTAAAGGCCCTTGATGGACGGCGTCTCCATGGGGCTGGACAGGAGCTGACTCCAAGGGCTGTGGGAACCATAGTGGTGGTGTCTGGGATGCAGGCCCCCGTCTCTGGAAGGCATGGGCATTGCTGAAGACCACCAGGTAGGAAGCGCTGGGTTTACCAGTCTGACACCCAAGGGACAAAGAGCAAGCAAAAGGAAGGGAAATCAGTCTTGGGGCAAAGAGTCCTGGATGTCACGACTGCAGATGTTCTTACGTGTGCTTTCCTGTGACTGCATCTGCATGGCTTGTTCTTTTAACCTTTAGTTCAACACATATTTATTGAGCACCTACTATGTGCTTGGGATACATCAGTGAAAAAAACCCTTCCCTGGTGGAACCTCTACCGACATCTCAGAAGGATGTCTCCAGAATAGACGTTGCACGGATGGGGGCTTGAGTAATTCAGTCCTGAGCTGGACAAGTCGGAGCGGTGCCACTTCTGGGCTCTGTGGTCTCAGGTATGTGGCTTAACCTCTCTGATCTCAGCATCATTCATTCAAATGACAAGACTCATACTAATCTTGCAAGGTACAGGTAGTAAAAATAGAGCTTAAGAATGTAGGCTCTCAGGTTCACTGGCAGGGACCGATCCCTTACAGACTGCCAGCACAGGTGGGTTACTCAGTGTCTCTGAGTCCTTTGCTTTATCTGTATGACTGGGGCAGTCTGAGTGCCCACATCGTAGGGCATGGCAAGGGTTATATGCAGTAATATACAAGAAAGTGTGTATTAATAATACTTCTAGATGCTTCTGACATGCCTGGCTTCCCCTAACTCACCTCAACAACCTCATGAAGTAGACATAAGAGCTCCACTTTATAGATAAGGAGGCTGACGCACGGAAGGTTTGCGTGTCTTGCCTACTGTTTAGCAAGCACCTGACATCAGGAAGGTTCAGCGAGGGTCTGTTATTAAAGGTTCGAGTAGCCCAGGAATGTGACTATGCTTAGCGAGCATCCAAGCATCTAGGTCTCAGGAGGAACTCCACCAGTCTCGCTTAATCCCTCTTGGTCGCTTCCCCATTTGGGGAGGCCTTTGCTAAGGGGACGGAGGAGCATTGCGTACTTGCAATCACAGTACTCCTCCATGTTCGTTGCGTGCTTGCCTCAGCCATCCTTGCTGTGTGACCTCCAGCCAGTTACTCCCCCTCTCTGGGCCCGCAGGCTTTTATGTGCAGAATGAAGGGGCCTCCAGCCGCAGTGGTTCATGCCTGTAATCCCAGCACTTTGCGAGGCAGAGGCAGGCAGATCATCTGAGGTCAGGAGTTCGAGACCAGCCTGGCCAATGAAACCCTGTATCTACTAAAAATACAAAAATTAGCTAGGCAAGGTGGCATGTACCTGTAGTCCCAGCTACTCGGGAGGCTGAGGCAGGAGAATCGCTTGAACCCGGGAGGCGGAGGCTGCAGTAAGCCGAGATTGCGCCATTGCACTCCAGCCTGGACAACAGAGCGAGACTCCATCTCAAAAAGAAAAAAACAAAAAAAAATGACGGGGCCTCTAATGCTGTCTCCATTTCAGACCTATATGAGGTGCTTGACTTAGTGTGAGTGTTTTAGATTTAGCCACTTCACATATTTAAAAAGTCCTTTTCATAATATTTCTCACCTTCAGATCCTGCAACCATTTCTTATGCTATTCATTCTAGCCAAAGCCATTTCCAAAGCATCTATAAGCTTACATTTTCAGATGCACTCCACTCCAATCAAGAGAAAAACTCGGCAGTGGAACGGAAATCAAAGTTCCTCTCAATTTCAGAGCCGGTTGGATTCCGGTGGATAGTGGAGAGTGAATCGTAACCTATTTCACACTCTTGCTCCCTACACAACATTCTGTTGCTCTGAATGCATTACTTTGCTCACAGGGAATGGCCAGAGGAGGATGAGGAGCCTGCAGAGAGAAGAGTATTTTGAAATCTGGGGAGCCCTTTGCAAGCTTCCTCATTTTCCCAGTGCAAAAACCAAGACCCAGCGAGCGGAAGTAACTTGTCCAAGGTCACACAGCAAATCCGAATCCAACCCAGCACTCTGTCCCCCAGCCTGGGGCTCCTTCCAGAACCTGAAAACTGCCCTTTCTGCATTCACTGAATAAACCCAATTTTGCCATCTACGGCTCTCCAAACAGCTGGCAAACAGCTCCTTCTGGAGCACGGGAAAGGAATTCACTCAAACCAGCACTTTTGCCAAGGATGTCTAACAGCGTCAACTTCCCCCTGGCCCCCGCCCACCCTACAGCAAGCAGTAACTCTTCCCCTCCAGTTTAACTCACCTTCTTGTCTCAGGGAGCCAGTTTCCAGCTGTTTCTCTGCCAGGCAAGGGGAGCCCATCTCTTGGTGCCCAGGGAAGGGACAGGTTTCTGGTGGAGATGAAGGGGAAGAAAAAAATCCCCAAAACAGCAGTTTCTAGCAGAGTCAGTTTCCAATCTTTCTTCCCGTGCCTCCTCCAGAAACCAGAAGTTCATTCATTCTGCATCTCTCTCTCCAGCAGCTGCAGGAGAGCCCTGGGGGATTGAGGTGGGATTTTTTTTTTTTTTTAAAGGACCCAGAAGTCCCTTTCCTTATGAGAGATGAGGGTCTGGGGGTTCTTGCTGGGAGGGAGCCAGGGCAGCTGTCCTGGTTGAGCAGCGGACTCTGCACTTCAAGTCCCACGGGGACAGCCAGTGTGGGGGGGTGTGGAATGGGAAGGGCTTAGAAATAATCTCTCCATCAGCCAGCAGCAGGAAGAAGCAGCAGCCGCTGCCACTCTGCCAACCGCCTAGGAGGCAAGGGGAGCTGTCCTCCCTCCTCTGGCATGGAGGAGCACAACTCGGGAGGAGCAGAGGGCAACTTGGGGCCGGAGGCATCTGCAGCTACCTGTCCCAGGCACCCCAGAGTCTCTCGGGGTATGCTGATGATGGTGACAGGCTCAAGTTGAAGCTGCAGGAGGAACTTTTTGCTGCTTTTAAGCAGCCCAGGCCTGGGACAGGTTCAGACAGAAGCCCAGGCTCTGAGCGCTGGGTGGGAGTCAGGGGGGCTGTGTTACAGAACAGCAATAGGAAGAGCTCCGAGCTTGGAATTCACACACATGCCTGGATCCTGGCTCCTATGTGAAAGGCTGGGTGACCTTGGCCAGGTGAGTTAGTGCTTCTGAGCCTCAATTGTCTTGTCTCTAAAACATGGGAATGAGAGAGGGTTCAGGGAAGGTCAGAACCATAAGTGCAAGCTCCTGTGCTGGTTGGATGGTTGGGTGGGTGAAAAGGAAGAGGCATCAGTCCAGGGCCTGGGTGTGAACTTGGACTCTGCACTGCCTGGCTGTGTGTTCTTGGTCAGTCACTTCCCCTCTCTGGGCCTTGGGTTTCTCAGTCAAATGAGGACAGTGAAACCAGCGATGGCTGCAATTGTAAAACCAGCATCTTGTAGTTGCTCACTACACGTTGACTGTTCTTCACTTTCTTAAGAGGTTTTGCAGCCCAGGCTCTTGGCTTCTGAATGTGTTATCTTCACTGCATTTGATAGTTGAGGCCCTGAGAAGAGGCTTGCTCAAGGTCATCTTGCTGGTTAGAACCATCACTTAGGCCGGGTGTGGTGGCTCACAGCTGTCATCCCAGAACTTTGGAGGCGGAGGCGGGCAGATCACAAGGTCAGGAGTTTGAGACCAGCCTGGCCAACGTACTGAAACCCTGTCTCTACTAAAAATACAAAAATTAGCTGGGCATGGTGGCGGGTGCCTGTAATCCCAGCTACTCGGGAGGCTGAGGCAGGAGAATTGCTTGAATCCGGGAGGCGGAGGTTGCAGTGAGCTGAGGTCGCGCCACTACACTCCAGCCTGGGTGACAAAGTGAGACTCTGTCTCAAAAAAAAAAAAAAAAAAAAAGAACCATCACTTAACAGACGCTTGAGTTTTGATGGGAGGATCCAGGAGTGAGGGAGATTAGAGGGTGAGCCTTCCACAGCTGCCTGCAAGGGGATGACAGGTGCTGCTGACCTAGGTGGGCTCTCTGTGGCCTTGGCAATGGGAACGAATCCAAGCAGAGAAGAGAACTGACTGAATGGAGGTCCATCTGGTATTGCGGTTTTCAAATGGTATTGCTTGAAGCCTTAGGGCTCTGCAGAAATGATTGAGGGGCCTGGCCTGGGGCAGTGACAACGGGGAGGATGAACCCCTGGACCTGCTACCTCAGCCATGGCAGCTGCACTCTGATCTGTCTCCATAAGACTGTAAGTGTAACCCCAATAAAGGCTGTGGCCCAGCATGGTCCAGTGTCCACACAGAGCCACTCAAAGAGATCCCAGAGCACCTGCCAGTAATGGAGAAGTTTCCTTCCCTCCTTCCACTGACTCCCGTGTTCCTCAGACCCCACAGCTGCTCCAATGGTGCTCTTAGAAGAGTCTTCAGAATTGTCTTTCCAGCTCATGATTCCTCCTCCTACCCCAGCTGTCTCCCCACCTCTCTCAGCTGTTTCTTATTTGTCTGGATTTAGCCTTTCTGGTTAAATCTCCCCTAACTTATCCCCATTCCTCTCAGTTCTCTCTGGATCCTGAGTATATGGGTTCAAATCAAGAATTTACCAATTCCCTGCTGGGTGACCTTGAGCAAATTTCTTAACCTCTCTGTGCCTTAAATTTTTTTGTCTGTGACCTGAAGATGACAGCATCTATCGATTTGTTGTGAGTTTTGAACAAATCAATTTACATTGATAAGGCTCTTAGAAGACTGCCTGTCACAAAAGTGAGTCCTATCTATTCAAATGCTTGCTATTATTATGATTATCTTTTTTTTTTTTTTTTTTTTTTTTGAGATGGAGTCTCGCTCTGTTGCCCAGGCTGGAGTGAAGTGGCAAGATCTTGGTTCACTGGAGCCTCCGTCTCCGGGTTCGAGCAATTCTTGATCCTCAGCCTCCTGAGTAGCTGGGATTACAGGCACCTGCCACCATACCCAGCTAATTTTTGTTTTTTTAGTAAAGACAGGGTTTCCCCATGTTGGCCAGGCTGGTCTTGATCTCCTGGCTTCAAGTGATCCACCTGCCTCTGCCTCCCAAAGTGCTGGGATTACAGGTGTGAGCTACCGTGCCCGGCTATGATTACCATCTTAGCAATTTTTTTTCCCCAAATTACCCAAGAAAGATTTAGGTAAATACAGGAGTCTGCTGTTCAAAAACTTTTCTAAAAGAAGGCTTGATTTACTGACCTAGTGCAGGTCCCTCATTTTACCTATAGAGGAACTCAGACCCAGTGAAGGGGAGAGCCCTGCCTGAGCCCTCCCAGCCAGTGGATGGCACTGCCAGGCTCAGTGTGGACTCACAGTCCAGTGCTCTTTCCACAGCTCAGTGCCTTCTGTCAATACACTTTGCCCAGGTTGTAGGACTTTTCCCTCAGCCTGGTGTTCAGTCCCGTCAGCCCTTTCCCCAGGGCATCCACTAAGCCCTTCTTCAGGTCTTTGTGAAGTCCCAGCCACCTTTTGGCTTAGTGCTACTGTCTTCTTGTACCCAGTGTCCCTCCCGGGTATGGACACTTGACCTCAGCTAATCAGGGCCAGTAACCCATCTCCCATCCTCCTGGCGTCCTGGAAGCCTGGAACTCGAGGCATACGTAGAAATGCCCCACCCAGATGTCTTCTGCCACATTTTTCTGATCAAGGGATGAGCCATAGTGACTACGTGTGAGCTTCTTATGGCTGCAGTAATAAATAACACCAATGTAGAAGCTTTAAATAATGCAAATTTGGTTGGGTGCGGTGGTTTCTGCCTGTAATCTCAGCACTTTGGGAGGCCAAGGTGGGTGGATCACGAGGTCAGGAGATCGAGACTATCCTGGACAACATGGTGAAACCTCGTCTCTACTAAAAATACAAAAATTAGCTGGGTGTGGCGGTGCGTGCCTGTAATCCCAGCTACTTGGGAGGCTGAGGCAGGAGAATCACTTGAACCCAGGAGGCGGAGGTTGCAGTGAGCCGAGATCACGCCACTGCACTCCAGCCTGGTGACAGAGCTAGACTCCTTCTCAGAAAAAAAAAAAAAAAAAAAAAAGCAAATGTATTCTCTTACAGTTCTGGAGGCCAGAAGTCTAAAAGGGGTCTTACAGGGATAAAGTCAAGGTGTTGGCAGGACTGGGATTTTTCCGGAGGCTCTAGGGCAGACTCCGTTTCCGTACCCTCTCCAGCTCCTAGAGGCCTCCTGCATCCCCTGACTTGTGGCCCCTTCTCCATCTTCAAAGCCTGCAGTTACATCGCTCCGACCTCTGCTTCTGTGCTCTTATCTCCATCTCTGATTCTCCTCCTCCTCTTTCCCTTGTAAGGACACTTGTGATTACATTGAGCCCCCTGGATAATTTGGGATTGTCTTCCAGTCTTAAGATTCTTAATCACAACTGCAAAGTCCCTTTTGCCATGCAAAGGAACTTATTTCCATATTTACAGGTTGCATGGGCATTTTGCAGGGTTGGGGGGGCATTATTCTGCCTATCACAGATGTATTTATAGCCAGTACACCGCCTCCTGGCCCCAGCCAATCAGATAGAACCAAGATTTTTTTGTCCAATCAGACAAAGGAAGGACACCTACCCTAAGAGGGCTTCACCCATAGGCTGAGATGAACCAATCAAATTTGCTCTCTCTCTCTCCTGAGAATTTGGACCCAAAGACATGGAGACTTTGGCATGGTAGTGGGTGCTGGCCTTGTAACATCATGTAGAAGTGGGGCTGGTGGCTGCATTGGGCTATGGGTGAGGAGGAGTAGCAGAGGAAGCCACAGGAAGAAGAAGAGTTCCCATTGACCCAGAGTTAACTTCTGTAAAGCCCATAGAACTCGCCCTGCTGTACCTAATACCTCAACCATCATCATCATCAAAATTAGACTGAGCATATCTCTCTGTACTGTTTTGGTAGGAGGACCCCAAGTCCCCAAATTGGTGGATGTGATCACATCTAGCTCTTACCTTCTTAGTCAGATGTCACCAAGGCCTGGCTCTTTCTTGAAGTGTCCTTCAGAAGAGGGAGTTGTCTTTGTCCCACAAAATGGAGCAAGAAAAGGGGGAGCCCTGTGAGAGGCAGAATATCAGCCTCAGAAGATGTCTATGTCCCAGTTCCTGAAGCTGCACGTGTGTTACTTGACATGGCAAAGGGGAATTAAGGTTGCAGATGGAATTAAGGGTGCTCATCAGCTGATCTTAAGTAGTGAGAGTATCCTGAATTCAGCAGGTGGGCCCAATGTCGTCATGGGTCCTTAAATGTGGAAGAGGGAGGCAGAAAAGAGAGTGTGAGAGAGTGATGTGAGGAAGCACTCAATCAGACACTGCTGGCTTTGAAGATGGAGAAAGGGGCAATGAGCCAGGGAATGCAGGTGACCTCTAAAAGCTGGAAAAGACAATGAATAAATTCTCCCCTGGAGCCTCCAGGAGGGAACATGGCCCTGCAGATACCTGGATTTTAGCGCCGTAAGACTCATTTTAGACTTCTGGCCTCCAGAACTGTAAGATATTAAATTTGCATTATTTTAAGCCACTAAGTTGATGGCTTTTGTTATAGCAGCCATAGCTAACTAATACATTCCTGCCTGAAGGAGGGGATAGGCCAGTCACAAACCATCAAGGATATTTGCAATTTGCTGAGGATAAGGCCCTGCCTTGTCTATCTAGCCAGGCCACCCAGCACCTGCTTGCAGAAGTTAGGATCCCTCCCTCCACAGGACATACATTGACCATCAACTGTCATGGCTATGTTGCTCACTGGCTGTGTGACCTCAGGCAAGTCACCTTTCCTCTCTGTGCCTTGGGACAGCAGAGGTCAGGATAGTCCTCGCCTCTCAGGGTTGTCGTAAGGAGCAAATGAACACATGCACGTAAGGCCTTCATTTCAGTGTCCGGCACACACATATACTCAGTAAGTGCTAGCCATTATTATTTTCACCATCTTCAGTGCTATCTATTATTACAGGGTCTGAAAGTCTCCTGATAACAGCATGAGAGGAGCTGCAGTCGATGAAATCCCAGGCTGCCATGAGCGTGCAGAGGAGCTTTGTAACACCTGCGTGATATTAATTGATAATAGCTGGCTTTCTGGGGGAAAGAAAAAAGCTCCTGACGCGTGGTGGTTGCCAGTTGCTGTGGCGTAAGTACCCCTGTCATGGCCAGTGTCGAGCCAACAACAGCATCGTTGAACAGGGAGTTGGGAAGAGATGCTAAGGATCGGCTCTCGCAAGCCTGTGCCTGTGGCCCCTAGTACATCACTGTGACTGTTGCTCCCCAGGAAGGTCAGCGGATGCTCCTAAAGATAGAATCCCTGGTTAATCAAACCTTGGGGGGTGAGCAGCAGCTAGCAAGGTGGAGAAGCGGGTACTGGCAGAAGGGGCAGGTTGAGTCAAGGCAGATGAGCTGGAGAACACGGTGCTTCTGGGAAGCTGAAACGGATTCGGCAGGACCAGAGAGTTGGACATGAAGTGGCAAGTACGAAGAAGAAGGGCAGAGAGGCAGGTGGGCATCAGAAAATGAAAGGCCTTCTCTATTTTGCTGAGGAGCGTGGACTTTATGTGGTGGGAATAGGCATGGGGAACCCCTAGTGAATTTATAGCTGTGGTTCGCTACCCTGGAACATTCTAGAATCACCTGGGGAGCTTAAAAAAATCTCCAATGACTGGGCCACATCTTAACTCAGTCAGAACCTCAGGGGTTGGGGCCTTACTTATAGGGTTGCTTTGATGTCTCTTCGGAATTCTGCCGTGCAGTCAGAGATGGGGACGGGTGGCTTTCAATTAGGAGGATCGTGATCAGATAGGCATTTTCAAGAGCTCATTTGAGCTGCTTAGATATTGCTGGAGGCAGTGTAAATGGGTGCAGTCCTTTTAAAGGGCAATTTGGCGCGATTGATCAAAGTAAGAGATGCAGACCTCCTCTGACCTGCAGTCACAGGTCTAGGGATTTATTTTGCAGCTATACTTGCTCATGTGTACAAAGACGTATATAACATTACAGTGTTGTTTGTGATAGTGGTGGGTTGGAAATGACCAAAATATCCCTCATTAAGGGACTGGCTAAATAAATGATGGTCATAAAGGCAAGAGAAAACTGCAGCTGTTCAAAAGAATCAGGAGAATCTATACACACCGCCGTCAAGGCCCAGCAAGACACACAGAGCAAGCTGCAGAACAGACCTCATTGTATGCACCAGCCTGCGTCAAAATAGACAAGGGTAGTGTGTGAGTTCATTTGATTTCTGAAAAATGGTTAAGAAATTAGAAATGGTGGTTGCCTCTGGGGAGGGAAACTGAGGGGCTTGGGAGAGGAGGTGAGAGGGAAATTTCCTTTTCTCTCTCTGTATCATTTTATGTTGCTTAAGTGAAATTAAAAGGCATCCTGAGAAGGAGACAGCCTGGAAGAAAGAGATTATGTATCAGGCCAGGTTGGAGGTGATGAGAGTGTAAATAGGGGCCATCTGTGTGGCTAGAGGTTGAGAGAGGAACTGGAATAAACAGGAGGAAGGTGGAGGAGGTACTGAGTAGATAGCATCAGATGGCGGGGTGGGGCGGTGGGGGGGCGGGGTGGCCCTGACCTGCCCTCAGCTGTTTCAGCTTCTGTTACACCACATCAGGGGAAATTAGGCTGGAGTGCAGTGGAGAAATCTCGGCTCACTGCACCCTCTGCCTCCCAGGTTCAAGTGATTCTCCTGTCTCAGCCTCCTAAGTAGCTGGGATTATAAGCGTGTGCCACCATGTCTGGCTAATTTTTGTATTTTTGGTAGAGATGGGGTCTTGCCATGTTGGCCATGCTGGTCTCAAACTCCTGACCTCAGGTGATCCACCTGCCTCAGCCTCCCAAAGTGCTGGGATGACAGGCGTGAGCCACTGTGCCCGGCATACATCAGGGGCAATTGATTCCTGCTCAAGGCCTCAGACTGCCCTGGAGTAACATGAGCACAGTCCTGAGGCCCCCAGGATCATTCAGAATGGACTCACTGGGGAAACTAAGTAATTTTCATTATAGACTTGAAGTAAAAGCACACTCAGATCATTTACCACGGAGAGTCCCAAAGTCATGATGCCTCCAGGAGCTGGGGAAGTGACACAAGGCAGGCTGGGTTGGGGCTTGGCAAAATGGGGAGCCCAAACCCCCAACTCATGAAGGTGGAATGTGGATCTAGTGTTGCAATGTTTTTCCATTTGGAAAGAAGAGATATTATCTTGATCTTTGTGCTAAATCTCTCAAATTCTTTTTTTTTTTTTTTCTGGTAATCGAGACGGGCTTGCTCTGTCACCCAGGCTGGAGCGCAGTGGTATGATCTTGGCTCACTGCAAACTCCACCCCCCAGGCTCAAGCAATCCTCCCACCTCAGCTACCCAAGTAGCTGGGACTAAAGGTTCGCGCCACCATGCCAGGCTAATTTTTTTTGTACTTTTAGTAGAGATGGGGTTTCACCATGTTGGCCAGGCTGGTCTCAAACTCCTGGGTTCAAGTGATCCGCCTGCCTTGACCTCCCAAAATGCTGGGATTGCAGGCATGAGCTGCCACACCCTGCCTAAATGTCTCAAATTCTAAACGTTACCAACCAACTCCGACATTTACAAGGCACCATGGAGCTGAACCTGTGTGTTTCTGATGACTCAACAATTCTGCTCCTAGGTGGATGCCCATGAGAGACGTGCACATATGCTCACCAGTTAGGAGATTTGTCACAGTGCTGCTTCATGACAGCCACAGATTGGAATGCCCACTAACAGGAGAATGGACAAATTAATCATAGCAGAGCCACACCATGGAATATCACACGGCAATGAGAATGTGTGCACCACAGCCATTTGCAGCAATGCAGAAGCATCTCCCAGTCAGCATGCTGAGGGAAGACGCCAGACCCAAAAAGAGCACAGCCAGCCTGATTCCATGTATGGGAAGTTCAGAACCAGGCAAAACTACTCCTCAGTGATACAAGTCAGGAAGATGATTCCCTTGGGAATAATGACTGGGAGGGACACAGGAGCGGGGGTTGGGGGCTGGGCATGTTGTTTTTGGGGGCTGATGACAGTGTTCAGTTTGTACAACTGATCCGTGCACTTTAGTATGTATGTCATATTTCAACTCAAAAGGTTTTGTGTGTGTGTGTGTGTGTGTGTGTGTGTGTGTGTGTGTGTGTAGGGTCGAATAAGAAATATCAGTGGGCTGATTCAGCCTTGGCTGCAGGTTATGATCAGGTATTACAGTGAGTGGCTGCCAAGCGGCTGGGCCTTCAAAGCTTCTTGAGCCCCAGAAGCCCCATTTTTTTAATCAGTCACCACTGAAGCCTGCAACTATACCCAGCTCTGTGTCCAACTGTTTACCTGTGACTGCCCTTCGTCCTCCTCTGCCTCCCTTCCTGGTGGAATGCTGAGGTCCTGAAGATGGAGGAAAGGCAGAGATCAAGGTTGGCCCTGATACCTTCTGCCCATGTTCTGTCTTCCTTTTCTGGGAAGCAAGAGGGATCTGGTTGGACCATTTACAGCCGCTTAAGCTTCCTGTTTAAAAATATTGCTCAGGATGTAATTGTCCCCATTGAAAGGTGCAAGCTCTTTCTGAGAGCGAGTCTGTGCTCGGGCAGTTGTGGGTTGTCAGGGACAGCCACTGCTACAAAGCAACATGTAGTTGAGTTAAAACTGTAAATGCCAGGCAGCTGAAGCTCTGGCAGTGGCAGAGTCCTTTCTTTTGGAGCAAGGCGACTCTCTGAGGAGACTTGACATTCTTAGATTCTGATTGGAGGGTTACCAAGCGGACCAAGGGCTGGGGTCTCGGCCCCCCAGATCCTAATATCTATTTATTATGAAATGTTTTCAAGCTAGTGGAAAAATTATAAGATGAGTGCAGTGAATATCTCTATTCAGTACCCAGACTCATCATTACTAGCACTTGGCCATATTGACTTTATACATGCATATAGATATACATATAATTTTTTCCCTCCTCAAGGCGCTTCAGAGTAAGTTGTAGACACTAATATTTTACCCTTGAATTCTTCCCATGGAAATTCAGAAAAATAATGATGACTTTCTACATAACTACAAAATCCTCATCAAGTTGAACACAATTAACAATAATTCCCTAATACCATCTCATACCCACCCCGTATTCAAATTTCCTTGTCTCCAAAAGGTCTCTTACGTTTTTTTTATTTAAAAACCAACAAACAAACAAACAAAGATCCAATTAAGGATTAATTGAGGGTTATGTTTCTTTGCTCATTTAATCTCAAACGCTCCTCTGTTCTTTCCAGCACCTTCCTTTCTCTCCCCTATGACACTGACTTTTTAAAGAGATCAGGTCAGTTGTCTGGTAGACTGTTCTTCCTTCTGGATTTATCCAATTACTGTCAGCTGCCCCGCTCTCCCCTCTGTGTCTGGAAATGAGGTCTAAAGTGTTGCCTGCACTTCATTTGAGCAGTTTTGGCAAGAACGCTTCCTAGGTGGAGACGCTGGGAGCTCAGTGTGCCTGGCTGTCTGCCCTGGGTGAGGCTGGGTCCCTGGCTGGGTTAAGGTGGTCATAGCAGATGCCACCACTGCAAGGGAATGCTTTCTCTTTGCCCTGAGCAAGCATGCTGGGGGTGATATTTGGCCCTAAATCTCGTGATTCTTTGGTCCTGTGGAGGAGAAGGTACAGGAGCTCAGGGGTTTTGTACGTGGATTAGGAGTGCTAATGTGCCCTCCACAGGATGCTGGCTCCCAGCGCTCATAGTCAAGAGACAACATATCTCTGTTTCTCCTTTGCTAGGTTGGGGTGTCAAGAATGTCCAGTGCAGCATAACTATCACTTCTTATGGCCCCATTCTTTCTGCGTACTCATTTTATTTTTTTTTGAGATGGGGTCTCGCTCCGTTGCCCAGGCTAGAGTGCAGTGGCGCGATCTTGGCTCATTGCAAGCTCCACCTCCCGCGTTCAAGTGATTCTCTTGCCTCAGCCTCCGAATAAATGGAATTACAGGTGTTTACCACGACGCCAGGTTAATTGTTGTATCTTTAGTAGAGATGGGTTTTTGCCATGTTGGCCAGACTGGCCTCAAACTCCTGACCTCAAGCCATCTGCCCACCTCAGCCTCCCAAAGTGCTGGGGTTACAGGCGTGAGCCACCATGCCTGGCTTCTTCATACTCATCTTAATTAGCCCTTCCAGCTGCCTTTCAGGTCAATCCGATTATTCTCCCAGTTTAGAGATGGCGACACTGAGGCTTGGAGAAGTTAGGGAACTTGCCCACGACAGCCAGGATTCAAAACCAGGTGGTCTGCTCCCAACCATTCTTCTGTATGTCGCCAATATTTTAACTTCCACTAAGACTACATTTCTGGGGCTGTGTTCCTGCCTCAGGAGGCAGCAGAGGCCAGGAAAAGGGTTCATGGTTGAGTAAGAAGCACGAGACAAGATGGGGTATAGACTGAGCTGCGACTGGTGACCTTAAGGTTACTAAGATCCTGAATTTTACTTTTAATTTAACCTGTTTTTAATCTATTTGTGTCATTTTGAAACCCGCTTATGATCATAATGATTTAATAGGACATATTGGCAACTATAATAAAGTTATAGCCTTTTAAATATTTTTTGATGGCTGGGACAGTTGGCTAGTTTATTGGGCCTGTACAATCACGTTGGAGGTACTGTCTCTTGCGGGATGTCTACTTCCTGCTGAGTTCTGCCATGGACAGAGCATGATTGTGGAGCCCAAGGGGTGTTCAGGGTGAAAAAGACACAGTCCTGTTTGATGCAGTGGCTCATGCCTGTAATCCTAACACTTTGGGAGGCTAAGGTGGGCGGATCGCTTGAGGCCAGGAGTTCAATACTAGCCTGGGCAACATAGTGAAACCCTGTTTCTTCAAAAAATACAAAAATTAACCAAGCTTGGTGGTGCACATCTGTGGTCCCAGCTACTCAGGACGCTGAGGTGGGAGGATCACTTGAGCCCAGAAGGTTGAGGCTGCAGTGAGCCATGATTGCACCACTGTACTCCAGCCTGGGTGACAGAGTGAGACCCTATCTCAAAAAAGAAAAAAGGAAGAAGACAAGACACATCCCTGGCCTTAGGCCTTCACATGGGGAGACAGATTCATAACCAAGTCCGTCATAACAAAGATGGATTTAGAGTAATGAGGATGGAGTGTAACCATTGAGTCTGGGGAGGACAGGGAAAAACTGAGATTGGTTAGCATTGGGAGAATCCAAGGAAGGTTTTTGGAGGAAGGGGCATTGAGCTGGGCATGGACCTATGGGCAGGCATTTGGGCTGAGGGGAATCCAGGAGTGAGGGTTGAGGTGTATAGGGTGGGGCAGGTCTGTGTGGCTGGCACAGGACGGCCAGGGATTAGGTTAGAAAGGAAAATGGGGTTAGAGCAAAGATGGCGCTGAATCCTGGGTTGGATTCTTGGATCTTATTCCAAAGGCATCGCAGAATCATGGAAAGAATTCAAGAAGTACTTGGCCAGATCTGACGTACCTTGGGGAGGATACATCCAGGGTGGGATTTGAAGACCAGATGAAGGCAGAGACAAGACAGCGACCCCAGTTAAGAGACCACAAAAAGAGTGTGTGAGTGAGATAAGAACCTGAACAAAGGAGGCGGTGGAAGGAATGCAGGGGTGTTTCAGGAAGAATAAATGTTGACAGGGCTTGGGACTGGGTGGCTGCAGGGAATGAAGGGCCAGAGGAGGCTGCTGTGGCCCCAAGATTTCCAGTCTGTGTGGCAGAGTGGATGAAGGGGGCAGCCACTCACATAGAAAGCCGTGGGGGAGGAGAAGTTGGGGCAGAGGATGTTGGCCTTGCGCATGCTGGGTTCAGGGCATCACTGGAGACGTGGGGATTTGGAGTCCGGAGCACACAGAATTGCACAGCGCTGGAGTTCAAAGGCGCGTTTCCCCAGCACCTTTGTCCCCGGATCAGAACTCACCTTCAGAGAGGTGCAGTGAGAAGGGGGGTCTGTGCAGAATGGGGGTCATCTAAGAATGGACGGGGAGGCACAGCCGGCACAGGCCTCTGGGTAATTGGAAGGTCAGTTGTCACCTTTCAGGGCGGTTTCTATGGCAACAGAGGGAAGTTGCAGTGTGGAGGGGAGGGGAGCCCAGGAAGCTGGAAGTTTGGGAGTGAATGAATGAAAAGGAAGGTAGGGTGAGAGGTGGGGGGACAGGGTGGAGGCCAGGAGGTGAGGGGAGTCAGGATCCAGTGGAGAGGGAAGAGGGAGATGCAGGCAATTGAGGGGCAATCCAGAAGGCAAAACTGTGGGGAAAGCAATGAATTTCCTCTCAGTCCTGTGAGATGGGAGGCCTGGAGGGAAACCCGGGAAGAGGACTTCCCACAGAAGGCCGGGTCCTGGCTGACAGGCAGGGAAGGAACCAGGATCTGGGTCTTGTTGGATATGGAAATGGGCTGGTCCCAGGCGTGTCCTGGACTGTGATGGGTAGGGACCCTTTTAAAGTTTCCCAGGGTTTCCAAAGAACAGCCTGGGTGAGTCTGTGTAGCCCAGCACACGAAGACCCCACTGGGGCAGCGTTGAGAGCGGTAGACTGCCTTCAACTATTCCTTGTCAGTTGCTAATTATTTCCTGCAGAACAGTGTGTGTGTGTGTGTGTGTGTGTGTGTGTGTGTGTGTGTGTCGGGGGCGGGGGGGGGTGTTAGTTTCTTCCTCCGCACCCACTTCATCTTTCTACTCTCCCCCACTCCCTGGTGCCCTCCTGCGAAACTTTTGTGCTGTGCGTCTGTTCTCAATGACTTGCCATCTGCTGAGCCATTTCTGAGTATGAGTGACACCAGCGGTCCAAGGAAAAGAGTGTTGTTCCAGTAAGTTTGGGGGAAGGAGGGCCAAGCAGGTTCCCTTCTTGCAGAACTGCTCAGCACCTTTGAGAAGTTGATGGAAAAGGCACTTTGTCCATCATGCGCAACACTGGGGTTGTAGTGGAGTCTTTGGCATGGTGCAGGGTGTTTTGCACCGGCCTTGTTCACAGGAGTGGAGTCTACTCAGGGGTGACAATGATGGGACAAGAAGGCCAAATGGCAGGAGATGAGAATAGGAGTCTTGGGAGTAGGGCACAGTGATGGGGAGCAGCTGGCCCATTTCAGGCGGTCTTACTCCTGAAGGCCTCATCTCACAGCCTATC
The DNA here is from genome assembly GCF_000001405.40 of Homo sapiens. Lineage (NCBI taxonomy): Eukaryota > Metazoa > Chordata > Mammalia > Primates > Hominidae > Homo > Homo sapiens. The sequence continues at coordinate 84,253,461 of NC_000016.10, forward strand.
AACCTTCTTATGTGCACCCGCTTTTCACATCCAGAAACTGGTTTGCTCTGCAAAGATGTGGGTACATATTTATTGTTTTGCTTTGCAAATCTTTTGGCTATGAGGACCTTGTTTAATGGATGATTGGCACTGACTCCTCAGCAGACGTTGTACCTGCTTTAGAGAGGTCACTTCCAATGTGACAAGGAAGCTGACATGTGGCTTTTCAATGTAATGAAATATTTTGGGTACAAAATTGACTAATGAACAAATGGATATATTAAATATCAAAATCTATATTAATAACAGGTTATTTTTCCTCATGATTTGGAAACTTTGCATGTTTTCAGAATCATCCATCTTTTGGTAGGTCTTTGGGAAGCTTGACGGTCCTGGATCTTGGGGGCTAGGGGTGCCTAGTGGGGTCAAGGGAGGTCTGGGGGTCTTGGAAAGCCAGGAGGGGTGGGAGCCTGAGGTCTCCAGGAAGACAGGGGCGAGGTGGAGAGACAGGAGATCATAGGCAGAGATTGGCATCTACGTTCAGGATGTTGGAATTGGAGGAGTGTTGGCGGAGGGGTGTTGGGGTCCCTTGTGTCTGATGTGCCTGGGCAAGGAAGAGTTTCTGCTACCAGGACTCTCCTGAGGAAAAAGGATCTAAAACTTGGGAGCAAAGCAGACGGCTGTGTGTGCATCCTTTCAATGTCACACTGTAGCTTCTGTGAACAGGCCAGCTCGGGAGTTATTTATATTTAATTCTCTGGGGGAACTGTGGCTTTGTTTGACTCTTTTTGTACTGTTGAGTAGGGCCCCCGGAGTCTGACGTTAACATGTTAACTTGCAAATTTTTGTCTGGTAGAAATGAGTCTGATTGCTGTCTGTTAGTGAAGAAACCTCCAAGGTCATGGTTTTATTGCCCTGAAGAATGTTCTCCAGTTTTGTGTCTCACCCAGAATCCCTGTCCCAGCATTCTTCTCCCATGCCTGTGAATACTCAGGATGGTCACCAGCTTTAGTGTTCTTGGTCCTTTCACTTATGAGAATGAGGGATTTTTGACACATACTCATTCATTCTATATTCATGGGACAAGTTTGTTGTTTTTTTTTGGTTTGTTTGTTTGTTTGTTTGTTTGTTTTAGTAGAGACAGGGTTTCACCATGTTGCCCAGGCCAGTCTCAAACTCCTGGACTGAAGCAATCCACTTGCCTCGGCCTCCCAAAGTGCTGGGATTACAGGTGTGAGTGATCATGCTGGGCCCCATTTAAAAAAATGTTTTGAAAATTATATTTTGATGCCCTTTCCTAGTAGAACACATCTCCTGGAGGCCCAGGAAGGGAAGGTGGAGACTGGGATCATTGGGATCTTTGAGAGATTTTTGGTCTCATGGCACATGGTGGTGCCTCAGATGCAAGCACAGCAACCTCTGAGCCCTGCTCCAAGTTTGTATAGGTCAGTCCCCACTTCCAGGTGCCAAATTCTGTCACAGTGATCTTTTGCTGTGCAATAAGCCATCTTGAAAACACTGGCATAAAATAATGATTATTTATTACCAATTTTTAAAAAAGAGAGAATCCTGGCTTCTGTGGGTCAGGACTTTGGGCAAGGCACAACAAGAAAGGCTTTTCTACTTCATGATGTCTAGGGTCTCAGCCAGAAGCCCCAGAGCTGAGGGTGACTCTAGTATATGAGGCGGTGGCTGGAGGATCCCCTTCTAAGGTGTTCTTTTTAGTCCTGTGTCTGACACATTGGCAGGGATGGCTGGAAGGCTGGGCTCAGCTGGGACGGTTGCTCAGAGCACCTCTCTGCGGCCACTTCAGCATGGCAGCCTCCATGGGTAGTGAGACTTCTGAAATGACAGGTCAGTGCCTTGTGAGTAAGGTAGGAGCTGCATGGCTTTTTGTGACCCAGCCTGAAAAGTCACATAGTGTCATGTCTGCTGTGTCTAAGCAGTCAGAAGCCTGCCCACTCTCAAAGGGAGGGGACCCAGGCTCCACTTCTCAGTGGGAGGAATGTCAAAGAACCTGTGGTCATGTTAAAGTTGCTGCTGCTGCTTCTACAATTTCCATCCTCTTTGGTCCTTTCTGATGGCTCCTAATAACCCACATCTCATCATAAACCACAAGACTTTGCCAGAAGCCAAGGAAAGAGCAGCCCTCCAAATTGCACCTTTGTTCCCAGTTCCCACCAGAGTCCCTGGAGATTTTATCCATTCGTGATATCTTCTTTCTCTTGGTTCTTCCAGTCTTAGGGGTGGAGCTTCCAGTAATGTATTTGTGTTTCCAGAGAGCTCAAAACACAGCAGAAAATATGCCTGTTGGCATAGGGAATGTTCATGCTACATTTGGTAAGTGAAGAAAGCAAAGGAAAAATCAAGTGGAAGAATATAGATCAAGGTGCTAAGTGGTTATCTCTGAATGGAAGATTTAGAGGTAATTTCTATTTTGCTTTTGCATATATGTATTTTTCTTTTTTATATGAAGCCCAACTATCACATGGAAATTAAGCGTGTAGGCTCTGAAGTCAGACTCCTTGGGTTTAAATCTCCATTCCTTCAATTTCCAGCTTTCTAACCTTGGGCAAGTTACTTAGATTTTGTAAAACTCAGTTTCCTCATCTCTAAAATGGGGATAATGATAGATCACTAGTTTTTACCTCAAAGGGCTGTTTTAAGGATTAAATAAAATTATGTATGTAAATACTTTGCATAATTTTTGGCATAAAATAAGCAGTCAGGGTTAGGGATTATTTTTAGTGGTTTCATTAATAAGTTTTAAAAGAGATAAATGAGTCTTGTTTCTAATATCTTGATAATGGCACTTCGTGTGAATGAATCTGTGTGTTTTACCAGAAACACCAACTCGGTTTTATTGCTGGAAATATCTCATAATTTGCTTTCACACCTTTTAAGAGCTATTTTCTCGAGACATACTCGGCTTTTATGAAGATTTTGAAAATCTAGGGCAGTGATTTTCCTTAGAGGGGAGCAAGAAGGTCACCAGGAAAGTCTGCTGTCCTCCCGTGGATCCTCATTTTTCTAGAGTAAGTATTTAATCAGGCAAGATTGAGAAGCTAAAAGCAATAGAATAATTGACCTAATTTTTTTTAAGTGCAGAAGTTTTGTTCTTTGCCTGAACACAAACATATTTCTTATTCTAAAAGGATTTTTAAAAATTTGTTTTGCTGTCAGCAAAAATTTAGGCTTTTGCACATAACACTTTTGCTAGCTAAGTAAATAGGAAGGACAGACAAGACTATCCACTGTATATTTAGTCTGAATGAGCAAAAAGTGGTGGAGAGGTCGGGGTTACGGTCTCCTTATCCCAGTAAAACTAGGAGACTGAGACCCTCCAGCAGTGTTATGCTGTGGGAACAGGGCTGGCCTGGATCTAAGGAGTTAGGGTTAAGCCAGAGCTGGAAGTTTGTCAGTTATACACCTGGTGTAAGAGCTAGCATGGAAGGAACATACAATAAGTGATGAAGGGATGGATGGATGATGAACAGATAGATGGACGGATGGTTAATGGATTGATGGATGAATAGACAGACGATGAACGGATGGATGGATGATGGATGGATGGATGGACGGATAGATGGATGAATGAACAGACGTTCGAATGGGTAGATCTCTTTCCACTGTCCTAGGCTGCCTGAAGGTCTTGAGTCTTGGATCTTCTTGTGAGCTATCAATTGCCTGCTCGATAATGAAATACCAGTTGAGACAAATTGGCCATGAGAGACATTTTTGGGTAAATTGAGATCATTTGAATTTGGTCTGGGTATTAGATGAGGTGAAATCTTACTGGAATGAGAAGATGAAATTTATTGACCAAAAAAAGCAAGCACAGAATGTTGTGTAATCTTGTTTGGGTTGAAAAACTACGTATACGTATAAATCCAAATGCTGGCTCTCACAAAACACTATCAAAATGAGCTCCCGAGAAGACAAAGTGGAGTGTTCTGCTAGACTGCATCACCTTTTTCCCCCCGTGGATCTCTGCTCATGCTGTTCCCACTGCTTGGAACGTCATTTCCTTCCCACCCTCCACCTTCCCCAGTTCCTACTCATCCTCCCGTGTGCAGCTTCACTGTCTCTCCCTCAGGGAGTCTCCCCCGCTCTCTAGGTTAGAAAACCATATGCACGCTCTTGGCTCTCATTAGATCGTAATTTTTTAAATGTTTGAAAATGTTTGTAGCTAGCACAACACAACACATTCCCTGAATGTGTGCAGTAGGCATTCAAAAATGTATTTCTAGGTTAATTATGTAAAAAGAAATGTTATGGAATGTGTTGTTTTTTCCTCCTCCCTTCCACAGGATCCTGGCGTGTTCCAAAAAGAGAATATTTGCTAATTTGACAAAATGCTGGAAGATATAGAAATTTTTTTTTTTTTTTTTTTTTTAGACAGTGTCTCACTCTGTCGCCCAGGCTGGAGTGCAGTGATGCGATCTTGGCTCACTGTACCCTCTGCCTCCCGAGTTCAAGAGATTCTCGTGCCTCAGCCTCCTAGTAGCTGGGACTACAGGTGCCCACCATCACGCCTGGCTAATTTTTGTATTTTTTGGTAGAGATGGGGTTTCAGCATGTTGGCCAGGCTGGTGTCAGATTCCTGGCCCCAAGTGATCTACCCACCTCAGCCTTCCAAAGTTCTGGGATTATAGTCATGAGCCACTGTGCTTGGCCTGGAAGAGATAGAAATTCTTTTAGCAATGTAATACCAAGAGCTGGGTTAAGAGGAGCCCCATCTAGCAGTAATGCGGTTGGAAGGTGGTGTTGGTGAACTCCCTGTGAGAGGGGAAGCCAGCTGGACTTCCTGGGTCGATTGGAGACTTGGAGAACTTTTCTGTCTTACAAGAGTTTGTAAAATGCACCAATCAGTGCTCTGTAAAAACACACCAATCTGCGCTCTGTAGCTAGCTAGAGGTTTGTAAAATGGACCAATCAGCACCCTGTAAAATGGACCAATCAACACCCTGTAAAATGGACCAATCAGCACTCTGTAAAATGGACCAATCAGTGGGACATGGGTGGGGACAAATAAGGGAATAAGAGCTGGCCTCCCCCAGCCAGGAACGGCAACCCGCTTGGGTCGTCTTGCTTTGTTCTTTCCCTCTTAACAATAAATCCTGCTGCTGTTCACTCTGGGTCCGTGCCACCTTTAAGAGCTATAATACTCACCGCGAAGGTCCGCGATTTCATTCTTGACGTCAGTGAGACCACGAACCCACCAGAAGGAACCAACTCGGACACACCTACAGATGGGAAGCCCCTCCCTTTGGTCCACACAGACCCAGAAGGACTGAGAAATGGAGAACCCTTGGGGTAGGGAAGGAGGTCAAGGGTCCTTGAAGAGGAGAAGAGAGAGGGGGTCTGAAAGGGAGAAGTCATGGTGGCTTGTGACACAGAACTGAGAGCTTTCAGGGGAAGGACCTTGACAGTTTCAGAAGAGTTGAATGACGGAACTTTCTAGACCCCCACACCCTCCAAACCCCTGGGCACTAGATTGGAGACTATGACTAAAATCCAAAAGAAAGGACTCTTTTTGTTTATTTTTTTTACATTCCAGGTAGGGCTTGCCTAGCTAAAAATGAGAGCATTTATTACTGACCCACCATCTCTTTCTTGGGAATAGGGTGGTAGGTTATAGAAAACAAGATTTATTTTTCTTCCAGATAACTTCCATATTTTCTCAATGTTCTTATATGTGTATGTGTAGATCCAAATGCCGGCTCTCCAAAAATACTACGACAATGAAAACGGAGTGGAGTGTTTCGCTCTGTCGCCCCATCTTCCCTCCTCCGGTCTGTGCACCCACTGCATGAGCACGTGGTGTTGTCTTAGATAATTTGAGCTGCTGTAACAGAGTACCACAGACTGGGTAGCTTATAAACAACAGAAACGTATTTCTCATGGTTTTAGAGAGGCTGGAAGTCTGAGATCAGGGAACCCGCCACCGTGGTTGGGTTCCGGTGAAGGCCAGCTTTCAGGCAACAGACTGCCAACTTCGTGTTTCAACCTCACCTGAGGGAAGAGGGCAAGAGGGCTCTCTGGGGTCCCTTTTATGAGGGCACTAATCCCTTTCATGAGTGTTCCATCCCTCTGACCTCATTACCTCCCCAAAACCCTTCATCCTACTACCACCCAACTGGGGGTTAGGGTTAGAACATATAAATGAAGATGGGGAGAAATACAAGCATTCAGTCCATAACCAATGGTTTGAATATTTGTACAAAATTTATGTCTACAGAAGATACTCGAATACACACGCTTATCTCAAACAATCCCTGTTTCCATCTTGTCATGCATATTTCCAGACCCATAGAGTAGTAAATGGTTGAGAGCTGATGGCATCCTTTCCATCTTAACCTCAGGGAGCCCTCCCAGCAACTTTGAGATAGAGACGCTTTATAGTATCTTTTTACAGATGAGAAAACAGAAGCTCAGAGAGGTCAAGCAACTTGTCCAAGGTCACACAGCAGTGAGGAGAATGTGAGTGAGATTTGAGCACCGGCATTCTAAGTCCACACTCTTAAATACTCTACTGGACTGCTCCCTCTTTATAAACCTAGCAAAATTAAAATGCAAGTATATTTTTGTGATTTAAAGGTGAATTTATTATTTGTTTTTTTCATTTTTTTGTATGTGAATTTTTCTCTCTCTTTTTTTTTTTTTTTTGAGACGCAGTCTCACTCTGTCACACAGGCTGGAGTGCAGTGGTGTGATCTCGGCTCACCGCAACCTCTGCCTCACCAGTTCAAGCGATTCTCCTGCCTTAGCCTCTTGAGTAGCTGGGACTACAGGAACCTGCCACCCCACCCAGCTAATTTTTGTATTTTTAGTAGAGAGACACGGTTTCACCATGTTGCCCCGGATGGTCTTGAACTCCTGACCTCAGGTGATCTGCCCGCCTCGGCCTCCCAAAGTGCTGGTATTACAGGCGTGAGCCACTGCACCTGGCCAAATTTATTTTTTTTAATAAGGAAAGGAGAGGATGGTGGCCTGCTGACAGGTGCAGAGGTGCCTGATGATTTGTGTTTCCTAACTGGCTTATACCATGTGACTAAGAAGGTGGCAGAAGTGATGCCACCTGTCCACGGGAGTTTTCTGGTACATCCTGGGAACTGGTCTTTTATGATCATGGCAGAAAACACAGCTCTGGTAGATTCAAAAGACCCCTATGTCCAGTGTATGCTCAAAGTATGGAACTAAGCATACCTGTGGTCCTGGGAAGTCCAGATGGCCATCTCTTCCAGGGATCCTGCTCTCTCTGGCATACCAGGCAGTCTTTTATCAGCTTTGTGTCCATGTCAGAGTACACCTCACCAGGCACTCCTTTGCTCCTGGTTGCCATCTCAGCCCTGGTGCATCTTGTGGCCCTTGCAACGATGAAGCATGACGATGTTGCAGGGTGCCCTTGGGCAGGACCCTCTCTGGTGGCCAGGAATGCGAGTGGTGAAGACGGGAGCTTTGTGGTAAGGTGTGCATGTGCTGTGGCTCTGCTGCAGGAGAGGAAGAGAAGCCGTTCAGCCCCACGCCCAGCCCCTTGCAGACCGCGTCCAAGCAAGTTCTGAGCTCTGGCTCCGGCAGCTCGTAATGCAAAGGGGCCACACTCGCATCCCTCGACTCCGGGACCCCCAGCGTCTAGCCTGTCCTCCCTGTGTCATGTGGAACTCCTTTTCAGAGAGGCAGCAGCCCATTCGACACCTTCCAATTCTATTTTCCAAGCTGTGAGCGCATAACCACCAGCCACTGTTTGTCTCTCATAGGAATTTAATTGCTTTTGGTTGCACCGCCTCACTAAGATTGTAGGCATTCAGGCTTTCAAGATTAGAATATGAAGAGAAATTAATTATTTAAGGACATGCATTTGAACTTGAGATAGACTAAACCTAGATGAAAAACCTGGAGGTCCGAATTGTCAAATCTTGGCAGTGGACTCTTCATGCTTGACGAAAGATGAATAGCGGCTGACATCTGCATAATGCATTATAATCGACAAACTTGCGGCCTGTGGTTGAGTCTTACTTGATTTGGTAGCTCTCTGACATGAATGCATCGCTGCAGTATCACACACAAGGATGCCAAGCTGCAGAGAGGTTGAGTGCCTGGCACAAGGTCACATGATTTCAAAGGACTAGAGCAGAAATTTGAACCCAAGTCTCTATGCCTTTTTTAAAAAAATGTTTTAATTTTAATTTTATTTTTTTTGAGACGGAGTTTTGCTTTTGTTGCCCAGGCTAGAGTGCAATGCTGTAATCTCGGCTCACTGCCACCTCCGCCTCCCGGGTTCAGGTGATTCTCTTGCCTCAGCCTCCCAAGTAGCTGGGATTACAGGCATGCACCACCACACCCAGCTAATTTTTGTATTTTTAGTAGAGATAGGGTTTCACCATGTTGACCAGGATGGTCTCGATCTCCTGACCTCATGATCCGTCCACCTTGGCCTCCCAGAGTGCTTGGATTACAGGTGTGAGCCACTGTGCCTGGCTTTTTTTTTTTTTTTTTTTTTTTTAATAGAGATGAGTTTCACCATGTTGGCCAGACTCATCTCAAACTCCTGACCTCAAGTGATCCGCCCGCCTCGGCCTCCCAGAGCGCTGGGATTCCAGGCGTGAGCCACCCTGCCCGGGCTCTCTGTGACTTTTAAGTCCAGGTTTCCTCTGGGCCTGCTCAGTAGAATGATGTTTGTTCCTGTGGAAAGTGCTCAGTGAGGCTGTCTGCGACTCTGGTTTATTCTATTCATGATGTATTGATTTGAGGCTGAGAAACAACCATTTGCAAATGTATTTAGAAAGAAAAATAAGTCCCATGATGTCAGTGGGGACATTTAAGCTCTCAGAAATTACATGGAAGACTCACTATTGCTTCAGGCAGGACATGGGCTATTAGGGAATCAAGTGATGCCAATAGCAGTCTAATGAGGAAATGTAATGGGCTCCCACAGGCTCATTCTCATGCTTATGTACGTAGAGAATCCATATTTCCATTTCAGCTCAATATCATCAAATCCAATAATTTTCCTGGCTTGATGTTATTGTATGCCTGGGGTTGAGGTAATTTTTAGAGGGTGAGATGGTACCTGTCACTTAATGGGGTAGAATTTGCAACTGTGGTTAAGCCGTGGGTGATTGCACTGACCGTTGCAGCGGCCCAGGTCTGCATCTTCCTAGCGGCAAGACCTCAGTGGGAAGCTTCATTCTCTAGCTAAGCCTGCATCTTCTCATCATCCAAATGGGCAACAGTAGCGCCTCCTCCATTGCACTGTTGTGAGGGGTTCCACAGGGAGCCTACTGGGTCTGTAGCAAGCGGATCAGTAAATGTTGACCTCCATTATTGTTGCCAAGGGTAGAGCGTCAAAGGGTGACCCTCAAAAGATGTGTCCACCTAGAATGCCAGAATGTGAGATTTTCCATCCAAGTACTAACCAGGCCTGACCCTGCTTCGCTTCCGGGATCAGATGAGATTGGGCACGTTCAGGGTGGTATGGCCATAGGCCAGAATGTGAGGTTTCTCTTGGGGAGCCAGGAGAGCTGATATAGTTTTGAGTCCAAAGGTAGGAAATAAAAGGCAGTGTTCCAGCTTGAGCAGTCAGACAGAAGGGATTCCCTCTTTCTCAGCCTTATTGTTCTAGTTGGGCCTTCAACTGATGGGTCAAAGCCCACCCACATGAGGGAGGATGATCAGCTTTGCTCGGTGTACTGATGGAATGTTCATCTCACCCAGAAGCACTCTCACAGACATGCCTGGAATCATGTTTGGCCAAATGTCTGGGTACCTTGTGGCCCAGTCAAGTTAACACATAAAATTAATCATCACACTGTGGAATACTACACAGCTATGAAAAATAACACGATAACCTTCTATATAACAGACGTGGAGGGATCTCAAGCATGTTGTTAAGGGGAGGAAGCAGGATGCAGATCCATGTCTCTGGTGCAGTCCCATTTATATTAAAATGTAAAGCAAAATAGACCAGGTGCCGTGGCTCACACCAGGAATCCCAGCACTTTGGGAGGCTGAGGTAGGAGAATCCCCTGAGCTCAGGAGTTGGACACCTGCCTGGGCAACACGGTGAAACCCCATCGCTACAAAAAATACAAAAATTAGCCAGGCATGGTGGTGCATGCCTGTAGTCCCAGCTACTCAGCAGGCTGAGGTGGGAGGATTGCTTGAGTGTGGGGAGGTCGAGGCTGCAGTGAGCCATGATCATGCCACTGCACAGGTGACAGAGTGAGATTCTGTCTCAAAAAGACTAAACCAAACTAGCTATATGTAGATGGTGAGTGCCCAGTGATCTGCAGATGCTGCAGAAGGGGTTTGGGGGTGAGTGTGCATCTGGTTGCTAAGGGCCGTCTGAGGGTCCTCATCCCTGAGACACACCTGAGGAGCCCTTTGTGTTTCTGCTTTTACACTCTGGGCTCTTGCCGTGGTCTGAGCTTGCAATGCCACAAGACACACAGAGAGAAGCTGGGCCTCCAGGCCCCTGAATGAGCCATGCAGGAGCAGAGCGCTGAGTCTTGGCTCCCTGTAATGTCACCATAACATGACCACAATGCAGGAGACTGACAGTGACAGGGAGACCCCAGAAGAAGTTGAGCTTCCGTCTGGGAAATCAGAAGAGAGTGTCAAGACAAGGCCGGGATCCTGGAGGTCAGTGGGTTTGATTCTAAGCTCTGTTGGCACAGAAGTTGCTGTGTGGCCTTGTGTGTCTTTTTAACCTCTTGAGCCTCAGCTTTCCTCTCTGTGGAATGGGCTTGTGAGGATTTCATGCGCTGGTGAGCCCTGAGTGTGGTGCCTGTGGGTCGTGGGAGCCTTGGAGGAAGCTTGTTCCATGAAAAGGCTGTGTATGCAATGTGGCCTCCAAAAACCAAAGGAGGCCAGGCGTGGTGGGTCATGCCTGTAATCCCAGCACTTTGGGAGGCTGAGGCGGGCAGATCACCTGAGGTCAGGAGTTCGAGACCAGTCTGGTCAACATGGTGAAACCCTGTCTTTACTAAAAATATATAAATTAGCCAGGCATAGTGGCGGGCGCCTATAATCCCAGCTACTTGGGAGGCTGTGGCAGGAGAATCACTTGAATCCAAGAGGTGGAGGTTACAGTGAATGGAGATCCCGCCACTGCACTCCAGCCTGGGCAACAGCAGAGTGAGACTCCATCTCAAAAAAAAAAAAAAAAAAAAAAAAAGGCAAAGGAGCCGAGACACCAAAGAGCAAGGCAGACAGATTGAGTTTGTGGATAAAGCCTGTCTTACGGGGGGAGCTTGCAGACAGAAGCATGGTCTTGGAGGCAGCAGGACGGGTAGATCTCTGTCCCTGTTACCCCCAGACCCAAGGCTTATCGACTGTGTTAGTCTGTTCTCATGCTGATAATAAACACATACCCAAGACTGGGTAATTTATAAAGGAAAGAGGTTTCATGGACTCACTGTTCCACATGGCTGGGGAGGCCTCACAATCATGGCGGAAGGCAAATGAGAAGCAAAGTACATCTTACATGGCAGCAGGCAAGAGAGACTGTGCAGAGGAACTCCCATTTATAAAACCATCAGATCTTGTGAGACTTACTCACTACCATGAACACAGTAGGGGGGAAACAGCCCCATGATTCAATTATCCCCACCTGACCGTGCCCTTGACATGTGGGGATTATTACAATTCAAGGTGGGATTTGGATGGGGACACAGAGCAAAACCATATCATCTACCACAGGGGAAGGGGGTACATGCTCCAGTAAGACAAAGGCAACCCTCCTAACAGGCAAGAATGTCGTGTGTGCCATAGCTTAGAATTTGTCCAATGATATCAAGGTTGTCATGTTCTTACACTAGGGATAGTAAATAAAATAGGCAGCAAGAGGCATTCCTAGGACTGGAGACAATCAGAAATCAACATGGCAGATTAGCATCCAAGATGGAGTCACCGCTGTCTCTGCAAGCTCAAGGGTCCTCCCCTCTGCTCCCTCCTCAAAGGCAGATGCCGATTTGGGGGTCAAGTCCCCAAACATAATCAGCCCTGTTTCTACACCATAGCCTGTTAATAGAAGGGCACTTGGGATGTAGTGGGAAGCTAAACTTGGCAAGAGCACTGTCCCTTGTTTTCTTGGCAGGCTTTTTCTCAGGCTGTCTTTAGAGAAGTAAGGTTGGGGTGCAGTGAGGCAATCTTGGCTCACTGCAACCTCTGCCTCCCAGGTTCAAGTGATTCTCCTGCCTCAGCCTCCCCAGTAGCTGAGACTACAGGCGCCTGTCATCACACCTGGCTAATTTTTGTATTTTTAGTGGAGACGGGGTTTCACTGTGTTGGCCAGGCTGGAGTGCACTGGCACGATCATGGCTCACTGCAGCCTTGAACTCCCCAGCTCAAGCCATCCTCCCACATCAACCTCCTGAGTAGCTGGGACTATGGGCAGGTAGACCTGGCTAGGTTTTTTTATTTTTTATTTTTTGTAGAGTACAAGGTCTCCCTATGTTGCCCAAGCTGATCTCAGACTCCTGGCCTCAGGTGATCCTCCTACTTTGACCTCCCAAAGTGTTGTGATTACGCGTGTGAGCCACTGTGGCCAGGCTCGTTTTGCTGTTTGAGACTCCAATACTGGCCCTGTGTACAACTGAGAAAGCTGAGGCCTGGAGGGCATGGGGACTTCATCTCAGTCATGCAGCCTCCAGGTGATAGAATCAAGAGGAAAGTAGAGTCCCCTGGATTCCTGGTCCAGTTCCAATGTTTCTGTCCTCCTGCCACAAATTCACACAGAACATGGAGGGCACATGGTCCTGGCATGGAGGAGGGAGTTGATTATAATGGGTGTCAGTTCTGCAGGATTTCTGTTTAGAGGCGAGTTTCCTATGTGTTTATTTCTTATGTGCTCTGCTAATATTTCTTGTCCAGTGGTTTATTAAGCAAAGTGTACCAGATGCTCCCAGGATTATCTCGCCCTCTGTCCTCATGGCTCTGACAGCCTCTGGCTTTAATCAGCTTCCTGACTGCAGCAGGCCCAAGAGATTCCATGACCCCATTGAGCCAATTCTCTCTTCTTCCACAGTAATATAACATTAGCTGTCCACCTCCCAACCCCCAGAATAAAGACTACATTTCCCAGCCTCCCTTGCAACTAGGTGTGACCATGTGACCACATTGTGGCCAATGGGATGTTAGTGGAAGGTCATGGTGGTGGCATCTGGGGATCTTACTGGCTGGCAGGCAAGTGCCCTCTGCCCCTCCCCTCTCCACAGTGTCTGTAGCTGTCCCCTTGGACCCAGAGGACGAGTTCAAACGTTAGAGAAGTGGAGCCGAACTGCCATCTAGCCCCAAACTGCTAATGTTTGTCCATTTGTGTCCAAGTAAACCAAACGACTGTCCAGTTTAGGTCACTTATTTTAGGGTCACCATTCCTTGCAGGCAACCCCAATCCTAACTGAGGAACCAGGCAGTGACAGTGACTAACTGTACGTCAGGTTCTCTCTCTAAACTTGTTAACCCTCGAAACAATCCTATAAAGCAGGGCTCTCCTGCTCAGATGGATTTGCCGCCCAGGGGACAGCAGGCAATGCCTCGAGATGTGTGGATCATCCTGACTGGGGAGGAGGTTCCACTGATAGCCAGAGGGTAGAAGCTGGGATGCTGCTATACATTCTATGATGTTTGAACAGCACCCACAACAAAGAATAATCTGTTTTCTCAGGTCCACAGTAGTGAGGTTGAAAAGCTCTGTTGTATTGTTTTGTTTAAAACTAAGAAAATTAGTTTGATCTTACAAAAGGCTGAAGTCACTTGCCTGTGATGACAAGACTTGTAGGTGGCAGATTGGGATTGAGACCCAGGCAGTCTTTGTCTAGAGGTGAGGGTTGATGTGCACCAGGAGGCAAGGCATGGGTTGCCTTCAGTATCTCCCCAACATTCTGCATGCTCTCACCTCATCCAGAGGAGTCTGACAGCTTCGGGAGGTCCTGACTCTGCCATTCCCTGGATGATTGACCTTGAGCTGGTCACATTCCCTCTTGGAGCCACAGTTTCTTCTGCTCTACAAATGGAGGGGGTGAGGAAGCCACATCCCTGTTGAGAGTATTGGTGGGCCCAGTGCAGCGCCTCTACAGTATGACATTCACTGGGCCATAGGTCTCAGAGCCCCCTGCTGTCCAGGGTTAACCCTTTGGTTGTCAGACCATAGGCAGTCAGGGGCGAGGGCGCAGGGAAGCTGGGCACTTGGGATGCAGTGGGAGAGGCTGTTTGCTAATTGGTATGGAAGGGTGCTTTCACCTGTTTGGGCTACATGGCCATTCTGGTACACATCAGCCACGTGTCAGCATGGGCAGAGAGAAGTAGAAATTGCTGAGGTCAGGGAGGGAACCTGGCCTCATTTGGAAGAAGGAATCTGAAGAGCCAGTCTCTCCTTCAGCGTTCAATGTGTCCAGCTCACTTTGGGTTTAAATAAGTTAAAACACATCCACAATTAAGATGAACTGTCTACAGAGATGAAGGGTGAGAGGTGACGCCTGCTGGGCATGACCCACCTTAGACCTGGAGATTTGCTAGAAGACTCTCCTCCCATGGCTCTGTGGAAGGTGCATTGTCATTTGCCCCTATTCTCCAGATGAGGAAACTGAGGCCCAGAGAGACTTAATATCACTGTCAGGATTCTGCAGCTGGTAGGTGAACTCAGGAGTTAATTTACAACCACCCATTAGAAGGCACGTGGGTGGGGTTTAGGGGCCTGAGGCCATCCCAGATTTGTGCCGTTAGGCAACTCCTAACACCCAGAAAACAACAACAACAACAACAAAACCTGGACAAGGACCTAGCCTCAGTGTGCATTTGGCTCGCCAAGGTCACTCATCTGGCCTCGGCACACAAATTGCTCCAGGGCAGAGGCAGACACCTGGCATTTCTATTTCCTGCCACCTTCTTCACCTTGACCCCAGGAGACCCGCCTGCCTTATCTGTACTCCCTGGCTGGCGCCCTGTGTCAGCACCATCCCTGGGGTCTTTGTGCCCCCAGCCCCGTCCCTCGCCACTCCAACGTGTCAGGCAGGGTTAAGCCACCCCCGGATTATGGAGGTGCTAATGATTTGATATCTCAGCCAGGGATTTAACTGATCTCCTAGCTCAGCTGGAAAAATTCCCTCCCTCAAATAGCTGTTTTATCTTTTAGCTCCTGCCGCCACTTTAATCACACTAAGTCCTCATCAGATGCCACAAATGAGAGATTTAAAAAAAAAAAAAAAGGTAAGAAATTGGGACCAGGCTGGGTTTTCTCTCTGGACTCTTTGGAACACGGTTGCATATTATCACCCTCCGAATCGTCAGCTTTCACCTGGAGATTAAAGGGAGTCCCTCAAGACCACTTGAAATGAACAGTGTGGCACACAGCAGCTTAATCTCCTCAGTGTCATGAAATCTGGGTTTTATGGGGCATCGCGCCCTCCAGCCTCCCATTTTCCTTCTCGGGCCATCAGTCCCCTTCGCTAAAATGGTGCTCTGGGAAAATTCATGCCTCCACAAAGTGGCTAATGGACCGTGAAGCCATTTCAAAACGTAACTAGAATGCCACGTGTGCAAACATTAACCTTCTGCATTAGGACACCACTGACTCGATTCAGGGCTTTACAGGTTCCAGGAGCTTGTAAAGTGAATGCTTCTGTTTTTACTTCTAATATAAGCTTCACTTTAGTAAAACTGGAAACTTTTTAACTTTTAATATAAATTATAAATATGTATATATATTTTTACCTTTATCACAAACTTGACCTTAATAAAATTGAAAAACCAGAAGATAACACAATATAACTAATATGTGATTCAAAGAGTTTCTAGAGGCTGGGTGCGATGGCTCATGCCTGTAATCCCAGCATTTTGGGAGGCTGAGGCGGGTGGATCTCCTGAGGTCAGGAGTTTGAGACTAGCCTGGCCAACATGGCTACTACTAAAGATATAAAAATTAGCCAGGCGTGGTGGCACATGCCTGTAATCCCAGCTACTTAGGAGGCTGAGGCACGAGAATCACTTGAACCCGGGAGGCAGGGGCTGCAGTGAGCCAAGATCATACCACTGCACTCCAGCCTGGGTGACAGAGCAATACTCTGTCTCAAAAAAAAAAAAAAAAGTTTCTAAAGGCCGGGAGTAGTGGCTCACGCGTGTAATCCCAGCACTTTGAGAGGCCAAGGTGGGTAGATCCCTTGAGGTCAGGAGTTTGAGAGCAGCCCTGTCAATAATGTGAAACCCTGTCCCTACTAAAAATGCAAAAATTAGCTGGTATGCTACCATGCCTGGCTAATTTTTGTATTTTTTGTAGAGATGAGGGTTTCACCATGTTGCCCAGGCTGGTCTCGAACTCCTGACTCAAGCAATCCACCGGCCTTGAAGTTATACACCCTCTACATGTATATGTATGTTATACTTTCATTTAAAAAAATTCTTGAAGTCACCACACTGCACCTGGTCAGTGTTAGACTGCGCCCTGTTGTGTTATACTCACCTGTCTTGTACATTTCTGTCTGGCCTCACCCCACAGGCACGCACATCTGTGACTTCTGGAATAGATGATCTTGAGAGCATTCCCTAACTGGAATATCCTTTGTTTCTTGTTTCTGCTGCCTGAGAACAGGTCCGGGTCAAATCATTCACGACTGTAGCCCACATAGTGGAGATGCATTTTACAGCCATTTGTTTAAGTGGGTCAGGTCCCTTCTGTGCCCAAGCCATAGTCCACGCAGGATGGTGTACACACATCTGGACGGAGTCACTTCTCTGGTCTCCTTCACCTGTCCCCAGGACTCCAGGGCCAGCTGCTCCGGGTGAGTGGAAGACATCAGCCTGCCCCACCCCCATGTTCCCCAGCCAGCAGGACCAGGGAGCAACACCAGATGGGCTGCAGACACAGAAGGATGAGACTGGGAGGCGCAGACAGTTGTGTCTCTGGACAGTGTGGGGATGCAAGCGTGGTGTGGACTTGGGGCGCAGTTGATGACGTGGGGAAAGTCAAAAGGAACGATTGTCCTCTTGGCTGGTCCAGAGTTAAAAAACTGGCAGCCAACGATTGACCATCTTCTTTTGTGAGGTACTTTTATTTAATCCTCACGAGAAATCTGGTACCTAGGAATCACCTTCCCTACTTTTCAGATGGGGAAACTAAGGCTGAAAGATGAACCAAGCATAACAATGATTTGTGATAGTCTCACGATCCTGTGGGTTGGCTGGGGCTCAGCTGGGTCGTCTGCTGGTGTCACCTGGGCCCAGCCACACAGCTGGGAGTTTGTCAGCAACTCCACTGGGTCTGGAACGTCCAGGGTGGCCTCGCCCATGAGGCGTCTCCACAGAGCATCTCATGGTTTAGTAGTCCTGGACTTCCTCACAGCATGGCGGCCGGGGTCTGAGAGAGGAGATGAGAGCTGCTGTCTTCTAAGGCCTGGGCTCCCTGAATTCTATTGCTCAAGGCAAGTCACAAGGCCAGACCAAGGAGAGGAGAGAAGAGCACCGATTCTTGGTGTCCGGACTGGCAGGCGCATACAGGATTAGGAGGAATTTTCGGTGGCCCTATTTGGAGACAATCTTCGAGGCAGGCGATTATGATGCAGAAGTTAGATGCTATGATCAGAGCACCAGCCGTGTGAGAGCTCAGAGGGGGAGGCAGCAAACCTTGCCTGGTAGTGGAGAGCTTTCTTGAGGAAGTGTGGACTCATCTGGGGTGTCTCTAGAGTGTAGTGGTAAGAGGAGGACTCTGGAGTCAGACTGCCTGGGTTCAAATCTCTATTTCAATTGCCAAGCACTTGGGCCAGTTACTGGAGCTCTCTGCCTCAGTTTCCTCATCTGTACAATGGGCATAACAATAAATCCTACTTCGCAGATCATAAGGATCCAATGGCATTTGCCTGTGAAACATTTAGCACTGTGTCTAGCACATGGTAAGTTCTCAGATGTTCACTGTTGTTGCCATTATTACTGTTAATGATGGTGATGATGATGTTGATGAGGAAGATGAGGATTGTCCAGGCTGAGAGGGATAGGGAAGAGTGTTCTGAGCACAGGGAACAGTCTCTGCTCAAGCCAGGAGCTGAGAGAACCTGTTGCTTGGAAGGAATGGAAAGGAAGCCCATCTAGTAGAAGGGCAGAGTTTGGAGAATGGTTGTCACAGTCTCGAAAGGTAGGTTAGGGACCGGGTTAATGCCCCATTGCTAGCCACAGTGGAAGGGCTTGGAGAGAGCAAGGGTGGGGATGGGGCAGCCAGCATGGAAGTGAGAGAGAAGAGGGCTGGGACTTGTTGGTGGCAGAGAGAGTGGGGTAGCTTGGGAGAGCATGAGAGCTACAGGAGAAGCTCAGCATTTGATGGGGGTGGGGGTGAAGGCAGGATCCTGGATTCCTCCTGGGTTTCAGGTCTAGGGGATGGAGTAGATCCTTCAGGAACATGGACAATACAGAAGGACCAGCTTTGGGCTGGAGATTGGGAAGATGTTGTGTTTGAGGGACCAGCGGGTCTTCCATGAGGGGACAATTGAGACAAGAATGAAGGCCATTCCTTAGATGGAACAAAGAAGAGCAGTGTTCTGGGTCAACAGAACAGCATACGTGTATGCCTGGAGGCTAGGGGGGTAGGATCTGTTCTTACAATAGAGACGGATGTCATGTGGTGGCAGCACATGGGATTTGTGTGAGGAGCTGGAGAGGGATGAAGGATGAAGCTGGTGAGTCAGGCTGGTGCCAGGGTATAAAGGACCTTGAGCGCCCTGGAATCTGTACCAGTCCTGTGAGCCAGAGATTGCCCCCTGAGACTTTTAAGAGTTTTAAAAAGGGAAGTGATGTGAGTGAGTCTTTTTTTCTTTTATTTATTTATTTTTTTGGAAGGGGACCAGAGCACAGAGGGGCCCCACTGGTGATGGGAGAATTTAGTGCTAATGCTTTGAACCGGGATTACCAAGCCCTCGTGATCAAGCAGCTAAGTCAATAGCTGTGTGTGGGGCCAGACATCAGGTGGGGAGTTTATTAAATATAGATATTTGCTGATAAGATAAGATGATTACAGAATCTGGTTCTGAGGATTAGAGGTGCAAACAGCCTGTTGACTTCTGTCACTTGGTAACAAAAGTCTGTCAGGAAGGCATAGAGCAACCTCTTTAAAAACAGATGGAAAATATTGATCCAGCTCAGTCTGGTAGCCACATTTTGAGGAATTTTACATCTATCCTTCCTTCCATCCATTTACTTCCATTTCTTTCCATATATCCTCCATTCTGTCACCTTCTATTCTATCCCCTCATCATCTATCTTTCCTTCCATCCATGTATTTCCACCCACCTATCCTTTGATCTACCCATTTTCTCTTTCATTCATTCAACCTTCCATCCTTCCATCTAACCATCCTCCCATCATTCATCCATCCACTCATTCTTCCATTTGTCCATTATTCTATTGATTCATCTTCCATCTTTTTTAATCAACCTATACATTCATTCACCATCCATTTATTCTTCCATTATTCTATCCTTCTATCATTCCATCAATCCAACTTTCTATCCTTCACCACCCATCCTTTAATCCATCCAAACATCCTTCTATCTGCCTATTCTTTATCTACCCACCAATCCATCCATCCATCCATCCATCCATCCATCCGTCCACCCATCTTCTCATTTTACTCATCCTGCTGACAACCTGTTTTGCCATCCATTAACCCTTTAATCCATTAATCAATTTTCCTTCCATCCACCAGTTTTCCATCTATCCATCCTTCCATCCAACCATCTACCCATGGTTCCATATTTCTTTCCATAGCTCCATCCTTCCATCCATTTTTCTATCCACACATCCTTTTATCTTCCCATCCATTCACCAGTCTTCCATCCATCCATCATCCATCTGATATTTGAATACCTACTCTATTGCATGTTCAGCTCTAGGCACTGAGGAATCACTAGTGTACAAGGTAGGCGGGGTCTCTACTCTCTTGAAGCTGACCTTGAGCAGGAGACAGGCAATAAACAAATCAGACAGGAAGATACAAGAGTGACAAGTGGCTGCGGAGAAAATCATAATAGGGCAATGAGAGTGACAGGGTCACCCTACCATTAACTAGGACAATGGGGAAGGCCTCTCTCTCTCTCCAAAGAGGTGACATTTAAGCTGAAACTTCAATGATAGGAGGACAGGTATGCACACATTTTTTTAAAATAGGGGAAGACAGCGTTCTAGATGGAGCATTTACTTCATACAGCAAGTGAAAGGACTTGGTCCAGGCATGAGTTTGGTGTGTTTGAGGGACACAAAGAAGGTGATTGGGGCTGGGAAGGGGGATTGTGGGGAAGAGTGGCGAGGAGTGAATTAGAGGATGGAGTCAGATTTTGAGCCTTGTACATCAAGGTGAGACAAGCAAACTCAGACCCTCTTGCCCTCCTCCTTTTTTTTTTTTTTTTTTTTTTTTGAGACAGAGTCTTGCTCTGTTGCCCAGGCTGGAGTGCAGTGGTGCGATCTTGGCTAGCTGCAAGCTCCGCCTCCCGGGTTCACGCTATTCTCCTGCCTCAGCCTCACGAGTAGCTAGGATTACAGGCACCCACCACCATGCCCAGCTAATTTTTGTACTTTTAGTAGAGACAGGGTTTTGCCATGTTGCCCAGGCTGTTGTTGAACTCCTGACCTCAGGTGATCCACCCGCCTCGGCCTCCCAAAGTGCTGGGATTACAGGCATGAGCCGCCATGCCTGGCCATTGCCCTCCTTCTTATAAGGACCTTGGTCATGACATTGGGCCCACCTGGATCACGCGGGATCATCTTCTCGCCTCAAGATCTTTGACTTAATCACATCTGCAAAGTCCACACTTGCGCATCTGCCATGTAAGCTAACCACAGTAGCAAGATGGACCCAGCCTCTGGAAATAAGGATGGGGACATCTTTGGGGGTCATTCCTCTGCCCATCGCAGCCTGGGTACTATCCCATGAGACTGGATTCCTGCAGCAGCCCCTGACCCCTGCCAGCCCTCCTGGCTTCCACTGCTGAGCCCACCTTCCCATTCGTCACCCAGTTTTCAGAGTTGCCTTTCTGGAAAATAAATGTGATCAATTTCTGGCTTAAATTCCTTCGACGGCTTCCCCTTGGCCACAGAATCAAGTTCTAGCTCTTTAGCACGTGCCTGAGCACAGGGTTCAAGCCCTTGCTTGATTTTTTGCTACGTCTGTGACCCTGAAGAAGTGATTTAAACCCCTCAAGTCTCAGTTTCTCTAGTAGGCGCTCTGAGGCCAGAGGCCCCTTCAGGACTGAAGGCCTCAGCCCCTCAGCTACTGGGAGTGCTGCTGGCAGCCGCGGGCGCTCGGCCACCAGCCTGCTTCAGAAAATCCCTTGACTGGCATTGTGGATTGACATGTGTCCCCCAAGAAAAATATGCTGATTTCTGACCCCCAGAACCAAAGAATGTGACCCTGTTGGGACATAGATTTGTTGCAGATGTAATTTGTTAAATTAAGATGTGGTCGTACTGGAGCGGGGTGGTGTCCTCATAAGAAGCTAGTGTGTGAAGCCAGACACTTGGGGGAAATGCTGCGTGTAGGCGGATGTGGAGATCTGAGGGATGTGTCCACGAGCCCAGGAACACCAAGGGTGGCTGGCTGTCCCCAGAGCCAGAAGAAGGTCCTTCCTCAGAGCCCACAGAGGGAACCAACCCTGCAGATGCCTTGATTTCCTATGTCTGGACTCCAGAGTGATGAAAGAATACATTTCTGTTGTTTAAAGCCATTTGTTCTGTGATACCTGGTTATGACAGTCCCAGGAAGGAAACGTGGGAAGAGGCTCATAAATTTCATGCCACCCTCTCCAAAAGTGGCCTGTATCCCATGACTGGCCAGTGTGGGGAGGTAGGTGGCTGGGTGTAAGGCCCAGCCCCCTCGCCCAACCCCAGGGCACCCCAGAAGGCTCTTCCAGCTTCAGAACCCACCAGGAGGTTGGCTGAGGCTCTCCTTGAGACTATGTCCCAGCCAACTTCTTCCCTGGGCTCCTACTCCCTTTCCACGGATGTGGCCCCAAGAGCATAACCTGATAAACCTCCTGCCTGCAGATCTCGAACCCAATCTGGAAATACTCTTTCCAGGGAATAGACGAAAGCTGCCCCGTCTCCATTTCTTCATTTGCAAAAAGGAACTAATGAAGGAGGCTGCATTACAGAGCTGTCCGTCCACTGTGAGGGTCAACAGGACCATGTATAAGACACCACAAGATCAATTGCTCTGTGTTCCACAGCTGGTCTGTTAGCACAGGGCGTGGGGCAAAGCTCCGGTAATTCTTGGCTTACTGGTCTCCTTCCCCCTACAGCATGAACCCCTTAAGGTCAGCAACTATGTCTTCTTTTATTCATTCAATTCACTCATTCATTCCATTTCACCTCCTCCCATTCATTCATCCCATTCATTCACTATATCTCGTGATTCATGCAGTTCTGTGGTATTTATTCACTCTAGGCCATGCCTCTGATTTTATCATTCTATTCATTTATGACAGTCCGTTTCACTCCATTTTATCCACCTCATTCCTTTTCATTTCCTTCATTCTCTGTATTCTGCTTATTCAGGTATTTATTCCACTCTACTTTGTTATTGAATGAAAGCCACATATTCCATTCTATGTGCCCACGGTGTGCCAGGCACCGGGGCTTAGTTCTAGACTGTTGTGAGGTTGCATCCACTGGCTTTTAGGGCAGAAGGTAGCACCTGGTTTACCTGCTCAAGTGTGTGTGTATGTGTGTGTGTGTGCATGGGTGTGTTGGGCACATGCATGTTGCTTTCCCAGGACAGGGAGGGGCTGTGCAGGCCCATGCTCACTGTTTCTTGGTTTCTTCTGCTTTAGGGAAAGCTGTGTGTTGCTGAGGCCGCAACTTGGGTATGAACCTAGGTCAAGATACCTAGTACCCACAGGGGTCAGATTCTAGTCCTTGGCCTCTCTGAAGCTAAATAAATGTGATTAATTGAACTGACTCAAAACAAATGGTTTTGCAAAATCTTGGAAAACAGTTCCATTCCTTTTGGTAGGTCAAATACTTCTCCTGTAATCCCATTTCAATGCTAGAGAGTTACTTTATCATGTTATATATGTGAGCTGTCATTTATAGAAAAATGGGAGAGCAGACGCAAGTAAAAAAGGGAGGATTCCTGATGTCACCCCCTAGAAATAACCAAATGCTAATGTATTAATGTGTATTTCTTCACATTTTCCAATGGACGTATATACATTAAAATATGTGTTTTTTGCTGGTGGCTCATGCCTGTAATCCCAACACTTTGGGAGGCTGAGGCGGGGGGATCACCTGAGGTCAGAAGTTAGAGACCAGCCTGGCTAACATGGTGAAACCCCGTCTCTGCTAAAAATACAAAAAATTAGCCGGGCGTGGTGGTGTGCGCCTGTAATCCCAGCTACTCGGGAGGCTGAGGCAGGAGAATCCCTTGAACCCGGGAGGCGGAGGTTGCTGTGAGCCGAGATTGCGCCATTGCACTCCAGCTTGGGCAACAAGAGCGAAACTCCATCCCCCCCAAAACAAAACAAACAAACAAACAAAAACATGTTTTTTGCAAAAACTGAAATATATAATACATTATGTTGTATAATTCATTTTTATCACTTAGCAATACATTACGAGCATTTTTCCAAGTCAATAATTATGTACCATTTCAATAGGGGCATAGAATTCCATTGCCTAAATCTATATAATTCCATAACCAATTCCTTAAGATTGAACATTTGCCCCCCCCCACCCCCACCCCCATGTTTTATGATCATAAGCTACATCCCCGATGGGCATCTGTGAATGTCATCTTCTTCTGTAGTTGTCTTTATTGTTATTTCGCTTAGCCAGTTAGGTGGAGATGACAGATTAAACTCAAACCAGCTCTGTTCAAATCATGACAAATTTCATTTTATAAAGGGAGGAGATTAACCAGGCCAGTTAGCTTGGAACTAGGCAATGTTATATACTCTGTAGTTTAAATAACTCACTTCTTCCCTTAGTAGCATCTGGATGCTTCCAGCAGGGGGCGCTGTGAGCCAGAGCCTCGTCAGGCGCGGACGCTCTCAGATGCCTAATTCCGTGGTGGGTTGCAGTCCCCTACCTGGGGCCCTAGCTGTCTCACTGTCTGTTGGCAACTCCAGTTCTTTCTTTATTTCCTTATTATTATTATTTTTGAGACAGAGTCTGGCTCTGTCGCCCAGGCTAAAGTGCCATGGTGTAATCTCACCTCACTGCAGCCTCAACCTCCTGGGCTCAAGCAATCCTCCCACCTCAGCCTCCTGAGTAGCCGCAATTACAGGCATGTGCCACCATGCCCCGCTAATTTTTTAAATTTACAGTAGAGATGGGGTTTCCCTATGTTGCCAGGCTGGTCTTGAACTCCTGGGCTCAAGCGATCTGCCTGCCTTGGCCTCCCAAAGTGCTGGGATTATAGGCATGAACCACCGCGCCTGGCTTCTTTCTTTCTTTTCGCTTTCTCTCTCTCTCTTCTCTTTTTCTTTCTATTAATTCAATTATGCTCACTTACATCTACCCTGGACCAGTTCTCTCAGATTCTGCTAAATACACTTATCAAGGTAGCAAAAGCTAGAGTACTATTGTGGCAATTATCCTAATACCTTTTAAAAGTTTCACCATTTTAAAGTTTTTAGCATTTAAGATTTTCCTTTGAAACCTCCTTTCATTTAGGGAGTACAGTGTTAGCCAAACTAATGATATACAGGTGGCTGTCCTGTGGCCATGAGAGGTGTGGATATACCAAACAGAAACATGTCCACTGTTCGGGAAAGATGTTGGTTCTGGTAATGCCTCTTAGTATTGGGCTCTGTTAATTTTATAGATCTTAATTCTTTTCTGCTCCCCTGACTTAGAGACATGATTTGCTTAAAATGCAGGTAACAAACATCAGAGTCGATAGGAGCTTGCCTTGTGGGAAGGACTGATGTGATTTGTGGATGGAGATGATAGTGATGAATTTCCTAGTTTTCACTGGGCTGTTTTTCTTTTCACGGGTAGTCATTTTTGATTTGCGCAGCGCTCCTGTGCGGCAGGCGTGGTTATTATCCCATTTGATGGGGAGGGAACTGAGGCTCCGAGAACTCACACACTTGCCTCAAGGTTCATTTCTGGGAAGCAGCAGGGCTGTGGCTTGAACACAGGGCCGTGCACCTCAGGGTCTTTGCACCTGCCATGCCCCCTGCCTGGATATGCCTTTACTTCTCTCTGCAAGAGAATTCCTTTCCATCCTTCCAGTCTTGACTAGGACGTCAGCTGCTCTGGGAGGGCCTCTCTGGCCTCCACCCTACGCAAGCCGTTCTCATCGCTCGCCACTCTGTTTCATTTTCTTCATAGCACTCACCACTGTGCGGGATTATCTTGTTCATTCATTTCTTTCTTGTTTACCGTGTGACATCCCCACCCCCCAGCAGAATGCAAACTAGTGCATTCTAGTGCATCCCTAGTGCAAGGGAGCAGCGACCTTGTCTCTGACCTCTCTGAGTCTCAGTACCCAGCACATGGCAGATGCCCAGTAACTATTTACTTAATAAATGAATGGAAAATTTCCGCCATCACTTTTGAATCTATCAGCTTTTGATCCAGTTGGGATGGAAAGGAAGAAGAAAGGCAGAGAGGAAATAAAGATGGTAACCTTTTTGATGCGGGAGGGCATGTATTTTGCAGTGAATACACGTGCTGGTCCTGAGTCTGCTGTCGCTTCTTCCCTTCCCCCACTCCTGCTCTGCAGGACATCACAAGGGACTGCCTCTTGCAAGCAGCGTGTCCCTGGCTCTCCTTCTGTCACTAGGCTCAGCCAATAGGCAGCATTGTGGGGAGTCTGAAGGGGAGGAAGAGGGAAGCCAGGGCATTTCTCCCCATCTCTCTGGACAGGTCTCTCCTTGGACGGGGTTTCTACCAGTGGCCATGCACCCTCCGTGGCCCCAGCTTTACTGGGCAGGCTACTGTGATTCCAGCTTCCTCCTGCAGCCCTAGATCCTGGGTGGTAGAAATGCCCCCTCCTCTGTTTGTTGCTCGCCCTGCAGATGGGGCAGTGCTTCTTGCCATTCATCTCTGGGTTGCCTGGTCATCTCTTATGTGGTTTCTTGGCCCTTCTGTTCCTTGTATAGCCAATTCTCTGCATTAATCTCCTCTGTTTTCAATATCCAAGATTGTTTCCATTTTCCCACTGATTAATAAAAAACCTGTGCCTTTGTTATTAGAAAAATGAAAATATAGGCCAGATGCAGTGGCTCATACCCATAATCCCAGCACTTTGGGAGGCCAAGGGGGGCAGATCACCTGAGGTCAGGAGTTCAAGGCCAGCCTGGCCAACACAGTGAAACCCTGTCTCTCCTAAAAGTACAAAAATTAGCCAGGCATGGTGGTGGGAGCCTGTAGTCCCAGCTACTCAGAAGGCTGAGGCAGGAGAATCGCTTGAACGTGGGAGGCGGAGGTTGCAGTGGGCTGAGATTGTGCCACTGCACTCTAAGCTGGGTGACAGAGCAAGACTCCATCTCAAAAATAAATAGATAAAATAAAAAATAAGCGTTAGAGAAACCATGGGAGGCCTGTTCTTGAGGAAAGGGAAAGGCTGAGCAGGCGCGTGGGCCTGAGCGGGGGCTGTTGCCTTTCCCACAGGCCTGCTGTGTGTGAGCCCCACATGCCCGGCCAGGCAGCGGCTGGGAGCTTGAGTTCTGGATTTATGCGCCCATCACGCTGTGATTTATTATAGGACAGCTTGTTTTTGCAAGCGATAGATTTATTTGCACCAGGCGCTGCATAATAAGGATCAAGGACTCTTTCTTTCTCTCTTTTTAAACTCCTGCCATGCTAACGTGTTCCCCAAGGTCCCTGCCAGGATGGTCATCGGAGAGCTCAGTGTGCTCTACTGTCCCATGGATCACTCCAAGCTGTCACTGACCTCCAGGAAGGAAGAACGAAGGGTTCCATGCGGCGTCTCCATGCAGGTCGTGACAGTGGGGCCCGTGGTTGAATGGCATCCAGTTGAGTTCCTGATCTCTCTTGGGTGGGCTCCTGGCTCTGGATGGCTGCGGATCATCAGGCAGGTCAGTGTCCTGAGCTCTTAGGTAACAAGGGATATTCCCAGGAAAAGGTGGCTCAGCTCAAGCTGAGGCTTCCCTTCCCTGCCAGGGCAGCTCTGTCACTGTTCTCCGGAAAGCAGGTTGGCCAGGTGCATAAGTGGAACTGGGTTCACATCCCAGTCCCACCAGGTGGAATCGGGCAGTGTCTTCACCTCTCAGCCTTGGTTTCCTCTTCTGTTAAGTGGGGTCACAATAGTAATCGGCACCTCAAAGGGCTGGTAAGAGGACTAAGGAGAGACCTACACACAGGGTAGGGCACACAGTAGTTGCTCATGAAATATGAGTCACTCCACTCCCTTTTCCCTTCTGCTTTCACAGCTGCTCATCAGTCTGGCTGGATGAGAACGTGATGTGTATCAGTCAGGATGTAGTTGGTGGTCAGCAAAAGCTCAACTCAACTAGCTTAACCCTAAAGAAGATTAGTTTGTCCCATGTAACAAGAAGTCCAGAGGTAGGCTGGCTCCGAGATTGACTAAATTCAACAGCTCAGCGATATCACCAGGGACTCAGGATCGTCCCCCACCCCGCCCGTCCCCCCACTGCCAAACGCCATCATGTCAGTGTTGGCCTCACCCTCTGATTGGCCTTCCTCACAGTCACAGAGTGGCTGTTGCAGATCTGGGCATCGTATCCCTGCTGGGTAAAGTCCAGACGTGCACCTGAACCATCACTTTCCTGCATCTCTGAGGTATGAGGACCACTTTCCCAGAAGCCCCTAACCTGACTTCCCTCCCACCTCATTGGTCCAAATCAGATGACAGACTGATGCCTGAACCAATCACCAATAAAAGGGGGAAGGAATACCTGGTTGGCTCTTGGGCAATCAGCCACCATCACCACTAAGGAGGGGCTTGCTTTGAAACTCTGCTGTCACTGCCCTTCAATTTCTCCTCTCATCTCTGGATCCAGCAAGAGCCGTTCTGCCCCTCAAGACCCTCATGAGTTTAGAGTCCAGCAGGGATTAGAGCCAGGGGCAGGTGTCATGGAAATTCCTTCCACCATGGCCTCCACTTACTTGACTGGCCGGCTTCCTCTCTTCTGTGGGTTTAGAAGTCACCCGCTGGACACCGCTCCTTCCCGCCCAGTCTTAAGGGGGTTGTCCAATTCCCTAACGTGCCTAAAGTCACTTTCCCAGGCTTTCTTAGGCTTTTGTGTCCTTACAGCATCGGTCTTCATGATCTTTGCCTTCTGACTGATGGCCCCCTTCATGACGGAGGGAACCCGCTGACATTTTGCCCAGGTCCCCTCGCCTACCAGGACCCCTACCCGTCATCACCAGGGCCCGCCATGGGGCATCCCCAGAAACACAGGTGGAGCTGGTGTGTAGGAAGGTGGGAAGCAGTTACTTTCCTGGAAAGTTGGTGTACTCTGGGAAGAGCTTGTGAAATTGCAAGCTCACCTCCTGGGAGACGCATCAGCAGAGGGGGATGGCCTGACGTCCAGCTTTTCTAGACTTACAGTTGGTTATTTGTTAATGACATTCCTGGCAAGTGACAGCTTTGAATGGTTCTGCCTGGATCAGCTTTTATGAAGCCAACACCAACATCTTCCTGGATCGTCTGACTTTGACCTGCCGCAGAGGACCCTGAGCCCCCACCCAGCCCACCACAGCGGGGTGGGGGGATGAGCGATGGACTGACAAAGCAATGACATTGGGGGGCTGGAGCTCACTTTTCTTGCCCTGACCTGGGGTGTGGGGTGTGGGGCGTGGAGTCCTCAAATCGGTTTCTTCTAGCAGGTCCTTTTTTTTTTCTACCTTATTTTTTCATGGAAGTAAAACTCAAAAAGTTAATCAGTGTAGGTTGGGCGCCGTGGCTCCCACCTGTAATCCCAGCACTTTGGTAAGCCAAGGCGGGCGGATCACTTGAGGCCAGGAGTTTGAGACCAGCCTGGCCAACATGACAAAACCCCATCTCTACTAAAAATACAAAAAATAGCCGGGTGTGGTGCATGTGCCTGTAATCCCAGCTACTATACTCGGGAGGCTGAGGCAGGAGAATCGCTTGCAACCGGGAGGCAGAGGCTGCAGTAAGCCAAGATCACAGGTCTGCACTCCAGCCTTGGTGAGACAGAGCGAGACTCCATCTCCAAAAAAAAAAAAAAAAAAAAGTTCACAGTTGGAAAGTGTAAAATTCAATGGCATTTAGTACATTTGCAACGTTGTGCTGCTGCAGATGTGGGGGCCAGGCCAGCCAGGTCTGGGAAGTGTGACGTCAGGAAGTGGATGACCCTCAGGTTGCTGACTGTCTGAGGAAGGCCCTGCAGAGTCAGGGCAGAAGCACTGGGTTGGGAGGGCAGGAGCACCCATGGATGCCTTCGGTGAACATTCTCTGAGCTCCTACTGTGTGTGCGAGGTGCACAGTAGATGAGAAAGAAAACAAAAAAGACTCAGTCCCTGTACTTAGGGTGCCCACCATCCCGTGGGAGAGTCAGGCATTGACAGAAATGTCGCTTCCACCGGGCACGGTGGCTCACGCCTGTAATCCCAGCACTTTGGGAGGCCGAGGCGGGCGGATCACGAGGTCAGGAGATCGAGACCATCCTGGGTAACATGGTGAAACCCCATCTCTACTAAAAATACAAAAAAAAATTAGCCAGGCGCAGTGGCGGGTGCCTGTAGTCCCAGCTACTCGGGAGGCTGAGGCAGGAGAATGGCGTGAACCTGGGAGGCGGAGCTTGCAACGAGCCTAGATAGCGCCATTGCACTCCAGCCTGGGCGACAGAGCGAGACTCTGCCTCAAAAAAAAAAAGGAAAGAAATGTCACTTCCAACTTCAGGGTTGCATAGGTGCTGTCAAGCAGAGGGACAAGGGCTATGAAAGTCTTCTCTAGGGGAACTGAGCTGGCCTGGAGATCAGGGAACATTTCCAGGAGAAAGGGACCGACTGTCTTGCTAAGGGTTGAGATATGAGGAAGTTTTAACAATTTTTTCAGCAAAGAAAACAGGGAAGAATGCCCTGGGGAGCGAGAACAGCGTATGCAAAGGCTCTGGGGTGAAGAGTGCGTGGTGAACAGGCACATGGAGAGGGTCAGTGTGCTGGGCCGAGGAGGAGCGAGAGGGAGCGCCGAGCGGGTGAGGGCAGGTGGGGGAGAGGCCAGATTTGTTGGGCCTCCTGGCCCTGGCTGCTGAGTAGTATCATGGGGGAGCTTTGGAACTAACTGGTTAGGATGTAATTGAGTCGGGTTCTGATTTACTTGGTCTGGGGTGAACCCGGATGTGGGTGGTGTTGAACCGCACCTGGTGCAGGTGATGTCAGCATGCAGCCAGGCTGAGAAAGGCTGGGTCTTTCAAGTCCTTTGTCCTGAAAGGGCAGGGGCAAGGTTTTCAGCTTGGGAGGTGGGAGAGCGGGAGCGGGTCTCACAATCGTATTTGCTTTTGGAGGAAAAATGAAAACAAATGAGCCACAAGCCCTATTTTGGGGGTCGTCCAGGTCCTGAGCTTACAATCGAGAGAAGAGCAGCAGAGGCCCAGCCCCTGCAGCTGGAGTGGGGCTGCGTCTGCTGAGGGTCTGGGCTCGGTTTGGTGCGGGGAAGGGCGGCAAGGCCAGCCTAGCTTTTGGACTCACGCACTCCTGGTTTCCCGACTTCCTGCTGCTTGAAAGACGGCCTTTTTTTCCTGCAGCAATCCCACATGGCAGAATGAAGCATGGGAGGCCACGCTGACCAGAGCCCAGGGGTCAGTTTCTGGGTGGTCTGGCCCTGGATGGGTTGCCCTGTGGGGGCGGGAGAAGGAGAAGAGCAGGCTTTTTGGAGTGCGAGAAAGCGGCCGGGAGTCCCCTGACTGGGAGAACAGTCCACTGTGTGGGAAGGGGGAGAGGACCATAAGTGAAGGTCGGTAACAGGGCAGCAGGGATGAAGTGGGGTCAAGGTCTGACTCTCTAAGAGGGCAGCCCCAGGGAGCATCTGTTTCCATTCACAGCCGGGAACAGGGCTGGGCGGGGCCAGCCTAAAGGCCGATTGTGCAATGGGAGGGGCCTTTCCCATATCCCTGCTCCCTGCTCTTTGCGAAGGCTACAGTGAGGAGGGAACCACCGTGAACTAGGCACCTCCCAAGTGCTGAGGGCCTTTAGGCTGATCTATACTGTCTCATTTAATTGTCCTGACTTCCTGGCTCAGAGAGTGGGAAGGCTGGCCTCAGGTCACACAGCGCAGTGTTTGGGCCCAGGGCTGATTCCTCCCATAGACATAGCAGGCACAGTGTCCAGGGTCCGTGAGACTTGGAGGGGCCCAGGAAGGTGTTTTAATTTTTCTTAAAATAGGGGAAGAAAAAGAATATAATCCAGCTTGTATTATTCATCTTTTAAGTCAATGCACCTGTAAAAGATGATTGTGAATGTATTTTTTTCCGTAGAGAAAGGGGCCTGCAAAGGCAGAAGTGCTAGGACTGGTCACGTCATGTGGCTCTGTTTGGATGGTGCCACCCTGCCACTCAGGGCCCAAACCTAGGGTCTGCCTGCCTCATCCTTCCTATCCTCCCCATGGCCATTGGGCTCTAGCCCTTCTCTCGCCTTTGGCTGCATGATCCCTCCAGCTGGGTCAAATCCCTCACTCTGTGCCCGTGCTGCACCTGACCTTCCTGTAAACACATCGTATAAGGGTTTCAAGCACAGGTTCTGAACACCAGTGTCTGGGTTCGAATCCAGCTCTGCCACTGATCAGTTGTGCGCAGATGATGAATTCTTAATCTCTCCGACCCTAATCCCTTGTCTCTAAAGTGGGGATTGCAGGAGAACCTACTTATCAGAGTTTTGATGGATGAATGGTGACTGTTTTAAAACCACTCAATTGTTAATCTAAGACTCAGTTTCCTTATCTGTGAAATGGGGGTGATGATAGCGCTTACCTAGAAGAGTTGTAGTAGGTTAAATGAGTGAATATTCTTATTTTTGTTTTATTTATTTAGTTTTTGAGACAGAGTCTTGCTCTGTTGCCCAGGCTGGAGTGCAGTGGCGCAATCTTGGCTCACTGCAACCCCTGCCTCCTGGGTTTGAGTGATTGTCTTGCCTCAGCCTCCTGAGTAGCTGAGACTACAGGCACATGCCACCACGCCTGGCTAATTTTTGTATTTTTAGTAGATGGGGGGTTTCACCATGTTGGCCAGGCTGATCTCGAACTCCTGGCCACATGTGATCTGCTCCCCTCAGCCTCCTAAAGTGCTGGGATTACAGGCATGAGCCACCATGCCCGGCTACAGTGATTATTTTTAAAGCCCTCAAAACCATGTATGGCACCAAATGGTGCCATCTGAGTGATTATTAAAAATACTGATTAATATCTGGCCCTTCTGTGTGGCAGTAAGCCTTAGAGGGGCTGCGGCTGGGCCTGGTTTTACTCTCCTTGGTGTCCTCAGGCATGACACATAGTAGGTACTCACGTATTTGAATGAATGAATGAGTGTACTCTGCTCCTCCTCCTCATGCCAGTATGTTTCTCTCTGCTGGAAGTCGTTCACACTTTAGTATGAAGTACAAATGAATGCTACCTGTCCCCTTTGCCTGATCTGATCACTATGGAAGAAAGGTTCTATCTCCCTGGGAAAGGAATGTGAGGCCTCAGTGCCCAGGTCGGGGCGTTTTATCGGCGGTAGAGAAGAAGGATGTTTTCCTGGACTCTACACCTATGAGCGTGTCCTCTGCCTCCTTAGAGCAAGGCATTGAAGCACTTGTGCCCTTTATATTTTTAAAGATAACGACCAGGCACGGTGGCTCACACCTGTAATCCCAGCACTTTGAGAGGCCAAGGTGGGCGGATCACCTGAGGTCAGGAGTTCGAGACCAGCCTGACCAACATGGAGAAATCCCGTCTCTAGTAAAAATACAAAATTAGCCAGGCTTGGTGGTACATGCCTGTAATCCCTGTTACTTGGGAGGCTGAGGCAAGAGAATTGCTTGAACCCAGTAGGCGGAGGTTGTGGTGAGCCGAGAGATCATGCCATTGTACTCCAGCCTGGGCAACAGAGCGAGACTCTGTCTCAAAAAAATAAAAATAATAAAATAAAATAAATAACGAAATAAAGATAACATTTTTCCTCTTTTTTCTGAGGGACAGAAGCCTTTGGCGGGCAGCAGAGGTCAAACCCCAGAGCAGAGGAGATGAGAGGCCCGGCCAGTTCCGAGGCCTTCCCAGAGGAAACCTCGCCCACAGATCTGCAGGAAGTTGAACTAATGAGTTGGTGAGTCCCCAAGAGGACTGCCCGCTAAGTTGGGATCAAGTTCAGGCTGCCAGAGCTCAGATAAACTAGAAGGGCCTCTGCCACTTGGGACATACAGTTCTGAGCCTGGCAGGAAGCCGGGAAGGGGTGGTGGCCCTGAAATCATGATGGCACGCAAGCCCTGGGTAGCAACATCAGGCCCCAGCTGGGAGCATCCAGCCCGGCTGTCAGGCTGCGATCCTGACTTGTCACTGATCAAAGGAACGCAGCTGGTTTCCCAGGCGGATTTGTTCTGTGTTTATTTCTCCTCTTGGAACTTTTCTCCTCGCACACAAGACCTGCAGTGCTGCTGTGTTCTCCGAGTAGTTACCTTTCGTGTCTCAAAAACTTCAGAAGGTGGTTTTATAAGTTAATGATTGTGAGAAATTAACTGAGGGGTCACTGCTCGGCATCCTGGGTCCCTGTGGTCTGAATACTGCTGCGGAGTGGATGGCTCAATAGAAGAACATTTATTGAGTGTCTCATGTACCACGCCCTGTGTATATTGAGGAAAGCACTTTGGAGTTCAGTCACTAGCTGGGACTTTGGAAAGAGCCCCTAAATTCTGTGGCCTTCCATCTCTTTATAGAACAGGGATCATTCCTGATGGGGCCATGATGATGACATTGATTCTGTCCATCGGTCCAGGACTTACTGAGGGCTGATGCTGCCCAGTCCCTGTGCGAGGCGCTGGGTTGCAGGCAGTAAGAGACATGGATACTTGACCTTGCAGAGCCTATATCCCACTTGTGGGTATAGGACCTTCCTCTTTTTTTTTTTAATTTTTAATTTTTTTTTAACAGGGTCTGGCTTTGTCGCCCAGGCTGGAGTGCAGTGGGGCAATCTTGGCTCACTGCAACCTCTGCCTCCCAGGTTCAAGCAATTCTCCTGCCTCAGCCTCCCGAGTAACTGGGACTATGGGCTCCCACCACCATGCCCAGCTAATTTTTGTATTTTTCATAGAGATGGGGTTTCCCCATGTTGGCCAGGCCGGTCTTGAAT
Source organism: Homo sapiens (assembly GCF_000001405.40). Taxonomy (NCBI): domain Eukaryota; kingdom Metazoa; phylum Chordata; class Mammalia; order Primates; family Hominidae; genus Homo; species Homo sapiens. Next base: position 84,287,690 of record NC_000016.10, read on the forward strand.
TGCTGACTTCAAGTGATCTGCCCGCCTCAGCCTCCCAAAGTACGACCTTCCTCTTGATGCTGTAACAAATGACCATAAACTTAGCCACATGGATGGAGCTGGAGGCTATTATCTTAAGTGACCTAACAAAGGAACAGAAAACCAAAGACCACATGTTCTCACTTCTAAGTGGGAGCTAAACGTTGACTACAAGTGATCGTAAAGATGAGAATGATAGACACTGGGGACCACTAGATGGGGAAGGGAGGAAAGGGGGCGTGGGCTGAAGAACCAGCCATTGGGTGCTATGCTTAGGGCCTGGGTGACGGGATCATTGGGATCTGAAGCCTCAGCATCATGTAGTTTAGCAGTTGCGAACTCAACAAGTTCACAAGTCTATGATTTTACAGTTCTGTTGATTAGAAGTCCCACCTGAGTCCCACTGGGGAAAACTCTAGGGGTTTGCAGGACTGTGCTCCCTCTGAGGCTCTAGGGGAGAACTTCCTTTGACTTTTCCAGCCTCCAGGGGCTGCCTGCATTCCTTGGCTCATGGTCCCTTCCTCCATCTCCAAAGCCACAGCGTAGCGTGTCAAATCAACTTTCCCTTGACTTCCACCCCCACCCGACTTCCACCATTCATCTCCTCTGACTCTCACTCTCTACCTCCCTCTTACAAGGACCCTTGTGATTATGTTGGTCCCACCCAGATAATCCAGGATACTCTCCCCATCTCAAGATCTTTGCTTTAATCCCTTCTGCAAAGTCCCTTTTGTCAGGTAAGACCACATGCTCGCAGGTCCTGGGGATTAGGATGTGGACATCTTTTAAGGGCCCATGATTCTGTGTACCACAGGGAAAGAGACCATCAGTGGTAAACATAATAAGTACATTTCATAATTTATTAGAAGGTGATGAAACTATGGAAAAAGAAAGCAGGACAAAGGGGGTTGGGAATTTAGGGTGGTGTAAAAGAGGCAGATGGTGATTTTAAAAGCTCAGTTGGGGTAAGCCTCATTGAGAAAGCAAAATTGGAGCACAGACTGGAAGGAATTGAGGGATCAGCTAAGCAGGTATCTGGGGAGAGAGCAACTGGGGGGCTGTGCAAAGGCCCTGGGGTGGGAGCTGTCAAGGAAGAAGCTAGAGCAGAGTGAGCACAACGAAGAAGTGGAGATGGTGATCTCAAGAGCCCAGCACTGTGCCAGGCATATAGTAAATGCTCACTAAAAGAGGTTCCTGTCCATGTCCCAGAGAAAGCTTCGGAGATGGACAACGCTCAGCCCTGTCCTCAAAAATTTATGGTCAAGTGAGGACAGAGGAACATGTACAACCGTCTTCTACATACTACTCATTCAACACTCACGACAACCCTGTGAGACAGGTATGTTACTCCCATTTTACAGATGAGTCAACCAAAGAACAGAGAGGGCAGGTGACTTGCCCATGGTCGCACAGCTGGGAGGTCTCAGAGCAGGTGTCTGTGCCCGAGCAAGCTGGCTGCAGAGTCCGTGTTCTTCTTTTATTAAATTTCAACTTTTATTGTAGATTAAAGGGTATATGTGCAGATTTGTGACACGGGTAAATTACATGCTGCTGAGCCTTGGGGTCCCAGTGATCCCATCACCCATGTGATAAGCATAGCACCCAACGGGTGGTTCTTCAGCCCACGTCCACTTTCCCCCCTCTCCCATCTACTGGTCCCCAGTTTCTGTTGTTCCCATCTTTATGTTCACATGTATTCAATGTTTAGCTCCCGCTTATAAGTGAAAACATGTGGTGTTTGGTTTTCTGTTCCTGCATTGGGCCACGTAGGATAATGGCCTCCGGCTCCATCCATTGGAGCCCTGGCTGCAAAGGGCATGATTTTGCTGTTTTTTATGGCTGCACAGTATTCCATGGTGAACAAGTACCACGTTTTCTTTATCCAGTCCACTGTTGACGAGCACTTAGGTTGATTCCACGTCCTTGCCGTTGTGAACAGCAGTGTGTAGCAAACATTTGAGTGCATGTGTCTTTATGATAGAATGAATTACTGTTCTTTGGGTATATTCCCAGTCGTGGGATTGCTGGGTTGAATGGTAATTCTACTTTAAGTTTTTTGAGAAATCTCCAAACTGCATTCCACAGTGACTGAACTAGTTTGCCTTCTCACTGAGCGTGTAAGTGTTCCCTTTTCCCCACAGCCTCGCCAACATCCACTGTTTTATGACTTTTTGTTTTTTGAGACGGAGTTTTGCTCTTGTTGCCCAGGCTGGAGTGCAATGGTGTGGTTTCGGCTCACTGCAACCTCCGCCTCCCAGATTCAAGCGATTCTACTGCCTCCCAAGTAGCTGGGATTGCAGACACCTGCCATCACACTCAGCTAATTTTTGTATTTTTAGTAGAGACGGGGTTTCATCATTTTGGCCAGGCTAGTCTCGAACTCCTGATCCCATGTGATCTGCCCATCTTGTCCTCTCAAAGTGCTGGGATTACAGGTGTGAGCCACTGCGCCTGGCCTGTTTTATGACTTCTTAATAGCTGTTCTGACTGGTGTGAGATGGTATCTCAGTGTGGTTTTGATCTGCATTTCTCTGATGCAGAGTCTGTGTTCTTAATGTTACTTGACGTTGCCATGTTGACCTCACCCACAGCCATGACTTTGGCCTTGGCCTTGACTTCTATCATGACTAATATATATACATAGAAAAAAAGAAAGGCTACGTTGGTTATCTCTGGATACTGATACTAGATGTATGTATTTTAAAGATTTTGTTTATTCTTTCCTCTGTTTTCCCAGTTCTCTGCTAATAAACATGAATTATGCTATTAGGGGAAAAAAACCATAATATAATAACTTTTAAAAATTCTGAATTAGGCTGGGTGCGGTGGTTCACACCTGTAATCCCAGCACTTTGGGAGGCTGAGGCAGCTGGATCACCTGAGGTCAGGAGTTTGAGACCAGCCTGGCCAACATGGTGAAACGCCATCTCTACTAAAAAAAAAAAAAAAAAAAAAAAAAATTAGCTGGGTGGTGGCTGGTGCCTGCAGTCCCAGCTACTCGGGAGTCTGAGGCAGGAGAATCTCTGGGACCCAGGAGGAGGAGGTTGCAGTGAGCCAAGACCACACCATTGCACTCCAGCCTGGGCAACAAGAGCGAAACTCCATCTCAAAAAAAAAAAAAATTATGAATTAGAGACCAGATAAAGAGAGGAGTAAGGTAGGTATTAGCAGTGAAGTGAAGGTTTGAGCTTGGGTGTCTGGTTAGACAGTGATGGCCTTGGCTGAACCTTAGAGAAGGAGTTTGATATCTCAGACAAGCAAAACTTAATAGAAACATAAGGCAAGCCACATGTGTAATTGTAAATTTTCTAGTAGCCATGTGAAACAGATACGGAGCCGGGTGCAGTGGCTCATACCTGTAATGTCAGCACTTTGGGAGGCCGAGGCAGGTGTATGGCTTGAGCCCAAGAGTTCAAGATCAGCCTGGGCAACATAGTGGGACCTCGTCTCCAAAAAGAAACAGGTACAGTTAATGTAATACCATATTATATTTAACCCAATATAGCATAAACATTAGTAGTTGAATTAGCAGTTGAATGCACGACCAACGTAAAAACTCCTAATGAAACGTTGACATTTTTTTTTTCCTGTCTCCAGCCAACAACAGATGCTGGTGAGGCTGTGGAGAAAAGGGAACGCTTATACACTGTCGGTGGGAGGGCAAACTAGTTCAGCCACTGTGGAATGCAGTTTGGAGGTTTCTCAAAGAACTTAAAGTAGAATTACCATTCAACCCAGCAATCCCACGACTGGGAATATATGCAAAGGACAGTAATTCATTACTGTCATAAAGACACATGCACTCACAGGTTTTCCAAATCGGGTCTGCATTTTATCCTTATGACAGATCTCATTTCAGACCAGCCATGTTTCACAGGGAAGCATGGGTAGAGAGCGACAGCCACGTCGAGCCATCGAGCTGGTAGATGAAATGTGTTAAGCACAACTCATTCATTACACCGTCTTTACTGAGTGTCTACTTTGCACCAGGCACTGCTTAGGGATCGGCGATTCCAAAGTGAACAAACAGATCCCCAGAAGCTGCCCCCGTGGAGCTGACATCCTAGTGTGGAGACATAGACGATAAACGAAGAAAGCAAAGTTAGTAAAATACAGAATATGTCAGGTGGAGATGAGTACGAAGAAGCATAAAACCAAGAGGGGCACCGTGAGTCCCAGTGGTATGCAAATGGTGGTTTTCAATCCTGGGGTCAGAGAGGACCACAGCAAGAAACTGACACGTGAACAAAAGTCTGGAGGAGGTGATGGGTGAGGAGTGCCGCAGCTGGGTGGAAAAGCATTCCAGGTGGAGGGCGCTGCAGGGGCACAGGGCTGGCGCCTTGCCCAGCAAGGAGGCTGAGAGAGGGCATTTGGAACCTCGTCTACCCAGAGGGAGGGGAGTCATACTGTTGGCAGAAGTGAGGCCACCCAGGGAGAGAGAGAGAGAGGCAGGAAATGGGCCAAGACTGTAACATCAATGGGAAACGCCTACATTTTAAGGGGAAGGTGGAGATGGAGGATGAGCAAGAACCACATGGGAGGCGTTAGCTGCCTTAGGAGAGCGCAGGGCCCCAGGTTCCAAGCAGCAGGAAGTTTCTCAAATGGAACCTGGGCCAAGGTTCCGCTCTGCCTGGAGAACAGGGTGCGGGTGGAGGAGGCCCAGGAGGCGGTGCCTCAGAACGCTCATCTCCTAACAGCAAGCATGTGCTGAGCCTAGATCCTCGCCTAAGTGCAGCTGGGCCTCATGGCAAACCTGCGAGTAAGTTCTGACTCCATACCCCTGTTTTACAGATGAGAAAACAGAGGCAGAGAGATGGGGCAGGACCTGTTCCAGGTCGTCCTGGTAAGTAGGGGTAGCAGCTCCATCATGTCCGTGGGTGGCTCCTGGCTTCTAAATAAGCAGCCTTGCCCTGCAGGGAGGGGCATTGAGACTGCGTCCCATAAAGCTGAAAGAAGAGGGAGTGGAGCACGCTGGACCATGCCCCCATAAGGGCTCAGCCAGTAGTTTCTGGATGAAGAAATGAAGGAATATTCTAGAATCTAGGGCAAGGTAATGATCAGGGCTGGGCCTAGCGGGAGGCAAAGGAGGCATCTAGGGTCTAAAATGTAAAAAGACTCTCACGCTTGGGCTCCTGGGTTTACAGGACTCTGATGGTGAACTTAAATTTTGCATTGCTCACTGGGCAAGTGTCTTAACCTCTCTGTGCATGGGATCCTAGACAGCACCTGCTTATAAGGCTAATATGAGACCTAAAAGCATTAAAATGCAGGAAGTGCTTCAAACATTGCCGAACACACAGACTGTATGGCTTTTAAGGTTTTTTTTTTTTGATACAGGGTCTTGCTCTGTGACCCAGGCTGGAGTACAGTGGCGCCATCACAGCTCACTGCAGCCTCAACCTCCCACGCTTAGGTGATCCTCCCATCTCAGTCTCCCAATTAGCTGGGACTACAGGTGTGCATCAGCACGCCGGGCTACTTTTTTTATTTTGTATTTTTTGTAGAGATGAGGTCTCACTATGTTGCCCAGACTGGTCTTGAACTCCTGGGCTCAAGGCATCCTCTGCCTCCCTAAGTGCTAGGATTACAAGTGTGAGCCACCGTACCCGACCTACACAGACTATATGTGTTTGCCACTATTGTCATTCACTAAAAGGCCAAGAGGGGTTGATGATACCTGCCCAGGGCATTCTGAAGGCTGTGCTGGCCAGGAGGTGGGGGGTGAGGGTCCCCAGGGAGGGAGGAACCAATCTTTCTGGAGCACTCACTCTGTGCAAGTGCTGGGCACAGCTGGCACCCTCTCCTGTAGCCCCACATCGATCTCAAGAGGCAGAGACTTTCACATGCCCATTTCACAGATGAGAGAACTGAGGACCATGAGCAAGAGGCTTTCCAGCATCTCGCAGAGGCTGAACTGGGATCAGGCAGGTGCGTCAAGCCTAGTGCTTGGGTCCCTTCTGCTTCGCCTAGGGGGGTGCCACAGGGTCTGACCTACCTGGGTTCCAGCCTCCTCTCTGCTGCTGTTGCATGACCTCAGGCAGCCCCCTCTGTTTCCTCATCTGTAAAGCGGGCATCAAAACAGTGTCTGTTTTGGGGCCGGGTGTGGTGGCTCACACACCTGTAATACCAGCACTTTGGGAGGCTGAGGCGGGCAGATCACTTAAGGTCAGGAGTTTGAGACCAGCCTGGCCAGCATGGTGAAACCCAGTCTCCACTAAAAATACAAAAATTAGCCAGGCATGGTGGCACATGCCTGTTATCCCAGCTACTTGGAAGGCCGAGACAGGAGAATCGCTTGAACCCGGGAGGCAGAGGTTGTAGTGATCTGTGATCACACCACTGCACTCCAGCGTGGGTGACAGAGCAAGACCCGTCTCGAAAAACAAAACAAAACAAAAAACCAGTATCTGTCTTGGAAGTGCTGAGAACAGACAAGGGAATATGAAGTTTGTGAAATGTTGAGCCCGCTGTGCTACATTCCTGTAAAACACACACGTGCACATGCACACCCACGTGCACACACGCATACACATAAATGCACATGTGCAGATACACCGGCTGACAGTGACAGCACACTTATGTGTGTGAAATGCTTTATGTGCTCAATTTCTTTTAAATCTCACAGGAAACACACGCTATGAGGAACTACCCACATGCCCACATCAGGCAGGAGGACCCCGGCGGGTGCAAGGGTGGAAGTCGTCTCTTCATGGCTGCACCCTTGGCCAGTGCCAGTCCAGCAGCCTCTTTCAAAGAAGCTTTTATAGGCAGATAGTTTGTCAGCCCAGCTCGAAATGTGAACAAGGTAGCAGCCGAGCCCCCACCCATCCGGCTGCACTCCCCTGCATGTCCAGCCCCGAGCCCTGTGTCAAGCACACCTCCTTGGGAGGAGACCGCCCCAGCCTGCAAGGAAGTGCTCATTATGGAGAGTGGAGAGTGACAGGCCACTCCCGGCCACGTCTCCAAGCAAGCCGGTGCCCCCTCCTCCTGCTGCCACCGCCCACTGAGCTGCCTGGGCTGCAGACGCCCTGGTTGGAGCGTCTGGGGCCAGATGTTATAGGGCAAGCTAAAAATAACCGGGCAGGCCAGCCACCATCGAGGAAGGGGCATGTGCTGGACGCGGACACATGATCCGAGGGACCCTGCTGGGTGGAACTAAGAAAGTCCAGCAGACTGTGCACGCTCCTGTCCCCACTCACAGGCCCACGCAGCGAGGGGGGCCCCTCTTCTGTGTGCGTCTGGAAGGTCGCTGCCCAGGGAGGAAATGCCTTTAACCGGCGTGGGGCCGGGCAGCTGCAGGAGGCAGATCATCCGGGCTCTGTGCCTCTTGCTACTTCTCCTCCACGCCGGCTCTGCCAAGAATATCTGGAAACGGGCATTGCCTGCGAGGCTGGCCGAGAAATCCCGTGTAAGTGCCTGGGATGGGGAGGCTGGGGCAGCCTGTGTGGGTGGGAGTCAGCCTTGAGGAGAGGCGATCCCTAGACACTGCCTTCTCCTGTAAGTGCTCCCCCAAAACGTGGCAAGGCAGGCGTCTTCCTATCCGTGTGTGTCTGAGTTGTGTGGTGGGCAGATGGGGCTCACCCCCAAAAAAGGACCCTTATCTGTGAATCAAGAGGCAAAAGACACATCACAAATGTGCCAAAGAATCGTGCCTTACTTTTGCCTTGTTACAAAAGTATGCTTGCTCCTGAAAGACAGCATCTCATTTCGGAACCCCAGGATTTAAACGGAGCATTCCGTCTCCCTGATCAGTACCAAATGTTTGTGAAATACACTTATGCATTCATGTGGTTGTTTATTCATTCAGCAAACAGAATGAATACACTCTGTTAAACAGAATTTAGCAGAAACCGCTCTGGGGAAGGCACTCTGTGGGGTCCTGTGGATACAAGATAAAGGAGGTACCAGCCCCCATCCTCAAGGGTGGCGTGGCCGAGGTGCAGAGGCAGTTGGGTGACAAACGATGGCAGTACAAAGAGAAGGCATGAGGCAGTGAGTGGCAAGAAACACATGCCCTGGGGCCAGATGTCTGGGTGTGAATCGGGCTCTGCTGCTCATTAGCTGCGTGGCTTCTCTCAGGCAAGCTGCTTGACGTCTCTGAACCCCAGCAATCTCATCTGCAAAAGACAGAGGGATGCATTTCTTCACACAACTATGTCTGGGTCGCCACTGTTTACCAGGTACTGTCCTAGGCTGTGGGGATACAGGCCTCACATCTCTGCCTGGGGAACTCAATGGGGGGCTGGGGGCAGCAAAGAATAAATGAGAGAGATCTCATTTATTAGTATGTGCAGATTGCAAGTGCTGAGGAAGCAATAAAGCAGGAAGGGAACTAGGAGAGAGAATGGGGTGGAGGAGGCTATCATTTTTGGTTCCTCCCACCCCCCAGAGATCACAGATCCGCAGGGACGGAGTGAGCCAGGACGATATCAGCACACAGAGGGCTCAAGAAGGTAATGCTGGCACCCACAGCACCTGTGTGAGGATTGAATGTCTCAGTATGTAGAACGTCTTTGCAACATAGCAAGCTGGCAGTGCATCTTGGCAGCTTTCAATCAAATAATTGTGACTTTGTTTGGTGTTGCCTAACAGGGTAGCATGTAGGTTCCTTGGGGTAGGGCAGGGTTCTGTTTCACTAATGTGTGCCCCTGGTGCCTGCCATTAAGTTGACGCCTGGTACATTCTTGTGGGTGAATTATGAGCGGCTGCAGTGGTAGCACGGGATGCGTGTGCAGCTCTTCCCCAGGAGAGTCAGACAGGGTTTTTAGGGTTGGGGACAGTGGACCTGTGGCTTTAAAGGATAAATAGGAGTTTGCCAGCTGGAGAAGAGGGAAGGGAGAATGATTAATGACCCCAGGCATAGTGGGGTGCCTGAAACTGTATTGAGACAAATCTGGGCCTCCAGGGCTCATATTCTCCATGTTCGGCACATGCTCGTGGCGGGAGACAGGAGGACTTCGAGAAGTGGAAAGAGTAGTAGAGTGACATGATGAGGCGCTTGGAGAAGGGAAAGCTCATGTGAGATGGTGTAGTCACCTAAGGCTTCCTGGAGGAGGTGGAGACCTTGACTGGATCTTGGGGAAGGATTAGGAATTAGGAGGAGGAAGGAAATTCCTGGAAGAAGGCTCAGCATGAGCCGAGGCTCACAGGCAGAAGTGGTGCATCTAAGAGCTGCTTGGGAGACCAGACCTGGCCAGAGGGGAGGCATTGAGGAGGGGTGAGAGACTCTTCTCAGATTTTATTGACTCCTCCATGCTCTTCTCTGGTGCAACAGGATGATTTAACCCTCAACTGTAGTTAGTAGCACTTTGGTTCTACAACCATAGAGAGATTGCCAATATGTCATCTGATTTTATCTCCACCATGTCCCAAGATGTCATAGGAGCCAGCACTGTGACATCCACATAGGAGGGTCAGGGTTGATATGCGCGGGGGATTTGGGGGAGTCTCTAAAACACAGGCCTGGGTGGGCTGCAGGAGCTGATTCACTTGTAGCCACCACTGGTCAGGATGCAAGTGCTTTGAATTGGCTCCTCGCTGAATTGAAACTTTCCCTGGTTATCAACAGATATTGGCCTCCTTCCTCAGCGCCTAGACATAGGTGAGGTTTATGCAGAACAACTGTGCCAGCCAGGCACGGTGGCTCATGCCTGTAATCCCAGCACTTTGGGAGGCCGAGGCGGGTGGATCACCTGAGGTCAGGAGTTCAAGACCAGCCTGACCAACATGGTGAAACCCCATCTCTACTAAAAATACAAAATTAGCTGGGTGTGGCGGCAAATGCCTGTAATCCCAGCTACTCAGAAGGCTGAGGTGGAAGAATTGCTTGAACCCGGGAGGTGGAGGTTATAGTGAGCCGAGATTGTGCCATTGCACTCCAGCCTGGGCAACAAGAGTGAAACTCTGTCTCAAAAAAAAAAAAAAAAAAAAAAAAAAAAAACTGTGCCTCAGAGAAAGCCCTGGGCGAAGACAGGCTGTTCGCCTGTGGCTCAGAGGACAGGGAGGGCTGGGAAGAGCACCTGGCCTGGAACTTATCACAGTGAAATCTCTAATGTGCTGTGCAATCTTGGACCACTCGCTGCCCTTCTCTGGTCCTCAGTCCTCACCTGGGAAATGAAGATGGAGAACCTATGACTTTCATGGCCCTTTCGTTCGACAGGGACTTACGGATGATAGGAAGCAGCCCCCACATGCACAAAGTCGAGACTTCCCCGTGAGGCACCACTCCCTCACCCTACGCTGAGTGAGACCTTCAGCCTTGGCCCTGACCCTCAAGGGCTATGGGCTCGTCAGAGTGAGGAGATGCTGGCTGTGTGCTGAACTGGCTTGCACCCCCTCTGGAGAGCCAGTTTTGTTCCACACAGCCATGATCACAAACTAAGTTATATAAACTTACAGTTAAATCATTTGTATTAAAAAGAAAGGAAAGAATTTTTTTTTTTTAAGACAGAGTCCCGTGGTGTGATCTTGGTTCACTACAACCTCCACCTCCCCGGCTCAAGTGATTCTTGTGCCTAGGCCTCCTGAGTAGTTGGGATTACAGGCATGTACCACCACGCCTGGCTAATTTTTTGTATTTTTAGTAGAGATGGGGTTTTGCTGGTCTCAAACTCCTGAGCTCAGGTGATCCGCCCGCCTCGGCCTCCCAAAGTGCTGGGATTATAGGTGTGAGCCACCGCACCCAGCCAGGAAATACTTCTTGTTAGAAATGCATCACTTTCCAATTGTATTGCTCCGTTTTGCTATTCTCTTGGCTCCTGGGGTTTTATGTCTTTTGCATCCGTGTGGTATGACCAGGAGAGAAGCTACTCCACATCTCTTCCCACTCCCATTCAGTGGCCTCACGTGGGTTGCCTGAAATCAACCATGCTGGGAGTATTTACACCTTGGAAATTGGCCAGGGCTACATGAGGAGAGCTGGTGGTTCAGTCCTGACCAAGCGCAGGGCTGCCTGTAGCCTGCTCTAGTCTCTCAAAGCCTCGTCCCCCGGCAGAGTGAGTTTTGTGTAGCGGACTGGTCTCTTAGAGTGGGGCCGGTTAATGTCCTGAGTGCTGTTTATGCTTCTTGGTCTAAGCATGCAGAGACAGTGCCAGAGATGAGCACGCTTGCCTTCCATTCCCGTGGGAGGCCCTTAGGAGAAGCTTCTAATGAGAAGTGCCGGGTCTCCCGCCTTCTATCTCTAAGACCTTCAGGAGTTTCCTTCTCCTATCTGAGCCTCGGTTTCCTCATCTGCAGCACGGGACACAGTAGTGCCTGCTTTGCAGGGCTCAGTAAAAAGACCATAGAGCCCACAGTTCCCTGACTGGCACAGAACTGCATTCCCTACATGTGCACTACGGACAGATTTAAAAACCCATTCCAGGCCGGGCACAGTGGCTCACAGTGGCTCATGCCTGTAATCCCAGCACTTTGGGAGGCCAAGGCAGGCAGATCTCCTGAGGTCGGGAGTTCAAAACCAGCCTGACCAACATGGAGAAACCCCGTCTGTACTAAAAATACAAAAAAAATTAGCCGGGCATGGTGGCGCATGCCTGTAATCCCAGCTACTCGGGAGGCTGAGGTAGGAGAATTGCTTGAACCCTGGGAGGCGGAGGTTGCGGTGAGCCGAGATCGTGCCATTGGATTCCAGCCTGGGCAAGAAGAGCGCAACTCCATCTCAAAAAACAAAAAACAAAAAGCAAAAAAAAAAAACCAAAAACCCCATTCCAGAACCAAATATTTATGAGAATGAATAAAACAGAAGCAGAACGTTTGTAAATAGTCCAATAACCTTTCCATGGAGCTCAGTCGGTTCTGTGGACTTGGTGTTTTTGGTTTTTCTTTCCTGGCATTAGATGAAACTCCTGAGAACAATGATTTACTGAGCGCTTACACTGTGTCAGGGCAAGAGTTTGCCACGTATTCGCTCTTGGGAGCCTCTCGACAAATCCACCGGGTGGGGCCCATGGCAGCCACCATGCGGGCCTCGGTGCTATGCAGCCCCTGGCCTGGGCAGGCTGGCCCCTACTGTCAGTGTGACTGTGGGTCTGTTTTCCCCTCTAAGCACCCCTCCAGGGCAGCTGGAAATGGTGGTTCAGTTTGCACCCTGCCCAGAGATGCCTGTCCTGCTGAGGGGGGCTGGGAGGGGCTAGAGCAGCCAGGAGCTGGTGCCACTTTCTCTTTCAAATGCATCCTGCCAGACGGGGGGAGGGAGGGGAGCATTGCATTGTCTATCTGGAGGCACCCCCTGTGCTAATAGCAGTAGGGGACTGTAGGAGCCAGCAGTGGCCCACAACTTGCATTCCTCAGTTCCCCATCTCCTTTCCCCCATTATTTCTGTGAGCTCTTGAGAGCCTTCCAAACATCCTTTTATTTTTTGCTGAGATAGCAAGAGTGGGAGAAGCAGATGGCCTGGAGCTGTGCTTTCACCATTCCATGAGTTCTGACCTTCACCTTCATCTTTGTACCGTAAGCATCTGTGTCTGCTGGCCTGAAGGCTTTCTCTGGCTGCAGGAGCCTGCTCAGCCCACACACAGTCAGGCCAAGGTGCCGGGGAGGTAACACCTGTAGGAGCAAATGGAGCTGGAGCCCGATGGCCCAGCTGGCTTCTCAACTTTGGTGGGACACGAGTGAGGAGTGTTCCACACGGTTTCTCCAAGGTCCACTGGGTTTGAGCTCTAGTGCCCAGGCAGCCACCTGCTCATTAACACTCCCTGAAGGGCGCCTTCCCTTTCCTGCCCAGCTTCCCACTCCCCAGCTGGGGCTTCCTGGGATCCCCTCCCAAATGTACTCCCTGCACTCGAATCCTGTCGGATCCATGCTGTGGGTTGAACTGTGTCCCCCCAAAGATATATCCAACCCCTAACTTCTGATCCTTGTGAATGTGACCTTTTTTGGAAACAGGTTCATTACAGGTGTAATTAGTCAAAATAAGATGAAGTCATGCTGGAGGTGGGTGGTTCCTTAATATGAACCCCGTTCCTTATAAGAAAAGGAGAAGGGGCCAGGCATGGTGGCCCACGCCTGTAATTCCAGCACTTTGGGAGGCCGAGGTGGGCGGATCACCCGAGGTCAGGAGTTCGAGACCAGCCTGGCCAACATGCTGAAACCCTGTCTCTACTAAAAATACAAACATTAGTTGGGCATGGTGGTGCATGCCTGTAATCACAGCTACTCAGGAGGCTGAGGCAGTAGAATCACTTGAACCTGGGAGGCGAGGTGGACGTTGCAGTGAGCCAAGATCATGCCATTGCACTCCAGCCTGGGCGACAGAGTGAGACTTCATCTCAAAAAAAAAAAGGAAAAGGAGAAGAGACATAGAATCAGAGACACATGGAGAGAAGGCCATGCAAAGACAGAGGGTTGCAGAGGTCAGAGTGATGTATCTACAAGAGACACATGAGGGACCAGAGAACATGAGGGACTGCCAGCCACCACTGGAAGCTGGGAGAGACATTGAAAGGTTTTCTCCTTAGAGCCTCCACAAAGGAACCAACCCTGCCAGACACCTGGATCTCAGCCTTCTGGCTTCCAGAACTGTGAAAGAATCCACTTGTGTTGTTTTAAGCCCCCAGCGTGTGGCATTTTGTTGCAGCACCCTCGGACACGAATACAGTCTGCTCTGGGCATCAAGGGAGTCAGCTTCTGTTGGTTGCAACCGGCAACGAGACATTTCACAGATAAGGAAACTGAGGCCATTGCAGAGAATGACTTATCTGTGCTGTTTTGGCTGGGGACAAGTGGGGCTATCACTATATCCCCAGAGTCTGGGAGCTTTGTCTGCTCCTTGAACCAGGTGAGCTCACACCCTGCGGGACTTCATCATCAAGACTATGAAGATGCCTACGTCTTGGGGGTCAGCGGGTGCTCAGTAGGCTCCGGAAACCCCCAGCAGCACCCAGGAGGGGGTCTTCAAGGCTCATGGTTGAGAACCCCAGAAAAGCCCCGGAGCTGCCTGGGTGCTGGAGAGAGGGGATATGTCGTACTGATGTGAAGCAAACTTACTGTAGGCTTGGCCACACCCTGGTGTCTAGCCCAGAACCTGGCATGGAGGGGGGACTGGAAGGAATGAAAAGTCCATGAATAGCTGACTTTTGAGGGGGACCTTAGGCAAATCACTTTCTCCTCGCTGGGACTGAGATTCCTCATCTGAGGTCCCAGCCCTGAAATTCCAGGTGGAAATCAACGAGTAAAGAAGCATCCCAGGTCCCTGTGTGGTTATCACTCGGGAGAGGGAGACAGGAAAGCAGGACACCTCTGTGCCAGCACTCACCGCAGCCACAGGGCAGAGGCAGATGGATGCCCATGGGGTGAGCACATCGCACCTGTCCACTCAGGGGACTAGAACTCAGCCATAGAAAGGTACGGAGCCTGGACACACGCCATTGCACAGATGAACCTCGAAGACATGATGCTGAGTGCACAAAGGCCACGGGTGTGTGACACTGTTTGGATGCAACGTCCAGAAGAGGCAAATCCAGCGGGACGGGAAGGAGATTCTTGGTTGCCAGGGGCTGGGGGAGGGAGGAATAGGGGGCAGCTGTCTGATGAGAACAGAGGTTCTGCCTGGGGTGATGGAAAAGCCGCAGAAATAGATCATGGAGGTGGTTGCACACATCGTAAGTCTAATTAATGCCGCCAACTCGCACACTTAAGATGGCTGAAATGGAAAATTGCATGTTATATATATTTTACCACAATAATTTTTCTAAAAAGCAGCGAGAACCTGAGGCACCTCTCGGGAATTCTGCGATGGCACATAGAGTCCTTGTGAGTCCTCTGTGTCCCCAGCACCGAGAGGCAGCCTCTCAGCAAGTGTCCGCTCACGGTGCCCACTCCGGCTCGTGGGTCATCGTAGCTTCACGCCCATCTCCTCCGAGGCCTCTCCCTGAATGCCCCATTATGATTTCCCTTAAATGTTTACATAAGAGCCCAGCTCTTCCTTCTTAGCATTTAGCTCTGTTGTTGTTATTGGCATGATTTGTTTAGGTTTCTCTCTAACTGCTTTTGCAGATGACCACAAAAAGCAATTCGTTCGCCTTATCTGTGTGCTGTTGTGTGTGGTGTCTCTGACTTGTCCTGAAACAGCCACGTGAAGTCAGGGCCAACGTCTTCTGGTTCAACTCGGAACTCCCCATTTCCAGCCCAGCGCCCGAAACCCAGTGGGCCTGGGAATTATGAATTTACTGTTGAATGAATGAATCAATTATGTTAAAACCTTCCGGAACAGAATAGAAGGGATGGAAAGTTCTAGAGGACTCTCGGGTGCACTGACTGACAATGACATTGTTGGGAAGACTTGGTCGACTTTGCCGTCTCGTGAATTTCTTTCTTTCTTTTTTTTTTTTTTTTGGCCTCCCTCTGAGGAAGTCCCATTAACCTTGTGCCAAATTCTGTCCCCAGAGCCCAGTGTTAAGGGCCCCGGGCACCAGGAAATGGCATTCATCTACGCACGCTGAACTCTAAGCCCACTGTTCCGGGGAGCGACATATTTTTAGATGTTTGACGTCCAAATTCCAGAGGAAGAGCAAGTAATGCTTAGAGGAAAACTGGCTTTCTTCCTCCACCACGCAAACCAGTGCTGGGGTGCATTTTTATTGGTCTGGCCGCTAAGCTGCTGGAACTTTCCAAAGAAGGGTAAAAGCTCCTGCATGTGGAAGGAAGGGGGTGGTGAGCACTGAGGGAGGCATGTGGGTAGCTTTGGTGGCAGCTCTGGAGATTGGATTCTTTTTCCCTAAATGGAAGTGGTTTATAAATTCTTCTACTGATTATTAAAAGAATGATGTTTACTGTAAAAAAAAAAAAAAGTCAGGCAACACAGAAAGTTATAAATTAGTAGAAATGATCTGAATTCTTCCTCCAAGATGTAAACTCTGGTGACATTCTGGGGTGTCTGTCTAGATTGTTTCATGAAGCAGTTACACACAGCACACGTGTTTTCTCTTAGTGGTATTTTATTCGTACTGATTCAGATTTCTTTTATTGAAATGAAATTCACATGACAGACAATTCACCCTTTCAAAGGTACAATTCAGTGGTGTTTAGTATACTCAGAGTCATGCAACCGTCCTAACTGCCTAGTTTTGGAACGTTCCCATCAACCCTACAGGAAACCCTGCAGCCATTAGCCGTCAGTCCTCCTTCCCTCTTCCCGCAGCCTCTGGCAACTACCAATCCACTTTCTGTCTTTATGGATCTGCCTGTTGTAGACGTTTCATGGAAATGGAATCATCCAGTATGTGCTATTTGGTGTCTGGCTTATTCACACTGTTTTATATGTTGCATTTTCACTTAATAATCTGTGGGAAGTATGTTAACATGGTGGATCGACATCTTCCTTTCTAAGGCCTGCCTGGTGTTCTCTGTGCCTTCACTTATGTATCCAGCCTCTTTTGGTTGCACATCCAGCTTGTTTGCTTTAATTGAATCTGGACTTGGACTTGCTGAATTGGGGTTCCCACTGCTGCAGCCCAAAATGGGCATTTCCCCACCTGCTTCCTAGGGATATCAGTGGCAGAATGGCTTTGCAAATCTATTTTTGTTCATCTATATGAACAAAAGGTCATATAGTTTCACTCTTGTCACCCAGGCTGGATTGCAGTGGTGCCGTCTGGCTCACTGCAACTTCTGCCTGCGTGGTTCAAATGATTCTCCTGCCTCAGCCTCCTGAATAGCTGGGATTATAGGCACCCGCCACCACGCCTGGCTAGTTTTTGTATTTTTAGTAGAGACGGGTTTCACCATATTGGCCAGGCTGGTCTCGAACTCCTGACCTCAGGTGATCCACCTGCCTTGGCCTCCCAAAGTGCTGGGATTATAGGTGTGAGCCACCGCGCCCGGCCAGGAATCATTTTTATCCAGGTAAGGCATACAGAACCGGAGGGTTCTTGTCTAAGTTGTACCATGAATGTGTGCTCAGTGGCTACTTTGAAATAGACTTACTGTACAATCCCTGAGCAGGAATGAAAATAAAAGCTGGAAATCACGGGTTGCTCTGGGGTTTTCAGGAAGGTGTCGTCCGTCTGGGGTGAGTGTCCTCCTTTCTCAGGGATTTCATGTGGCATTATTTTGTTTTCATCTGAGAGGCAACATAAGCTGGGAGGGAAGGGCTGCAAAGAGGGGGCCAGGACAAATGTGTACCTGGGGGCCCCCATTTTGACTCCACCCTGAGCTGGGGCTGGGCCACAGGAGGGCAGAGGGAACACTTTGGGAGGGGGAGAGAGCCCCTGGACTGAAAGAATGGGAAGAAATTGACAGGCACCATTGGGAAGCAACTCCCAGTTCCAGGCTCCTGGGTCAGGAACGCCCATGGAGTAGGACAGACCCAGGTTCGAGTCCTGCCTCTGACTCTTCTCAGCTGCTTGCTCTTGGGCAAATGCTTTTAGTTTTTTTGTGCCTCAGTTTCCTCATCAGTAAAGTGGGTTTAGAATAGCAGCAGCCCCAGAGGGTGATACTGAAGATTCAGTATGTGAGGACCCAGCACAGCATTGGCACACAGTAAGAGCTTACTAAATGCTGCCTCCCTTGCCATAAGCATGAATCACACAGCCCAGGCTCTAAGCCTGGTGTCTGTGTATGGTGACTGTGTGCCTCCGTTTCCTCACCTATGCAATGGGGACAGCAGTGGTACCTACTGGGGAGGGCTGGAGGCGACTTCAGGTGGTCCTCCGAGGGCAGTGCTCTTGCACATGCTGGGTGGCTGTTTCCGCATGGCCCCTTCTCTTAGGAACTCTGCGAGTTGTTTGCCCTGGTCTTATCCAGAAATGATGAGGTTATATCCAATCCCACTTTTCACTGTTGCTGGTGGGTTTCTCGTACGTGTATCTGCAGCCTCAGCTGGACTGGAGCTCCTTAGGTTTCTTCTGCATCTGCTGAGCATCTAACCTAACGCTATGGAGATGGTGGGCGTTCACTAAATCATCTGGGAGTGAATTGAGGGAGGATACAGCGGAAATGAAGAAAGACTGGAAGATATGAAGAATGAAGTTACTATGGGACGAGAGGCTTCTGAGTCCATTGATTAAAAATAAAAGGAGCCAGGCGTGGTGGCTGACGCTTGTAATCCCAGCACTTTGGGAGGCTGAAGCAGGCAGATCACCTGAGCTCAGGAGTTCAAGACCATCCTGGGCAACAAGGCAAAACCCCATCTCTACTAAAAATACAAAATATTAGCCAGGCGTGGTGGCGGGCACCTGTAGTCCCAGCTACTTGGGAGGCTGAAGCATGAGAACTGGTTGAGTCTGGGAGGCGGAGGTTGCAGTGAGCTGAGATCGTGCCCTTGCACTCCAGCCTGGGTGACAGAGTGAGACCTTTTCTCAAAATAATAATAATAATAATAATAATAATAATAATAATAATAATAAAAGGAATAAAAATCAGGTGAACTATGGATTAGCATTGCCCGTGCTGAGCCGAGCACACGCAGGTGTGGTCTCTTTTGATCTTCACCACAGACATCGGCAGCAGGTATTACTTTTGTGTCCATTTTGCAGATGACGCTCAGATACGTTAGTGATTTTCCTGTATGATCGCACAGCCATGGGGTTCAAACCCAGACGCGTCAGACTCCTACACCTGAGCCCTTAATCCCTGTGCAAAGCAGCCTTTGATGTATAAGAGATCATGAGCTTCGGTCCCTTCCATCTTGGGATATGGCTCCTAAGTTCTTGCCCCAAAGGATGTGGAGGTTCAGCTGTGAAAAAGAGTTAGGAAGCGTTCCGAGTAGAAGGAACAGTGTGCGGAAGCCTCCAAGGCCAGGAGGAGCAGCGAATCCTCAGAAACTGAGGATGGCCGAGTCCAGCTTTACATTTTGAAAGCATCCTTCCTCATCTCTGGAGTGTGGGATATCAAGACCCACTCCCCTAATTCACATCCGCATTAAGTGAGCATAGGAGTGTGATGATGCTTGCCCATAGCACAGCCTTACACAAACAAAAGGGCTGCCCCCACACCTGTGCAGGACCCCTGCTCTGCAGAACCCACTGCACAGGGCCCATGTGCAGATCAGCGAGTTAATGCATGTTAAGCACTTAGAAGGGTGCCCAGCAAACTGCCAGGGTGTGTTGACCACCATCATCCTCATCTTCATCATCATCATCATCATCACAGCTTTTGTTCCACCCGAAGAATATTTACTGAGTACTTGCTATGTGCCAGGCACTGTTCTACGAGCCAGGGACACAGGTAAGAACAAAACCAAGTTCCTGTCCCTAGGAGGGAGAAAAACAGCAAACAAATGAGTTCATAATACACAGTCCACCCAAGGGTGATGAGGTGTGTGAAGCTCCACAAAGCAGGGAGAGGGGGAAGGGAAGGCTGTATGAGCAGATCCCAGGTAGGTGAGAGCCGGGCAGATATGGTGGGTGGGCGGGGAAAGAGCCAGTGCAAAGGCCCAGAGGTGGGACTGGGTGGCTGGAGAGAATGAGTAAGGAGGGGAGTGCTGGAAGAGAGGTCAGAGACGTGGAGGGGGTCAGGGGAGTCAATTCCAGTCCGACCTCTAGGCCAAGAACCTTGGCTGTTAACTCCTTTAACCCATGGGGCCAGGGATAAATTGGAGGGTAAGCTGTTCATGTCTCTGAGTAAAAGCTATTTCCCAGAACTCCAGAAAACGCCCTGTGTTTAGAACCCTCTTTGAGTGTCACCTTGCGTGACATGAAATATTTTTCAAAACATGTAATCCTTTAATCTGGGCCTCTCAGTGAAATCAGTGCTTTATCACTCACGACCATCTGTTGTTTCAGTCACGCAGTAAATAACTCGGGAGATGTGGCTTCTAAGGCGCTTATCTCTTTGTTCTCTCCAAATTCTGAGAAATGACATTTGAATTTTCCTCTGAGACGGCGGCACAGCTCAAATTGATCTCTGCGTACCCTCCCATCTGGGACTGCCATTAAGGAAGTCCCAGGACTGGGAGGCATTTGTGGTGGGTGAAAAGTGTTT
Organism: Homo sapiens; assembly: GCF_000001405.40. Classification (NCBI taxonomy): domain Eukaryota; kingdom Metazoa; phylum Chordata; class Mammalia; order Primates; family Hominidae; genus Homo; species Homo sapiens. The sequence continues at coordinate 84,307,625 of NC_000016.10, forward strand.
TGCTTCTGATCACCAGGTTCCATTAAATTTCATAAATGAGGCTTCATCGAAAAATAAGCTGGGCGGAAAAATAAGCCGCCCCCTCCCGACGACGTACGGTGTATTCTTAACCACCCTCCGAAGGAGGCTGGGGCGCCTGTCATGTTAGATTAGGATTAAAAATTGCGGACCCCAACATGGGTCCAATGTAGTTAATTCTGCAGCAAGTGAACTGAGAGCTAATGGCGTGGGATTATGCACCTGCTGCGGCTGGAAAGTTATTGGTGGTGGTTACAGGGGTGAGGGAGATTGGGCGGAGAAAGGGGTGATAAAAGGTGATAAAAGGTCCACGCTCTGGTCTCCCCTCTGTCTTTGGGGAAAACCATTCACCTCCTTAAGGCCTCGTCTCCATATCCACCAAATGCCAGCTTAGTGGTCATTTTCACTTTTCGTGAATTTAACAGCCAATGTTTACAAGAGTAAAAAGAAGGGTTCTCTGGGTGAAGCAGGGATGGGGGCCAGGGGCCCCCCTCCCAGGCTTTCCTGCCGCACCACCCCCCGCTCCTGCTTGGCCATTCCTGCTCTCTGCCCCTCATGCCCTCAGTCTCAGGCCCTGAGGCTCCCTGGGGGCAGCTGAAAACCTCTGGCCTTGGTGATTCCACCAATTCCCAGGGGCACCCGGCCCGGACCTGTTCCCAGGGACCTGGTGCCCCCTGCAGGGCACTGGTGACACCGTGTGCAATTTGCAGCTACCCAGATAGGCACGCAGGAAGGACTGCGCTCGGTCCCAGCCAGGCAGGGACAGACACAGCCTCTGCTCTCAGTGTGGGGTGGCGAGGGCCTAAAAATGAAGAATCATACTAGAAACATCCCGACGAGTCTGGGGAAAGCTGCCCTCAGAAGGCTGTTTAAGCTGAGGACTAAAGGGTGATTTGGCCAATTGAAGCTGATGGGAGGCCTTCCAGGCAGAGGACCAGCACGTGCCAATGATGATCGGTGGCACTGTGCTAGATGCCAGCCTGAGTGTAGATGCCCGCCTGGGTGTACACTCCATCCTGAGTGTAGACACCAGCCTGGGTGTAGACGCCATCCTTGGTGTAGATGCCATCCTGAGTGTAGATGCCAGCCTGGGTGTAGACGCCATCCTGAGTGTAGATGCCAGCCTGGGTGTAGACGCCATGCTGAGTGTAGACGCCAGCCTGGGTGTAGATGCCATCCTCAGTGTAGATGCCAGCCTGGGTGTAGATGCCAGCCTGGGTGTAGACGCCAGCCTGGGCATAGATGCCATCCTGGGTGTAGACACCAGCCTGGGCATAGATGCCATCCTGGGTGTAGACACCATCCTGGGTGCAGACTCAGGATACCCCAGGAGGGAAGTTCTGTAGGGAGAAACTGATGCTTGCCCAAGGTCACACAGCAAGTGAGTGGCAGAGAGGATTTAAGCCCTAGAGCCGGGATTTGAACCAAGGCCGTTAGCTGTGGAGCCCGCTCTGGTTGCCCGTCTGCTCTGCCGGATGAGACAAGCTCAGCTGGAGGAAACGGTTTGAAGAGATGAATGTGCTTGGAGGGCGAGGGGAGGAGGGAGGGCAGTTTGCTGGCATGTAAGGACAAGGAGGGTCGGGGCGATGAGATGAGGCCAATGTATCCTATATCTAAGTTATTAAATCGAAAAAGTAACATGTACCTGGTTGGCGCAGGGCTCGGAGGTCGAGTGGGGAGCTGGGACTTTGTCCCGAGGGTGCTGGGAAGCCTCTGGGGCCTTGGAGCACAGAGGTGACCAAATCCACAGGTGCCTTTCATAAAGCCTCTTTGGGCTGCAGTTTGGAGAATGGATGGATTTGGAGGCATCGAGGCCAGGGACGAGGCCACTGTGGAGGCACTGATGGGGACTTGGGCCTGGGGTGGGGTTCATTTATAGAATGTGCCTGGCAGAGGGACAGATATCAAGTTTCCAGGGGCCGCCGTAACAAATGACCACAAACTGGGGTGGGAGGGGTGGTTAAGCCAACAGAAATGAATTGTCTCATGGTTCTGGGGCCAGAAGTTCAGCATCAGCTTCACTGGACTGAGATCAAGGGGTCAGCAGAGCCGCGCCCCCCCAACTCCAGAGGTTCCTTCCTTGCCAATCCCTGTTCCGGTGGCTGCTGGCAATCATGGTCACTCCTTGGTCTGTAGACGCCATCTCTGCCTCCCTCTTCACATGACTTTCTTGTGTGCATGTGTGTGTGCGTGCGTGTGTACATGTGTGTGTGGGGGGGGCGTGCTTGTGTGTGTGTGTGTGTGTGATCTCCCTCTGCTCCCCTCTTCTCAGACACTTGTGACTGGATTTAGGGCCCACTGGAAAATGCAGAATCATCTCCCCATGTCAAGATCCTTAACCTAATTGCGTCTGCAAAGACCCTTTTTCCTTTGCATTTAGGATTCCAGGGAGTAGGGCCTGGTGTCTTTGGGGACCTTTATTCAGCCAACTGTATGTGCAGGAGGAGACACAGGAGGCTCGAGGCCCTCCCTTGAAGGGGTCGCTCACTGGTTAAATGCGATGGCGGATTTCTATTAAGACACCGAGAAAGAGTGACAAGGGAGGGTGGGTGTGGGACATAGAAGCGGGGGTGGTGTGGCCCTAACCCTGGCCTGGGAGGGCTGGTGTCACCGAAGCACATCCCAGCCTTGAGCGCTGATTTGAGTCTCGGGGAATGGTCCCTCTGGAAGACCTGAAGGAACGGGCATTCGGCAGAGGATCAGCACGGGCAAAGGCCTGGAGGTGACGGCGCCCACACTGTCATCAAAGCAGCTTCAGTAGCTTTGTGAGGTTCTGTGAGTCAAGTCTAGATTAAGCCAGGACTTGGATGATGTGCCCTCGCTCTGCATGGAGACTGCCTTTAAATTGAAGAAGAATGTGTACATGGTAAAAAGACATTGAACCACTGCAGAAGGGTGTACAATAGAAAGAAATCTCTCTCAGCTTTACACCCTATTCTTCTCTCCAAAGGCACCTTTCCTAATGGTTTCTTGTGTGATCTTGTGTATCCTTCCAAAAACGTTCTCAGCCTATGCAAATAGATATATATATGTTACATCTGTGTGCATTTTTTTAAAAACACAGATGGGGCAGAGCCTACACGCTGTTCCGAACCGTGGTTTTCTTCATGAGCCGCCATATCCTGGCGATCTTTCATATGTGGCACATTGAGTCTTATTTCATTTTTTGCCAACACCTTAAAGGCAGGTTTTCATGGCTGTCTACTATTCCAATTTGCAGATATGCCCTATGTACTGGGCCAGCACAAGGGGGCCAGATTTTGAATATGTTGGGGGAGGACTTGTGGGGAGGTAAGTAGGTGAAGCATTTTAGATTAAAGGAACAGTTTAGGCAGAGGCCAGGAGGCAGCGCAAGCCAGGGTGGTTTTTTTCCAATTAATCTATCCTGTATCTAACTCTGTGTGTGTGTGCAAATGAGCACAAACTGCTCACCACGCACCCCATTTTCATAGAAGCAGAAGAGTGTTACTGGGCCTGGATGGAGTCTGGTGTCAGGGGACCCAGGGCAGTTTGCCTGGTGGCTTAAACTTTCTCGGTCTTACCTTTAAAATATTGATCTTATTGGTCACTCACCCATATTCCTATATGTTAAGTACAGTACTATATCTTTTTTTTTTTTGGAGATGGAGTCTCACTCTGTCACCCAGCCTGGAGTGCAATGGCTCGATCTTGGCTCACTGCAAGCTCCGACTCCCAGGTCCACACCATTCTCCTACAGGTGCTCGCCACCACGCCCGGCTAATTTTTTTTCTTTTTTTTGTATTTTTAGTAGAGACGGGGTTTCACCGTGTTAGCCAGGATGGTCTCGATCTCCTGACCTCATGATCCACCTACCTTGGCCTCCCAAAGTGCTGGGATTACAGGTGTGAGCCACTGCGCCTGGACTTTTTTTTTTTTTTTTTTTTTAACAGGGTCTCACTCTATTGCCCAGGCTGGAGGGGAGTAGTGCGATCACAGCTCACTGCAGCCTTGACCTCCTGGGATCAAACCATCCTCCCGCCTCAGCCTCCCAAGTACCTGGGACTACAGGAGAGAATGAGCATGCCTGACTGCTTTTTTTTTTTTTTTTTTTTTAGTGGAGAAGGGGTTTCGCTATGTTGGCCAGCCTGGTCTCAAAACTTCTGAGCTCAAGTGATTCACCCACCTTGACTTCTGGAAATGCTGGGATTATACGCTTGTGTGCCACAGCACCTGGCCCCTATATCTTATTTTTGAACTTTTTATTAAAACATAATACTTCGGGCCAGGCGCGGTGGCTCACACCTGTAATCCCAGCACTTTGGGAGGCTGAGGCAGGCGGATCACCTGAGGTAGGGAGGTCCAGACCAGCCTGGCCAACATGTAGAAACCCTGTCTCTACTAAAAATACAAAATTAGCCGGGTGTGGTGGCACATGCCTCTAATCCCAGCTACTCGGGAGGCTGAGGCAGGAGAATCGCTTGAACCCAGGAGGTGGAGGTTGTGGTGAGCTGAGATCGCGCCACTGCATTCCAGCCTGGGCAACAAGAGCGAAACTCCGTCTCAAAAACAAAACAAAACAAACAAACAAAAAATACTTCAAAGCGTATAAATCCTACGTGTTCAGCTCCATGAATTCCCACAAAATAAACACACCATGTAACCAGCCCCCAGACCAAGAAACAGAACAGAGCCAGTCCCAAGACCACGTGTTCCCAGCCAGTCACTGCCCACCAGATTCCTGACTTCTCATGCCAGACATCAGCTTGGCCTGTTTTTGAGCTGCAAATATAAGTGGAATCCCACTGTGGTGTTCTCTTTTGATCTGGCTTTTTTCCTTTCTTTATTTTCTGAGATGTAGCGATGTTGTTGCATGGATTTAATGATTCTGTGTATAATTTGTAAATTCTCAAAGCTCTATATAAACATGGATTCTAAGAAATCCACACATATGTACATATACATATGTACATATAGACATATGTGTGTACGTATATGTATACATGCAGACATATATGTATATACACATATATACCACATATATTATGTATTATGTATCATCTCTCTCTCACACCGGGTAGATACTTAAGTAATTGTCCTTCAGCAAACACACCAAGATTTGCTTATCCTTTTGCTCTGGGCTTTCAGTTATTTCGTGCCGACTGTTATAAAAAGATACATGGTATCTTCTGACCTTCTGAGCCGCCCTCCGAGGCTGGCTCTGCCTGCTTGCTGTTTCTCACAAGAGGAAACGCAGGCTCAGAGAGGCCCGGCGCACTGCCCACCCCCTTGCAAGCTCCGGGTGGCGCCGGGACTCGAACGCGCGCCCCAGAGCTGCTGACACCGCCCTCTCCCCGCAGGCCGAGGAGGCGGGCGCGCCCGGCGGCCCCCGGCAGCCCCGAGCAGACCGCTGCCCGCCGCCTCCGCGGACGCTGCCCCCCGGCGCCTGCCAGGCCGCGCGCTGTCAGGCGGACTCCGAGTGCCCGCGGCACCGGCGCTGCTGCTACAACGGATGCGCCTACGCCTGCCTAGAAGCTGTGCCGCCCCCGCCAGGTAGGTCCTGGGCCCGAGGGAGGGGGCTGAGGGAGGAGGACAGGTGAACAGAGCTGTCCCGGGGGAGGGGAAGAAAGGAGCTGGGCTTAAAGCTGGGCCACCTGGGCGGGTCTCGGGCGCCTCCACTGCGCACCTGTGAACTGGGACGGGCGCTCCTTGAGCAGGCGTGGCGCTGCTGTGCAGCTGCTGTGTGTCCCACTGCCCCTGGGGACTTGCGTTGTAGGAGATGCCCTTCCAGAGAAAATGCCACTTCCTATGAAAATGGGATGGGGGCAGGGACCCTAGATGCCTCCAGGGAGCCACAGTCCAGCAGACACCCATTCCCGGGAAAATGCCCGCTGATAGGATGCGGGTGCAGTGGGATTTCTCATTTAAAAGATCAAGATTCGAGGCTTTTCTTTAAAATACCGGACCATGTTCCCTGGGCTGCCACCAGCTGGAACCTCAGGTGCCCCTGGATGAGGAGGTGTCCTCTAGCTTCCCACTCACCCCATCAACCCACCAGGCCCGCCACACTTCTCATGCCTGGCCCTGGGGTATTTGAGGTGGAGACCAGGAGCTTAGCAATCCAGATGGGGCGTGCCCCAGAGAGGAGCGGGTGCGTGGCTTCAGATCCACCGGCCAGCTGTCACTTTCTTGAGTCTCCTCTCCTGTGAAATGGGTGGATCACCTGAGGTCAGGAGTTCAAGACCAGTCTGGGCAACATGCTGAAACCCCGTCTCTACTAAAAATACAAAAATTAGCCAGGCGTGGTGGCAGGAGCCTCAAATCCCAGCTACTTGGGAGACTGAGGCAGGAGAATCACTTGAACCCAGGAGGTGGAGCTTGCAGTGAGCCAAGGTTGTGCCATTGCACTCCAGCGTGGGTGACAAAGTGAGACTCTGTCTCAAAAAAAAAAAGAAAGAAAAAGAAAAGAAAAGACAACGTGCAGCTCACGGTGGACCTGCCACTCCAAAGTGCTCAGCACTGCGCGGGGCTGGGAGCAGATAATGAGATGTGTGTTGAATCACGATGCCAACCTCTCGGGGAGAAACAATGTTCAGGGATTCATCATTGGCAGGACGGAGTTTCAGATCCCTTTTGAAGAGAAGGTTTGGGAAGGGAAGGAGGTGACCCCGTCGGGGACAGTAAGTGGGGAGTAGGGTAGACAAGTAGCTATTTCCTGGGGAAAATGTGCCCTTGGGTGGGGAAAATGTGCCCCTAAGCGGGTAGGATTTGCGGCAAGGAAGTCTTCTCCACCCTCGGCTCTGCTCAGGGTGATAACAACAGCTGTTTGGACTGTACCTTCCACGAGAGGCTGTGGGTTCCCATGGGCCTTAATTAGGGAAGGCGGCTCGAGAAGGTGGCCCAGCCCCTCCTCCCAAGGCTGAGAGGAGAGTCAGAGATGGCAAGGATGACCTCACTTTGTTTTCTTTGGGGTGAGGTCACAGCGATGACAGGGGACTCAGCACACTTAATCATGCTCATAATTACAGTCTTATAATGCTCATCAAGACAGACAGGGACTATTTCAGTACTGCCTCTGGGCAGGAACTGGCCGCTGCTCCAGGCCAGGCAGCCTCCTACTCAGCCTTCATAAGAAAACCTAAATGTTGCCCCTCATGGTGGACAAGCACATAAAGGCACTCCCCTCTGGGTGGACTTATCAAAAATGGTGCCCCTTCCTCTGGAATGTGACCTGACATAGGGATTCTAGCCTTGCCTCCTGCCTATAGCAGGTGCTTTTGAGCAGTGCACAGATGATACAACTGTACATGGCATTCCCAATAGCCTTTTCATACATCATCTCGTTTCACGCTCACACAGCTTGATGAGATGACTGTTATCAGCCCTGTGTCACAACTGAAGCTCAGAGAAGCTGAATCATTTGCCCAAGGTCACACAGCAGGCAGACCTGCAGTTTCCATCCAGTTGTCTGACTGTAGAGAAGTGTTCATTGCCTTAGGCCGTGAGTGTGGGAATGTGGAGCCCCTGCCCTGGCACCTGTACCCACGTGTGGGGTCCTTCATTGCCAGGAATATCCTCCCCCAGACATCCCATGGCTCACTTCCTTGCCTCCTTTAGACCTATTTCCAAAGGCCACTTTTCAGGAAAGATTTCCCTCTCTCAATGACAGCCCCTCCTTGGCCATTTTTAAACCCTCCATCCCTGTTTAATTTTTCTCTGTAGCGTAATCTGGAAGACTGTGTTTTACTTGTTTGTTCATTGACTGTTCTCTCCCCACTTGAAGGTCAGCCCCACAGGGCAGGGAGTTTGTCTTTCATTCACTGCTGTAACCCCAGCATCTAAAACGGTCTCTGGGCATATAATACTCAATAAATATTCACTCATTCATTCATTCACTAGCCAGCAGGAAGAGCAATCATACTACTAGTGAGTAATAACAACAATGCTGTCTAACACCAGATTTCACAATCTTGGCATATTGACATTTGGGATTGGTTGATTCTACTTGCTGGGCAGGGGGGCGCTCTCCCGTGCACTGTAGGATGGTCAGCGGCTTCCTTGGCCCTTCCCCACCAGATGCCAGTAGCAACCTCTACCCCAAGTTGTGACAACCAAAAATGTCTCTAATCTTTCCTAAATGCTCTCTGGGGAACAAAATCGCTCTGCATTGAGAAACACTGGTCTAACTCAGGCCCTGTTCCAGGCACCTTACTTCTTCATTGCCATCTGGATTTGGGTCTGTCCAAAGCAGACCCAGAGACAAGGACTTGGGCCCAGGTTGTTTATTTGGGAGGTGATCCCAGGTAGTTCCAGTGAGGTCATGAAGAGCTGAGACCCCAGGGCCACCAGGCCTTTAAGGGTCTTCAACTAGAGTAATGGGGAGCCCGGACCAAGTTTCACTACTCCAAACATTTGCTTATTTCCCTGCTGCTCAGAAGCCTTTGATCAAGGCAAAAGAGAATACAAACAGCACATATTACTACGTTTCCCACCTGAAAATGTTTCCTAACACGTGGTCTGATGTGGTGGTGGAAAGGAGGGAAGAACCGAAAGGTTGCGTATAGAGGCTGAAGAACCATCGCGTCATTCCTGTTTTGGAGGTCACAGACTGCTGGCTCCTTTCTCTGCTGTTCCAACTTCCATGTCATTATAATCAGTATAATCAGCGAGTGCTCCTTTACAGAAAAAGCTAACCAGCATTTTTACCAGTACCCATCAATATACTTTAAAAGATGCTAATTATTTTTCTATTCTCTTTATAAAGATAAATATTAGTAATTTTTATTTTTGTCTTACTTTGGAGTCAAACGAATGCAGAGGTCACAAGCAAATGTGATCCCAGAACAGTTTTGATCTCCAACATGCTTAAAGTTTTCTGCCCAGGCACGGTGGCTCACACCTGTAATCCCAGCACTTTGGGAGGCCAAAGCAGGAGGATCACGCGAGGCCAGGAGTTTGGGACCAGCCTGGGCAACATAGGGAGACCGCCTATCTCTGTAGAATAATCATCATCATCATCATTAGTAAAAAAAGTTTTAAAATTACTTGTCAACACTTAAAAACCAGAAGATTTCTATTTTTAAAAATACAGACTTGGCCGGGTGTGGTGGCTCATGCCTGTGATACCAGCACTTTGGGAGGGCAAGGCGGGTAGATCACCTGAGGTCAGGAGTTCTAGACCACCCTGGCCAACATGGCAAAAACCCGTCTCTACTAAAAATACAAAAATTAGCCAGGCATGGTGATGCGTGCCTGTAATCCCAGCTACTTGGGAGACTGAGGCAGGAGACTCGCTTGAACCCGGAAGGCAGAGGTTGCAATGAGCCAAGATTGCGCCATTGCACTCCAGCCTGGGCGACAAGAGTGAAACTTTGTCTCAAAAAAAAAAAAGAAAAAAATACAGACTTACAGTCCGGGTGCAGTGGCTCACTCCTGTAATCCCAGCACTTTGGGAGGCCGAAGGGGGTGGATCACTTGAGGCCAGGAGTTCAAGACCAGCCTGGGCAACATGGCAAAACCCCATCTCTACTAAAAATACAAAAATTAGCCAGGCGTGGTGGCACATGCCTGTAATCCCAGCTACTCGGGAGACTGAGAGAGGAGAACTGCCTGAACCTGGGAGGCAGAGGTTGCAATGAGCTGAGATCGTGCCACTACCCTTCAGCCTGGGTGACAGAACAAGACTCTGTCTCAAAATAAATAAATAAATAAATAAATAAATAAATAAATAAATAAATAAGAAGTAAATAAATAAATAGAATAAGAACTTACAGTAAGAAAAAAAATAAAACAGTCTGGGAGCATTGGAAATGACTGGTCAGGGCTAACCAGCAGCTGATTCATCCAGGCAGGAGGCACTCTCTGCTTTGCTGTGGCCCTGCCTGGTCTGTTTTCCTGTCCCCTAGAGGCATTTGAGTTTTCGACCCCTGCCTTTTGAAGGCCTTCCCATAAACTGTGTGGGTGACTCTTTCTGTTAAAACCAGGTATATTGGTTATACCTGGGTGATGGGATCACCTGTACACCAAACTTCACCCATACACCAAACTTCAGTGACATACAATTTACCTGTGCAACAAACCTGCATGTGTACCCCCGAACCTAAAAATTAAAAAAATAAAGTATTAGTTAGAGAACAGGCTATGCTGCTGCAACAAAAAGACCCATAAATACAGGGACCCAACCTGTGAGGCATTTTCTTCTCTCTCAGCTATTAGTGCAGAGACAGACATTTGTGGTAGGCAGGTAGCTCTGCTCGCAAAGCCATCTAGGGACCCAGCTTCCTTCCTTCTTGCCACTCTGCAGTCTGACTGATGTCCTTGTCCACATGGTCAGAATGGCCCCCAGCCTGCAGGAAGGAAAAGAGGGAGGGAGAGGAGCAGAGAGCCCCGATTGGAGGGTGAGACAGGAAGTTGCATGGTCACTGCTGCTCACATCTTTGTAGCTGCAAGGGAGGCAGGGAAGGCTAGTCCCCAGCTTTGTGGCCCAGTGCCCAGCCCACAGTGAAAGGTTCTATCACTAAAAGCAAAGGGTGAAGGTGTGCCAGGAACCATAGTTATTTCTCCCATGGGGAGCCTCTGTGCTGTCATGAAGTTGGGGTGCCCCCAGCCCCCAAGCCTGGGCGTTTCTCAGCTGCTTGAGGAGGGCCCTGATCTGACCCCGTATTGTGTTAGTCTTAGACTGGCTGGTGCAGCCGAAACCTCGATGGCTTGGTGGCAATGGCTGGCTCCTGGATGGCCCTGAGGAGGTGTTACAAGGTACCTGCCGGGTAAAGCCCAGACCCTACATCCAAGCCTCGATCCCTCCTTCTCAGCTGCTTCCAGAAAGCTGGCAGCACCAGGCCGGCTGTCCCCCATGCACGGGCCCTTCAGCCAAACACTCAGCCCTCTTTGATCCTCCCCACCCCAGCGAAGAAGGGCTGATGGCTGGGGGCTTGGCCAGAATCAAAGCCCAGTACAGAATAAGGGCTTCGACTCTCCCCAAGAATGGAGCCTCCTCCTGGATGGAGAATTGAAGGGGAGGGGGCTTAGGGTTGGTTTTCAAATTCCTAGAATTCTAGGGGGTTCACCGCTCTCTAATGATGAAGCCTCCCTGGGGGTGGGGGAGGTACCAGGAGGCAGAGGGCAATTTCTGGAAGGAACAGCATGCAGGTCGGGGGCCTGGAGGCCTAGGAGGTGCGAGCGGGCACCCTTGCACACCTGCGGCTGTGCTTCTGACTCCACGTCCATCTGTGTGTTGTGTGACTGTGTCCGCTAGAGTGTGCGGCCGTATATGCAACTGTGTGGCTGTCCTTGTGCCTGTGGCTGAATATTTGTGTGTGTGTGTGTGTGTGTGTGTGTGTGTGCATGCAAAAGTGTGTGACTGTATTGTGAGTGTACATGTGTGGGTAAGCGTGTGTGTATGTGGGTGTGGATATGTGTGTGCAGGATTTGTGTGTGGGGATGCGTGCGTATATGTCTGTGTGTATTTGTGCGTCTGACTTGCTTGTGTAAATGTCTGTGTCCCCATGCGACTGTAGGGCTGAGTGTGTGTTTCAGGGTGTATCCGTGAACATGTCTATATGGATGTTGCTGAGCCTGTGAGAGTATGTTTGGGATCAGGTGAGCTTGGACTGCCTGTGTTTGTGTGCGTGTTTGTGGGTGTGCACGTGTGCCACATGCCGCTGAGTGAGACCCAGGGCCTAGCCTGGAACCTGGGGTACAGAGGCGAGGCCGCCTCTCTGGGTGAGGTGCGTTCCCTGCACCCGTCCCGGGAGTCTGCCTTCTAGACCCTAGCATGTGCACCTGTCCTGGGAGTCGGCCTTCTAGACCCCAGCGTGTGTCCCTCCTGCAGCAGAGGCGTGCAGCACCACGGAGGATGGGGCCGAACCCCTGCTCTGTCCCTCGGGCTATGAGTGCCACATCCTGAGCCCAGGTGACGTGGCCGAAGGTATCCCCAACCGTGGGCAGTGCGTCAAGCAGCGCCGGCAAGCAGGTGAGTGTGGCACCCCAGCCCTGATCCTGGCTCCTGCCCCAGTCCCCTTCTCCCTGTAAGCGCCTCTCACCCGCATGGACGACCTGCCCCAGGAAGCAGCCCCAGCACCTGGGCCTGACTGAGAGCTCCTCACATCTTCCCCCTGCCCGGCTCCTTCTTTCATGGCCCCTACCCTTTCCCTGTCACACTAGCATGTGACCGAAGCTCTTGAGCCAGCAGACTGGCTGCAAACCCCAGCTCTGCACCTCCCAGCTGGGCGACACTGGGGTTAATTTCTTCCTATCTCTGAGCCTCAGTTTCCTCATCTGTAAAATGGGGCTACTACATGCTGTTGTGGGGCGTGACTGAAATCATAAGTGCAGAGCAGTCGGAGCAGCCCTAAGGAATAGTAGGTGGTCAGTAAGCACTGGATGTTTTATATCCACGTATGTGTAGATGGACCCCGACTTACGATGGTCAACTTAAGATTGTTAGACTTTACGCTGGTGCAGAAGCAACATGCATTCTGTAGAAACTGTACTTCAAGTTCCCATCCAACCATTCTGTTTTTCACTTTCAGTATGGTAATCAAATTACACGACACATTCAATATTTTATTATAAAATAGGCTTTGTGTTAGATGACTTTGCCCAACTCTAGGCTAATGTAAGTGTTCTGAGCACAGTTAAGGTAGGCTCGGCTAAGGTATGGTGTTCAGTAGGTTAACTGTGTTCAGTGCATTTTGACTTAAGATATTCTCAGCTTGTAGGGGGTATATCAGTACATAACTCCATTGTAAGTCAAGAAGCATCTGTATCTGTTTTCAAACTGCATTGAATTAGAATTGTCTGAGAATCCTTAACTTCCAGAACTTCTGCCAGGACTGTTCAGTTTGACTTAATTTGTGTTCGTCTTTGGACACAAAGGCAATAAATAGATGAGTGAATTGTGTTGCTCTCATTGGCATAATTTTCCCAAGAAAAGAAAGAACAATGGCACAGCGATTCCTGGTGGTATCTAAAACCATCTCGAACCCCACTCAAGGCAATCAAGTTGAAAGACTTCAATGTGCTTTTTGGCATGGAGTTTGGATGAACTGTGTGGTGAGCCAGGAATCTGGGACTTCAGGGTGGCCAGGTTCACCTTGTCAAAGTCAGTGTCAGTCAGACTGAGACCACACCCAGGGGCCCCTGTCCCCGCTTCGGCATCTCATAGCCCTAATAGCTAAGGACAGGACCCTCAGACAAGATTGGTGATAATTACAGTGACCCTATTTGCCGAAAGTATACTGGGGAGTGCATGATCTGCCAAAACCTCTTTTTTTTTCTGATTTGAGAATGTTTTTCTCTGAAGTGTTTCAAGAAAGGCATAGACGTAAAATCAGTCATGCATTTAATGTCATTATCATTGCAGATAAAGTGATGCAAATCCCGGAATCCTGAACTTTGAAGAAATTATCTACAAAAGGCTTTGAAACAAAGAGATGCCTTTTTGGTTTCCTCTACATTCCACTTGCTATTTGCAGGGCTTTGTTTGGGGTTATAGGGTGGCTTCTCCAGCCAGATAGCCTGGGCTGCCACAGCTACTCAGCCCCTTACTGCTGTGGGCAGCAAATAACATAACCTTTTCAGGCCTCATTTGCCTTTTCTGTAAAATGGGTTCATAATACTTGAGGTACTTCACAGGGCTCTTTGAGGAGTGAGTTAATCTGTGTAGAGTGTCCATCAATTCACAAGCACAGTAAACAACCTTCACTGTTTTATCACTGCTTGTCTCTAGACACTCAATCCTGCCGTGGGTGGGTGGGGTGTATGGTCCTTTGGAGGTAAAACCGCAAGGGCCTGCCAGCCACTGTGAGGCTGCTGGAGTGTGGAAGGGATAGCCTTTTCCAAAAGAGAGCTGTGGGGCGAGTTGTGAGTTCGTTGGGCTATGCCACCATTTATAATAATGACGGCATAATAGGAATGCCTTGGGCACTTGTCTTTTTCATCCCCTGATCTTTTCATTCAGCCCTATGATGTCTAAGACCAAGGTCAAACCAAGTCAAACTAGTTCTTAAGGGTTCAAACCAGTTAAAAAAATTCCCATTTCAAGACAGAGCTAAGCAAAGAGGGTCAGTCATTCAGTGGTGACCACACCAGTGATGCCTACTGTTAACATGCACCTTTGGAGTGCTCTCTTTAAATTAAGCTTTGCTGCAAGCCTGCAAAAGGAGAAGTAGAACCAGGAGGCAGTGCTGCATAGGTTTCAGAGTGCAGGCTCAGAACCACAGAAAGAAGTCCAAAGCCTGTAACTTTCTTCCTCCGTGGCCTTGAGCAGGTCACCCAACCTCTCTTAGCCTCAGTTCCTTGATCTGTAAAATAGAGATGGCGATGGTAACCATAGTGACTACTTCATGGGGTAGTTATGGGGCTTGAGTGAGAGAAACACGTATGAAGTGCTTAGAATAGCACCTGGCCCACTGTAGGTCCTCAGTGAATGTGTGCCACCATCATCCCTGTCTTCGTAAAGGGAGGATATGAGTTCAGGAATTTACCCAAAAGATGCAGAGCTGGAAGAGCTGGAATTCCAAGACTGTCCACCAGCCTCAGAGCCTGTGTGTGTGTGTGCGTGTGTGTGTGTGTGTGTGTGTGTGTGTGTGAGCTTCCCCTCCCAAATGAACGATTTGAGGCTTCCAAATGGAACTGTAAGTGGAATTCCCCCTAGCCTTGTTCTCAGGGGGCTGACACTTAGCAATAATTACTGGTAATTTACTGGTAATTATATATAGGTTTGAAAACATTTTGAATTCCAGCAACTTCCCTTGGAGCAAAAATCTCAGGGGAAGGGTGGCCCCCTTGTCCCAGCCTTACCAAGGAAGAAGCTTTTTATTTAAGTTTTTAAAAACTGCATATTTGAAATAATTTCAGACTTATAAAAATGTTGCAAAAGTAGTACCTTGAATCCCCCACCCAGATTCACCAGTTGTTAAAAAACTACCGTTACATTTTCCTTTATGCTCTCTCCCCACTTATAAATCTACGTGTGTATTTTTCTGGACCATTTGAGAGTAAGCGACAGGCCCTGTGCCGACACCTAAGATGCCATCCTCCCGTAAGAGAGGCTTCTAGCGGGTACCAATAGTCCTTCAAGTTTGACCATCCAGCACCTGGAACCAGGCATTTGAGGGGTTCACATTTTATGCAAGAGGAAAATGAACACTGACATGTATAGTAAATCTGGTTTTTCAGAGAGTGGGTTCAGGGAAAATCGGTGCATTTTTCTGAGTAGGTTTGAGGTCACACAGAAGCTGAGCTGCGGGGGCTGGCCCCTCCTTGTCCTGCCCAAGACACTGCTTGAGAAGAATGAAGTGGGGCTTGTCTAGCCTTGAGTGGGAGGCAATTTGAGAAAAGTGACGAGTAATCATTTTTGGTAATAAATTATAAGTGATTATATTTGGCCTGAGGAGGGGGTCCGGGGTCCACATTTACCTCTGTCTCCTTGTGGTGTTATGGGCCAGAATTCACCCCCAGGTAAAGGGGGAGCAGGAAAGTTTTGGGGAGCTCCCCCAGCCTACAAAAACCTTAGCCATTTGCTTTGGAAAATAGTTATTGCTGCAGTTGCTGATCAGCAGGCGCTGACCCACCGGAGGGCCTGGAGCGGTTCCATGGAGCGTTAGCACCTTGACCGATAAATGTCCGTGCTGGTCCCAAACAGCCTGATGATTTTTAGTATGGCCACAAAACAAAAGAAAAAGAAAATGTCTGGCTACCGCGCATATGTGCTTGATTAACCTTATAGCAGAAAAGGCAGCGCTGATCACCAGGATGGAGAAGTGAGCTAAATTTGAGAGAGATTGCCACATTCAAGCATCCACATGTCCTGGTCACATTCCTGTCAGCAAATGCTTTCCTGCTACCATGGGGTGGGTAGCACGGCTAGTCATGGGACATGCATGAAATTGCCAGCAGTTGACCACTTTTTACACACAAAGATAGAATTTTCATACGGCTCATCCTAATACTGCATAGATATGTTTTAAATGAAATTGTTTCTTTTAATCCTCACAATAACTTTAAGAGGTACTAATTTTATGCCTATTTTTAGGAGAGGAAACTGAGGCTCAAAGAGGACGAGTGAGGATTCATACTCAAGTTACTTTGTCATTTGCAGTAATGACATCAGAGTGTCTCTTGGGCAGACTCAAAAGAGTGTCATCTCTTCCCCCTGTGAACATATTTTGTAATGACATTTACTCAACAGTGTGTTGAAATTTGGCTTCCAGTTCATCTGTTAAGACAATGGTTTTGGCCGGGCATGGCGGCTCACGCCTGTAATCCCAGCACTTTGGCAGGCTGAGGTGGGTGAATCACCTGAGGTCAGGAGTTCGAGGCCAGCCTGACCAACATGGCGATACCCCATCTCTACTCAAAATACAAAATTGACTGGGTGTGGTGGCGCATGCCTGTAATCCCAGCTACTCGGGAGGCTGAGGCAGGAGAATCACTTGAACCCAGGAGGCAGAGGTTACAGTGAGCTGAGATCATGCCACTGCACTCCAGCCTGGGCAACAGAGTGAGACTTCGTCTAAAAGAAAAAAAAAAAAGACAGTGGTTCTGAAACTTTTTGCTCTCAAGACCGCTGTACCCTGAAAGATGTTAAGGAGATCTCACAGGGCTTTCCTTTATGGGTTGATGGCTCTGGATATTATCATATTAGAAACTAGAGCTGAGACATTACAAATGCTCATGTAGCCTCTGAACAATTCCATTGTACACTAGTGAGATGGGGAGACTGAAAAACACAAGTAATTCCTCAGTGTTATTATGACAACAGTTTTGGCCTTCTAAACTCCTAAAAGAAGTTTTTTCCTCTCACTTGTTTTCCAGATGGGCGAATCCTACGACACAAACTTTACAAAGAATATCCAGGTAAAAGAAGAAACTGTTCTTTCTTTCCAGAGGGCACAAAAAAAAGGCAGTGAAAGTTTCTTATGTGAAGAAAAAAATAAAAGCCCAGGGCTGAGATATAGGGAACAAAATGGGACCTGGGATTAAGAAACAAAATAGAAGACCTGTGGTCTGATGGTGGGCAGGGAGTTGTGAGTCACAGAGGAGCTCATGGCAAACATGACCTCATGCTGAAGAGCAGAGCCTGGAACTGCTCATATTTAAGCCTCTGCTACTTTCATTCAGAGAATTGGAAAACACGCCTGATACCACTCTTCCATTCATCCATCTAATCATCCATTGATCCATCCATCTCTCCATCTATTATTTCATCCATCCATTCATCCCTCCATCCATCTACCCACCCATCCATCTACCCACCATCCATCCATCCATCCACCGATTCATCCATCCATCCTCTCATTCATCCATTCATATATCCATCTATTCTTTCATTCATCTTCCTGTTTTTTCATCCATTCATTCCTCTATCAATCTATTCATCCATCTATTCATTCTTCCATCCATCCACCCATTCATCCATCCATCCACATATTCATCTATCTTTTCACCCACCCATCTATCCTTTTATCCACCCCTTTATTCCTTCATCCCTCCATCCATCCATCCTTTCATTTACTTACCTATTCACCAATCATCCATTCATCTATCCATCCATCCATTCATACATACATCCTTTCACTTATCCATCTATCCACCCATCTACCTTTTTTTTTTTTTTGAGATGGAGTCTCACTCTGTTGCCTAGGCTGGGGTGCACTGGAGTAATCTTGGCTCACTGCAAACTCTGCCTCCTGGGTTCAAGCAGTTCTCCTGCGTCAGCCTCCCAAATAGCTGGGATTACAGGTGTCCGCCACCATACCTGGATAATTTTTGTATTTTTAGTAGAGACGAGGTTTCACCTTGTTGGCCAGGCTGGTCTTAAACTCCTGACCTCAGGTGATCTGCCCGCCTCGGCCTCCCAAAGTGCTAGATTTACAGGCATGAGCCACTGTGCCTGGCCCCATCCACCCATCTGTCTATCCATTTATCCATCCATCCACTCATCCATCCACCCACCCATCTATGCATCCACCCACCATCCATCCACCCACCCATTCATCTATCCATTCACTCATTCATCCATTCATATATTCATCTAATCTTTCATCCATCCATTTTTTCAAGCATGCATCCATCCATCCATTCCTCCATCGATCTATTCATCCATCTGTTCATTCTTCCATCTATCCATCTATATATTCATCTATCTTTTCATCTACCCATCTATTATTTTATCCACCCTTCTATTCCTTTATCCCTCCATCCAACCATCCTTATATCCACTCATCTATTTGCCCGTACATCCATTCACCCAACCATCCATCCATCTGCCCATTCATCCATTCATGCACATATCCTTGCATTCATTCATCTATCTCTTCTTTCATCCATTCATACATCCATCCATCCACCCATCCACCCATCTACCCATCCATCCATTCACCTATGTATCCATTCATCCATCCACCCATATATCCATCTATCTATTCAGCCATCCAGCCAGCCACTATCCATCCATCTATCCATCCATCCATATATCCATCCGTCCATCCACCCACCCATCTATCCATCCATCCATCCATCCATCCATTCATCTACCCATCTATCCATCTATCCACCCACCCATATATCCATGCATCCATCCATCCATCATTTATCCATTCACCCATTCACCCATCCATCCATCCATCATTTATCCATTCACCCATCCATCCATCCATTCTCCCATCCATCTGATATGTCTTTATCAATAATTTACAGCACATATTTTCTAAGTATTACTCATCAGTCTGTGCTGGGGGTTGGAGCTACATTTGTGAACATGACAGACCCAGTCGCTGCTGTCATGCAGCTAATATCAAGCAGAAAATTCAGACATGAATATAGCCCAAGTGGTTATTTTATGAGAATAGTGACAAGCCTTCCTGACATCACATGCTGGATACTATGAGGACACCTTAGTCCAGGTTGTGAGAAAAGGCTTCCTAAGGAGGAGACATGAAAGCTCAGCCTAAAGAATAAGAAATAGTGGGCAGCAGAATGGCATGTGTGAAGCTCTTGAGGTCGGAAGCAATTTGGCCATCCCCAAAGCTGGAGTGTGTGGTGAGCTGTGGAGGTGGTGGGAGGTAAGACCAGAAACATAGACAGAGCTGGTGACACCAGCTGGGGGGCCTGGGGAGGGAGAGGAGGCACTGCAGGTGGGGACTGAGTGACCTCAGCTGGGGGAGGGAGGAGAGGGCCAGGTCACCAGGCTTCATTTGGCAGTTCCTGGTGAGCCACGGGGGGCATTAGAGCAGGAATAGATACATCTACCCCAACAGAGCTGTGTTCTTTTCACAGAAGGTGACTCAAAGAATGTGGCAGAACCTGGAAGGGGACAACAGAAGCACTTTCAGTAAAGCAACGGCAAGCAGGTGAGTGGGCAGAGAGCAAGAGTCATGGCCAGGGTAAATGTGGGCAGCCAGTGTCCTGGCAGCTTTCACCACCAGGTTGAGGAGCAGGAGGGTGAGAGTAGCGCTTTCCCTACTGGTAGAATTTGAAATTCCCTTCTGCAGTAAGTCCTCACCTAACGTCATCAATAGGTTCTTGGAAACTGACTTTAAATGCAACGACATACTATATGCACTGTATGCCATAGAAGCTTAACTCATTTGTTTGTTTTTTTAAGAGATGGGGTCTCACTCTGTCACCCAGGCTGGAGTGCACTGGCACAATCATTGTTCACTGCAGCCTCAGACTCCTAGGCTCAAGCCATCCTCCTGCCTCAGCTTTAGTCTCAGTAGCTGGGACTACAGACATACACCACCTCACCTGGCTAATTTTTTTTTTGTATTTTTTGTAGAGATGAGTTCTCACTATGTTACTCAGGCTGGTCTTGAACTCCTGGCCTCAAGCAGTCCTCCCACTTTGGCCTCCCAAAGTGCTGGGATTGCAGGCATGAGTCACTGTGCCTGGCCTTAACTCTTGTTTATATCCATTAGCCTATGGTAAAATTGTTTTTGTTATATAGTAGGTCATTTTGCTTAAAGTTGCAGTTTCCAATAAGCTATCCATGATGTTAAATGAGGACCTACTGCAATTTCAAGGCAGGAACGTAGGAGAACTTTGTGTGTGATCAGAAGCAGAAGCAATTCTGTATCCCTCTGAATCAAAAATCCAAGACCAGACTAGGTCGCAACTTTCCTTTTCATTCCTTTGCCTTGATGTCTCCAGGAAGTCTTGTCTATCTCTTCTCATTTCTGTCAAACAATTCTGTTGGGTGCCAACTATCTGATAGTCATGGTTCCAGCCTCTTGGTTGCTCAGCGGTAGTTCATGCCAGGGTGGTATAGTGAACAAATCCCACAGAGCCGCTGCCCTCAGGGAGGCCACATCCTGGTAGGGGACGGCTACACAAGCCAACAGATCAATCAATACAAAGACAGGTGTGGTGAAGAAGTGAACAGGCAATGTGGGGCAGAGTCCCTGGGCAGGAGCAGAGCCTGGGGCAGGGGCTGCTTCGTTTGGGGTCAGGGAAGGCCCTGTGGGGGTTGAAGTCTGAGCCAAGATCCAAGGTGAGAAGGTGCTGCTTGGGGAGGGTCTGGAGGATAGGCGCCCAGGTGGAGGGAGTTGGAAGAGTGAAAGTACTGAGGCAGGAGGGACGCTGGCTTTGGGGAGCCAAAGAAGGCCCCTGGGGTAGACGCAGGAAGGTGGCAGGGAGGCTGACTCCAGAGGAGGCCGCAGGTGAGGCACAGGCTTGCCCTCACGTGCCCTCAAAGGTGAGGCGTAGGTGCATGCAAAGGGCTGTGGAGTTGCAGCCCTAAACCTGAAAATCTACCCAGCCCCTGTGAATGCTGGATAGCCACAGAGGGCAAAAAGGAGCCCCTAAAAGCAGGTGACAGCCTCCCAGGACGTCGCTGAAACGCAAATGTCAGATTGCAGGTTCCAGAATCCTCCCGGAAAATCTGGAGCCCGTAGGGACTGATGCCAGCACGTCTGTTACCTGCTGATGACAGGAGCCGTCCCTGGAGTAGGTCAGATGCAGCTGAGGACTGAGCTTCTAACAGGGAAGAAGGAGGCCAGTGGATGAGGACGAGACCTTGGGAGGCAGTTGAGGATGGCAGTTTGGAAGTTGAGGCTTTTGGGTGGGCGCAGCAGCTCCCGCCTGTAATCTCAACATTTTGGGAGACCGAAGCAGGCATATGGTATAATCCCAGGAGTTCAAGCCCAGCCTGGCCTGGCCAACATGGTGAAACCCTATCTCTACAAAAAAAAATACAAAACTACCCAGGCATGGTGGTGTGCACCTGTGGTCCCAGCTACTTGGGAGGCTGTGGTGGGAGGATCACCTGAGCCTAGGGAGGTTAAGGCTGCAGTGAGCCATGTTTGCACCATTGCACTCCAGCCTGGGTGACAGAGTGAGACCCTGTTTCAAGAAAAAAAAAAAGTACAGCCTTTGGAGCAAGCTAGGTCTGGGTTTAAATTCTTGTTCCAGCACTGTGGATTTAGTAAATAATTTCGGCTCTCCAAGCCTCAGCCTCCTCATCTATAAAATGGAACTGATGGTAGGGGAGGAGTTAGGAACTAAATAAGATGATGCCGTGAAGACGTCACAGTGAGTTCAGAATTGGGTCTTCTCAGAAAGGGGCATCTTCCTGGTGTTTCTGATGGTGGCGGTGGCGGCGGGGAGACGAAAGATTTGTGACTCTGTGGTCTGCCCTGCAGTGGTTCACCCTGACCCTTCTTTGTCTCTGGTCTGCCCTGCAGCGGTTCACCCTGATCCTTCTTTGCTTGCTTTCCAGCTAGGTTGCAAGAACATTCCTCTACTTTCTGCTAAGCCTTGGAAACAGTTGGGAAAAGTAGTTTGACCCTCACAGTTCACATTCAGCTCAGCAGAGCAAGACCCCAGAGATGCTTAGAGACAGGACACCTGGCCATCAAACCCAGTTTGGCCCAGCCTGGTTGGGTGACTTTGTGGGAGCCACTTAACAGCTCTGGGTCCCTGTTTTACCATCCTGGGAGCAAGGCCCTGCAGCTCCACGAGACCTTTACCCCGGGAAGAAGCCGCCACCCATGAAAGCATTTCTGAAGCCCCTTTCTAAGACAAGGCTCAGCATCTTGATATTTTTGACAGATTCCTCCCAAGTCTGGCTCTGGGAGGTATGTACCCATCTCAAATGTTCCCAAGATAAATTCATCCTTCAGGAAATGGAAATGAACTTGCTTACTAATGTGTGATTCCTAGTTGTAGCCACCGGATGTGCTGAGGCCTAAATGTTAGCAGGTGGGAGGAGGCCACAGAACAATAAAAACAACCAAATAAGATGCCGAGTCTCTGGTGTTTTGTGATACTTTGTCACTGTTTAATTCAGGGGTGGGAAGCAGCGTGGGTATTGCTGGGATGAGGTGTCAGCTAGGCTCTGCTCCTGGAACCCTGTGTTAGCATAGAGCCCCTGAAGCAGACCTTGGGAGGGGGATTTGTTGAAAGTGATTCATTAGGGCGGTTCCTGGGAAAAACTGGCATGAGAGTGGGGAAGCGGAACAGGAGGAGACAGTCAGACGAGGGAGAGGTGACGAGGGCCCATGGAGGGCACCTTTGCTGCAATCCCTCTGGGGGTCTTGGAGGAAGCCTGAGTCCCACCAGGGCTGGCTCCAGGGCTGTGCATCCAGAAGGACCCTATGCTTGGTTTAATGATCTGCTGTCACCATTTAAAAACTCTTAGTCATTGTTGAACAAGGGGCCTGCTTGTTCATTTTGCAAATGATGTCGGTAGCCCTGAGCCACACTGTGGAGTCGGTCCCACTGGGGCTGGACAGCGGAACCCGAGTATGCGTAACGCTTCCAGCACCCATCAGTGGGTGGCGAGGCTGCCCCTCCCCCTAAGAGAGGAGGCAGCCCACCTGCTGCCAGGGAGGGAGAGGCACAAAGGCACCCAAGGGGACATCGGCAGAGCCCCTGGGGCACCCCGGGGCTCTCCCATTAAATCATGGGTGCCCCACCTGTGCTAGACGGCTTGCTCGCACTGTCCTGGGGTTGGCTGAAGTCCCCAGGGCTCATCAGAGCTGAGGACAGAGGCCCTAAGGGACTGTGCACCCCCAGCTAGCCACATACAGTGGAAGCAAATAATTACAAGCAGCAGAGACTCCAGGGGGCCTGGCAACGTCTGTGCATCTCTCAGATGAGGAAACTGTGGATCTTGGAGATCTGAAAGGACCCACCCAAAGCTGTGAAGTCAGTAAGAGCCAAAACCAGGATTCCGAGCAGGCAGTCCCACCCCACACTCAGGCTCCAGACAGCCTGCTCTTCTGCTAGCCTGGCCTGTCGGAGCTGACTCCCTCCCGCCACTGAGGTGTAGAAGGGACGCCTGACAGTGTGCCATCCTGCGGAGGACTCTGGAGTGGAAGGGACTGGGCTGAGCTCATCCCTACTCCCTGGAGGGCTGCTCACTAGATGGGGTGGAGACACTAGAGCCTGTTCAGCCTGAGTTCCAATCCTGGGCAAGGCACTTGCCCTCTCAGAGCCTCAGTCTCCTCTTCTCTGAACTGGGTGTAATAAAAGTAGCTGGCTTTCAGAGTTCCTGTAGGTATTGCGTGAGATGCTACATAGTAAGTGCTGAGCACACAGGGATGGTTATAATTATTATCATTAGCCGGGCACAATGCACACTAATTCTCTTAATACAAAACCTCGTGAAAAGAGTATGAACATCCGCATTTTCCAGCTGTAGAAATTCAGCCTCAGAGAAGTTAAGCAAGTTGCCTAGGCTCAAAAAGAAAGCAAATGACAGAGATGGGCTTTGAGCCCAGAGCTTCTGATGCCCAAGACTAGACAGGCTGGTCCTACCTTGTGTTGAGTCCCAACCACCAGCTGGGCGGCCCTCACAGGTTACTGAACATGCCCCAGCCTCAGGGTCCACATTTCTAAAGTGTCAACGAGAACTCCAACCTCATTATGATTATTACTGTGAACTCAGTCACGATCATATGAATGGGACTGGACTGTCAAGATGCAAATACCAAGGCAGGAAGGTGGTCGTATACTGCCAAGTGGTCAAAAATAAGACCTGCTTTCTGCTTTCAAGGAGCCCAAGTCCTTGAGGGAGTGAGAGAAATGAGAGAGTTATGATCCAGGGTGGGGAAGGCACAGATGGGAGCAGGGGCCGGAGGTGCCAAGAGAGCCCAGTGAGGGATGCTAAGCCAAGGCAGAAGGCAGGGAAGGCAGTAATCAGGGAAGACATCCTGGAGGTGGTGATGTGCTAGTTGGTCATAATATCTGAACACTTCTGGGAACGTGTGCATTTCAAGGGGAACTGCTGTCCCTGTTTGGCTTAAGGCAGAGGTTCTCAACCTTGGCACTATTGGTGTTTTGCGCAGGATCATTCTTTGTGGTGGGGGCTGTCCTGTGCAGTGTAGGATGTTGAGCAGCACCCCAGCGTCTACCCACTAGATGCCAGAAGCACCCTCCCCCAAGCTGGGACCACCAAAAATGTGACTTTGCCAAAGTCCCGTGGGGTACAGTTACCCGGTGAGAACTTCTGGTTTAAGCCCAAAATAAGGAAGCTCGACTTTGTATCATTTCACCCGTCAGCAAGTTCTCCCGGGGCACTTTCCCTTAGGCTCACGGTAATTAACTTTTCCACTCACTCATCACTTGTTCATGCACTGACTCATGCACTCATTCTCTCAAGTAATATTCCCAGGCACTAACCACCTTTTCTTTAATCAAATCTGAGGCACCATTTTTTTTTTCACCTTTTGACATTCCTGAAGTTAGGGCTTGTCTTATGGCCAGTGTCCTCCAGGCCCAGACACGAGGGAGGCATCATTGCCTGTACATGTGAATATCAAAACATGTAGGTTGGGTGTCAGCAGCTTGGTGGAAACTTCCAGAAACAACAGAGGAACCAAAAATTCTGCATCACCAATGCTCTCAGAAAGAAGTCCTATGAAATACCTTATCTCATTTATTGCACTTATATTTTTATGTGATACACACATAAGAATGACGCATCATGAGGCCGGGCGCGGTGGCGCAAACCTGTAATCCCAGCACTGTGGGAGGCCGAGATGGGCAGATCATTTGAGGCCAAGAGTTCGAGACCAGCTTGGCCAACATGGCGAAACCTTATCTCTGTTAAAAATACAACAATTAGCCAGCTGTGCTGGCGCACGCCTATAATCCCAGCTACTGGGGAGGCTGAGGCACAACCAGGGAGACAGAGGTTGCAGTGAGCTGAGATTGTGCCACTGCACTCCAGCCTGGAGGACAGAGCAAGACTCTGCCTCAAAAAAAAAAAAAAAAAAAAAAAAAAAAAAAAACGCATGATGAAAACTTATGTCTATGTAAGTCTAAGAAAGGCCTTTAATGACCTTGAAATCAAAAGGGAAAGAGCAAGATGGCCAAATAAAAGCCCACTCCATTCATCTCCCCTGCAGGAACACCAAATTTTAGCAACTAACTACACACAGAAAGCCTCATGACAAGAACAAAAAATCAGGTAAGCAATCACAGTTCCTGGTTTTCACTTCGTGTTGCAGAAAGGGGCATGGAAGAGGCTAGGAAAGACAGTCTTGAATCGCCGGTGCCACCCCTCCTTCATCCCGCAGCAGCAGCCACGAGGCATGGGGAAATCTATGCACTTGGGAGAGGAAGACTGCAGCCACTGGGGGGCTTCACATTGAACTCAGTGTTGCCCTGTCACAGCAGAGAGCAAAGCCGTGGTGGCTTCAGCCAGCGCCCATGCACAGAGGGAGCATTTGGACCAACCCTAGCCAGAGGGGAATTGCCCATCCCAGTGGTCGGAACTTGAGTCTCAGCAAGCCCTGCCACCGTGGACTAAAGTGCTCTGAGGTACTAGGTAAACTTGAAAAGCTGTCTAGGACACAAGGACTGTAATTCCTATGCAACTCCTGGTACTGGGCTGGGCTTAGAGCCAGAGGACCTGTGGGGCACATGACCTAGAGGGACACCAGGCTTCAAGGCTAAGGAAGTGCTTGAACCACCCCTCCTCCAACTCCAGGCAGCACAGTTGGCAGCAATGAAAGTGACTCCTTCCTTCTGCTCAGGGAGAGGAGAGTTAAGAAAAGAGGCCTTTTTACGTTGCATCTTGGAGTCCAGCTCAGCCACAGTTGGAGAGGGCACTGGGCAGAGTCATGAGGCCCCCATTTCAGGCCCTAGCTCGTGGGTGACATTTCTAGGTATACCCTGGGCTAGAAGGGAACCCACTGCCTTGAAGAGAAGGACCTAGTCCTGGCAGGATTCATCACCTGCTCACTAAAGAGCTCTCAGATCCTGAATAACCAACAGTGATCCCCAGGTAATATGCTGTGGGCCTTGGGCCCTGAGAGGTGCTGGTGTCAGGTGTGACCAGTACATTCCCAGCTGTGGTGGCTATAGGGAGAGACCCCTTCTGTTTGAGAAAAGTGGAAGGAAAAGTAACGGGGACTTTGTCTTGCACATTAGGTACCAGTTTGGCCACGGTGGGATAGAGCACCAAGCAGGCCCTTAGGGTCTCTGAGTCCAGGCCTAGGCTCTTGGACAGCATTTCTGGACCTGCCCTGGGCCAGAGGGGAGCCCAGTGCCCTGAAGGGTGAGTCCCAGGCCTGGCAGCATTCATTACAAGCTGACGGAAGAGCCCTTGGGCTTTAAGTGAACACCAGCAATGGCCTGGCAGAACCCCCGACCATGGGCCAGTGGTGACAGTGGCCACAGGGAGAGGCTCCTTTGCCTGTGGAAAGGGGAGGAAAGAGCAGGAAGGACTTTGTCCTGTGGTTTGAGTGCCAGCTTAGCCAGAGCAGAATAGAACACCAGGTAAACGTTTAAGACTGTAATTCCTGGCTCTGAGGCAGCATCTCTGGGCCTATCCAGGGCCTGAGGGAACTCATTGCCCTGAAGGGAGAGACACAAACCTTGCTGGCTTCACCACCTGCTGATCATAGAGCCCTAGGGCCTTGAGTGAACATAGGTGGTAGCCAGGTAGTGGTTACAGTGGGCCTTGGGCAAGACCCAGTGCTGTACTGCCTTCAGGTCTGAACCAGTGCAGTCCCAGTGGTGGTGGCTGCAGGGATGCTTATGTCCCCCAGTCCCAGTTCCAGGTGGCTCAGCACAGATACAGAGACTCCATTTGTTTGGGAGAAAGAAAGATAAAAGAATAAGAATTGCTGCTGGTAATCCAGATAATTCTTCCAGTTCTTATCTAAGACCACCAAGGCTGTACTTCTATGAGTCTGCAAGAACCACAGTGTTACTGAGTTTGTGGCCCTAAGTCCCTTCAAACACCTGGAAAGTCTTCCCGAGAAGGACAGGCAGCCCAGGCCCAGTGGCTCACACTTGTAATCCTAGCACTTTGGGAGGCCAAGGCAGGCAGATTGCTTGAGCCCAGGAGTTCGAGCCTTGGCAACATGGCAAAACCCTGCCTCTACAAAACATACAAAAAGTAGTAGGGTGTGGTGGCATGCACCTGTAGTCCCACCTACTTGGGAGGCTGAGGCAGGAGGATGGCTTGATCCCCGAGGTCAAGCCTGCAGTGAGCTGTGATCACACCGCTGTACTCCAGACTGGGCAACAGAGTGAGACCCTGTCTGGAAAAAAAAAAAAATATGAAGAGGAAGAAGGACAGGTACAAACAAGCCCAGACTGTGAAGACTGTAATAAATACCTAATTCTCCAATGCCCAGACACCAACAAACATCTACAAGAATCAACACCAACAAGGAAAATATGACCTCACCAAATGAACCATAATAAGGCATGAGGGACTAATTCTGACACCTCACCATAAATAAGGCACGAGGGATCAATTCTGGATAAACAGAGGTACGTGATCTCTTTCAGACGGAGAATTCAAGATAGCTGTGTTGAGGAAGCTCAAAGAAATTCAAGATAACGCAGATAAGGAATTCAGAATTCTATCAGATAAATTTAACAAAGGGATTGAAATTATTAAAAAGAATCAAGCAAAAATTCTAGAGTTGAAAAATGCAATTGACATAGTGAAGAATGCATCAGAGTCTCTTAATAACAGAATTGATCGAGCAGAAGAAAGAATTAGTGAGCTTAAAGACAGACTATTTGAAAATACACAGTCAGAGGACAGAAGAAGAAATAATAAAAAAGAATGAAGCATGGCCTACAGGATCTAGATAATAGTCGCAAAAGGGCAAATCTAAGAGTTATTGGCCTTAAAGAGGAGGTAAGTGCCTACATCAAAAAAGAATAAAAACTTCAAATAAATAACATAACAATGCATCTTAAAGAACTAGAAAAGCAAGAGCAAACCAAACCCAAAGTTAGGAGAAGAAAAGAAATCATAAAAGCCAGAGCAGAAATAAATGAATTTGAAATGAAGAAAACAATACAAAAGATCAACAAAGCAAAAAGTTCATTTTTTGAAAAGACAGATAAAATTGACAAGCCTTTACCCAGACTAAGAAAAAAAAAAAATAGAAGACCAAAATAAACAAAATGAGAGATTTAAAAGGAGGCATTCAACTGATACTGCAGAAATTCAAAGAATCATCAGTGGCTACTATGAGCAACTGTATGCCAACCAATTGGAAAATCTAGAGGAAATGGATAAATTCCTACACATATAGAACCTAGCAAGATTGAACCGTGAGTTGGGTGCAGTGGCTGATGCCTGTAATCCCAGCACTTTGGGAAGCCAAGACAGGTGGATAACCTGAGGTCAAGAGTTCAAGACCAGCCTGGGCAACATCTTGAAACCCTAGCTCTACTAAAAATACCAAAATTAGCCAGGCATGGAAGCATGTGACTGTAATCCCAGCTACTCTGGAGGCTGAGGCACAATAATCGCTTGAACCGGGAGGTGGAGGTTGTAGTGAGCCGGGATCACGCCATTGCACTCCAGCCTGGGCAACAGAACAAGACTCTGTTTAAAAAAAAAAAACAAAGATTGAGCCATGAAAAAAATCCAAAACCTGGCTGGGTGCGGTGGCTAATGCCTGTAATCCCAGCACTTTGGGAGGCCAAGGCTGACAGATCACTTGAGGTCAGGAGTTTGAGACCAGCCTGGCTGACATGGTAAAACCCTGTCTTTACTAAAAATACAAAAATTAGGCTGGGCACGGTGGCTCACACCTATAATTCCAGCACTCTGGGAGGCCGAGGCAGGCAGATCATCTGAGGTCAGGAGTTCAAAACCAGCCTGGCCAATATGGTGAAACCCTGTCTCTACAAAAATACAAAAATTAGCTGGGCATGAGGGCAGGTGCCTATAATCCCAGCTACTCGGGAGGCTGAGACATGAGAATTGCTTGAACTGGGAGGTGGAGGTTGCAATGAGCTGAGATCACGCCATTGCACTCCAGCCTGGGCTACAGAGCAAGACTCTGTCTCAAATAATAACAATAATAATACAAAAATTAGCTGGGCACAGTGGTGCACATCTGTAATTCCAGCTACTCAGTAGACTGAGGCATGAGAATTGCTTGAACCCGGGAGGTGGAGGTTGCAGTGAGTCAAGATTGTACCACTTTACTCCAGCCTGGGTGATGGAGTGAGACTCTGTCCCAAAGAAAAAAAAAAGAAAGAAATCCAAAACCTGAACAGACCAATAACAAGTAACAGGATTGAAGTCATAACAAAACGTCTCCCAGTTAGGAAAAGTGCAGGACCTGATGGCTTCACTGCTGAATTCTACCAAACTTTTAAAGAAGAACTAATTCCAATCCTGCTCAAACCATTGTGAAAAATAGAGAAGGGACTACTTCCAAACTCATTCTACAAGGCTAGTATTACCTTGATATCAAAACCAGACAAAGACACATTAAAAAAAACTATAGGCCAATATCTCTGATAAATATTGATGCAAAAATCCTCAACAAAATACTAGGAAATTGAACAGCATATTAAAAAGATCATTCATCATGACCAAGTGGGTTTTATCCCAGGGATGCAAGGATGGTTCAACATCCTCAAATCAATTAATGTGATACATCATATCAACAGAATGAAGGACAAAAACCATATGATCATTTCCATTGATGCTGAAAAAACATTTGATAAAACACAACATCTTTTCATAATAAAAACCCTCAAAAAACTGGATATAGAAGAAACATATCTCAACATAATAAAAGCCATGCATGACAGACCCATAGCTAGTGTCACTAAATGGGGAAAAACTGAAAGCCGTTCCTCAAAGATATGGAACATGATGAAGAGGCCCACTTTCACCACTGCTATTCAACACAGTTCTGAAAGTTCCGGCTACAGCAGTCAGACGAGAGAGAAAAAGGGCATCCAAACTAGAAAGAAAGAAGTCAAATTATACGTTTTTGCAGACGATATGATCTTATATTTGGAAAAACCTAAAGACTCCACCAAAAAACTATTGGAACTGATAAATAAATTCAGTAAAGTTTCAGGATACAAAATCAACATTCAAAAATCAGTAGTTTTTTTCTTTTTTTTGAGACGGAGTCTCGCTGTGTCGCCAGGCTGGAGTGCGGTGGCATGATCTGGGCTCACTGCAACCTCCGCCTCCAGGTTCAAGCAATTCTCCTGCCTCAGCCTCCTGAGTAACTGGGACTACAAGCACACGCTGCCACACCCGGCTAATATATATATATATTTTTTGTATTTTAGTAGAGACAGTGTTTCACCATGTTGCCCAGACTGGTCGCGAACTCCTGAACTCAGGCAATCCGCCTGCCTCGGCCTCCCAAAGTGCTAGGAGTAGAGGCGTGAGCCACGGTGCCTGGCCTAAAATCCATAGTATTTCTATACACCAAAATGAACAATCTGAAAAAGAAATCAGGAAAGTAATCCCGCTTACAATAGCTAAAATTAAATACCTAGGAATAGGCCAGGCGCAGTGGCTCACACCTCTAATCCCAGCACTTTGGGAGGCCGGGGTGGGTGGATCATGAGGTCAGGAGTTCAAGACCAGCCTAGCCAACATGGTGAAACGCTGTCTCTACTAAAAATACAAAAATTAGCCGGACGTGGTGGTGCATGCCTGTAATCCCAGCTACTCAGGAGGCTGAGGCAGAAGAATTGCTTGAACCTGGGAGGCAGAGGTTGCAGTAAGCTGAGATCGCGCCACTGCACTCCAGCCTGGGGGACAGAGCGAGACTCCATCTCAAAAACAAACAAACAAACAAACAAAAAAAACCTAGGAATTAACCAAAGAAGTGAAAGAGCTCGGCAATGAAAACTTTAAATCACTGATGCAAGAAATGGAAATGGACCCACCAAAAAGAGAAAGATATTCCACGTTCGTGGATTGGAAGAGTCAATGTTAAAATGTCCAAAGTATCCAAAGCAATCTACAGATTTATGCAATCCCTATCAAAATACCGATGACATTCTTCATAGAAATAAAAAAAAATCCTAAAATTATATGGAACCACAAAAGACCTAGAATAGCCAAAGCTATCCTGAGCAAAAAGAAAAAAACTGGAAGAATCACTTTACCTGACTTCATATCATACTACAGAGCCATAGTAACCAAAACAACGTGGTACTAGCATAAAAATAGACACATAGACCAATGGAACAGAATAGAGAACCCGGAAACAAATCCATACCCCTACAGTGAACTCATTTTGTTTCCACATGTACCCACAAAAAGTTTAAATTAAAAAAATTAACTCTAATATTTTTTAAGGTGAAAGCATTATAATATCAGACTGGTTAGTTGTGCTTTTTCTTTTAATTGTGTATAAAGTTGCACATGAGTTGTGGTGTCTGCTGCCTGTCGCTGTTCCAGCCTGGAACAGCCTAGAAACCGCCCCTGCTGCCTATAGTCTAGTGGGACACAGTACATGGAGAAGCAGGGATTTGAACCATGGCCTGCTGATTCCCAGGGGCTCTCCCCTTCATCATGCTGCCCCTGGGATGGCTAAAGAGCCTCCCTTCCCTCCTCCCTGGCCTTTCCTGCTTCCTCCCTGCACGGGAGGAGAGACACAGATGGATCAGTGATCGCAGGCAGATGGTGTGTGCCTGGCCCGTCTGGTCTGGGAAGCAGCTGTATGTTTTTGGCTTTGAACCTAGTACAGTTTCCCCTTGAGATCCTCCCTTGGACCTGACTGTTTTGGAGACAGATGACAGTGTCTCTCTCCTGAGCTGAAATCTGAGCAGACACCCGGCTGCCTCAGGTTGTTGGAGTGCTCTGGACTGGAGCTGAGTTCCATGGTGGCCCTACTGGTCCTTAGCTGCGTATCCCTGGACAAAGAGCTTAGCCACCCTGATCCTCAGTTTCCACTGCTTTGAAACGGGGGGTAACATCTGCCGTGCCTTCCATAGGACCAGATGAGATGAGGGTGTGAAAACGGTCAGGAAACTTACAAGGCTGGGAGGCAAAGAAACACAGAAGGGTCACTGAAGACCCCAGCCAGGGACTCAAAGGCGCTGAGAGGCTGGATGACCACTGCACTTTGGTGACGATGACAGAAACCCAGCGGGAACCAGTCGGGGCAGATGGGGCCACGTGATGAGCCGTGTGAAGGAGTGGCGAGGGGCTGTGGCCCTGGGCTGATGGGGTTCAAGACTTGGCTCTGAAAGAAGAACAAATTTGTTCCCTTTTATTGCCATTAATTGTCAAAGTCAAATTGTATTTTATACTAAGGTCATTTGGCTGGATTTTTTTCTTTAAAGAATTTTTTTAAAAAAACTTCTTGCTTTGAAATTCTGATAAATTTACAAGACATGCAAAGAAATATACAGGGAGGTCCTGGTCCCTCCACCCCTCCTCCCCCATGGTAACATCTCACACGGTTACGACATGACATCAAAACCGGGAAGGTGACGCTGGCAATCTCCATGGAGCATACTCATCTGTGTCCCACTCTGCACGGGTGTGTGTGTGCGTGCGTGTGTGTGTGTCTTTGCACGTGTGTGTAGCTCTGTGATCTTGCTGCATGAGCAACCATCACCATCAAAAGATCCTGACTGCACTGTCACCTCCTCCTCACTAGGTGGTTTTATTACCCACGTGTGGATGGAATATGAGGAAGACGGGAGTATGTGGCAATCTCCCCACGGCCTCACAGCTGGAAACTGGCGGGGCAGGTTGTTGGGACATCAGAGCCCCACCTCCCGTTCTCCCACTCTTCCAGGAACAGAAGGAGGCCAGCCCCACTTCTCTGAACCCCTGTCTGGAGTTTTCTCTCTTGCAGCACAAGTTCTCCTGTATTGAGGAAGCAATTTCTCAGTTGCGGCCACCTCTCTAACCACCTGGGGACGGTTCCACAGCCACAGGGAGCAGGGGTGGCCAGAGGCTGAGAGGACTCTGTCCCTCCTGACAGCAAACAGGGTCTCAAAGCATGGCTGCGGGATGGGCCCCTGGGTGCTTTGGGTCCCCACTGCAAGACGGGGCACCGGGACGCTGGAAACTAGTGGGCAAGCCTGTGGGCCCCTCCAGGCCTGCTGGAGACAAAGCACCTCCCGCCATCCAAGGACCCTGAAAGCAGCTTTTTCCGTAAGGGCAAACTTAACTAAATCATCCCTTTGGGCCGGGCATGATGGCTCATGCCTATAATCCCAGCACTTTGGGAGAATGAGGTGGGAGGATTGCTTGAGCCCAGGAGTTCAAGGCCAGCCTGGGCAACAAAGTGAGACTCTGTCTCTTAAAAAAAAGAAAAAAAAATCAGGCATGGTGGTGCACAACTTCAGGTCCCAGCACAGGAGGCTGAGGTGAGAGGATCGCTTGAGCCCAGGAGGTCGAGGCTGCAGTGAGCCATGATTGTGCCACTGCACTCCAGCCTGGATGCCAAAGCAAGACCCTGTCTCAGAAAAATAATAATAATAATAATAATAATAATCCCTTTGGACTTTGGTTATTCGGATGTGGCCACATTCCCTCCCAGGTTGCTTTCCATCTGAGTTGCCAGTATAAGCTCGCACCCTGAGCCTTTTTTCTAGAACATTCTCACAGATATCAGTAAGTTGGTCCAAAGAGAAGGCAGGTGGGTTCATTTCAGGTGACTGTCTTTCAGGACAAACCTGATCTTACAGCCCCCACAGAGGTTCTTCCCGTGCAGACACCTGGAGTAGGAGCCTGAGTGAAAAGGAGCCCAGCCCCCAAAACATCCTTCCTGCAGGCCCCTGTGAGCTGCCTGAAGTTCCACCATTACAGAACCATCTTTTGTTGACAGCTGCGAGGCCTGTTAGACTGTGGACTTCTCTGGGAGAGGCTGCTGTAATCTAAGCCGTTAGGGAATCCCGCCCTTCAGTTTACGTTCTGGAGTGAAGCCACACAGGTGCGTCGCTGATCATGGCCACCGAGGTAAGAGGTAGGAGAGGGTCATACTGGGATCTGGGCCTCCAGTCGAGATGAGGAGTCAGGGCGGCCTTCCCAGAGGAGGCAACGTTTGAGCAAAGTTTCTGAGTATGAGTTTCTGTGGCTGCTGTTAACAAATGCCCACACACCAAGTGGTTTGAAACAACAGTCATGCATTCACACTGTTCTGGAGGCCAGAAAGCCAAAACCAAGGTGTTGACACGGCTGGGTCATTCCGGAGGCTCTAAGGGAGAATCCAACCCGTGCCTCTCTCCGGGCTTCGAGGGAGAATCTGCCCGGCGCCTCTCTCCCGGCTTCCGATGGCAGCCGGCCACTTCAGTACTCCCGGCCTTGAGGATGTGCCTCTCCCATCTCTGCAGCGTCTTCCCGTGGCCTTTGCCTCTGTCTCCGTGTCCCAGATTTCCCTCTGATTTCTCTTTGAAGGACACCTGTCATTGGATTTAGGGCCCTCTTAAGTCCAGGATAATCTCCTCTTGAGACCTTTAACTTCATCCCATCTGCAAAGTCCCTATTTCCAAATGAGGTCACATCCGCAGGTTCTGGGGGTTAGGACATGGGCATTCTGGGGAGACGTCATTGAACCCCCAGCAGGGAGCAAGCGGCTAGGTCAGGAGAGGGAAGAGGGGTAAAGGCATTCCAGGCAGAGGGAAGAACATTGAAAAAGGCATGGAGAAGAGAAGTTCAAGGACCTCCAAGCAGGTGGGCATGGCCAGGGAAAGGGGGCACCCAAGAGTGAGAGGATGTGGGGCTAGAAAGCTAAGCAGGTGCCAGCCGGTTCACACGCTGAGTTTGAACTTGACCCTGTTGACCTAAAGGAAAAAAAAAAAACAACGGAGGAAAAAATGACTTAATTACTTAGTTAAATTAAGTAGAGAGTTTATTTGGGCCAAGCTTGAGGATTTCAACCTGAGAGTATGGACTCAAGCTGCTCTGAATATAAAGTCCACTCAGCAGCAGTTACAAGTAGGTTTTTAAAGGAAAAAAGGAAAGGCAGTTCCCAAGCTGTTTACCAAGAATTTATATGAAAATAATAGAAACTATTGCTTGGCTAGGCATTGTTCTTTGTGTCACAAATTCCCAGAACATGAAGATAGCGGGTGAGGCAGCAAGTCAGGAACAAAATGCCTTTAACTACCCCTAGGCCTGGGGGTGACGGCATGACTGAGGTCCCACACTCTCGTCTTTCCGAGCCTGATGAATTCTGCACATCCCAGGAAGCTCAGACTCCAAGCCATTTCTTTTTTCTCACCCCTGAAAATAATGTGGAGATGCTGAAAGTTTTACCTGGGTCATTATGTCACCGACTCTCCCCACACCCCTGAGAGGTGGGAATTATGGCCCCATTCACAAATGGAGACTGAGGCCCAGGGAGGTGAAGTCACTTGCCCAAGAGCGGATCCTTGGAGAAATGGCAGGGGTGGGATTGGAGCTCAGGCCTCATCTAACTGCATGAGTGGGAAGATGGAGGCAGCAGGGTTCTGGGTGTCTGTGGCAGGCAGAGGTGGGTTATCCAGGAGAAAGGAAGGAAGCAAGGCTTTTGGGACTGGGTGCCAGGCCCACCGTCCCATCACGCTGGGCCCGGGGTCCTCATGGTCTTCGTATGAGACCCACCTCCTTGGCTACAGCTGATTGGTCCAGAAACATGTCACCTGACTCAAGCTGAGCCAATTCTATTTCCCTTCCAAGAATGTGCTCTTGAGTCTTTTTTTTCTTTTTTCTGAGACAGAGTCTCGCTCTGTTGCCCAGGCTGGAGTGCAGTGGTGCGATCACAGCTCACTGCAGCCTCTGCCTCCTGGGTTTACGCTATCCTCCTGCCTCAGCCTCCCAAGTAGCTGGGATTACAGGCGCCCACCACCACACCCAGCTAATTTTTTATATTTTTAGTAGAGACAGGGTTTCACTGTGTTAGCTAGGATGGTCTCGATCTCCTGACCTCGTGATCTGCCTGCCTCGGCCTCCCAAAGTGCTGGGATTATAGGCGTGAGCCACTGCACCCAGCTCTTTTTTCCTTTTTTTTGAGGCAGGGTCTCACTCTATTGCCCAGGCTGGAGTGCTGTAGCATAATAATGGCTCACTGCAGCCTCGACCTCCTGGGTTCAAGTGATCCTCCTGCTTCAGCCTCCTGAGTAGCTGGGACCACAGGTGCACGCCACCACACCTGGCTAATTTTTGTATTTTTCTGTAGAGATGGTGTCTCGCTATGCTGCCCAGGCTGGTCTCGAACTCCTGGGCTCAGGCGATTCACTCACCTCGGCCTCTCAAAGTCCTGGGATTACAGGTGTGAGCCACCGTGCCTGGCCTTCTCTTGAGTCTTTGATGCTAGAAGGTGATGCACAGGGCAAGTGATTTAGAGCCTGGCTCCGGACTGAGGCATTCAGCGGCGTGGGTTCAGGCAGCTTCTTTTACCACTTCTCTGTGAACCTCTCTGTGTTGCTTCCATTTCCTTCTCTGGAAGTGAGAAAGATGAAACCAGCACTTTCCTCCCGGCCTATGGTGGAACTAAGTGATACTTAGTGTTCCGCTTATGGAGGAAATGGTGACACTTCCTGATGTAGGTTTGGCACTCGGAAAGCGCTGGGCAAAACTTAGTCCTAACCTGGTGGCTGTCTGAACAGAGAGGATGGAACTTGGAGCTCCTGCCTTTAATCTTTGATATGAGGGGGAGGGGGAGAGAGAAAGAGACAGAGAAACCAAGAGAGGAGGAGGAAGAGGAGAGAGAAAGAGACCCACAGACAGGGAGCGGGGGAGAGGAGAGAGACAGAGAAAGAAAAGCCACCTTCTCCATTTTCTTTGGTTTCCCAGCCACCATGACAGTTTTCTAGGACTTGCTTCCAGTTGTTAGGAGATGGGGCTGCCCTCTTTGAACTTGGGTTCCAGGCAATGAGTCCATGGTCCCCGGTAGCCAGCACCCCTGATTCTGGCTTAGGCTAGCACACGTGGATTTCTGTTATTTGCAATCAAAACCAAACCAAACCAACACTCAGAAAACACTTCGACTGAGACAGTTTGGCAGGCCAAGAGCCCCATGAACTCTATTGGAAACCCCTTTGATCTGGATGCCAGGGAATTCTTGCCCCAGACCCTGTCCCCACGTAAAGAAAAACCCAGCAGGCCCGAACCTCGGTGTGGGGCAGCCACGGGAGCTCCTAGGCAGCCCTCCTGGCTGTGCCGGCCGACAGGCCTTCTGTCATGCATCCCATACCCACACCTCCTACTCCCAGATGGGCAGGTTTCTGGCAAGTTCCACACTCAACCCAGGAACCCGTTGAGCAGGTGCCTTGAAATGGACAGTACCCCTACACACTGGGCACAGGAGGGCCTTCCCTGGCCAGGTGGGGACTGCAGAATGTGTGAGCAAAGAGCAAATTCGGGTAATTACAGCTTCATTAACTACCCACCAGGCTGAGTGCCACTCAGCATCCGTGATCTCAACAACCAGCCCAGCTGGGAAGATGCCAGTATCCCCATTGGATGGGAGAAAGAACCAAGGCTTCGATATCCTAATAAGTCAGCCTCTTACTCTAGGTCAAATAGTTACTAAGTCAGGGAGCCAGAACATTTTGTGTCTACGTGAAGTAAGGCTTATTATTAACATTTTAAAATATAAACAGTGCATGAAAAACAGTGTACTAGGTGGCTTTGCACTTCTCACCAGCTGCCACTGTTTTACCTTCAACTTTTTGCAGGAACAGGAGCTGGAATATTTTAAAGCAAATCTCAGATATCACTTATGTCACCTGCAAATGCATCAGAATATGCATCTTGAATACATGAGGATAATGTATTCATTTCTCTTTCTTAACATACCCATGAGGTCATTATCACTAGACCACTTGGTTTGGGAAGTTCCAGCTGGGACCACCACAGCTTTATCCTAGGAGGGACCAGGGCAGTACCAGCCTAGTCCTCGTCTCCCTCAGTGGTCAAAAGTTCACAAGAGGCCAGGCACGGTGGCTCACACCTGCTCTCCCAGCACTTTAGGAGACCAAAGTGGAATGATTGCTCGAGCTCAAGACCAGCTTGGGCAACAGAGGGAGACCCCATATCTACGTGAAATTTAAAATTAAATTTAAAAATTAGCCTGGTGTGGTGGCACTCACCTGTGGTCCCAGCTATTTGGGAGGCTGAAGTGGGAGGATTGCTTGAGCCTGGGAGGTGGAGGCTGCAATGGGCTGTGACGGCGCCACTGCATTCCAGCCTGGGCAACACAACAAGACCCTGTTTCAAAAAAAAAATTACAAGAGCAGCAGTTCCCAAAGTGAGGTTCCTAGACCCAGCAGAATCCATGTCACTAGAGTCCGCATTAGAAAGGCAGAATCTCACGCCCACTCCAGACCTGTTAAGCCAGATACTGCAGCCTTGGACCTGGCAAACCTCATTTGTTTCTGTGTTTTTCCTAATCTCATGACAGGATATGGCAATCTGTGTTTTAACTCACCCTCCAGGTGATCCTGATGCCAACCCCAGTTCTAGAACTGCTGCTCTAGAGAGAAACAGGTGACACAAAGAGATGGCTCCACTCTTGCATTCAGGGTATTCTTTTATGTTTATTTTTTATTTTTCTTAAACAGGATCTCACTCTGTCACCCAGGCTGGAGTGCTGTTGCACGATCTCGGCTCACTGCAACCTCCGCCTCCAGGGTTCAAGCTATTCTCATGTCTCAGCCTCCAGAGTAACTGGGATTACAAGCACGCCAACACACCCGGCTAATTGTTGTATTTTTAGTAGAGATGGGGTTTCGCCATGTTGGCCAGGCTGGTCTCAAACTCCTGACCCCAAGTGATCCGCTCACCTCAGCCTCCTAAAGTGCTGAGATTATAGGCATGAGCCACTGTGACCGGCCTCAATCAGTTTATTCTTTGTGCATGTTCTGGCTTCTTCTCCAAAGGATGCTGAGGACTAGTCCTGAGCAGTCTTGTCCTGCAGTTAGATGCATTGGCCCTGGAGCCCACCGTCAGCAAGTAAGACCCGACTCTTCCTCTCATTGCCCAGGTGACCTCTGTGCCTTGGTCT
Source organism: Homo sapiens (assembly GCF_000001405.40). Taxonomy (NCBI): domain Eukaryota; kingdom Metazoa; phylum Chordata; class Mammalia; order Primates; family Hominidae; genus Homo; species Homo sapiens. Next base: position 84,346,801 of record NC_000016.10, read on the forward strand.
CCTCTTTCATAAAATGTGTGCGAATAATAGCACTTGCTTCACACGCTGCTCATGAGGAGCAAACCAGCTAAGGTACAGGAACTGCTTAGAATGGTTCCTAGTGCATAGAAAGCGTTCGTTAAGGCAAAGATGTCCTGTTCTTACCAAAACGGCGATGTCTGTTACCAAAACGGAGATGGCCGGATCGCTAGGCTGCCATAGGACCCCGGGAGTGAGATCACAGCAAGTCACTAGGAGTCTGTTGTGCAAGGGAAGGGCTGGGAGAGAACAGAAGGAGACTGGGGGCTTCTTTTACAGCTTTGGGGAGTGCAGGATTAAAGAGGGGCTCAAAGGGTGCCCTCAACCTGAGGGCTCCAGGCAGAGCAGGCGTCTCCGAGGTGGGGAGGCTGCAGGCGGTGACTTGGCAGGAGGTGGTGAGGACTGAGCTTGGGTTGCCCGGAGCAATGCTCCTGAGATGCCCCACAAGCAACCCCTGGGGACCTGCTTCCCAAAACCCCGGAGAGGACGAGAGGGGGCCCACTAGCTGGAAGAGCTGAGATGCCTCCAGAAGTCTCTAGAATGTTCTGTCCTCCCCAGGCCCAGTGGGGAGACGAGAGACTCAAGCAATTGAGGAGTGTGGGGTTCCCCAGACACCCGGGAAGGCAGAGGGTCAGGAGGTCAGGGCTGGGTTCTGAGCAAACCCCAGTGCCACCGTTGTCCCAGGTTTGATTGTCCCCAAGCCTCAGGAAACCAGTTGTGTACTGTGATTTAAGTAGGACATGGGGCTGGGCACAGTGGCTCATGCCTGGAATCCCAGCACTTTGGGAGGCCAAGGCAGGTGGGTCACCTGCAGTCAGGCATTTTGAGACCAGCCTGGCCAATATGGTGAAACCCTGTCTCTAATTAAAAAAAAAAAAAATAGCCAGGCATGGTGGCACACACCTGTAATCCCAGCTACTCGAGAGGCTGAGGCAGGAGAATCGCTTGACTCCGGGAGGCAGAGGTTGCAGTGAGCCAAGATCGCACCACTGCACTCCAGCCTGGGGAACAGAGCAAGACTCTGTCTCATAATAAAAAATAAATAAATAAAAAGGACATGGGCTCTCAAACTCTGTCTAGCAGAGGGATAGACACCTTGTCTCCTTTATACTCATGCACGAGGGAGACACTGAAACCTCCCCAGTTGTCCATCTTAGCAAAGAAAACTCATAGGCTTTACACCTTGGGAAGGACAGAAATTCCAACTGAATAAGGCAACGAGTTATGAAATGAGACGGCTGATCCAAACGCAGACATTTCAGAGGTTCATGATATGAACTCAGGAGGTTGGTTTGTTTGAGACAAGGTCTCGCTCTGTCTCTCAGGCCGGAGTACAGTGGCATGAGGAAAGCTCACTGCAGCCTCGACCCCCCAGGCTCAGGCGATCCTCCTGCCTCAGCCTGCCAAGTAGTGGGAACTACAGGTGCAATCACCACGCATAGCTAATTTTCTATGTTTTGTAGAGACGGGGGGTCTCGCTGTTTTGCCCAGGATGGTCTCAAATTCCTGGGCTCCAGTGATCCTTCCACCCTGGCTTCCTAGGATTACAGGTGTAAGCCACTGCACTCGGCCAAGATATTTTATTTTAAAAAATTTTTATTTTATATTTATATCAGCTAGCCCTGACCACTGGAAAGGCCTAGAAAAAGTAGTCGCCTCAGTAGCCTAACACACCAATTATGGTCTTGAAATGCCGTTTCTCATTTCAAACACTAAAATTAAAAAGCACGGTGTCTTGGAGAAATAGCTGACTCCAGGACTGGAAAGGTGCCAGCCAGTGTACAAGACAAGGCTGAATTATCTTATTACACCAGATAGCAAAGAATTATGCCAAAGAACTCAGGGCCAATCCGAAGTCATTCCCACCAGCCAAAGCTGTGTGACCATGTGAGCTTCAATATGAATAATATTTGCAATGGATGGAAATGCACCTATGTTTAAACTCACGAGTTCACAAATGTATTTTTAAAACTTGCATATGTACATGTGATTTAAAAAAAGAAAAATAAAAAATATAAAGACTATCTGATCACTTTCAGAGGATGATGAGAAACCAACATGTTATCTTGAAAAGTGGCTAATAAAGGGAAGGAATCCAGCAATTCTTCTGCCTTTCCTGTACCAATCGGTAACAAAATTGCAGATGAAGAAATGCCTCTTTTTATAGAAGTATTCCAATCAATAAATTTAAAAGCAATGGTGGAGTAGTACAGTTTTGCAATCCCCAGTGAGTTAGTGAATCTAGGCTTTGAGCAACGACAAGTACATTACAAAGAGAGACGCTCCCCAGGCATCCTGAGCCTCCTGATGCAGGAGCACAGAACCAAAGCCATCCATCCAGAGGCTGGGCAACCCTCTGGATCCCAATTTGCAGGGAATAGTGAGGACAGAGGGATAGGCAGAACGGCACTGGGAACATGCAACCAGCAAAATCCAGACTGTGGCCAGGCATGGTGGCTCACACCTGTAATCCCAGCACTTTGGGAGGTCAAGGCGGGCGGATCACCTGAGGTTGGAAGTTCGAGACCAGCCTGACCAACATGGAGAAAGCCCATCTCTACTAAAAATACAAAATCAGCCGGGCTTGGTGGCACAGGCCTGGAATCCCAGCTACTTGGGAGGCTGAGGCAAGAGAATCACTTGAACCCAGGAGGCAGAGGTTGTGGTGAGCAGTGATCGCACCACTGCATTCCAGCTGGGCAACAGAGCGAAACTCCGTCTCGAAAAAATAAAAAAAAATCCAGACTATAGGAGTGCACAGGTCAAACGGCCAGGATTCTTCAACAGATAAACTGTAAGCAAGAAAGATGGATCGTGTGTTAGACAGAATAATGGCTCCCAAAAGATGTCCATGTCCTAATCCCCTGAACCTGGGAATGTGTCCGCTGAAGGGTAGAAGGGGCTTCCCAGGTGCGATTGTGTTGAGGATCCTGAGATGGAGAGAGGAGCCTGGATTAGCCAGGTGGGTCCAATGTCATCACAAGGATCCTTATAAGGGTTGTAGGTGGGGAGTGTGTGCGGTTAGAGTCAGAGAGGAGAGGGGATGACAGAAACTGAGTTCAGAAAGATTGGGGGAGGGAGAGAGGGAGGAAGAGAGATTTGAAGATGGAGGAAGGGGCCATGAGCCAAGTATCACAGGCAGCTTCTAGAAGCAGAAAAAGACAAGAAAACAGATCCCACCCCCTTCAAGTTTCCAGAAGGAACACAGCCCTGCTGACACACCTTGCACGTCGACTTTGGCCCAGTAAGACTGTTTTGGATATCTGACCTCTGAAACTGTAAGACAACCAACTTGTGTTGTTTTAAGCCAGTAAATGTGTAATAATCTGTTACAGCAGCAACGGAAACTAAGACAGATGGGAAACCTATAGGCTAAAGACAAGTAACAGACATGGCAAATTCACAAAACGGGCACAACCAAACCAGAGTGTGTAGGCAGGCGAGGAAGGGATGAGCATGTGAATGTCACAGTCAGGAGAATGGCCACATTCGGAGGAGGGTGCAGACTGCGGGGCAGGGACAGGGCCTGCGGGGAGCTCGCAGGGATGGGGGCAAAGTTCCTCTTTGTCCTGGCTGCTGGCTTCTAGGGTTCATTAAGCTGCACCTTTGTTTGGGGTGTTCCCAATGACTGTTTGAGTTTACATTTAACAAGGTAAAAATAGTAACCGTGGCAAGGACAGTTTTAGGGTGTAGAATAGGACCTCTCTCTCTCTCTCTCTGCAGCTGTACAAGCAGCAGCAACATTTTCTTCTGATCTGAGATTTCTTTCAGCAGCAGCAGCAGTAGCACACAAATCAGTGCAGAGAGAAAAGAAAGGCCGGTCTTCAGAGCTCATGACTTACATTCTGCAAAGAGGTGGGCAGAGCAGGCTCACCCTCAAATGGAATATGGGGTGTGCAATATTTTGTAAAAGCCCAGCGTAAAAATGTAAAGCCCAGTGCGGCAGATGAGCCAGGCACCCCCTCCATCCCGCACCCATTCATCTCTCCTTGCAGAAGGCTGCCTCCGGGCCGGTGATGCAGGGGCTTATGCCTATAATCCCTGCACTTTGCGAGGCTGAGGAGGGTGGATCACTTGAGGTCGGGAGTTTCAGACCAGCCTGGCCAACATGGTAAAACCCCATCTTTACTAAAAATACAGAAAATTAGCCAAGAATGGTGGCAGGCGCCTGTAATCCCAGCTACTCGGGAGGGTGAGGCAGGAGAACCACTTGAACCCAGGAGGTGGAGGTTGCAGGGATCCAAGATCACGCCACTGCGCTCCAGCCTGGGCGACAGAGTGAGACTCCATCTCAAAAAAAAAAAAAAAAGAAGTCTGCCTCCTGAGGTCATATGAGACCGGGACACCCTGCCTGAGGGCTGCCTTTCTGGCTGCAGAAGCAGGCCCAGCCCGTGTACCTCATGGCAGACCAGAGGCGGTGCCTGAGAAGCAGCCCTCAACCTGGGAGGGATGGAAGTTGGGGATCAATACCCCAGGCTCCCCACCCCTTGGTAGGGATAACTCTGTGTTCTATACCATCTCACAGACATCCCCTGCAACACTGAGCTCCTATTGCCCATAGTGGTGACGGGCTCAGTGATGCTCCCTCTGTGGGGAGCATAATTCACGCCAGGGTTACCTCCCAAATATACCCGCTTGCATTCAAATCTTCCTCTCAGGATTTGCCTCTGGGGAACCCAAAACAAGGCACTAAAAGTATAATAAGATGGGAGGAGATGGTTAATATATATATGTATATAAATGTATGTGTGTGTATACACATATACATACATATATACACACATACATACATATATACACATATACATACATATGTATACATACACATACATATGCATATATATATGTAGAGACAGGTCTCACTAATCCTCTAAGGTAATCCTCTCACCTTGACCTTTCAAAGTGCTCGGATGAGAGGCATGAGCCACCGCACTCAGCCAGATGATTAATATAGAACACCTAGTCACAGAGAACCTCTGTGGCCTTTACCTGGCTGCTTCTACCGCCACCACCGCCCCACTCCTAGCTCCTCCCACAATATATGGCACCTGATGGGCACTTAGTAACTATTTTGCTGCATGGGCAGGTGGATGGATGAAAGACAGTGACTCCCCTCCCATTAGAGAAGTTGAGAAAGGCCGGGTGCGGTGGCTCATGTCTGCAATCCCACCACTTTGGGAGGCCAAGCCGGGCGGACCACTGAAGGTTAGGAGTTCAAGACCAGCCTGACCAATATGGTGAAACCCCATTTCTACTAAAAATGCAAAAATTAGCCGGGTATGGTGGCATGCACCTGTAGTCCCAGCTACTCAGGAGGCTGAGACAGGAGAATCACTTGAACCTGGGAGGCAGAGGTTGCAGTGGGCTGAGATTGAGCCACAGCACTCCAGCCTGGGTGACAGTGTGAGACTCCGTCTCAAAAAAAAAAAAAAAAAAAAAACAAGAGAAGTTGAGAAAGACAGATCTTTCCTCTCCCTGCCCCTATGTCCTGACAAGGCTGCTGGCCAGGTGAGGGTGGTGGAGCTTCTGGCTTACTGGCCACCCTCACCTCAAGTTCCCTTGTTTCCTTCCCAATTTCCAAACCTGAACCTCTGCCCTTCTCCTCTTCATTATGTGAGGTGCTGATCCTTCCACTAAATTCCCTTTTTTGCTTTGCTTAATAGAGCCAGAGTCAGTTCGGTTGCTTGTAACCAGGCGATTTCCAACTGATACTGCCAGGTGAAGCTCAGCAGGTACGGAATGTTAAATAGAGCATTGAGTGTCCTGACAGCTAAGACACAAGTCCAATGTGGAGAAACTCTATCTACCCAGGGCTTCTTCAGGGCCAGGTAATACTCACGTAGCCTTCATCACCATCTGTAAGGTGTGTGTAACCCTTTTAGAAATAAGAGAGCCCAAGGCTCCAGTACATGGCCCAAAGTCCCAAAGCCTGGAGGAAGATCAGCTGGGGTACAGTTCATCATGAGAGAAGAGAGAAACAGTTTTTATGTTTTTTTGTTGTTTTTTTTTGTTGTTGTTGCTGTTGTTCTATTCAGCCAGATGTGGTGGCTCAGGCCTGTAATCCCAGCACTTTGGGAGGCCAAGGCGGGCAGATCACCTGAGGTCAGGAATTCGAGACCAGTCTGACCATCATGGTGAAACTCTGTCTCTAGTAAAAATACAAAAATTAGCTGGGCGTGGTGGTGCACGCCTGTAGTCCCAGCTACTCAGGAGGCTGAGGCAGGAAAATTGCTTGAACCCAGCAGGCGTAGGTTGCAGTGAGCCAAGATCATGCCACTGCACTCCAGCCTGGGCGACACAGCAAGACTACATCTCAAAAAAAAAAAAAAAAAAAAAAAGTGATATCGTATGATGCTGGCCAGGTCCTGAGAAATAAATGGAATTGTATTTTTAAATGAAAACACATTTATGAAACACTTAAAACATTAACAAAATAAACAAACTAATGCAATAACTTCAGGAGGGTAGAATTTTCACAGGGGAAGTGGTTGTTTTTGGGCATCCCAGTTCAGCATTCGGGTTCAAGGTCGTAAGCAGCCTTAGGCTGGGAGTTTTCGCCTGACCTCATGTATTCTGGGCCCATTCAGTCCTTAGCAGCCCTGAGTGGGGGGCAGTATTCTCCTTCCATTCCAACTTGTGAGAAATGAGGCCGGGCGCGGTGGCTCATGCCTGTAATCCCAGCACTTTGGGAGGCCGAGGCGGGTAGATCACCTGAGGTCAGGAGTTCGAGACCTGCCTGGCCAACATAGTGAAACCCCGTTTCTACTAAAAATACAAAAAGTAGCTGGACATGGTGGTGGGCGCCTGTAATCCCAGCTACTCAGGAAGCTGGGGCACGAGAATTGCTTGAGCCCAGGAGGCGGAGGTTGCAGTGAGCCAAGATTGCGCCGCTGCACTCCAGCCTTGGCGACAAGAGCGAAACTGTCTCAAAAGAAAGAAAAGAAATGAGGCTCAGGGAGTGGCGCAATTTGTCAAGAACTCCCAGAAGTCACAGGTAAAGTAAGCATTGACCCAGAGTGAATTTAGTTTTCTAAATGTCCATGCCTACCCTCTGTTGAAAGGGTTCCCACCCTGTGTTCTCCCTGGCCTGACTTGGCCCCAAGGACCCATGGAGGGGCCTGAAGCTCCTGGGCTCTGGTGAGCAGCTCTCAGTGGCGGGACTCCCACATGGGCACCAAGGACCCCTTCCCCAGGCAGGACCCAGCAGTGCAACCATGGGCACTCACAACCCCCTTCAGTGTCTTTGTGGGGGTTGGAGAAGGGGGCCCCATCTTCTGCCATCAGCATATGCAAATCACAACCGTGTCAGTGGCGCTCCCTAGAGATCCACCAACCTGCCCAAACACACCTGGGCCCTGCTGGATTTATCCAGCACTTCCTTGGAGCCAGGCAATACTTGTGTAGCCTTCATGACCGCCTGTAAGGTACATGTAACTGACCCGTTTTAGAGATGAAAGAGGCCAAGGCTCTGAGGGTAAGATATATGGCTTAAGGTCCCAAAGCATAGAAGGGATCAAACTAGGGCCCTGGAGCTCAGCCCCACACTGAAGCTTTCCCATGGGAGGGTGTGACTCGAGGCCCTTGTCTGAGGACAGGCAGAGGGCCACCTCCAAAGGCGTTGCCTGCAGACCTGGGCCAGGAGCACGCTTGCTGCAATTCCCAGCCCTCATTTCAGCATCAATCAGGAACCCCGAATGTTGTGCAACCACTGCTGCTCTCCTAGGCAGCACGTCTCCAACCCCTTCTCCTGCCAGGACTCTGCTCAATCTTTAGCGCTGGCTCTGAATCACCTCTTTGGAAGCCTTCCTTGAGCCTCACCTACAGGTTGCCTTTGTGTCCCCACTGTGCCTGCACATGGTGTCATCATAACATGTGCCATGTGGTTTTGCTCCTCCTCTGGATTGAGAGCTCTTAGATGGTAGAGACCCTAAGTCATCTCTCTGCTTGACATCTAGCGTGGTGCAGGCAAACAGTAGGTACTCAGTCCATGACTTTTGAGTCAGTGAGTGATCAGAGGGATGAGGTTGAGTCTCCTTCCTAAGTAGGCTGAGAGCTTCCAGGGAGGGACCTGAGAGTCATAATTGCCCTCATCTGTCCTGATCCCCAGTCTTCCTCCATGCCTAGCAGTAGGGGCTGGTCAAAATAAGTTTGTGGTTGGGTGGGTGGATGGATGGGTGGGTGGAGGAGTGGAGGGGAGGGTGGATGGGTGAGTGGGTGGGTGGATGAATGGATGGATGGATGGATGGATGGATGGATGGATGGGTAGGTGGATGGATGAATGGATGGGTGGGTGGGTGGATGGATGGATGGATGGGTGGGTAGGTGGATGGATGAATGGATGGGTGAGTGGGTGGATGGATGGATGGGTGGATGGATGGGTGGATGGGTGGGTGGACGGGTGTGTGGATAGGTGGGTGGGTAGGTGGATGGATGAATGTATGGGTGGGTGGGTGGATGGATGAATGGGTGGATGGATGGGTGGATGGAAGGGTGGATGGATGGGTGGATGAATGGGTGGGTGGATGGGTGGATGAATGGGTGGATGGATGGGTGGATGGGTGGATGAATGAGTGGATGGATGAGTGGATGGGTGAGTGGGTGGATGGATGGATGGGTAGATGGATGGGTGGATGGGTGGGTGGATGCGTGGGTGGATGGATGGGTGGGTAGGTAGTTGGATGAATGGATGGGTGGGTGGGTGGGTGGATGGATGGATGGGTGGATGGATGGGGTGGGTAGGTGGATGGATGAATGGATGGATGGGTGGGTGCACAGGTGGGTGGGTGGGCGGGTGGTCTAGCTGGAGGCAGTGCAGCATGATAGGAGTGCAGGTTCTGGCATCTGACTCCTGGGCATCTGACTCTAGGAACACAGAACCTGGCTTTTCATCTTCTCTTAGCTGTGTGGCTGTGATCAACAGACTCAACCACCATGTGTCTCGGATCGTGTCTCAGGTCAGGTTCCACAGAAGCAGGTCCTGAGACAAAGACTCACATGCTGGTGATTTCCACCCAACCCGCCAAGAGAGTTTTACTCTGTCACCCAGGCTGGAGTACAGTGGCACAGTCACAGCTCACTGTAGCCTGGAATTCCCAGGCTCAGGCAATCCTCCTGTCTTAGCCCCCTGAGTAGCTGGGACCGCAGGAGCACACCACCACACCTGGCTTATTTTAAAATTATTTGTAGAGATGGGCTCTCCCTAGGCTGGTCTCGAACTCCTGGGCTCAAGCGATTCTCCTGCCTCGGCTTCCCAAAGTGCTGGGATTACAGGTGTGAGCCACCATCCCAGGCCACATGCCAGTGATTTATGAAGGAAGTGCCACAACAGAAACTGGCAAGGGAGTGTAGGAACACAGTGCGGATGGGTACAGTTTTAGGCCAAGTCCCAGGCCTGGCCTCACCCCATTGGGAGCTGTGAAGGGCGAGTTATGCCTCTGCCTTGTCCCACCAAAGGCTAGAACCTCCTGCCTCGCACTTGCCGGTTGCCTGGGGGTGAGAACGTTTCCAGGCACTTCTGGTCTTGCGTGTCCAGGCAAAGCAGCCCAGGAGCCCAGACCTGGCCTTCAAAAATCTGTAGGTGCTGGGGGTTATTGAGGAAGCCCCAACACTGAGGGAGGGGGGCACCACACGGGGAAAACGGGTCTGAGGGGATCTGGGTGGGTACCACATTGTTGGCTACAATTTCCCCTTCTGCAAAATGGTGAGCGCAAAATGCTGAGCGCAAGCAAATTGTTACAAGGATGAAGTGAGGGCAAAATCTGAGCACAGGGCCCGGGGGCAGGTCAGCGGTATCGCTGGCTCACACTGGGCTATTCTTATCCTCCCACAAGGTCCTCTGGCTCTCATTAAATATTTGTTGAATGAATTAACCAGCTTTCCTACTGGTTTAACTGGGTTCATGGGACCCGCCCCTGTACCGCCCAAACTGTTGATCAAAAGTCCCTTGGTGTCCAGGCTGGCTGGTAAAAATGACAGCCAGACCCAATGCAAAGAGCCAGCTGCGGCATCCAGTCCCATCACCATGGGAGCTCCCCAGGCTTCCCGGGGTGGGCGCCTGAATGTAGTCATTGTCCCTGGGTTTTGGCTCCCTTCAGGTTCACTGGGGCCAAGGCACTCTGCCGCCTCGGGCCAGGGCTCTCTTGTTCATTCAACACAGTAAACATTCCATTCAAGCCCCTACTATGTACCAGACACACTTCCAGGTGCTGGGAATAAAGCAGGAAAGATAACAGATCTCAGGGAGCTGGCAGTCCAGGGGGGGCACGGGCAAAAAGCAAACAGACCAAGTCAGTGGTAGAAGGGCTTTGGGGGAAAATAAAGCCGAGTAAGGAATGGAGAGAGACAGAGGTGTGTTTACCTTTGTATTTTCAAATAATTACAGATTTCCAGGATGTGGTCCAGGGTACTCTTCACTTGGCTTCTTCCCATGGTTACATCTTACATAACCACAGTGCCAAATCTAAGCCAGGAAACGTGTGCAGCTACAATGTGAGCACAGCAGTCCCTTGGTATCCACGGCGATTGGTTCCAGGACCCTGTCTCCCAGGACAGCAAAATCCCAGGGTGCTCAAGTCCCCCAGTCAGCCCTCCCAGTATCCGCAGGCTCCTCAGAAACCTCAGACGGAGGGAGGGCCACTGTGTGTGGTTTCTGAGTCATTTTTTCACTGTATAGATTCATGCAGCCACCCGTACAGCTAGGGAAGAGAACGATTCCATCACGCCTAGGTCCGCCTTGCACAACCTTTGTGGTGACATCCACACCACCCCTAACCCCAGCATCCACTCATGTGTTCTCCTTGTCTATAATCTTGTCATTTCAAGCATGGTATGAAGGAGAATCACACGGTATGTGACCTTTTGAGATCTGAATATATTCTTCACCGGATTCCCCAGGTCTGTGTGTTCTCTCTCCCCCTCCCTTTTCCTCTCCTCTTCCCTCTCCTTTACCCTGAAAATCTTCAGGGTGCATTTTCAGAAAAAAAACAGGGACATTCTCTTACATAACTAGAGTCCAGTGATCAAAATCAGGAAGTTCACACCAGACAATACAATTCTCTACAGACCTTATCCAAATTCACCAAATGTCCCACTGATGTCCTTTACAGCAAAAGAGAAAGACCTTTTTTCCCCCAATCCAGGATCTGACCCAAAACTGCAAGTTGCATTTGATTACCATCAGGGAGCTCTTTAGTCTCCTTTTTTATTTATTTATTTTTTGAAATGGAGTCTTGCTCTTGTTGCCCAGGCTGGAGTGCAATGGCACAATCTTGGCTCACCACAACCTCCACCTCCCAAGTTCAAGCGATTCTCCTGCCTCAGCCTCCCGAGTAGCTGGTATTACAGGCAGGCGCCACCACACCCGGCTAATTTTGTATTTTTAGTAGAGATGAGGTTTCTCCATGTTGGTCAGGCTGGTCTCGAACTCCCTACCTCAGATGATCCACCCGCCTCAAAGGGCTCCCAAAGTGCTGCGATTACAGGCATGAGCCACCGCGCCTGGCCTTATTTTATTTTATTTTTCGAGACGGAGTCTCACTCTGTCACCCAGGCTGGACTGCAGTGGCATGATCTTGGCTCACTGCAACCTCTGCCTCCCAGGTTTAAGCTATTCTCCTGCCTCAGCCTCCTGAATAGCTGGGATTACAGGCACCTGCCACCACGCCTGGCTATATTTTTGTATTTTTAGTAGAGATGGGGTTTCATCATGTTGTCCAGGCTGGTCTTGAACTCCTGACCTCAAGTGATTCACCTGCCTTGGCCTCCCAAAGTGCTGGGATTACAGGTGTGAGCCACCACACCTGGCCTTTAGTCTCCTTTAATCTGGAACATTCCACAGCCTTCCCTTGACTTTCCTAGCATGGTTATTTTTGAAGAATCCAAGCCAGTCAAACTCCAGAACGTCCTGCACCTCGGTGTGATGCACGTCTTGCTGAGATTCAGGCTCAGCCTCTGCAGGAATGCCCCAGACGCGGCACCGTGTCCTCCTTTGCGAATCATATTGGGGGCACATGATGTGTCTCATCCCATTCCTGGTGATGATCATGTTGATCCCCTGGCAAGGTTGGTGTGTGCCAGGTTTCTCCACTGTAAAGTGACTGTTTTCCCTTTGCAATGAATAAGTCTCTGGTAGGGACATACTTTGAGAGCTTCAAATATCCTGTTTCTCATTAAACTTTGACCTGCTTTGTTTTCAGAGCTTTTAATTGAAGCGAAACTTAGACCTAGAGAAAAGTACACACACTGCAAGTTCCGCTCAATGGGTGATTACAAAGGGAACACAGTGGCAGGGCAGTAGGAGGGTGCGCTTTATGTGGGGTGCTCAGGGAAGGCCTCCCTGAACGGAGGGTAGCAGGGAAGAGCTGGGGGCAGAGCGTGTGTGGCAAAGGGGCATGGGAAGTACCAAGGCCTGGAGGCAGCATTCAGCTCAGCTCGTTTGACGACCAGGAGACCAGGGTTGGGGCAGGAGGAGGGGAGTTGACAGATGGGGCCTCTTGGGGCCAGAATAAGAAATCTAATTGTATTACAAGGGTGATGGCAAGGTCTTCACTCGGGTTCTCCACGTTCCCGGGGTCCCCCAAGGTAACCCCAGGAAACAGTTGTGGAGGAGTGGTGAAGGGAGGCATCTCACTTCACAGGGGGTGCAGAAGCTGGGGCGTCTACCCATCCCCTGGGGTCAGTCATGGGGGAATGCCGGGAAGTGAAGCGGGGAGTTAACATGGCCTTATTTCTGGCCCAGGTGCCAAAATAAAATCCCTCAAGCAGAGAGCCTCAGGTGTTTGCAGTAAGCAGACCTTGTTGAGGGTGAGTGGAGAGGGGCTATGAGCAGCAGCTTCTGCTACAGCAAGTTATGCGGGGCTTGAAATGGGGAGGTATGTGCTCTGACGTTCACTTTTACCACCTCTCTGTGTTACTGAGAATCGACTGTGGGAGGGGAGGCTACCACCACCCTGTGCCCTTGCTTGGAGGGGATCCCAAGCCCCTCTGAATTCCTCAACAGGCAACTGAGTCTGGGGAACAGGCTACACCGGACGAGGAGAAAGGAAGATCCGGCCCCAGACCCCCTGTGCACTCTGCCCCTCCTGCATTTCTAAGAGCTGCTTTCCTGAGAACTGACCTCACCCCTTCAGGCACAACCTCACTTGGGAAGCCCACGGTTCTAGGAACTTGCAAAGAGAGAAACTGCGAACTTTGAATTCTATTGTATCCAAAAGCCAACGAAAATCATAGATTTAACTTCCGATCAGGCTTCCCAGTTAAAAATATTCATTCATTTTCCATTCAACAAGTATGTCTTCAGAACCTATTTTAAAATAGATTTGTATGGAGACACAATCCAAACAAAATTCACCATTTAAAAGCGTGATTCCGTGGTTTTAGTATATTCGCAAGGTCATGCAAACCCTCCCTCTAATTCCAGAACATTGCCATCACCCAAAGAAGAAACACCAGCAGCTCCCAATGCCCCCTCCCCGCAACCGCTGACGACCACTCATCGGCTTCCTGTCTGTGTGCAGTTGCCTGTTCTGGGCAGGTCACCTGAGTGGCGTCACACAGGATGTGGTTTTTGTGACTGGTTTCTTTGACGTGGATCATGTTTTCCAAGCCCATCCAACCTGTCGTGTGGATGAGTGTCTCATTCCTTTCTATGGCTGAACCATGTCCCATCCTCTGGGCATGCCACGTGCTGTTCACCTGCTCTCTGTTGGTGGACGTTAGCGCTGTTTGCATTCAGCGCCCTCTTTTAAACTCGTAACTGTGATAAAGTTGCCATCACTTTGGGGAAACCGTGGGTGCAGTGGGGCTCCCCGCTGCAGGAGATCTCACTTGGTCCAGGGATCAGAAGGGGCCTCTCTGGAGAAGCGACAACTCAGTTACAACCTCAAGGATGCGCAGGAGCCGGCAGGGTGAGATTTAGGGGTGCTGGGGCCTCTGGGGCATGTTCCAGACAGAGGGAAGAGGTCAGGCAGAGGCTGGCAGGGAGAGAGCACATACCTGGGGCCTAGAGAAGGAAGGAAGTTTCGAATGGCAGAAGTGGAGAGATGGAGAGAGAGTCAGGCATCAGGGCTACAGGGCCCTGGTGTGGCCTATGAAGGAGTCTGGATTTTAAACCAAGGGGATGACCTCATCTCTTGTGAGTTTCAAGATGCCAGGACAGCCACAGTAAAACTGGGACCATCTTGGCCAAATCAGGGTGGTTACCTCCGTGAGTGACCGTGGCAGGCACAAACTGGTGAGTTTAAACATGGAAGGCCCTGGGCCTCTTTGCTTTGGATCGCAGTTCTCTTGACTCTGAGTGACAGGCCTGGATGCTTTTGAATTTTTGAAAGGAGAGTAAGTTTGGAAAGGGAGTCACATTTCCAACTGTGTGACATTCTGGAAAAGGCAAAACTTATAGAGACAGTAAAAAGATCAGCGGTTGTCAGGGGTCCAGGGAAGTGGGGGATGAATTAATGGCACTCAGAGGGTTTTTAGGCCAGTGAAACTAATCTCCATGACACTGCCATGGTGGACCCGTGTCATTATGTCATTTATACATTTGTCATAACCCACAGAATGTACGACTCCAGGAGTGAGCTCTACTGTAAACAATGGACCGGCCGCACGCGGTAGCTCATGCCTGTAATCCCAGCACCTTGGGAGGCCGAGGTGGCTGGATCACGTGAGGCCAGGAGTTCAAGACCAGCCTGGCCAACATGGCGAAACCCTGTCTCTATTAAAAATACAAAAAAATTAGCTAGATGTGGTGATGCACATCTGTAATCCCAGCTACTCAGGAGGCTGAGGCAGGAGGATCACTTGAACCCAGGAGGCAAGGTTACAGTGAGCCGAGATCGTGTCACTGCACTGCGGCCTGGGCAACAGAGCAAGACTCTGTCTCAAAAAAAAAAAAGGGACTTAGTTAATAATGAATCAATGTTTGCTCATCAGTGGCATCAATGTGCCGCACCAATGCACAGTGTTATTCATAAGAGACACGGGGTGGGGGTGGGGCTGGGAGAAGGGACACATGGAAACTATTTTCTGTGCAATTTTTTCTGCTCTCAAAACTAAAGTTTTTTTTAAAAAGGAGTCAGTTTTATACTTAATAACTGCCATGGTGTTTGGTAGACAAAATCCTACTGGACAACCATCCATTGGCGTGGGAAAGAGTTGTGAAAAGAGATCTTGGAGAAGTTAAAAGAAAAGAGCCGGGTGCGGGGGTGCTCTCAGAGGGCTGAAGCTGGGGATCCCTTGAGCCCAGGAGTCGGAATTCAGCCTGGGCAACACAGTCAGAAGTTGTCTCTTACAAAACTTTTTCTTCTTTTTTAAAGCAGGCAGGCTTAAAAAGAGAGAGAGAAAAGATCTTGAAGTTTGGGAATTCTGAGGTCAGTCTTTCTCTGTCTGGGTCTTCTTTCTGTCTCCCCACCTGACTTTTCTCTCCACATGGACGGAGCCTCTCCTTCAGCCATCCCACTATCTTCTAGAAGGTTCCATAACTCCTCCCTGTCCCCATCATTCCTTATTCTGAAAATCCTTTGGTAAATGGGTTTATTCATTTGCCAGGTGCAAATAATTGTCAGTGGCTACTTGAAGTTTGATAAGGAGGATTCGGAGGCCTGTCCCAGCCAAGGGGGAAATGCTGCCTGGTGATCAAATACTGATGCCTGCTACAGGTGTCAGAAGAGGGAGGAGGAGCAGAGGCATCTGTGCTGTGTGTTTACCCCCTGGAATTTAGCAAGTCCCGAGCCGCGTTCATTTGGCACCTGGTGTCATGTTCCAAGGGGCAGTGCCTTGTTGCTTCTGCTGGAATTAAGCCCTTTAGAAGCCCAGCAGTGCCCACAGCTGCAGGAAGTGCTCAGCCAACGTTTGCCTGTCATTCAGCAAATAATGGCTATGAAACAATGAAAGTAAGACGTGAATAGCGCCTGGAAACAGGCTGTGTGTGGGGAGCGTGTGAGCGTGACCCTCATTTTGGTGCAAATGCATAGACCGGTTCACATAAGAGGGGTCTGACTACTGTGGTAGCAGCAGAGATGTTTCCCCCTCCGGGCCTTAGCTCCTGCCCTTCTCTTTGCTTGGAATATTCCGTCCTCCCGCCGTACCCACAGAGGTCCCTTCTTGCCTCTCCTGACTCCTCTAGCTACAAGAGGCCCCACTCTCCAGGCCCCATCCTGCTCACTTTTCTTTCTTTTCTTTCTTTTTTTTTTTTTTTTTTTTTTTTTGAGGCTGAGTCTCGCCCTGTCACCCAGGCTGGAGTGCAGTGGCACAACCTCTGCTCAGTGCAACCTCCTCCCAGATTCAAGCGATTTTCCTGCCTCAGCCTCCAGAGTAGCTGGGATTACAGGCCACCACACCCGCCACCACGCCCGGCTAACTTTTTGTATTTTTAGTCGAGATGGGGTTTTACCATGTTGGCCAGGCTGGTCTCGAACTCCTGACCTCAGGTGATCCACTCGCCTCAGCCTCCCAAAGTGTTGGGATTACAGGCGTGAGCCACCACGCCCAGCCTCACTTTTCTTCTTAGTGTCACTCACTGTCCTAGTCTCCTTGGGCTGCTGCAATAAAGCTCCACAAACTGGGTGGCTACAGTGGAAATTTATTCTCTCTCCATTCTGGAGGCAGAAGTCTGAAATCAAGGTGTGAGGGGGGCTGTGCTCCCTCCATGATGGGTGTGGGGAGATTCCTCCTGCCTCTTCCAGCTTCTCATGGACCCAGGTGGTTTGCAGCCTGTGATCAAATCCCTGCCTTCATCTTCAGGTGGCCTTCTCTTCTGTCTCTTATCAGGCCACTGGTCACTGGATTTAGGGCCCACTCAGTTAATTCAGGATGATTTCATCTTGAGATCCTTAGTTATATCTATAAAGATGTTTTTCCAAATAAGGTCACATTCACAGCTTCCAGGAGTAAGGACATGAACATATCTTTTGCAGGGGACATTATTCAACCCACGACATGCACTGCCTCACTTTGCATTACACATGGCTTTGTCCGCGGCCTGTCTCCACCATTAGATGAGATATAGGAAAGCAGGGAAAGAGTCTGTTGTGTTCCCAGCTCGATCGCCAGTGCCACATGGCAGGTGCTGAAAAGTATTTCTTAAGTGAACGAAATAGTTTTATCTTTCCAAGTCCCAGTGTTCCCGTCTATAAAATGATTACTGCCTGTGGGTACAGCTATTGCAAAACAAACAGAATCGAGGGTTTATGCAAGGAACCGTAACTTCCACCTAATTCTTAACATTAGAAACAAATTGTACAAAATATACTTTTGTACAGTGTACCCTTTCCAAAAAGGATGTCTTCAGTGCCACGCTTAGAGAACTTTTGAGTGAAGTTTGTTACCAAACAAAATACAGGTGTCTTGAGGTTGCATCCTGGCTCCCAGCAGGGCGCATTGCTGGGGATAATTTGTGGGCAGTGAAAAGACACGACTCTGACATAGAGAGTGAATGGGAGTTGCAGAGCATGACCTCATTGTTCAAGGTGCCCAGAGCAGACATTTTGAGAAAGGCTGGATGCCTCTGGTTGGGTCCCACCCTTGGCGTTCATCGTTGGCCAATAGGGCAGAATCACTCTGAGGCGTTGAGCCGCAAACCCCAGAAAGTTCTCCAGCCAACTGCCTTGTTAGATTCTTTGCAAGTGGGCTCTAGCATTTTACAGGCTGAAGGCAGAAAAAATAAACAAAAAACTTGAAAAAACAGAATCTTGAAGTCTGTGGGGATGACCACGGAATCCAAACAAAGTGACAGACAGAGCTCAGAAAGGTCGTTTAAGGCAAACATAAATAGCAGGTGTAACTGACGGGGAAACAACAACACACAACAACAACAACAACAACCAACTCAGAAGGTAAGAGCTTGGGCCGGGCACGGTGGCTCAAACCTGTAATCCCAGCACTTTGGGAGGCTGAGGCAGGCCGATAGATCACTTGAGGTCAGAAGTTCAAGACCAGCCTGGTCAACATGGCAAAACCCTGTCTCTACTAAAAAAAAAAAAAAAAAAAAAAAAAATTAGCTAGGCATGGTGGCGCATGCCTGTAGTCCCAGCTAATCTGGAGGCTGAGGCACGAGAATCGCTTGAACCCAGAAGGTGGAGGTTGCAGCAAGCCGAGATGGTGCCACTGTACTCCAGCCTGGGCAATAGAGCAAGACTCTGTCTCAAAAAAAAAAAAAAAAAAAAAAGAGAGAGTTTGGATAATTAACTTACTTAGAATATAAAAGGATGCAGAGGTTAGAAAAACAAAAATTAAAGTTGGAAAATTTCTTTAAATCTGGAAAAGGAAACCAAAAGAGACTGTAAATACTCATCTGTATTTCTGAAGTGTTTTCAGGTAGCTCCCAATAGAACTTTCAATGAGATGTTTATTCCAAAACCAAAGTAAAAATTGACAGCAAATTGAGTGCTTGCCTCAAAAGGCACAGAAATGAAACATGAAAGAGGATGACAGAAGTCAATCTAACAATGACAACTATAACAATGTAAACACAATACATTTCCCTATTTTTTTTTTTTTTTTTTTTTGAGACGGAGTCTCGCTGTGTTCCCCGGGCTGGAGTGCAGTGGCGCGATCTCGGCTCACTGCAAGCTCCGCCTCCCGGGTTCACGCCATTCTCCTGCCTCAGCCTCCCGAGTAGCTGGGACTACAGGCGCCCGCCACCACGCCTGGCTAATTTTTTGTATTTTTAATAGAGACGAGGTTTCACCGTGTTTGCCAGGATGGTGTCAATCTCCTGACCTCATGATCCGCCTGCCTCAGCCTCCCAAAGTGCTGGGATTACAGGCATGAGCCACTGCGCCCGGCCTACATTTCCCTATTATAAAGCAAATCGTTCATATGAAAGTTCTGTTAAATATAAATTTGAATGATCTGCTGTTTATGGGAGACATATTCAAAAATTTTTTGGAGTATTTGCCATGTTTCAGGCACATCATTTACCATAACCAACACTGGTGGAGCCTAATTTACCTAATTTTACACACCACAAATCTAATTTATAGGCCTGGGCAACAGAGCAAAGACCCCATCTCTACATAAAAATAAAAATTAGAAAATTAGCTGGGTGTGGTTCTGTGCACCTGTAGTCCCAGCTACTCAGGAGGGAGTATTGCTTGAACCCAGGAGTTCAAGCCTACAGTGAACTATGATCGCGCCAGTGCCCTCCAGCCTGGACTACAGAGTGAGACCTTGTCTCTAAAATGTACATGCATATATCCACCACCTAGAGTTTCCTTCTGGAATGCCCTGGGCATTTTCGAACCTAGCCCAGGAATTCCAGCCTTGACATCTCTGGGCTGGAGCGGAAGCCATGGTGATAGGATCCGAAAGGCTGGGCTTTCAAATCCTCTGCTCCGGGGATGCTGATCTGCCTGGAGAGATGACATCTGGTTAACAGCTTGGAAAAACATGAAGATGCCAACAAGGCGTTCTTCTTCCCTGGATCCAACATCATTTTAAAATCACAGAATGCCACTTGGGAAGGACCTGAGAAATAACTGAGCCAAGTTCCCATATGTTCTTTTATATTAATAATATAGAAGCGCCTGAGAGCCTGCAATGTCGGGTACCACGACATCGTACTACTACATCATACCTGTGCAAGCATTCACTCAGCCTGAACCACAGGATGCTGAGGTTGGCTGCGGGATGTCTCCTCCTTGTTCCTCTACAACACTCTTTTTTTTTTGTTTGTTTGACATGAAGTCTTGCTCTACTGCCCAGGCTGGAGTGCAGTGGCACAATCTTGGCTCCCTGCAACCTCCACCTTCCGGGTTCAAGCGATTCTCCTGCCTCAGCCTCCGAAGTAGCTGGGATTACAGGCGCATGCCAGCACACCTGGCTAATTTTTCTATTTTTACTAGTGACAGGGTTTCCCCATGTTGGCCAGGCTGGACTCGAACTCCTGACCTCAGGTGATCCGCCCACCTTGGCCTCTCAAAGTGCTGGGATTAGAGGTGTGAGCCACCTTGCCCAGCCTCCTCTACACCACTCTCCACCCTTCTTTGGATTCTCTGCCCAGGAGGCTGCATCCTTGGCGCTCTGTTGCTTTCTGGCTTTTGATCTAAGCAGTTGCCCTCTGCAGAAGTTATCAGTGCCCCAGAGCTCCCCCTCCAGGTAACTCCTCTCTCGTCTGGCCCTTCAGGCCTTGGGTGGGACCAAAGCCACTTCTCACTCTTTGCTAGTCTTCGTTAATGACACAAGCACTTCTGGTTTCTCTACGTCTTCCCCACAGCTTTGTAAAAAGTCTGTTTCTCAAACTCTCCTCAAATTACTATTTCCTACTGGGACCCTGACTCCTACGGGTAGGTAGTGACATCCCCATTTTATGGATGAGTAAACTGAGGTGGAGAGAGGTGAAGAAAATTGCCCAAGGTCGGAAAGGAACATTCCTGGGATTCAAATCTGGACTCACTCACATCAGAGGTTTGCTGTTACCATTATTCCTGCACCTTTGTTGAAACTGGGGAGTGGGGCCAGGCTGATACCGTAGCCTTTGTTTCCTTGAAAGAGGAAGATGCAGGAGATACAAGAAGGGGCACTGGAACTGCCCTGCAGGTTTTCGTGGCCTGGAGTCAACCCTCGGGAGCAATTGAGGTAGGTGGCAAATATTTGCTCAAAAGGGGTGGCTGAATTTCGTGGACAAATGCAGAGGGCACCTCCTGTAGCCCGTGAGTAACTTCCCTGTAGAGATGAGGAAGCCAGCGGAAAGGCGGGTGGCACGGACTTCCCCAGAGCTCCCCCTCTGCTAAGTGGTGGGTCTAGTTACGGATCTAGTCCTACCTGAAGCCAAAGAAAGCCCTGGAACTTCAAAGCACCCACTTGGCTGCTGGCAACTGTCTACACTGCGTATGGACTCACATACTTTGGGAGCCATTTGAGCCCAGCACCTTCTGATGATGAAGAGGAGGAGGATGGTGTCATGGGGACACCAGCACATTCTCTACTCCAAGCCCTGCTCGAGACCTTCCTGTACAGCACTGTCCGCTGGGGCCTCTCCATGTCACTGTGAAGGAGGCGCTATCGTGGTGGCCATTCTGCAGAGCAGTAAACCAAGGCGCTAAAAATATAAGAAACCTGCTCAGGTCCCACGACGAGCAAGAGCGGCGCTCATCCTGCAGACGAGGACAGGGGCCCTGACCATCCGAGACCATGCAGGCGCCAAAGGCAGCAGGGCTCTCAGTCGCTCCTGTTCCTGGACTCACTCCCAGGGCCCTGGAGGTGGGGGTCTTAGCCTTCTGCTGCTCCCCGCTCAATGACAGGCTAGGTTGCCGAGGCTCAGAAAGGCCACGTGACCCGTCCAGAGTGCACAGCCGCAGGTGTGAGTCTGACTGAGCTCCAGCCACCTCGCTCCCGGCGCCTTAGAGCCGCCCACCCTGGGTTCCTCAAGAGGATCACCTGGGGCTCGTTAAAAACCCAGCTCCCGGCGGCTCCAAACCGTGACTGGGCAGGGAGGGGTCTGGGAATCCGGATTTTAAACCAGCATTTGCTCCTCCACCTCCCCCACTCCAGGTGATTCTTAGGATCTGTAAGTTTGGGAAACAGCCCAAGCCCTGAGGCGACGCAGCCTCTCCCTGGGCCTTTCATGGCCAGCCGGCGCTGTCCCCAGAGCCCCTGGGGTCCCAGGCGAGCTCGCGGGGCGGGGCCGGGTGAGCCGGCACCTCCCTGTGCGCAGCCCCGCCCCAGGGGCGGGGCCTCACCTGCCGCGGGCAGGTAGACAGCTACCTGGTAACCGGGTCCGGCCCAGGAGGCTTGGGCGCGCGCAGCCATCCCGGGCCTCGCCGGGGACCTAGGGACGCAGGCAACGCCTGCGCCCGCTCACCATGGTCGAGGGACGCGTCTCCGAGTTCCTGAAGAAACTCGGCTTCTCGGGCGGGGGCCGCCAGTACCAGGCGCTGGAGAAGGACGAAGAGGAAGCCTTGGTGAGTCCCCGCGACTCCGCGCCGGGCGTGCGACCCGACCCCCCATCCCCTCCGTCGTAACCGTCCCCGGCCCGAGACCCCGCGTTCGCGCTGCGATCCGCGAACTCGCCCTCCTCCCCTGGCTCTGGAAAGAAGCTGTCCTCACAGCAACCGCGCTCTCATCTGCGCTCTGGCGCGGGGAGCTCAGCATGGAACCCTCACGTGAACCCATTTTGTGGTTGAGAAACTGAGGCCGAGAGTGGTTAAGTATATTCCCTAAGGGGCACGGAGCTAGGAAGTGACCTGGCTGGGAACTTAACCTAGGTTTCTCTGACTCCAGAGAATTAAAATTCCTGGGTCTCCAGACTTGGGCTGCTTTATGGATTTTTAAAACTTAAATTGGAAAATAAAATTAGAGGGATGCAAAAAACAAAAGATTGCTGAAATGTTGTAGCAATAATAGAAAGCAAAGTTGGAGCTGAGGGACCTCCCAGCCTCACTTCCTACAGTCAGGTACTTTTAGAAAGTCACTCAGAGCTGTATGCCTGCTTTGCAACCTTCAGGGACCCTCTGGGATAAAGCAGCAGGGTGCCAGGGCAGGGCGGTTCATGAGGGAACGAAGTGGCAAAGCTGTCAAATAAAGCCCCTCCTGTTCCTTGGATTCTTGGAAGCCAGGGGTGAAGCCAGGCTTGAGGGTGACCCAACACCCTTCTTTTTAGCTTCGCAAACAGAACTCGTTGCATGCTTTAAGGTCAGGGGGGCACTGAATTTCTGCAGAAGCGTTTCTCTGCACGCCAGAGGGTCGTTGCACTTTTTTTTTTTTCATTTACGCTTAAGCAGTCGTTCAAAAGTAACATTTCTGAACGAGTCCCCTGGGTTGCTAATTAGAAATATGACTTGGCGATGGCCTTTTGACCAGTGAAAGGAAACTTCAAAGGTAAACTTACCTTTTAATTAAAAAAAGAAATTAGCTGAAAAAATATTTGACTTAAAATTTTATTTTTTTCTCCCAAAGAATACTAATGGTCAAAACATTTTGTTTGTGAGATTAAGTATTCGTGCTTTTTTAAAAATAGTGTTTTGTGCTTTTTTAAAAATAGTGTTTTATACATCCCTGTTGATGTAAGAATTCTGGTCTTAGGGTGGTAGGCCACAGGACCACGTAACTAGCAGTTTTTGAGCAATCTCGATTTTTCTGAAGTGGCATGTTAATATTGATAGGATATAGAGTTCAATTAATTGGCTGTGATCCATTTCTCTGCTTCTGCGATACATTCTGCTAAAGGAGTTTGAAGTTTATTTGCCATCACAGGTTGCCTTTCCTATGTTGCCATTCCTGTTTTTTCCTTTCCATCTTTTGATTCTTGCATCAGGCCAGGTATTTTTCAAACTCTCCTGGTGTGTAGTTGGTTACCATCAGGTTTCACAGGATGTCCAGGAATGCAGGTGCATGGATGATGTAACCTCAAGGGAGATGCTGGGAGAGTTTGATCTCTGTGCCAGGTGGACTCGTCCCTCCAAAGCTTTGCAGGAGAGTTCTCAGAGGTCTGACAGGTGTTCAGCCGGTCTGTCAGTGTGCTCTCCCACCTGGCTGTGGACCGGGGTGCTCTCAGCAGCATCCTGAGGCCCTGGGTGCGTGATGATGGGCAGTGTGCAGCGCCAGGAGGCGGGTGATACCAGCACTGACACCAAAGGCCAGCTGAGAAAGAAGCCATGCTGTCTCCAGAGGCAGCCTTGTGCAAACCCAGGAAATGTGCAAACCCAGGAAATGGCAATGAAGATCGATGGGAAGTGTGAGGAGGGAGGGAGGTGGGGAGGCCGGGTGGCTGGGCGAGGCACTCACTTCCTGCCAGGTTGGCTCAGACCTGAACACCTCCTTTGCTGTCATACTCATGTCCTCTCGTTGGAACTCCTTTCTCCCAGGGTTTGGAAAGGAGGCGATGTGTGTTGAGGTGATCACTTCTACAATAGTTGGAATTGTCTTTTTTTTTTTTTGCGTTATTTCATACTAGTTTATTTAGGGGTTCCATTTTCACTCCTCAATAGAACCGTCTTTTATGAGCACTAATTACATGCCACATCCAGGATGCCTGTAGGAGGCCTCTAAGCCCTCCCCTCCCCCAGCCACTTTGACCAGTTACCCCAGTTCTAATAGTGATTGTTACTGAGAACTTGCTGTGTCTTCTCTTGGGCCTCTTACCTCCAAGGTAAATTTTACTCTCGTCATGTGATCAATGAGGATGTGAGGCTCCTAGTGGGGCCACGTTTGTTTGCTCAGTGAGCATTTCCTGACAGCCAGTTTTGCTAGGCGCTGAGGATACAGATGTGTACAAAACAAAGTTCATAAAGGAGGCCAATGGTCAGCTGAGAAACTGGGAGATGCTTTATTTGAGACCCAGTGGTCTCAGGTGCACTGGAGAATCAAAGAGTAGAGGACCAGACAGAGGACTGGTGGTTGAGAGGGGAACTGGAGACGACCCCATGTTAGAAGCACTGGAGACTGGATTTCAGCATTTCCAGGAATGGAAAGAAAGGTGTTTGAGCCGGGCGCAGTGGCTCATGCCTGTCATCCCCACACTTTGGAAGACTGAGGCAGGAGGGTCACTTGAACCCCAGAGTTCAAGATCAGCCTGGGCAACATAGCCAGATGCCATCTCTGCAAAAAATTAGGCGTGGTGGTGTGCACCTGTGGTCCTAGCTACTCACCAAGCTGAAGCAGGAGGATTGCTTGCACCTGGGAGGTCAAGGCTGCAGTGAGTTGTGATCATGCCACTGTGCTCCAGCCTGGGCAACAGAGTGAGACCCTGTCTCAAAACAAAACAACAACAAAAAGGTCTTTGAGAGGCCTCCTTAATTTAGTTACTAGAAAAAGCTTCTCACTGCTGACCTGAACATTAGGGTAAGGAAGAGATTGGAGCAGAAATTCCTGCTTCCCAGGTGACTCAGCGCCAACTCCGGGGGAAGCTGTCTCTGCCCCTCAGGGCTCCCATCTCTTAAGTGAGGCAGGTATAGCCCCAGCCCACTGCCTTCCTGGCTGGTGAGCAGATGCATCCTTCTGGGCTCTCCAGGGTGAGGCTTGGATCCCAACAGACGAATGTAGTGACCACCCATCCATTCAACCTAGATTCACGGAGGGGGCTCCCTCTGTGTGTCAAGTGAGTGCTACCAGCTGGAGTTGGGGCTGATAAGGATGCACAGTTCTCTACCCTCAGGTATCCCAACCAGGAGGCAGAGACAGGCACCCAGCAACTGGTCACAGTTCACTGTTTAATGCCAACGTGTCAGAGCTGGGAGAAAGACGTGATGTTTAAGATGAATAGGAGTGGCAAAGGGTGAGCTGGATGAAGGGCAGGGATTGACAGCGAGTTCTAGACAGAAGAGGTAGAGGCGTTGGGGTTGGTAGGATGAGGCTGCAGAGGAGGGTCGTACGGAGCCTTGTCAGAGTGTGGGCTTTATCCCTGGAGCAGTGGGGGATCGTTGAAGGGTTTTAAGTCAGGACATGATAGTCACTCATTTATTCCCAGATGGGCCAAACATTAGAACTGTGATAAAACAGGCACAGTCAGATTTGTGTTTTTAAGAGATTACACTCAGTTACTGGAAAAGAGTATGTGTGTGGGAATTCTGAGGCTCATGCACACACAACTTTAACCCAAGGCTTGCCCAAACTCACAGATCATTAGTGTTTCTCAGAATTCAGCAACATGTGGGCATCTTCTTAAAGAAATGTACTGCAACCCCACAGTGTTTTTTCTTTCGAGACAGTGTCTCGCCCTGTCACCCAGGCTGGAGTGCAATGGCATGGTCTTGGCTCACTGCAACCTCTGCCTCCCAGATTCTCCTGCCTCAGCTTCCCGAGTAGCTGGGATTACAGGCACCCGCCACCACACCCAGCTAATTTTTGTACTTTTAGTAGAGATGGGGGTTTCACCATGTTGGCCAGGCTGGTCTCGAACTCCTGACCTCATGATCCGCCTGCCTCAGCCTCCCAAAGTGCTGGGATTACAGGCGTGAGCCACCGCACCTGGCCAGTGTTGTCTTAAATGATTTGTACAAAAGTGTGATATCAAGTAAGTATAAGCATAAAACTTGTAATAAACATAACTGTTTGCTTATAACTCAACTATAAAATCAGGTTCAATTTAGGCCTGTTGCGGTGACTCACTCCTGTTTTCCCAGCACTTTGGGAGGCTGAGGCGTGCAGATCACTTGAGTTCAGGAGTTCAAGACCAACCTGGCCAATATGGTGAAACCCCTCTCTACTAAAAATACAAAAATTAGCCAGGCGAGGTGGCAGGCACCTGTAATCCCAGCTACTGCGGAGGCTGAGGCAGGAAAATCCTTTGAACCCAGGAGGCGGAGGTTGCAGAGAGCTGAGATCACGAAACTGCACTCCAGCCTGGAAGACAGAGCGAGACTCCCTCTCAAAAAAAAAAAAAAAAGTCAAATTTATAATAAAATTATAAAGTACAAATAGAACAGCCTTATTTTGATATATTGGTGATGTCTATTAAAACTCAATCAGGCTGGGCATGGTGGCTTACGCCTGTAATCCCAGCACTTTGGAAAGCCGAGGCAGGCGGATCACCTGAGGTTACGAGTTCGAGACCAGCCTGGCCAACATGGCAAAACCCCATCTCTACTAAAAATACAAAAATTAGCTGGGTGTGGTGGTGGGTGCCTGTAACCCCGGCTACTCAGAAGGCTGAGGCAGAAGAAACGCTTGAATGCAGGAGGTGGAAGTTGCAGTGAGCCAAGATTGCGCCACTACACTCCAGCCTGGGTGACAGAGCGAGACTCCATCTCAAAACAACAACAACAAAAAAAGAGACTGGAAACCAAAGCCTTTTTTGAATCTCATTTTGAAATGAGGTCTCATAACTTCTGCCATATTCTATTCGTTTGATGCAAGTCTAGGTCCAGTCTACACTCAAAGGGAAGGGGTTACACAGGCCATGGGTACTGGGAGGGAGTGATGGCTGGGGACTGCCTTAAAGGCTGCCCATTGGAATAGTAGAAAGAAATATTTCCTTCAATGACGTCATTCACGTTAAAAAAAATCCTAGAACCACATCTGACATGTCATCTGCTCACTACTTATCTAGTTTTGTTAGTGTTTTCATTCATCGTAAGTTCTGTTCTTTAAACTCTTTTGAACTTTTGATTTTGAAAATACTGATGCTAAGAATGTCTGCTAATGTGTGTATGTACAAAATGACATTTACATTTGTCAGGACTTTGTTTGCTAGTTTAGGATAATCAGACTCAAACTCAAGTCCAACTGCCAGCAAGCAGCCTACGAATGCCAATTTTAAGGCTGTCATCTGATAACCGTAGAACTGGCTCGTTCACTTGAAGATAATGTTAGTGTTGGGCGTTGTTGAAAGAATATTTCTTCATTTGGTATCTATTTGTATGTACTACTACACTTAGTGCTCATTGACGGTGCCAGCTGCTACGTACAAAGACTGGATTCATGTAAGGCACCTGCTTGTGACGTGACTACACTTCTCAATATTTAGGTATCTTAGGCTTTTCTCACCGAATCCACAATTGTGCGCTGTGTGATGACTCAATTCTTCTGCTAACCTTTCTCTCTGAGCCATTGAAGCTTTCAGTGTGTGTCAGCCTTCACTGGGATGCTACAGTGTGTGCTGTGATGGTTGTCATGGATGCAAATATGCACACTGGTGTTATGTCACAGTCCTGAGTTGTAAGTTGCCCCCCACCCCGAAAGGTCTGTGTTGATCAGACAGTCATTGAAACACATTCAAGGTTAATAAGTTCTCAGAAAACTTGAAGGCTCCTGAGAATACGTCTGAAGATGGCATCCCGGAAACCCTGCCCCCAATCCAAATGTCACAAGCTTTTTTTTAATAAGGGTAAAGAATCCCAGAGTCCCAACTAGAAGGAACTTCCAGTGTGTTAAATGGTTGCTGCTTGGTGGCCATCATATTAGGGGTGGGACTGGGAGCTGATGGGGGGTCCTTTGGTTTTCATTTGTGTGCACACAAATTGTTTGTAGATTTGGTATTTCTCCTAAAGCAGAGGCCATCTGGATGAGAACACAGGCAGCTGCTATATCTTCAAGGGTTGACATTCAGCTGCTATTTCTCTTTCGGGGACAAAGAAATACAGTTATGAAAGACCCGAGAGTTTGGGTTTTATTGCCACCCCACCTAATAATCTATCAAAAAGGAGAGAAAGGGAATTAGCAGAAAGCTTATTCAGGGACTTCAAAAATCATATAGAGTATTTAGATGAACCTGTCCAAGTCAGATGTTGAGAAGGATGGTATTCGGATGGTTGTTTGAGGGTTAATATAGACACCTGGTAAGAAGGACTTGTCTCATATCAGATACAATGAAAACAAATACTTTAAAACATGAAATGAGATATTCAAAATATTAAAAAATGGCCATGAGTAGAGGTTTGTTTACAGATATTCTGGGATATCTAGATAGCAGAATTCTCACAGACACTGAAACAGATGCTGTAGAAGCATATGTAATGACACAGTGGACGGCTATGATTCTAATGTTTTTAACATGAAAAACGTCAAACACGGCCCGGCGCAGTGGGTCACGCCTGTAATCCCAGCACTTTGGGAGTCCCAGGTGCGTGGATCACTTGAGGTCAGGAGTTCGAGACCAGCCTGACCAACGTGGTGAAACCTCGTCTCTACTAAAAATACAAAATTGGCCGGGTGTGGTGGCATGTGCCTGTAATCCCATCTACTTGGGAGGCTGAGGCAGAAGAATCACTTGAATCGGGGAGGCACATGTTGCAGTGAGCCAAGATCATGTCCCTGCACTTCAGCCTGGGTGACAGAGCAAGACTCTGTCTCAAAAAAAAAAAAAAAAGAAAGAAAGAAAAATGTCAAACATACAGAAAAACAGAAGGACTAGACAGCTGTCTGCTCACCCACGTGGATTCCACGATTCTTTTGCCATCTTTGCCCCTCATGATGTATCATTCAGTGGAAACAGGTGGTCGTAATTTCTTTTGGAAAAAAACATACTTTTACAATGTGCAGAGAATACAATCTGGAGAAAGATCATTTTGAGCAGTATTTTTATCTTGGGATGACAAATTTTCTTCTTTGTAATCTTGTGCATTTTCCAAATTTCCAGCCACAAATATGGTTTAATTTTGTAGACAGAAAAAAAGGAGATGTGAAAAATAAAGAGGAAGTCTGAACAAAAGAAGGGGAGAGAAAGGATTGTGGGTTTTTAGGTCTGTGTTGCCTTTCTGGGCTCGGTGGGGGTAGCTGGGTGGGTGTAGCTGGGTGGGAGTGGTACTGTAAACAGCATTATTAGGCAAGAATCCAGATCCCCAGGGGTGGCGGTGTATGAGCGGTGCCAGCCCAGAGCTTTGGGCGCCAGTGGGAGAAAGAGGTGGATGGGACAGGGGTCTGTACGTGACCATTTGGGGGCTCCTGCGACCCCTTGCGGCTTCCCAACACAGAGATAAGTAGTTTGGGTCAGCACATTTGAAACTTCCACAGGGGAGTTTGGAATGACCAAGGGCAGGGAGGAAAGGTCTCTGGTTCAAGGAAGGCAGGTGAGGCGATGAGGTTGCCATGAGGGCAGGACTGGCTACAGAATTCGTGGGGCAGACTGCCAATAGCAGGAAGACACTTGCTTCTGTCTTCTGTGATCTCTCCCTCGAGTGTCCTGGTGAGTTCCACTTGATATAGATTATTGGTCTCCACCACACAAGGGATTACTACTGGGTGAGTGTAGACCAAGTGTGTTCAACCTGCAGCCCAAGATAGCTTTGAATGCAGCCCAACACAAATTTGTCAACTTTCTTAACACATTATGAGATTTTTTTTGGCAATTTTTTTTTTTTTTTAGCTCATCAGCTATCATTGGTATTAGTGTATTTTATGTGTGGCCCAAGACAATTCTTCTTCCAATGTGGCCCAGGGAAGCCAAAAGATTGGACACCCCTTGTGTAGACCCTGCCAGGTATCCCCCATCGGGGAGGACAGTCATGGCCGCTGGGTGGAGGAGGGGAGATGCCAAGCCCCGGGCACACATCATCCCATGGGGCTAAATTTCCACATACACATTCAGATCCAATGATTACGCATTCCAAGATGGCAGCTGTGGAGCATGAAGCCTCAAGGCCAACACCTGTCCTGCACGGGGATCTCTGTGCAATTGCACTGGCCTCATGCCAGTGAGGCTGGCCCTGCTGAAGGGTTCTTGTCGGAGAGGAAACATCCAATCGATACCTCCCCTGTGGACTGTCAGTGATTCTTCTGAATTGTCATGGGGTTAATCTGGATCTGTGGACGCTTCAGAGGCTAATAATCCCAGTACCTCTGGTCTCTAAGGCATCTCACATGATGGTGATAAGAACATGGGAAATTTAGTAGTGGAAGTCGTGTGCTAAGACTGAGTGAGTAGTGGAAGCCGTGTGCTAAGTCTCAGCGAGTAGTGGAAGCCGTGTGCTAAGTCTTAGTAGTGGAAGCCGTGTGCTAAGTCTTAGTAGTGGAAGTTGTGTGCTAAGTCCTAGTAGTAGTGGAAGTCATGTGCTAAGTCTTAGCAAGTAGTGGAAATCATATGGTAAGCGGGAGCTGGTGGGAGCTTTCAATCCAATCACCTGTCTTCCCTCTCCCTGCCTGGAAGGTGGAGTGGGCCGGACAGGCATCTTTGTTGTCAATGAATATGAATCCCAAAGGTGTCCAGCCAGCTGCCCTTGCTGGAGACTCCACTTCCTCACAGCTCATTTATTGTCTCAGTTCTGGAGGCCAGAACTCCAAGAGCAAAGTGCCAGCAGGGTTGGTTCCTCCGGAGGCCTCTCTGCTTGGTTTGCACATGGCTGCCTTCCCTGTGTCTTCATACGGTTGTCCTCTGTGCATGGCTGTGTCCTAATCTCCTCCTTTTACTTGGACACCAGTCGTATTGGATTAAGGCCCCACCAATGACATCATTTAGCTGTAATGACCTCTTTAAAGGCCCCAGCTTTAAATATAGTCACTTTCTGAGGATATGGGGTGTGGGGTTTAGGGCTTTAGCCTGGGAATGGTGGGGGGGTTGGACAACTCAGTCCAACACCATGTTCTGTGTAGAAATTGACTTGAAAGGTATTTTTTTCTTTGAGGAGCTGTGGGCCACCAGGAGAAAATTTGTAATTGTGTCTTGAGGCTGCAGCCCCTCTGGAAATGTTTATCACCTCTGCCGTCTGCCCCAAGTCCTCAGGAGAAGCGGGCATGGTGCCCCACTAGCTGGGCCATATTCCTATGACCTTCCCTAAGACCTCCCTGTGGCCTATTGGAGAGAAGAGAGCTCAGCAGAGGATGTGTTGTTTGGCCCACCTTGAAACTCAAGTGCAAACAGAGACAGGGAAGAGAGGGGCCCAAGATCTGCGATTCCAGAGACCCAGAGGGAAGAGATGACAGGCAGGCACTGCACCTCACTTTCCTAAGCCAAACCAAGGACGCCAACTCCCAGGCTAACTAGAACTGCTTATTTCACCCCCATGCACTTCTCAGGACGCTCCCTGTCTTTGCCTCTCCAGCTGGACCGAATCTGGGGGCTCTGGGCGTAGGGGAAGGAGTGTTGGTCTGAGTGGCCACTCTTAACCAGGAGCCATTGGTGTAGGGCAGACAGGGCCCCTCCGTCGCCGGCCACATGGATTTAGGCAGGTGTAATCTCTCCACATTCATGTGTCCTGGTGTGAAAGTGGAGGTGTTGGGTGCAAGAATGGAGGGCAGCATTGGATTCCCCTTCTGACTGCTAGATTCCTCCTCTCCCTGGCTTTTTGTGGAAGCTGTGTTGGGTAACAGATCTAAGCATTCCACAAAGTTCCCCTCACTACGCCTCCCTCAGTGAATGTTAGTAATCAAAAAAGAGTAAGTGAGGGAAGGTGTTTAAAACTCTCTGCACAATGCCTTGTTCACAAGATGATCTTGTTTTTCAGAATCAAGCCCTGTCTTGCTTTGACCTTGGGTCATGTGCTAGGCGCTGTGTCCATAGAAAGCGCTCAGTGGTGGGGGCAGGGCCGACTACGTGATTGTCAGGCTCACTGCAAAACGGCCCCCTCCTTGAAAAATGACTAAGAATCTCAAGAAGGCGGCAGCAGAGATTGAGCAAAGTGCAGGCTGCCGTGGACACACGAAGCCATGAACGTGGAGCCGGGCCTGGTGGGCTCACCGTCGCGAGGTCCCTGGCTGGAGACACCAGCAAGCTCTTGCTGTTTGGGGTTCTCTTTTTCAGCCTCTACTCCAGCCACTCCTCTGGCCCTCACCTACTTTTTTTTTTCAACTTCTATTTTAAGTTTCAGGGTGCAGGGTACACATGCAGGATGTGCAGGTTTGTTACATAGGTAAACATGTGCCATGGTGATCTACTGCACAGATCATCCCATCACCCAGGAATTACGCCCAGCATCCATTTCACTCTCTTCCCCTCTCTTCCCCTCCTTTCCCCTCTCTTCCCCTCCTTTCCCCTCCCCTCTCCTACCCTCCCCTCTCCTGTCGTTTCCTTTCCTTTCCTGATAGGGTCTTACTCTGCCATCCAGGCTGGAGTGCAGTGGCGCAATCATGGCTCACTGCAGTCTCAATCTTTCTGGGCTGAAGTGATCCTCCCACCTCCCGAATAGCTGGGAATACAAGCACACAACCATGCTTGGCTAATTTTTGAACAGATGGGGTTTTGCTAAGTTGCCTAGGCTGGTCTTGAACTCCTGGGCTCAAGAGATCTGTCCACCGCGGTCTCCCAAAGTGTTGGGATTACAGGCGTGAGCCACTGTGCCTGGCTGATCCTTTCTTTTGATGACATGTCCTCCAAGTGTGGGCTGGGGACCAACAGTGTGAGCATCACCTGGGAGCTTGCCAGAAATGCAGAATCTCAGGTTCCACCCTGGAACTACAGAATCAGAAACTCTGGGCGGGGTCCCAGCAATCTGAGACTCAGCAAGCCTCGCCGGGGGGTTCTGAGGCTCCCTGGAGTTTGAGTACTGCTGCTCTGGGTGATTAGCTTCTCTGCGTGTCTCAGATCCATCCTCCTGTTTGCCAGGCCCTCTTGCAGATACTAGAGACAAAAGAGTGAGCAAAGCGCTGATCCTACTGGGTGGGGCTCATGTTCTGGTAGGGAAGGAAGATGTCTATCAAATAATTCCTCCAGTGAGTATATAATTACACACTGAGATAAACCCCAGGAAGGAAAGCAGAGCCTGTAAGAAAGAAGGTAGGTATGGCCTGGGTGTGGGGGATGGGTGGGAATGCTACTGTTAAAGTCCAGTGCCATCTGGGAAGACTTCCTGGAGGAGGTGGCAGGAACTCAGAGAACTAAGCCTTGCATTTGGGCTACACGTGCTCCTGCATTTATTATTTTCATTTTTTATATCAGCCACATTTGGTACACCCTGGAGCCTACAGCCTGACCTGCAGTAGATTTCAGGAAAGATAAGCTGGCCTCCCTCCCCTGTGATCTGGGAGGTGCCTGTTCCCCAGGGAAAGTCTATAAATAGCCAGTCTCCTTCAGCAACACCTATCTCACCAGGCCTTCTCCTCCTTCTACCCCCTCCCCCAGATATCAGCATATTGAAATTTGAGTGACAGTTTTGCCTTCACTTATTATTGAATTCTCCTAATAGTAGTTGCTGTTTATCTACTATCTTGTGTGAACCGGGAATTGTATGTTTTTTTTCTTCTTTCCCTTTTTCCTTCCTTCTTTTCCTGTCTAAACTTGTCTTAAGTTTTTCTCATAAACCATAAATAAAAATTGGCACAATTTAAAGTTCCTCCTTCACTCCCCCACTTTATGGATCCTATTTTCCCCCGTGACTTGGGGTTGGGGGAGGCGGAGGGAGGAAGGTCCTGTTTGTTTCTGATCAGTTTGCGGTAATCAGGTCACTGTTTGCTTGGGTGTTCTTGGCCCCTTTTCTGCGCAAGTCTAGAGAGGCTGCAGGATTGTGGTTAAGAGCACGGAAGTCTACAGCCCAGGCTGCCTGGATGCAAATTCTAGTTCTGCCACTCGCCAGCTGTGAGACCTCGGGCAAACTTAACTTTTCCCTGCCTCTGTTTGTTCTTCTGTACAATGGGGTAGTAACTAAGTGTACATACATCGGGGGGTCTGTTGTGGAATGGAGTCATTTAATACACATCAAGCATGTAAGGTAGCACCTGATCATGGTGATTTTTATTAGCAATAATTATTTAATTATAAGTAATTATTATTATACAACTACAGGCTGGGCGTGGTGGCTCACGCCTGTAATCCCAGCACTTTGAGAGGCCGAGGCGGGCGGATCATGAGGTCAGGAGTTTGAGATCAGCCCGGCCAACGTAGTGAATTTCATGCGCGTCCGTGTGAAGAGACCACCAAACAGGCTTTGTGTGAGCAACATGGCTGTTTATTTCACCTGGGTGCAGGCGGGCTGAGTCCGAAAAGAGAGTCGGCAAAGGGTGGTGGATTATCATTAGTTATTATAGGTTTGGGGATAGGCGGTGAAGTTACGTTTTGCGTGCAGGGGTGGATCTTTCAGAGTACCTTCTTAAGGGTGGGGGAGATTACAAAGTACATTGATCAGTTAGAGTGCGGCAGAAACAAATCACAATGGTGGAGTGTCATCAGTTAAGGCTATTTTTACTTCTTTTGTGGATCTTCAGTTACTTCAGGCCATCTGGATGTATACGTGCAAGTCACAGGGGATGTGATGGCTTGGCTTGGGCTCAGAGGCCTGACAGTGAAACCTCATCTCTACTAAAAATACAAAAATTAGCTGCTTGTGGTGACATGAGCCTGTAATCCCAGCTACTCAGGAGGCTGAGGCAGGAGAATTGCTTGAACCTGGGAAGCAGAGGTTGCAGTGAGCCGAGATCATGCCACTGCACTCCAGCCTGGACGACAGAGCAAGACTCTGTCCTGAAAAAAAGAAAAAATATTTAAAAAAAAATTATACAACTACATAAGTGTCTTTTCCCTCATAGATTCATGCTGGGCACACTATTCTGCCCACTCCATGCTTCCATATTCCTGCAGTGTATGTGGGTCAACACATCTTCAATGGCGGTGTAGGCATTCGTATTTAACCCGTTTCCTGCCGACAGTTAGTTGGTTTCCTTTTTTGATTTTTAGAACAATGTTATAATGAACATCTATGGATATACCACATTGTTTTGAATCCTTACAAAAATCCCTGTAGAAATCTGAGGCTTAGAAAATGAAGTAACTTGCCCAGGGTCACACAGCTCTTCATGGAATTGGGCCCAGGGCGGCCTGAATTCTAAGCTCGAGTCCCCTGGACTCCTTGTCAGTGTTAGGAATACCTCTGCTTCAAATGCTTTCTTTTTTTCTTAAAGTTCTGGGATACATGTGCAGAACGTACAGGTTTGTTACATAGGTATCCACGTGCCATGGTGGTTTGCTGCACCCATCAACCCATCATCTACATTAGTTATTTCTCCTAATGCTATCCCTCCCCTCTCCCCACACCCCCTGACAGGCCCCGGTGTGTGATGTTCCCGTCCCTGTGTCCATGCGTTCTCATTGTTCAACTCCCACTTATGAGTGAGAACATACGGTGTTTGGTTTTCTGTTCCTGTGTTAGTTTGCTGAGAATGATGGTTTCCAGCTTCATCCATGTCCCTGCAAAGGACACGAACTCATCCTTTTTTATGGCTGCGTAGTATTCCATGGTGTACATGTGCTACATTTTCTTTATCCAGTCTATCACTGATGGGCTTCAAATACATTCTTCACAGAAACCTCCCCACCCCCTTTTAAGAACAGTTGCATTGACTTGACTCATGCCTCCCAATCCCCTGCCTTTTGCCATCTCTCAGGGTCAGTCCTGGGGCAGGATGGGCAGCCAGGTTCCTCCTGGCATGGGGGCTGATCTGTTCAGCTCAACACCATTGCAGCCAGGGCTCAAAGGCTGACCATAGACATGGCCAAGCCATGGCCACATGTGGTGGCTCACACCTGTAATCCTAGCACTTTGGGAGGCTAAGGCGAGAGGATCACTTGAGGTCAAAAGTTTGAGACCAGCCTGGCCAACGTGGCAAAACCCCGTCTCTACTAAAAATGCAAAACATTTAGCCAGGCATGGTGGCGGGTGCCTGTAATCCCAGCTACTTGGGAGGCTCAGGCACCAGAATCGCTTGAACCCAGGAGGCGGAGGTTGCAGTGAGCTGAGATCTTTTCACTGCATTCCAGCGTGGGCGACAGAGCAAGACTCCATCTAAAAAAAAAAAAAAAAAAAAAAGTAAAGAAAGAAATGGCCAAGCCAGGAGGAAGAGCTGCCCCTCTTCCTGGACCATCCAGGCAAAAGCAGCCTCAGAAGAGACAGGCAAGAGTCTACAGCTGGAGACAGAAGTGTGCCTCCTCTCCCAGGGACATGCTGGGATCCAGCGCTGGGCCTGCCCTGGAGCAAAGCTAGTGGGTTCCTGGGAGCCACTGTCCTTGTCATCTTGGGCACAGCTCAGTGGCCTACTGCTTTCTGCTACTGAGGCCGCAAGCAGGTCCACTAGGAACCAGCCTCACTGTCCCAAAACTGAGTGTGAATCAGTGCCAGGGAGGCCCAGCTGTGTGTCTAGAGGCAGACAGGTGGGCTGGCAGGAAAGCCTGCATCAAACCCTCACTCCACACTCACCTGCCGTGACCTTGGGCAAAGCTCTCAAATCCAGGGCCTTGGTTTGCCCATCCAACAAAATGGGCACAGCGCCTGCCAACTTGAACTTTTGGTGAGATAGAGGAGTGAAGGTGCGCGTGATGATAAGCAGCCATGTCTGGTCCGTAGTATGTGCTCAGCCAATGCGGGTTGAACCTGAATATAGGAATGAACCTGTTTCTTCCCAGCCATACCGTTATTCTGGAATCATTTCTTCATTTATTGTCTGGAAATAATTTCAAATGGACAGAAAAGTTGTAAGAAGATGATAGCACAAACACTATAGCACATCCTTCCTCCAGGGTCTCTCAGCATCGTCAGTACATTTCGACACTGGCTGCATTGTCCTCAGCCTCACCGCCCCCATTTAGACATAAATTGCAGACATGATGCTGTATTATTTCTGAATACATCTGTGTGTGTGTGTGTATGTGTGTGTTGGGGGTGGGGGTGTTGGTTTTGTTGGTTTTTTTTTTTTTTTTTTTTTGAGACAGCGTCTTACTCTTTTCACCCGGCTGAGAGCAGTAGCGCAATCTCGGCTCACTGCAGCATCCAACTCTCAGGCTCAAGCGATCCTCCAACCTCAGCCTCCCCAGTAGCTGGGACTACAGGCATGTGCCACCACGCCCAGCTAATTTTTGTATTGTTGTAGAGACTGGGTTTCACGCTGTTGTCCAGGCTGGTCTCAAACTCCTGAGCTCAAGCAATCCTCCCACCTCAGCCTCCCAAAGTGCTGGGATTATAGGTGTCAGCCACTGTGCCCAGCCTATTTTCTTTAAGTGACAGTCTTCATTAATCACAACAGAGTCCAAAAATCAGGAAATGAACATCTACACAACATGACCATCCAGTCCACAAGTTCCCATCAGCGTTGTCCTGGTAACAGGGAAAGGATGTGGCTCTTAGTTGCCACGTCCCTCTGTTTCTCCTTCTGTGTGGAATACTCCTGTGGATTTTCCTTGTCTTCTGTATTCTCGACCTTTTTAGAGATTCCGGGCTCAGATTCCAGGCTCGGGGACGTCATAGGATGTCTCTTGATTTGAGTTTGTCTAATGTTTCCTCGGGATTTGGCTCAGGTTACGCGCTTCTGGAGAAAGCCCTGTGGCACGATACTGTGTCCTCCTTAGTACATGGTATTGGGAGGCCCACCCAGCTGTTTGTCTCGTTACTGGTGGGAGTAACTTTTGCCCCTTGGTTAAGACAGCGTCTGCCAGGTTTCCCTTAATTAAAGCTATTACTTTCTCCCTTGTAATGATTAAGTATTTTACCGAGAGACATGTTGAGACTGTGTCAGTATCTGATTCTCGTTTTATTTTCGCTCATTAAGTTCGGCATGCATGGACGATGCTTGGCTGAATGGATTACTATCACAACGTTTGCTGAATGGTGATTTTCTAATTCCATCTACATTAGTCCCTTCTCACACTGCTATAAAGAAATACCTGAAGCCGGGCATGGTGGCTCATGCCTGTAATCCCAGCACTTTGGAAGGCCAAGGTGGGTGGATCACTTCAGGTCAGAAGTTCAAGAGCAGCCTGGCCAACATGGTGAAACCTGGTCTCTAATAAAAATACAAAATTAGCCGGGCTTGGTGATGCATGCCTGTAATCCCAGCTACCTAGGAGGCTGAGGCAGGAGTATAGTTTGAACCCAGGAGGCGGAGGTTGCAGTGAGCTAAGATTGTAGCACTGCACTCCAGCCTAGGTGACAGAGTGAGACTCTGTCTCAAAAAACACACACATAAAAAGAAGAAATACCTGAGACTGTGTGATTTATAGGGAAAAGAGGTTTGATGGGCTCACGGTTCTGCAGGCTGTACAGGAAGCACAGTGGCTTCTTCTGGGAAGACCTCAGGAGGTTTCCAATCATGGTGGAAGGCAAAGGAGGAGTGAAGTGTCTTACATGGTGGGAACAGGAGCAAGAGAGAGAGCAGGGGACGGTGTCCCATGCTTTTAAATGACGAGATCTCACGAGAACTCACATTCGCGAGGACAGTACTAAGGGGATAGTGCTCAACTATTCATGAGATATCCTTCCCCATGATGCAGTCACCTCCCACCAGGCCCACCTCCAACATTAGAGAATAGAATTGGACATGAGATTTGGGGGTGAACACAGATCCAAACCATATCACCATCATCATCATTCTCTCTCATTTAACGTCTCCTGTAAGGAAGAGCTTTCTCTTCTCCCTGTTAACTTGGTCGTTTATTCATTGATATCAGTAGGAATGCAAGGACTCTGTATTAGTCCACTCTCATGCTGCTATGAAGAAATATCTGAGACTGAGTAATTTACAAAGAAAAGAGGTTTCATTGACTCACAGTTCCGCATGTCTGGGGAGGCCTCAGGAAACTTACAGTCATGGCGGAAGGCACCTCTTCACAGAGCGGCAGGAGAGAGAATGAATGCTGAGCAAAGGGGGAAGCCCCATATGAAACCATCAGATCTTGTGAGAACTCACTCACTATCATGAGCATGGGGGAACCACTCCCGCCATCTAATCACCTCCCATGAGGTCCCTTCCCCAACATGCGGGGATTACACTTCAGATTACAATTCCAAATGAGATTTGGGTGGGGACACAGAGCCAGGCCATATCAGAGTCCTAGTTGATTAAATATGCTATGATTTGTTACTATCAATATTTATTTTGATGCTTCATTGTCTTAATTTGGCCAACGGGAACCCTTTCAAGGTGACTGCCATGCCCTCTTGACATTTTTTACGTTATCCTTTGAGCACTTCCCTTTCTGGCATAATGAGAAACTTCAGCTTCATTTTGTACTTTCTGTACCTTGGCCCTGGAAAAAGCCATTTCTCCCAGTATCCTTGGCTGTTTTTACCGGAAGAATTATATTTAGAAAGCAAGATCTGGTAGTATGTGTTCATTGTTACTGGGTGCCATGGCTCCTGGGCCCTCTCAGTGGAGGGGGTGTAAGTGTGCATATGCTGCGAGATCTATATTTAGTTTTATATCTGTCTCTCTCTGTATCTCCATATATTCCAGTCCAATAAATACCACAGGGTTTGTGCCAGTTCTTTGTATATTTTTAACTCTTTTCACCAACAGTAAGAACACTGGCTACCATTACCATTAGCATATTTCCTTACTGCACAATTTCCCTGTATGTAACCCATCTCCTCACCTTGCCAACAATTGCACTGGCCACCACTCTGCCTAGCCGTCTCCTCTTGGCCCGAATGCACTGGCCACCCTTGAGCAAGGTTCATGCTCCAAGTATCTCACTTTGTCCTGTTGCTAGCTCCTTGCTCGCTGGTGTCACACTCCCACTGCGTATGCACACACAGACGCACACAGGTACTACCTAGAAAGGACTTCAGGGGCTGGAAAACATCTCTGAAGCCCCTCTTGACCTGAGGCTGAAATTTCAGAAGCCCTTCCTCACATCAATGCTAGGTGCGAGGTATCATCATTCCCATTTTAAAGAGGAGGAAACTGTGACTCAGAAAAGTCAAGCGGCTTGCTGAGGGTCACACAGCGTAGGTGGGGGTAGCTAGACCAGGCCGAGTCTGGGCCTGGTGATGCCTCCTCTACCCTGTTGGCTGCATTTAGGGTTTTTGTTTGTTTGTTTGTTTGTTTTGGTCCCTAACATTAAAAAATATTCAGGCAGGCCCTTCTGAGTTCTTTTGCAATGTTCTTCCCCATTTTCCCACACTGTCTTAAGCTTGATTGTCGCCACTCACCTGTGGGCAGTGGGGTTGGGGGTGCAGATCTGAGGGAAAAACTGTTTGGCAGTGACGACTATCACTGAACAAGCATGCCGCGCTCTGAGAACCTGAGACTGCGATAACCCCAGACTGAGTTCCACTTCTGAGCACATTTGGGCACTCGTATCTCCTGGAGGGCTTGCATGTGAATGGTCACAGCAGTGTCCTATATAAAAGCCCAAACTGGGCCAGGTGCGGTGGCTCGTGCCTGTAATCCCAGCGCGTTGGGAGGCCCAGGCGAGTGGATCACCTAAACTCAGGAATTCAAGACCAGCCTGACCAACATGGTGAAACCCGTCTCTACAAAAATTAGCCAGGCATGATGGCAGGTGCCTGTAATCCCAGCCACTCAGGAGGCTGAGGCAGGAGAATCACTTGAACCAGGGAGGCGGAGGTTGCAGTGAGCCGAGATTGCGCCATTGCACTCCAGCCTGGGCGACAGAGTGAGACTCTGTCTCAAAAAAAACAAGAAAGATCAAACTGGACACAAAATGCCAGCCATGTGCACGTACTTAAATAAACTGTGGCATAGCCATGAAGCAGCGTACTTAGAATACTATAGAGCAACAAAAGAGAATGAGTGGCAGTTATTCATGGAAATGCACCAGTGAAGCTCACAGCCTATTCACTTCTCCAAGGTTGCGGCCCCTCAAGAATAAGACTTTGCTGGGTTGGCCCTTGAGTGCGTCTCCCAAGACAGCCCTTCTCAGACAGCTCTGGGTACATTTTAGAATATTAGAATCGCCTGGGGGACTGGGTGTGGTGGCTGATGCCTGTAATCCCAGCACTTTGGGAAGCTGAGGTGGTAGGATTGCTTGAGCCCAGGAGTCCAAGGCCAGCCAGCCTGGGTGACATAGTGAGATCCCATGCCTATTTTTTTTTTTTTAATAGAAGCACCTGGGGGCTTGTGGAGCCCTGATGGCCTCACTCATCTGCTGGTCTCGGGTGAGCCCACAGCAGGTGTGTTTTTGTAAGAACCAGCAGCAACTTTTGGCCAGGCAGGTGCAGTGGCTCACGCCTGTCATCCCAGCACTTTGGGAGGCCGAGGTGGGTAGATCACCTGAGGTCAGGAGACCAGCCTGGCCAAATGGTGAAATCCTGTCTCTACTAAAAATACAAAAATTAGCTGGGCATGGTGGCAGGTACCTGTAACTCTAGCTACTCGGGAGACTGAGGCAAGAGAATGGCTTGAACCCGGGAGGCAGAGGTTGCAGTGAGCCGAGATCACGCCACTGCACTGCAGCCTGGGTGAAAGAGCGAGACTCTGTCTCAAAAAAAAAAGAAAGAAAAACTAGTATCAACCTTTGAACACATCAGTCAGAGTCCTCTACAGAACTTGCTGGAACACAGACTGTCTGCCCACCCCTAGGGCTTCTGAGGTAGTAGGCCCAGGGTAGGGCCTGAGTTTCTGCATTTCTAACAATTTCCAGGTGATGCTGGCCTGAGGCCCATACTCTGAGAATCCTGGAATAAGATAAAACTAGAGAATACCCAGATCTGTGCCTTGGGAGAGAAGGATAGAGAAGCCTTGGAAAGAAGGAAGCATCTGCCTGAGTGTGGCTTATTTGGGTGTGTGTCTCCAATGTCACCCTTGTCAGGAAGCCCACTCGATTGTTTTGTTCTTGTGTCATTCTGACTCTTGCATTGATTCTCTCCAAAGGCATCGATCCCAATAATTACGTGCCCTATATTGTGAAATTCTTTTTTTGTTTTGTTTTATTTCTGTTTTTGTTTTTTGAGATGGAGTCTCGCTCTGTTGCCAGGCTAGAGTGCAGTGGTGCAATCTTGGCTCACTGCTACCTCCGCCTCCTGGGTTCAAGCGATTCTCCTGCCTCAGCCTCCTGAGTAGCTGGGGCTACAGGTGGGCGCCACCATGCTCGGCTAATTTTTGTATTTTTAGTAGAGATGGGGTTTCACCATGTTACCCAGGATGGTCTCAATCTCTTGACCTCGTGATCCACCCAAAGTGCTGGGATTACAGGCATGAGCCACCGCGCCCGGCCTATATTGTGAAATTCTTGAAGGATTGGGGCTGGAGGATTCACTAGGCCCAGGGTTCTTTCTCTGCCTCTTCTCTTTCTCTGAAACCCCCAGGGGCCAAGTGCTTTCCACAACCTAAGGCATTTGGGATTCCCACATGAGCCGTTTTCTTGTTCTTCTCAGCACCTTCATGCCTGTTCTTCCCTCAGCCCAGAAGGCCCCTCATTCCAGTACCTCTCTCAACTGCTTTCTCACAATTCCTGGGTGCCTTTCTAGATTCCCCGCGATCTGCACTGGGGCCCGCCCATCTCCTTCGTTGTTAGCTGCACCCCAGGAGGGCGTGACCACCACGCGAGTTTTGAGCATCTCTCGGCTTGTTCATGCCTCTGGTGTCGTCAGATTTACACATGACACACAGTCATGGTTGAATTTCA
Organism: Homo sapiens; assembly: GCF_000001405.40. Taxonomy (NCBI): domain Eukaryota; kingdom Metazoa; phylum Chordata; class Mammalia; order Primates; family Hominidae; genus Homo; species Homo sapiens. The sequence continues at coordinate 84,389,468 of NC_000016.10, forward strand.
AACAATAAGTGCACGCTTGTCCCATGCGGTACTCGTGTATACTGGAAAATCATCTGGTGTTTATCTGGAGTGCAAAGGTAACTGGCATCTGTATTTTCGTTTCTTAAACGCGGCAGCCCTCTTCGGGCCCCTTGGTGTCCTCTAAGGACGAGGACTCCTGCTGTCCCCACCTCTGGTCACCGCTGTCACCCTAAGGCCCTCAGTGCTCCCTGGTGCTGGGCTCTGTGCTGGGAACTTCACTCTCACTGTTTCCTTTTTTTTTTTTTTTTTTGAGATGGAGTTTAGCTCTGTCACCCAGGCTGGAGTACGGTGGCGCTATCTCCGCTCACTTCAACCTCTGCCTCCTGGGTCCAAGCAGTTCTCCTGCCTCAGCCTCCCGAGTAGCTGGGACTACAGGCATGTGCTATCACGTTTGGCTAACTTTTTTGTATTTTTAGTAGAGACAGGGTTTCACCATGTTGGCCAGGCTGCTTTCGAACTCCTGACCTCTAATGATCCACCCACCTCAGTCTCCCAAAGTGCTGGGATTACAGGCCTGAGCCACCATGTCCAGTCTCACTTTCCTTTATCCCACGGCAGCCCTGTGGACCCCGGCTGTTATACCCTTAGCCCCCCACATTCCAGGGGAGGAAACTGAGGCACGGGCTAGGCTTTGGTCAAATATGTTGAAGCAATGCATGTCTGCATAAGCCCTCTAACAGGGAAGATCATTAGGGTCTAACGCAGTCCAAGTTCGCAATGAACCGAATCCCGGGGCTGGACGGGAGGGCGCCACAGCGGGGCTGGACTGAGGGAGGCTGTTCGCCCGGAGGTGCCGCTGGCTCCCTTGCTCTGGAGTGAGCTCACAGCTCCAACTCACCTTTCAGCAAGGGCCATACGTGCACTTCGTGGTCCCCTCGGGAGCCTCTGGTAGGTTAAACGTCAGTCCTGAGCTGCGCTTGTTGGGTGCAGCTTCTCTTGGAAACCTTTCTCTTCTAGGCCGTTTCCTTGGGGCTAGGGAGGCTGCGCTCACCGTCGCCCGCGTGGGTCTATCTGCAGCAGGCAAATAACATCTTGGGGGTTCCAAAGGAGGCACAGACACAGAAGATGGATGTGAAGTAGGCGGGACCGTGACGTCCATAGAGACAGGAAGCAGATGAGTCGTTCCGGAGGCTGGAAAGGGCGTGGGGAGTGCCTGCTTCCTGGGCACAGGATTTTCCTCTGGCGGGCGGTGAAAGTGTTTGGGGATGAGCTCCACGTGGTGCCTGCACAACATTGCAAAGGTACTAGATGCACTGAACTGCATGCTCTAAAACAGTTAATTTTTTGTTATGTGGATTTCATCTTATAAAAAGCTTTAAAAAGGGAAACACAAAAGAAAAGGGGGCCGGGCGCGGTGGCTCACGCCTGTAATCCCAGTACTTTGGGAGGCCGAGGTGGGCGGATCACCTGAGGTCAGGAGTTTGAGACCAGCCCGGCCAACATGTTCAAACCCCGTCTCTACTAAAAATACAAAAATTAGCCCGGCGTGGTGGTGGGCACCTGTAATCCCAGCTACTCGAGTGGGTGAGGCAGGAGAATGGCTTGAGCCCTGGGGGCAGAGGTTGCAGTGAGCCGAGATCACACTGCTGCACTCCAGCCTGGGTGACAGAGTGAGACTCAGACTCAAAAAAAAAAAAAAAAAAAAAGAAGAAGAAGAAGGGAAGGTTTGGTTCTGCCTAAATCACCTGTGATGGAGAGGGAGAATTAGGGACACTCTCTGACCTTTACCAGGATGCGCCACTCTCATTACAAAAGGAACACTTGCGATTCACAGTGGACTGATGTCTACAAAGTAACAAGAAGCTACAGCCTCGGACCCTTCAGCCCCACAGCCCCGGGGCAGCTACTGCCATCTCTCGCATCTTCTGTGGACGCACATACATGCTGTTATGGTCAAGGCGTGTCCTCCCAAAAACATGTTGAAGCCCTAACCCCTGGTACCTGTGAATGCAACCTTATTTGCAAATAGGGTCTTTATCCATGCAGTCAAATTAAAATGAGGTCACACTGGAGTTGTGTGGGCCCTAACCCAATGACTGGGGTCTTTATAAGAAAAGCAGACAGAGACGCTTGGGAATATAGCCATGTGCTGGCAGAGGCAGAGACTGCTGTGATACGTACACATGCCAAGAACGCGGAAGATTGTCAGCCACCGCCAGAAACTGGGAGAGGAAGAAAAGATCTTGCCTGCAGGGTTCAATGGGAACGTGGCCCTGCCAGCATCTTGGTTTCAGAGTTTTAGCTTCCAGAACTGAGAGAACAAATTTCGGTTGTTTTAAGCCACCGAGTTTGTGTTGGTTGTTTGTTACAGCCGTGGAGACCAAGCAGCCATGGGAAACTCACACACAAAGTTGAATTGAAACTGTTTCCAAGTTCTTTTATGTGACTCCCGTTCCCTCCCCTCCCTTCATCTTTCCTTCCTTCCTCTTTTTTTTTTTAAAACAAAACTAGGATTATATTACGACGATTGTTCTGCAAAAGGTTTTTTTTTTAATTTGATGACATATCAGTGACGTCTCCTTAGGTCAAATCATATAACACCTCTTTTCTCTTTAATTTTATACTATTTAATTTTGTATTTTGTATTGGAGAATTCCAATCATATGCAGAAATAGACAGAATAATGGAATGAGCCCACATGACTCTGTTACCCAGTGCCAATGAGGGGAGCCAATCTTGACTCCTGTCTACCCCAGATTGTTTTGACACAAATCTCAGGCTTCCTAGCATTTCATCTATAAATATTTCTGCATATCTATGGCTAAAGAGAAGAACTCTTTAAAATATCACAATTACCATTATCATATCATAAAATATTAACAATTAGAGAAAATCAAATATTGGCCAATATTGAGGTTCCCTTGGGCTCCTAAACACTGCTTCACGCTGGTTTATTCAAATCAGGACTCAAGTGAGGTCCCAGCCTGCACTTGGCTGGGGTCTCTGATGGTTCTCTGCGTCTGCACGTTTCATCCTTGTGTTTTTCGTTTTGAGATGGAATTCTGCTCTTGTTGCCCAGGCTGGAGTGCAGTGGCGTGATCTCAGCTCACTGCAACCTCTGCCTCCTGAGTTCAAGTGATTCTCCTACCTTAGCCTCCTGAGTAGCTGGGATTACAGGTGCCCGCCACCACGCCCGGCTAATTCTTATATTTTTAGTAGAGATGGGCTTTCACCATGTTGACAAGGCTGGTCTCGAACTGCTGACTTCAGGTGATCTGCCTGCCTTGGCCTCTCAAAGTGCTGGGATTACGGGCGTGAGCCACTGCGCCCGGCCCATTCTTGTGTTTTTGTTGTAGTTTACATGCTGGGGAGGCCGGGCTGTGTGTCCTACAGTTCCCACAGTCTAGTGATCATGTCCCCATGGTGTCATTCAACGTGTCTATTATCTCCAGTATTTCCTGTCAACTGGTGGGTGGGCCTAGAATGGAGGCTTGGTGCAACTCAGGAGATGTGTTTGGCTGCCTGACAGCGTAGGTGCATCATGGCTGATCAACCTTCCTCACGATTTACCCTGAGTTTGTTTCCAGTTTTTGAGTGCCTCAGCTTCAAGGTGGGCCATTCTGGGTCATGGCAATGTCCTGATCAGCAGCGGGCACGGGCCCACTTGGAGAGAAGAAGTGAGTGTGTGTTTGGGGTTGGGTAGAGGGATGGGGGCCGTACCAGAGTCTGTAGTTTCTGGAAACAGAGTGGACAATCCTGTTTTCAACAAAGGATACATTAAGTGCCATTTAGATTATGGAGCTGTGTGATTGGAATCAACCCGGGGCAGATTAGGCCCCCGGGCCCCTATGCATTCTTAAGGAGATGAGGGGGGTGCCCAGGTAAGCATCCCAGGTAGGAGTCTCCCAAATGCAGGGCGAGGAGTGGCAGCGTCCACGAGCTCAGTCACCAACCCAGGGACTCTGTTTCCTGACTGTCACGAGACTGGACTGAGGCAGAGCAAGCCCTCACTTACAATGTATTGGGTCCAGGGCTATGTCCCGGTGGCCTTGAAACACCGAAATGACCTGGAGATCTGGCTGAAGTCGGTTGAGAAGTGGATAGGAAATGAAAAGATAGAGACAGCAAGTATAGACACTCCTTCTAAAAGCTCGATGTTGGCAAATGAGGAAGGAGCAGGTGTATTTCCAATGCAAGGCCCAGAAAAGAGGTTATGTTTAAAGTGGAAACCCATGCTGAGATGTTTATGGGAGGAGCCAGCAAAGAGGGGAGGAGGATAGAGGATGGGAGGCCAGTGGATGGGAGGCTATGGGTGTGGGGGGAGTGGGGGTGGAGGGGGCTGTGACCGACACAGGTGGGACCCAGGAGAGAGTCAGGAGGACGGTTTCTAAGTGGTGGACGGAGTTCCTGCCTGTAGCTTGTAAATGGCTTTAAAAAAACAAAAAGGCTAGGCATGGTGGCTCACACCTGTAATCTTAGCACTGTAGGGGGCCGAGGCAGGTGGATCACTTGAGTCCAGGGGTTCAAGACCAGCCTGGGCAACATGGCAAAACCTTGTCTCAATTAAAAATACCAAAAAAAATAAAAAAATAAAAAATAAAAAGGCCTGGTGTGATGACACACACCTGTAGTCCTAGCTTCTCAGGAGGCTGAGGTGGGAGAATCAAATTGCTTGAGCCTGGGAGGCGGAGGTTGCAGTGCACCAAGATCACACCACTGCACTCCAGCCTGAGCAACAGAGCAAGACTCTGCCTCAAAAACGAAAAACAAAATTCTTATTTTATTGAGGTGAAATTCACATAACAAAATCAACCATCTCACAGTAAACATTGTAATGGGATCTAGTACACTCACAATGTCGTGTGACCACCACTTCTATTCAGTTCTGAAACATTTGAAAGAAACCCTGTACCCATTAGCAGTTTCTCCCCATTCCCCCTTCCCCAGTCCCAGTCTGCTTTCTGCTCCTACGAATTTGCCTGTCCCGGGCCTTTCCTATGAGTGGACTCACATACCGTGTGGCCTTTTGTGTCTGGCTTCTTCCGCTTAGTGTGATGTCTTCCAGGTTCATCTGTGTTGTAGCAAGTGTGTTTCCCAGGGCTATGGTCACCGAGTACCAAAAATGTGGTGGCTTAAATTTAAATGTATTGTCTCACAGTTCTAGAAGCCAGAAGTCAAAACTCAAGGAGTCAGGAGGGCTGTGCTCTCTCTGGAGGCTCCAGGGGAGGATCTGTTCCACGCTTCTCTTCAAGCTTCCATCATGGCCAGCAATCCCCAGCATTCATTGACCGATGGACACGTCACTCCAGCCTCTGCCTCCATCATCACAGGGTTTTCTCCTGTGTCTCCACATGGACTTCCCTGTGTGCATGTTTATCTCTGCAAAATTCTCCTTTTTGCAAGAACATCGCTCATATTTGACCTCATCTGACCTTGATCATTTCTGTAAAGATGCCCTCCAGATAAAGTCACATTCTGGTGTACCAGGTGTTAGGCTTTCAAAGAATGGTTTTGCAGAGGCCACAGTTTAACAACATTCACGTGCGTCAGTATTGCATTCCTGTTTGAGGCTGAGTTGATGCTCCACTGTCTGGATGGACCACATTTTGCTTCTCCATAATCCGTGGATGGGCATCGGGCAGTGTCTGACTTTTGGGTCTCGTGAACTGTGCTGCTGTGAGCAGAGTCCCTGTTTCCAGTACCCTTGGTTACAGAGCTGGGAGTGTGTAGGTGGCTTTTACTCACAGAGGGAAGTCGGAGGCTGGGTCCTCTCTCCTTTGGGCTCTGGACTCTGCCCCTGCAGTCACAAAACACAGGGGAGTGAGGGAGGTCTCTGCATCCAACCCCCTCTCCCCTCCAGTGTCACTGCAGCATGGCACCCTGTCACCCCATGACTTCCTCAATCCACCTAGCTCATTCCCCAGGGACATGTGGGTGGACAGCCCTGGGCCTTCAGATGTCCAGAGCACGTGACAAAGGTTGGGGGCACATGCTAGTCCTGCCCTCAAAGGCAGGGGAATTGGTGCCTTTGATCTTTTTTTTTTTTTTGAGACAGAGTCTCACTCTGTTGCCCAGGCTGGAGTGCAGTGGCATGATCTTGGCTCATTGCAACCTCCGCCTTCCAGGTTCAAGCAATTCTCCCTGACTCTGGCTCATTGCAACCTCCGCCTTCCAGGTTCAAGCAATTCTCCCTGACTCAGCCTCCAGAGTCGCTGAGATTACAGATGCCTGCCACCATGCCTGGCTAATTTTTGTATTTTTACAAAATACCATGTTGGCCAGGCTGGTCTCGAACTCCTGACTTTAGATGATCTGCCTGCCTCAGCTTCCCAAAGTGCTGGGATTATAGGTATGAGCCACTGTGTCTGGCCCTTTTCTTCTGGATTTTTATTGTGGTAAAATATACATAACATAAAATTCACCATTTTAACCATTTTTAAGGGTATGGCTCTCTGGCATTAAGTATATTCCCATTGTTATGCAACCATCACCAATATTTGCCTCCAAAACTCTCATCTTTCCCAAAGAGACTCTGTAGTCATTAAACACTAACTCCCCAGCCCGGTTACCTCTGCTCTCCTTTCTGTCTCTGTGAGTTTGACTATTTTAGGGACCTCCTGTAACTGGAGTCCTATAGGATTTGTCCTTTCGGGTCTGGCTTATTTCACCAGGCATAACATCTTCAAGGTTCATCCATGTTGTAGCATGTGTGGGTTTTGGGCAGTCACATTGAAGGTAATTGGGCTCTTATCCTGAGAGCACTGGAATCTCTGCAAGTGTTTTCAAGCATCGGGCGTGTGTGTGTGTGTGTGTGAGATGGGATTTATGTGTTTCGAGCCAGGTGCAGTGGCTCACGCCTGTAATCTCAGCACTTTTGGAGGCTGAGGCAGGCAGATCACCTGAGGTCAGAAATTTGAGACCAGCCTGGCCAACCTGGTGAAAACCCGTCTCTACTAAAAATACAAAAACAAATTAGTGAGGCGTGGCGGTGCGTGCCTGTAGTCCCAGCTACTGGGGAGGGTGAGGCAGGAGACTCGCTTGAACCCGGGAGGAGGAGGTTGTAGTGAGCCGAGGTCGCACCACTGCACTCCAGCCTGGGTGACAGAGTGAGGCTCTATCTCAAAAAAAAAAAAAAAAAAAAAAAGGAAAAGTGAATTCGGTGTAGTGAGTCACAAATGGCAAGGCTGAGGGCAGCTGAGTGAGTGTGGGGGATGGGGGGAGTGCCCAGCCTGCCTCCACCTGTGGTGTGCGCAAGAATCAAGCACTTTATTTGGTACGACGGGAGCAGATCTTGAGAATGGGGGGAAAAGTCTTGTGCAATCCACATTTTTCTTTGAAGTAACTCTACAAAGAATGCAATGTTGACTTAAGGAGGGCTCCCAATGGATGGCTAAGCCTGCTTAAAGATCTGCGTAATCGCTGCTGTGCTCCTGGGCACTGGGCATGAGTGAGAAGCAGCCGCATGAAACCGAGGTGGGTAGCACAGCTTTTCTAAGCAAATAGGCATTTGGGAGGAGATGGTTTGGGGTTGGGGAGGGCGGCTGTCAAGAAGGAAGAGTGGGATTTGCAATCTCTATTACAGCTAAAGGAGGAAGTTACTCAATACCTCTCCTGCTTCCTTTTTCCCAGTTTCCAGTAACCTGGTGGAAAAGGAAAAGATGATTATCACATCCTGGGTATCAGGATGCTAGGAATGGTTTTGCAAAAATACCTCACACTTTTCCGCTTCTGAGGTCTCCTTTGTATTAGCAAAGCCTCCCGAAGCCTCCAGGTGTTTCACGTGGCTTCTTTCCAGGCCCGCAGGTCTCAACACAGAGTGCTGGGACTTCCAGAACTTGGTTGTGTTTCCCCTCCCCTTTTCTTTGGTTATTTAAAATGTCCCATAGAACCAGGCTGTGATACCACCTATCATCAGTAGGAGGCACTCTCTGCAATATGGTGCATACTTGATGGAGAATCCTGGAAGTTCGAGGTTCAGGATTCTACATATGTATATTGTTGCCCTACTCTGTCCACTTACAAGTTTCAATTCTGTAAAATAAGTTCGCTCAGCCTGGGCAACATAGGGAGACCCTGTCCCTACAAAATATTAAAAAATTAGCCAGGCACAATAGCATGCACCTGTGGTCCTGCTATTCAGGAGGCTGAAGCAGGAGGATCACCTGAGCCTGGGAGGTTGAGGCTGCAGTGAGCTATGATTGCACCACTGCACTCCAGCCTGGGTGACAAAAAAAAAAAAAAAAAACTTGCTTAAAAATAGATGCATCAGTATTAGCCAACAACTAACAACTGGAACCCAGATATTCATCAACAGGAGAACAAATACAATGTGATCTACTCATACAGTGGAATACTAAGCTGCTGTGAAAATTAGCGTACTGTTGCTACATGCATTCTCACTTGTATAAATCTCACTAACAATGTTGAGTGAAAGAAATCAGACAAGAAAGCATGTATGAGTGTATACTGCATGGCACCATTTCCATAAAGTTCAAACCCTGGCCAACCTAATCTATGAGGATTGAAACCATGACAGCAGTTACCCCTCAGGTAGGTAGGTTGGCCAAGGGAGCATCAGGGGACCAGTCATATCTGTTTCTTAATTTGGGGGCTGGTTATAAGGGTTAGTTTGTGAGCTGTACACATATGCACACTGTGTGTGTGTGTTTTATGCTTTAAAAAAAACACATGTGGCCGGGCGCAGTGGCTCCACCTTTAATCCCAGCACTTTGGGAGGCCGAGGCAAGCGGATCACCTGAGGTCAGGAGTTTGAGACCAACCTGGCCAACATGGTGAAACCTCGTCTCTACTAAAAATACCAAAAAAATTTAGTGGGGTGTGGTGATGCGTACCTGTAATCCCAGCTACTCGGGAGGCTGAGACAGAAGAATCTCTTGAACCCGGTAAGTGGAGGTTGTGGTGAGCTGAGATCATGACACTGCACTCCAGCCTGGGTGACAGAGTGAGACTCCATCTCAAAAAAATAAACTAATAAAAATAAAAAATAAATTTAAAAATTAATCAGTACAAAAGTTCAATCCGCTAAACAGCAACCCTGCTCTTTTCACAGATTGATGAACAGAGTGAGCTGAAAGCCATCGAGAAAGAGAAGAAGGTGACAGCCCTGCCCCCCAAGGAAGCGTGCAAATGCCAGAAAGAGGATTTGGCCAGAGCGTTTTGTGTAAGAATTGAATTTGCATCTGGAGCTAATTGTGATAAGGTTTTATGTTTAAAAGAAAGCAACACAAAGCCCTGAACAGTGCTTTGAAATTCTGTGTTATTATCAATTTTATCATCAAGGTTGGAAAATATTGTTGATGTTGAATGGTTCAGATTCCACAGGTAGAATATCAGTACTTGTCAGTAGAGCTCGTCTTCACCAGGCCCTTACCGGAAGACGGCGTCCTTTGAGACACTCTGTGTACGCTGCTTCTCTTCAGCCTCACATTTCTTGGCAAAAACATAAAGGGATGGAAGATGAAGTTGAGACACAGAAAGTAGCACAGTCCAGTGTTAGAGGTAGCACAGCCCAGCGTGGAGTCCAGCTGTTTCACATGAAAGCCCAAACTCTTGGTCATCCGGTATTCCCACCGTCGTCTTTTATAATCCGTGGAGTTGCCAGGTACTAAAACCAAATTCTCCCAAGTTTCTCAAGTGAGTTTGAATTAATTCCTGGCCAGTGCAAGACAAACATTTGCATTGCACACAAGTGTGTGTGTGTGCACACGTGCGTGCACGTGCATACTCAGAACCACTACATTTTGGGAAAGCAAATAAAAAGCCCCCAGGAAAAGGGCACATACTACAATTTCAGGAAGTTGGAAGCTAGTGTCTTTTCTTGAGAATAACTCAAGTCTGTTTCAATTCAAGTCCTGTGTATTAGTATTTGGAGAGGGGGAGGAAGTATTTCTTCTCTGCCTGCATATTATCCCTAGCTAGAAAATGAGCTAGATTTTCTTTCACTATTCAAAAGAATCTAGAAATCAATTCTGTTCTCCCCGTTTCCTCTACCAGCAAGTACAGTTTTCTTGTTATTGGCTTTTTAAAAACAAGGACACTTTTGTTGCGACCAGAACAACAAAGTTTCCTTCCATTATGACTGACTCATAAATTAGCTGTATTTAACGAATTTGTTTACAGAAAGAGCTTGAATGGAGTTGGGCACAATATAATTGTTTTAGCTACTGTTTCTTTTTTATTTTTAATTTTTGTGGGTACATAGTAGGTGCATATTTATGGGTTCCAGAGATACTTTGATACAGGCATACGCTATAATAATCACATCAGGGCAAACGGGGTCTCCATTACCTCAAGCATTTATCCTTTGTGTTACAAGTCATCCACTTACACTCTTTGAGTTATTTTAAAATGTACAATTAAATTATTTTTGACAACAGTCGCCCTGTCATGCCAGCAAATACTAGGTCTTATTTATTCTTTCTGACTATATTTTTTGTACCCATAGCCCTCTCCACTTTCTCCCAACTACCCTTTCCAGGCCCTGGTAACCATCCTACTATCTCCATGAGTTCAGTTATTTTAATTTTTAGCTTCCACTAATCAGCGAGAACCTGCAAAGTTTGCCTTTCTGTGTCTGGAGGTCACTATGTTATTTGACTTAATATAATGACCTCCAGTTCCATCCATGTTGTTGCAAATGACAGGATCTCATTCTTTTTTATGGGTGCATAGTACTCCATTGTGTATATGTACCACATTTTCTTTATTCATTTGTCTGTTGATGGATACTTAGGCTCCTTCCAAACCTTGGCTATTGTGAATACTCCTGCGATAAACATGGGAGTGCAGATATCTCTTCAATATTCTGATTTCCTTTCTTTTGGTTATGTATCTAGGAGTGGGACTGGGGATCATATAATAGTTGTATTTTTAGTTTTTTGTTGTTTTTTTTTTTTGAGATGGAGTCTCACTCTGTCACCCAAGCTGGAGTGCGGTGGCGCGATCTCTGCTCACTGCAAGCTCCGCCTCCTGGGTTCACGCCATTCTTCTGTCTCAGCCTCCTGAGTAGCTGGGACTACAGGCGCCTGCCACCATGCCTGGCTAATTTTTTTGTATTTTTAGTAGAGACGGGGTTTCACCGTGTTAGCCAGGATGGTCTCGATCTCCTGACCTCATGATCTGCCTGCCTCAGCCTCCCAAAGTGCTGGGATTACAGGCATGAGCCACCGCGCCCAGCGTATTTTTAGTTTTTTGAGGAACCCTCCAAACTGTTCACCAGTCATACTAATTTACATTCCTACCAACAGTGTACAAGGGTTCCCTTTTCTTCATATCCAGGATTTGTTATTGCCTGACTTTTGGATAAAAGCCATTTTAACTGTGATGAGATGATACCTCATTGTAGTTTTGATTTGCATTTCTCTGATCACAGATGGTGAGCACCTTTTCATGTACCTGTTTGCCATTCATATGTCTTCTTTTGAGGAATGTCTATCCAGATCTTTGGCCCATTTTAAAAACAGATTATTAGGTTTTCTCCTATAGAGTTGTTTGAGCTCTTTATACATTCTGGTTATTAATCCCGTGTCAGATGGGTAGTTTGCAAATATTTTCTTCCATTCTGTGGGTTGTCTCTTCACTTTGTTGATGATTTCCTTTGCTGTGCAGAAGCCTTTTAACTTGATGTGATTCCATTTATCCATTTTTGCTTTGGTTGCCTGTGCTTGTAGTATATTACTCAAGAAATCTTTGCCCAGTTCAATGTCCTGGAGAGTTTCCCCGATGTTCTCTTGATAGTTTCATAGTCTGTGATCTTAGATTGAAGTCTTTAATCTTTTTTTTTTTTTTTTTTTGAGACAGGGTCTCACTCTGTTGCCCAGGCTGGAGTGCGGTGGCGCTATCTCAGCTCACTGCAACCTCTGCCTCCTGGGTTCAAGCAATTCTCCTGCCTCAGCCTCCTGTAGTAGCTGGGATTACAGGCATGCACAACCACATCCAGCTAATTTTTGTATTCTTGGTAGAGCTGGGGTTTTGCCATGTTGACCAGGCTGATCTCGAACTCCTGACCTCAGGTAATCTGTCCACCTCATCTTTAATTCATTTTTATTTGATTTTTATTGATAATGAGAGATGGGGTGAAATTTCACTCTCCTGCATATGGAGATTTTGTTTTCCTGGTACCATTTATTAAAGAGATTGCCCTTTCCCCAGTGGATGTTCTTGACATCTTTGTCGAAAACGAGTTCACTGTAGATGTATGGATTTATATCTGGGTTCTCTATTCTGTTTCACTGATCTCTGTGTCTGTTTTTATGACAGTACCATGCTGTTTTGGTTACTAAAGCTCTGCAGTATAATTTAAAGTCAGGTAATATGATTCCTCCAGTGTTGTTCTTTTTCCTTAAGATAGCTTTGGCTATTCTGGGTCTTTTGTGGTTCCATATAAATTTTTAAATTGTTTTTTCTATTTCTGTTAAGAATGTCATTGTTATTTTAATAGGGATTCGATTAAATCTATAGATTGCTTTGGGTAGTATGGACATTTTAACAATATTGATTTTTCCAACCCATGAACATGGAATATCTTTCCATTTTTCTGTGTCTTCTTCAGTTTCTTGCATCAATGTTTTATAGTTTTCATTGTAGAGATCTTTTACTTCTTTAAGTTAATTCCTAGATATTTAATTTGCAGCTGTGGTAAATGGGATTACTTAATTGATTTCTTTTGCAGATTGCTTTCTCTTAGCATATAGCAATGCTACTGATCTTTATCATTTGAGTTTGTATCCTCTAACTTTACTGATTTTGTTTATGAGTTCTAATAGCTTTAGGTGGAGTCTTTAGGTTTTTTCAGATATAAGATCATATCATCTGCAAACAAGAATAATTTGACTTCTTCCTTTCCAATTTGGATGCCCTTTATTTTTTACTCTTGTCTGATTGCTCTAGCTAGAACTTACAGTATTCTGTTGAATAGTAGTGGTAAAAGTGGGTATCCTACGGGAAAAGCTTTCAGTTTTTCATCATTCAATATGACACTAGCCCTGGGTCTGTCATATATGGCTTTTATTACATTGAGACATGTTCCTTCTATACCTAGTTTTTTTAGGGTTTTTATTATGAAGAGATGTTGAATTCTGTCACGTTTTTTCAGCATTAATTGAAATGATCATATGGTTTTTGTCTTTCATTCTGTTGATGTGTCACATTAATTTGTGTATGGTGAACCATCCTTGCACCCTTGGGATAAATTCCTTTTGGTCATGATGAATTTTCATTTTAATGTGTTATTGCATTCAATTTGCTTGTATTTTGCTGAGGATTTTTGCATCAATAGTCATCAGTGATATTGGCCAGTAGTTTTCTTTTTTAAATGTGTCTTTGTCTGGTTTTGGTATCAGGGTAATACTGGCCTCGTAGAATGAAAGTATTCCCTACTCATCTGTTTTTTGGAATTATTTAGTAGGATTGGTATCGCTTCTTCGAGTGTTTGGTAGAATTCAGCAGTGAAGCCACTGGGTCCTGGGCTTTTCCTAACCGGAAGACTTTTTATTATGGCTTTGATCTTATTACTTGTTATTGGTCTATTCAGCTTTTGGATTTCTTCATGGTTCCATCTTGGTAGGTTCTGTGTGTCTAGGAATTTATCCATTTCTTCTATATTTTCCAATTTATTGGCATATAGTTGCTCCTGGTAGCCACTAATGGCCCTTTGACTTTCTGTGATATAATTTGTGAAGTTTCCTTTTTCATTTCTGTTTGTATTTATTTGGTTCTTCTCTCTTTTTTTCTTAGCCTGGCTAAAGGTTTGTCAGTTTTGTTTACCTTTAAAAAAAAATACTCTTGTTTCTTAAGACAGGCCTATTTAAAAAAATGTCTGATATGTGGTAAATACACAACATAAAATTTACCATCTTAACCTTGTTATTTTTTCCAAGACATGGTCTCATTCTGTTGCCCAGGCTCGAGTCCAGTGCTGCAATCAAGGGCCAGTGCAGCCTCCACCTCCTGGGCTTAAGCAATCGTCCTGCCTCAGCCTCCTGAGTAGCTGAGACTACAGGAGTCTGCCACCACAATGGGCTAATTTTTAAAATTTTTTTGTAGAGCCAAGATCATGCTATATTGCCCAGACTAGCCTTGAACTCCTGGGTTCAAGCAATCTCCCCACCTCAACCTCCTGAAGTTTTGGGATTACAGGTATGAGTCACTGTGCCTGGCCTTAACCATTTTGAAGTGTACATTGTAGTTGCATTAAGTATAGTCACACTGTTGCACAACCATCGCCATTCTCTATCTCCAGAATTCTTTTTTTTTTTCTTGAGATGGAGTTTCCTTCTTGTTGCCCAGGCTGGAGTGCAATGGCGCGATCTCAGCTCACTGCAACCTCCGCCTCCCAGCTTCAAGCGATTCTCCTGCCTCAGCCTCCTGAGTGGCTGGGATTACAGGCACATGCCACCACGCCCGGCTAATTCTTGTATTTTTAGTAGAGACGGGCTTTTGCCATGTTGACAAGGCTGCTCTCGAACTCCCGACCTCAGGTGATCTGCCTGCCTTGGCCTCCCAAAGCGCTGGGATTACAAGCCTGAGCCACCAAGCCCTACCAGTTTATTATAAAGGCAAAGGATACCGATGAAGAGACGCATAGGGCAGGTAATGGGGGAAGGGGCGCAGGGCTTCCATGCCCAATGCTGCTATGAACATGGTTGTTCAAACATCTCCCTGGATGCCACTCTCCAGGAATATCCCCACGTTCAGGTACGTGAAAACTCACTGAATCCTATCTTTGGGTTTTTAGGGAAGCTTCATGACATCATTCCTTCCCCCAGATTATAGGGTGGGACCCTCTCATGGGAGGGTCTTAAGACCCACAGTCAGCAAAGCGGGTTACATTAGCATCTCCAGTATTCTTTTCATCTTGTAAAACTGAATCTGTCTCCATTAAACACTCACTCCCCATTCCCTCTCCCTCCAGCCTCTGACACCCACCATTCTACTTTCTGTCTCTATGAATTTGACTAGTCTATGTAATTCATATGTGGAATCAACAGAATTTGTCTTTTTGTGACTGGTTTATTTCACTTAACTTCATCCTCAAGGTTCAACTTAAAGGTGTATCCATGTTGTAGCACGTGTCAGCATTTTCTTTCGTTCTCAGGCTAAATAGTATTTCATTGTGTGTGTACACCATGTTTCATGCATTCATTCATCCCTTGAAAGATTGGTGGGTTGTTTCCTCCTTTTTGCTTTTGTGAACAGTGCTACGAACATGGTTGTACAAACATCTCTTGGAGCCCCACTAGCAGTTCCTTTGGGTATATACCCCAAAGTGGAATTGCTGGATCTGGTAGCTCCCTTTTTAATTTTTTGAGGAATCGCCACACAGTTTCCATAACAGCTGCACCATTTTACATTCCCAAGACCTTTTTTTTTTTTTTTTTTTTAAGAAGAAAAGATGTGTTTCTGCATTTCTGGAAGTCTATGCTGCATTTCCATTTGTTGAAATTTAAGACCAGAGTCGTCTTTTCTGCTGTAATTATAATGGTCACTGGCTTGTGCCTTTTCCTCCTCTCTCTGCCCCATCTGCACGGGGTCTTTGAACAAGTCCCAGCACCTTGGTGGACAAGCCTGTGTCCCTGGCCCATCATGGAAGCCGCTGCCTTTCAGAGTGGGAGTCTGTACCCTGTTGCCTCATTCCTTGCTGCGCCCATGAGTGAGCTTGTGCCTGACCTCTCCTTCCAGGTGGACTTACACACTGGGCTGTCGGAGTTCTCGGTGACGCAGCGCCGGCTGGCCCATGGCTGGAATGAGTTTGTTGCTGACAACAGCGAACCTGTGTGGAAGAAATACCTGGATCAGGTAGGACCAGAGGTGTCATTCTTTGCATTAACATGCATAAGCCAGCGAGGGTGGGGCAGCCATTCCATCTTTCAATGTTGATGGAAGGCATCCTTGGACAGCTCCCGCCCCTTTCACGCTGCCCCAGCCAGCCTGAGCATCAGTCATGAGCAAATCACCAACTCCCAGGCAACCGCGATCAGGAAAAACAGTGATCACTTTCGTAGACAGTTGAGCAGGCCCCGGGCCCCACGCTATATGAGTAAGTGAATAAGTAAGCATGCGCTTACTAATCCTCCTCCTAATCCCGCCTTTGCACATGAGGAAGGAGAAGTGCAGAGGTTGAAAGATTTCCCCAGAGTTGCCAGGTTTAGCAAATAACAATATAGGATGCCCTGTTAAATTTCAATTTCAGGCTGGGCGTGGTGGCTCGTGCCTGTAATCCAAGCACTTTGGGCGGCTGAAGCGGGTGGATCACTTGAGCCCAGGAGTTCAAGACCAGCCCGGCCAACATGGCGAAACCCCGTCTCTTCTAAAAATATAAAAATTAGCCGGATGTGGTAGTGGATGCCTGTAATCCCAGCTACTGAGGAGGCTGAGGTGGGAGGATTGTTGGAACCCAGGAGGTGGAGGCTGCAGTGAACTGAGATTGTGCCACTGTGCTCCAGCCTGGACAACAGAGTGAGACCTTGTCTCCACAACAACAACAAAACCAAAGTGAATTTCAGATAGATAAACAAGAAGCAATTTCTAGTATAAGTGTGTCCCAATACAGTGGACGTGCTTATACTAAAAACAAAAAGTTCCTTGTTTTTCTGAAATTTAGATTTTACTGGGTGTCCTACTGTAACCTGAGCCCAAAGTCACATAGCTGTGAGGAGCAGTGCAGAGCAGTGCAGCCAGGGAGCTGCACCCAGAGCCCCTTCCCTTGCTAGCTGCTGCCATCGGTGCTGGCGCGGTGCTGAATGAATGGCACACAATCAAATGCCTGGAAGCCACTAAGAAGGGGAAAGAAAAAACTGCAATTGACATGGCTCCAAGTTCCATTCTAGAAGTCGGCAGTCCCTGCCACCTTTGCAGGACCAGTTCAGAAAGGCTCAGTGAACAGGCAGAATTTTCCAGGTGCCTGAGGGCATTTAGATGGCCTTAGATCCCCTTTTCCAGCCTTTTGCATGCTCTTGGCCCCATCCCTGACATCCCCTTCTTCATTCTCTGGCCCCTGGGCTGCCCCAGGCTTCAACCGCCTTCCTATTGGCTCTGTGTTTACAGCTTCCTCCATTGGTCGATTCCGGAACCAATCACAGTCCCCTGGGCAGCATCCTCTGTCTCCACTCTCCTTGAGGTCCCCTCCCTGATCAAGGCTCAGTTCTCAGTGTTCTGGGAATGTTATTCATCGATGCGTTTTGGCAGCAAAATAGGCTTCTGGGTATGTAGGTGGTTCTGGCTAGCCCAGAAGCTTCCTAAAACTGCAGGGCTGAGAAGAGGCAGTGGAGGCTCCCGGAAGTTGGGGTTCAGGGAAGGAGGCCGAGACATGGGCTGTGAGGGAGGAGCTCCCCTCTGCGGCTGGAGATCTCTTTGCTCTGCCCTGGCACCCCTTCCACTAGGACCCGCTCCCCCACTTCCCCTGGTTATCCTCCTTCCTCGTTCCCCTCTGCTCTGTCGAAACCCACCGTGAACATCTTCCTTCTCACCAAGGATCCTCCTCCAGCCTCCAGCCAGGGTGTTCCCCAAAATGAAATCTCTTAAATTTCTTGAGAGCAGAGGACCTGCTCATTCATCTTATAGCTTGTCGGTTCAGCAATGCATCTGTGGGAATCCTTGTAGGACTGGACGGGAGCTCCTGACGGCTGGGTTTTCCTGCCCTTGCGTATACGGGTTCTGTCTGCTCTCCCTTATTAATTCCTTACATGTGTTGAGTTCCTCCTGCATGCCAAGTGTTGTGATTCTCCTATCTTTCCCCCAGTGACAGGGAACTCATCACCTCACAAGGCAGCCCTGTTCCTCTGTCTCAGGAGTCTCACCATTAGGAATTCTACCTTAGCACGGCGTAAGGCTCTGGACGGGATGGCAGGGAGGCACTAGGCTGGTGCTCTGAGGAGGTGGCATCTGGGCAGAGATCTGAGTGAAATGAGACGGAAAGCCATGTGAGGATGTGGATGGAGGGCGTCGCTGGAGGGCAGGGTGCAGAGTCCCTGAGGGGACAGGAGCCTGGCAGCCTGGGAATCAAGGTGCCCAGACCAGGTGCATTATTATTATTGTTATATTCTGGGATAGGGTTTCTCTGGTGTCCAAGCAGGAGTGCAGCGGCATAAACACGGCTGACTGCAGCCTCAACTTCCCAGGCCCCAGTGATCCTCCTGCCTTAGCCTTCTGAGTAGTTGGGACCACAGGTGCACCTCACCATGCCCAGCTCATTTTTTCATTTTTTTGTAAAGATGGGATTTTGCTGTGTTTCCCAGGCTGGACTGAAACTCCTGGGCTCAAGCAGTCCTCCCATTTCTGCCTCCCAAAGGGCTGGGATTACAGTGTGAGCCTCTGCACCCAGCCCTTGTTGATATTGTAACTCTCTTCCTTATCCTGATCTTTGGTCTGCCTTCTGAATCCGGTTTTATGTGTTTGCATTTCTTTTCAATCCTCTGTAACATGAGCTACCATGAGATGTCTCTGAAATGAAAGGGCAGATATATAAAATAAAGTAAAAATCTTCTCAGGAAGTTTTGGGAACGGCTGTTTTAGAGAGGGACATCATTGGAGTCCCTAGAGGCTGTTACAGGAGCAGGCTGTTACTGAGTTTGGTGACTGGGATGTGCAGGATTTGGGGAGCTGGTGTGGTGAGAGAGGATCCTTGGCCGTCCTGAGCCAGGACTGGCATCTTGCCGAAAGTCCCGGCCTGGAGCGTCATGGAGATGTGGAGAGGCGAGACCAAGAACTCAAAGGCAGGGCTGAGGCCGGTGTCTTCAGGGGGTCAGTACTGGGACCTGGGAGGGTCAATTGGGTGGAGTTCCAGGCAGAGGAGGACCACTGCATGGGGGTGGTCTCCCCAGCCCTCGGTCACCATGGTGTTGACCTGGAAGCCTGGCCCTGAACTGAGACCCCTGTCACACAAACTTCTGCACAGTAAGAAACCCATTCTGGTCCCTGAGACTAAAGAACGTGCCCCACCCTGTTATTTCCTCTTCAGTTTAAGAACCCCCTGATCCTGCTGCTGCTGGGCTCTGCCCTGGTGAGTGTCCTCACCAAGGAGTATGAGGACGCCGTCAGCATCGCCACGGTGAGTTCCCTGACAGCGCTCGGCTCCCGGGCGGGCAGCCACAGGTCTGCTGAGTCTCTGCTTGTTATTGTATATAAAGAAAAAAAAGAGTTTGCTGTAGGGGGGAAAAAGGAGCATACAGAAGAAAGAAAGGAAAGCAAATCCACATCCTTCTTTACCCTAATATCAAGGTGCCCTGGTTTATTCGGCCACTGCTTGCTTGCTGGACACACAGGTGCTTCTGGGTCTTTGCTAGAGCAGTGTTGCAGGGAATTCCTTTCCCGTGACCCTGGGATGAGGGGAATAGAGCCTGGGCTGTGCACATTTGCCTTCCGAAGAACAACACCTTTGATCCATTACCGAGAGGTAACCACTGAGCACTCATTTTTTTTTTATTTAGATGAAATTCACATAATAAAATATTGACTATTTCACAGTGAACAATTCAGTGAAATTGAGTACATTCATGATATGGTGCCACCACCACCTCTGCCTAGTTCCAAAACATTTTCATCACCCAGAAGGAAACCCTGTGCTCACCAGACAGTCACTTCCTGTCCCCGCTCCTACCAGCCCTTGGCAACCACCAATCTTTTTCTATCTCTGTGGGTTGAATGACCTATTCTGGATATGTCACTGAAATGGATTCAGACGGATGAGTTCATGTCCTTTGCAGGGACATGGATGAAGCTGGAAACCATCATTCTAAGCAAACTATCACAAGGACAGAAAACTAAACACTGCATGATCTCACTCATAGGTGGGAGTTGAACAATGAGAACACATGGACACAGGGTGGGGAACATCACACACTCGGGCCTTTCATAGGGTCAGGGGGCTGGGGGAGGGATAGCATTAGGAGAAATACCTAATGTAAATGACGAGTTGATGGGTGCAGCAAACCAGCGTGGCATATGTATACCTATGTAACAAACCTGCACGTTGTGCACATGTACCCTAGAACTTAAAGTATAACAAGAAAAAAAAATGGATTCAGACAATACATGACCTTTTGTATCTGGCTTCTCCTGAGCACATTTTTTTTTCTTTTTTTGAGACAGAGTCTTGCTGTGTCGTCCAGGCTGGACAGCAGTGCCGTGATCTCAGCTCAGTACAACCTCTGCTTCTCCTGCCTCAGCCTTCTGAGCAGCTGGGATTACAGGTGCCCGCCACCACTCCTGGTTAATTTTTGCTAATTTTTATATTTTTAGTAGAGATGAGGTTTCCCTGTGTTGGCCAGGCTGATGTCGACCTCTTGACCTCAGGTGATCCGCCTCCCTTGGTCTCCCAAATAGCTGGGATTGTAGGCGTGAGCCACTGTGCCTGGCCTGAGCACCTTTTGATGGCTGTCATTCCCCACTTCTTTCCGTTTGTTCCAGCCGGTATTTTAAAATACAAACACAGACTCATTCCACACGATGGAATTTCCTACTTCCAATTAAAAGGCTGGAGTAGGCCGGGTGCGGTGGCTCATGCCTGTAATCCCAGCACTTTGGGAGGCCTGGGGGGTGGATCACGAGGTCAGGAGATCGAGACCATCCTGGCCCACATGGTGAAAGCCCGTCTCTACAAAAAATACAAAAAAATTAGCAGGGCATGGTGGCATGTGCCTGTGGTCCCAGCTACTTGGGAGGCCGAGGCAGGAGAATCGCTTGAAACCGGGAGGCGGAGGTTGCAGTGAGCCAAGATCACACCACTGCACTCCAGCCTGGTGGCAGAGCAAGATTCCATTTCAGAAGAAAAAAGGCTGGGGTAAGTTCCACATCTGCTATGGAGAAGGGTGTTTGCAGCATGTTCAGTGAAAATGGCAGTTTATAAAAGAATATGTCCAGATTATAAGATGCGGTGCCTTAAGTGTGTCTACGCAGAAAAATCTAGATGGGTACTCTGAAATGTGCACGTCTGGGTGGTAAAAGATAGTGTCAATTTTTTCCTGCTCTTTTGGCTAGTATATTTTCTAAATTTCTGTACTGTGCACATGTTTTGCAAGAAGAAAGGAAATCAATCATTAAAGACAAGCCCCTAGCCTGCCACGCCCTGTCCCCCCTCCCACTGAGCCTCTGGTACTGACACCCTCCTCCGTTTGCTGTCTAGGCAGTGCTTGTCGTGGTCACTGTCGCCTTCATCCAGGTGAGTATTTCCTGAGGTCCCAGTCAGGGTAAGCTGGGCGGGACAGGAGCTTCATGGAGTCCCCACCTTTAAACAGCACATCTGATGTGCTTCCTGCCAGGAGTACAGGTCGGAGAAATCTCTGGAAGAGCTGACCAAGCTGGTTCCTCCAGAATGTAACTGGTAAGTCAGAGCCTCCCTGGGACTTTTTGGTTCACTGGAGGAGCCAGGGAGCTGGAGAGTTTGGCAAATGTTTGCTGAAAGTTGTATCCTTGGTAGTGTCGGACAAGAGAACCACATCTCACTGGGAGTTCTAAGGCCTGGTCTCCGCCTGCCAATAGGTCGCTGTGTGTCCTCGGGCATGTCACTCAACCTCTCTGGGCCTCAGCTCCATCATCAGTGTCTAAATCAGGGTGCCTAGCCTGAGGACCACAGGTAGCAGGAGTGACTCTGGGAAGAGGGTAGCCCACAAAGCCTGTGAAATAATGTGCAGAACTGTGTGCATTTTTTCTAGGGAGAGGGTCTGGAGGTTTATTTGAATTCTCAATGAATGGTCTCAGGAGAGTGAGATCCAGGTCTTTAACAAGCAGAGCCATCAGAACATTGGCTGCAGCATAGGGTATAGGAAGAGTGAACTTGAGTAACTACTCAGCAGCTGCAACAGCCTCTTTCCTGCCCACAGTTTTCCATTGGTTACTGCACGGCTCTTACCAAAGATGTTTAACAAGGAAAGAGACAAGACTAAAATGTCTGCCAGTACCACATGGCCCTTTCTGCTTAGCGTAGCCCTGTGTGATAGAACTTGCAGGAAATGTTCTATTAATATCATCTGCCCTGTCCAATATGGCATCTGACAATTCTTTTTTTGTTGTTTTTTAAGATAGAGTCTTGCTCTGTCGCCCAGGCTGGAGTGCAGTGGCACAATCTCAGTTCGCTGCAACCTCCGCCTCCTGGGTTCAAGCAGTTCTCCTGCCTCAGCCTCCCAAATAGCTGGGACTACAGGCATGCACCACTACACCTGGCTAATTTTTATATTTTTAGTAGAGGTGGGGTTTCGCCACGTTGGCTAGGCTCGTCTCGACCTCCTGACCTCAGATGATCTGCCTGCCTCAGCCTCCTAAAGTAGTGGGATTACAGGTGTGAGCCACCGTGCCCGGCCGACAAACTAAATTCTTAATGTTATTTAATTTTAATTTTTATTTAAATATGCACATGGACCTAGTGGCTACCATATTGGGCAGCTCAGCTTAGAACATCTGCGGGGGCCCTTCTAGGAACAGCTGCCATTGGTGGAGGAAGCTGACAGGCCCAGGAGGGAAAACAGCTTTTTCCTTTTTCTTTTCTTTCTTTCCTTTCTTTTCTTTTCTTTCTTTTCTTTCTTTCCTTTCTCTTCTTTCTTTTCCTTTCTTCCTTTCTTTCTTTTTCTTTTTGTTGTTGTTGTTGTTGAGACAGGGTCTGGCTCTGTTGCCTAGGCTAGAGTGCAGTGGCAGGATCTCGGCTCACTGCAACCTGTGCCTGCCTCCAGGGCTCAAGTGATCCTCCTGCCTTACTTTCCCAAGTAGCTGGGAATACAGGTGCATGCCATGCCACCACACCTGACTACTTTTTTGTATCAGCTGCTACAAAAGTTACTGCATTTTTTGCATTTTTATTTTTTAAACCTGATTGTGTATGTGTGTGTATGTATGTGTGTACGTGTGTGCACGTATGTGTGTGTGTGAGCATGTCTGCACGTGTGTGTGCGTGTGTGTCTGTATGCGTGTGTCTGCGTGCGTGTGTGCATGTGTGTGTGCGTGTGTGTATATGTGTCTGTGTGTGTCTGTGCATGTGTCTGTGTATGTGTGTGCGTGTGTGTATGCATGTGTGTGTCTGTGTCTCCGTGTGTGTGTCTGTGCATGTGTATGTGTGCATGTGTGTATATGTGTCTGTGTGTGTCTGTGTGTGCATGTGTCTGTGTGTGTATGCGTGTGTGTGTGTGTGTGTGTGTATGTGTGTGTGTGGAGATGGGGTTTCACTATGTTGCTCAGTCTGGGAAAACAGCTCATTCTAAGCTTAACTTTTAGCATAGCAGTGGTCCATAAGCTCGTTCTCCTAGTAGAAAATGAAATGATTTCAAAAAAGGCCAAAGTCTTCTCCCCACCCCTGCTAACATTGGTTGAGGTCCTGTCAGGCTGATCTGTCTTTCCCGAACATACCTGGCTGCTCAAAGTGATAGAAGGTATCCTGTGATCAGCCGGGCGCGGTGGCTCACACCTGTAATCCCAGCACTTTGGGAGGCCGAGGTAGGCAGCTCACCTGAGGTCAGGAGTTCAAGACCAGCCTGGCCAACATGGTGAAACTCTGTCTCTACTAAAAATTAAAAAAAAATTAGCTGGGCATGGTGGTGGGTGTCTGTAATCCCAGCTACTTGGGAGGCTGAGGCAGGAGAATTGCCTGAACCCAGAGATGGAGGTTGCAGTGAGCCAAGAGTGCTCCATTGTACTCCAGCCTGTGCGATAAGAGCGAAACTCTGTCTCAAAAAAAAAAAAAAAAAGTATCTCATGGTCTGGGGTGTCTGGGAACAACTCAGCCCACCCTCTGAGTCTCCAAGACCCATTTCCAACATTTGGCAAACATACGGCAACTCCGTATTTTCTGAAGGATAATTTTCAGGGAGAGCTTTAGTATATATCCCAGGCACATGTTGTGCAACTGAGCCATGGGGCTAGGGTAGAAAGCCGTAGTGAGATACGGTCCCGCGTCTCAAAGAGTCAGCATTCAAGGGGCGTGTGTGTATAATACAAGGCGGAGAATGACGAAGGACCAAATAGGGACAAGAAGAGGATGATACAGAATTGACCCACATCACAGAGGGTGAGTCAATTGTAGAAGGGCCGCGGGAGCAGTAGAAATGTCTGGGCTCGCTGGTCGGATGAACAGTGCTGTCAGAAATCCAGACATGTGACATCATTAACTGAGCAAACGGAAGCATAAATGATTTATGTGATTTGATGATCCGATCTTAAGCTTAAATATCGAGTCTTGGCCTTTCAGGTGAATAGCGTGCATTATTGATGTCTCCCGGGAGGTCACTTCTAAAAGACGGTTTTATGTACAAAAGCAGCGGTGTCGGGCAGCCCAGTAGAGTTGAAAGAGCGCTGAAGAGGTGAAGCCCACCCTTTGAGTCTCTGAGACCCATTTCCAACTCAGGGGAAACCCTGCTGTGCGGGACCCCCTCCCTGTGTTACTCCATCCCTGGTGCAGGCATCAAATATTTATTGAGCACCTACTGTATGCCTGGAGAAAGGGCACTGAGGTTATACAAGTGGAAGAAATGGGGAGGCCTCGGCCTTTGGGGACCTCACATTCCTACCAAGGGAGTACATAATAAGCCAGTGAAGAACAAGATGACCTTGGAATTGTCCAGGTACACAAAAGCCAAAAAATACTGGAGGCCACCAAAACAAATAAAAAACCCCACTGAGATGTAATAGTGACTGGTAGAAGGGTGAGGACAACCCTAAATAGCTGTCGATCAGGCTGACATTTAGAGAGGAGGTGACATTTAAGCTGAGGCCTGAGGAAGAGGAGCCTGCCATGGGAGGAGCTGAGGGAGCAACAGGTATATCTCTGGCAGGTGCTCTTGGCTACAAGGAACAGAAAGTCCAGTTGCACAAACGCCAAGAAAAGTATATTGTCTCATAGCCAGGGATCTGAGGTGGGAGCCGTGGGGTTAGTTAATTCAGGAGAGCACCCAGGGCGTGGTTCTTTCACCTCCTTACCCTGCCACCTTGTGCCCACTGGGGTTGCATTGGTTCTTGGCTGGCTCTCCTCATGATCCCAGATGGCTGCCACAGCTCCTTGCATCACAGCCAAACACGCAAAGGCCCTATAGAAGAAGGGTGTGTGTGTGTGCGTGCACGCGCGTGTACAGTAAGGAAATCTTTTCCCACAAGCCCCCAGCAAACATCCACTCATGTCTCTCGGGCCAGTGTTGCATGATGTGCTGATACCTAAGCCAATCAAGGGCAGGGGTCTTAGCCAGGCATGACCCACTCCCCAGAGCACGTGGCTGTGGGGAGAGGGTGGATACCTCAACAAGATCAAATTCCATTAACAAGGAAGAGGGGAATTTCTGCTCCTGCATTTGAGGTCTGCAAAGCCCCTGAGGCCAGAAGGAGCCTGTGCGTTTAAGGGGGCTGGATGGAATGAGATGGGAGCTGCAGGAGGCTGGCTGGCCGTGGAGGAGATCTTTGAGTTTGGTACCAGGGTCATGGGAAAGCCATCGGAGGGTTTGGAGCAGGAGGGGGTTGGGATCTGGTTTGGGGTTCTAAGAGCGCTCCAGCTGCCATATGCAGGATGGGTTGAAGGGGCCAGGTCGGAGGTCAGAGTCAGCTGGGACGGGCAAGCGGCGGTGGTGTGGGGGATTCCATTTGGAGCCTGTACGGAAGCATATCCGTAGTCTGAGGGCAGCTGGTCATGGCCCTGCGGGAATGGAGGTCCTGGGCTTCCTCCCAGCTGTGATAAGGCTCTGCCATCCCTGACTTCCTGAGACAGACCCTGCACCCTGAGTGCTGTGTGCTCTGAGGACAAAACTCTGCCGGCTGCATTTGGAGGCTTTAGAACTGCTGACCTTGGCCCCAGGAGCCTCCCTGGGGCATGTGGCCCACGTGGTTTCCAGGCAGGGTAAACAGCAATGGCCTCATCTTTCAGATGTGGCCCAGGGATGCCCAGAAACCACATACTTTCTCTAAAGTCTTATAGGATATGTTAATTTCAAAATAATAACACCCCAAAGGCACAGGGTTGGTGTATATTAAAAGAGAAAAGTGTGTTTCTATTCTCCTTGTTCAAATGTATCAAGGTGCATAAAAACAAATGTCAGCATGGATGCTTTTGCTTTTTACCATGTCAAATGCAGCCTAAGAGAAGGAAAACTCCAGCACCTGCTTGCTCGAGAACTGGTTCCTGGTGATGTCGTATCTCTCTCGATCGGAGACCGGATCCCTGCAGACATCCGACTCACTGAGGTGAGTGGTTCCAAACCCTTGTCAATGGGGTATTTGATGGAGCTGGTCAAGGAGCAGACACTTAGCTAATTGTAGGCATGTATAGTCTCTCTCATACACACATGCTCAAACATACATGCACATGCATACACACAAGACAGGAAGTTAGCAGACAAGCGTGTTCTACGCATAGAGCCCCTCAAACCATATTTCATAAATTGTCATCCTCACTTTAAGCCTGACAACCTTTGGCTATACGATTTTCCAGTTTAAAGCAGGCTGCAATAACAAATTAAACCAAGGTGGGCTTGGGGAATGATGTGAGAGTTGCCTCTCAAAACAGACACACAAGTGTTAGAAAGAAGTGATATTAGAGGCGGGTGGATCACTTAAGGTCAGGAGTTCAAGACCACCCTGGCCAACATGGTGAAACTCTCTACTAAAAATACAATAATTAGCTAGGCATGGTGGCATGTGCCTGTAGTCCCAGCTACTCAGGAGGCTGAGGCAGGAAAATCACTTGAACCCGGGAGGCGGAGGTTGCAGTGAGCCGAGACCACGCCACTGCACTCTAGCCTGGGCAACAGAGCGAGAAGCACACGCTTTTAGAGTAGTGAGGTTTGGGGACATTGGCTGTGGGGCAAGCTTCGTGGGTCTCTGGGTGTCACAGCTTCACAGAGCCATGCCTGAGGCACTCTGCTGAGATTATCCTGGGTTCCCAAGAGGTTACATCAAGTTCACCATGATTTGTTGATGGGAGTAATCTATTTCAAGAATCTTTCCAAGAATGTGTAAGGACTGTTCAAAGCTTTGCATGATGAAGAATTAGACACAGATTATCTGCCTGATTTATTTACTGATGGGATGCATTCTCAGGAACTGTAGGATCAAGGACCCGCTATTAAGAGGGCAGCATCAGGGAAGCGGATGGAGAAGAGCACAAAGGGTTGGAAGCTACCCCCTGGGACCTGGGTTTACAACATTCCTAGCCTGTCTGTGAAATAGGAGGCAGGGGCCAGGGCTTATGTGTGGCCACTCGGACATT
Organism: Homo sapiens; assembly: GCF_000001405.40. Lineage (NCBI taxonomy): Eukaryota > Metazoa > Chordata > Mammalia > Primates > Hominidae > Homo > Homo sapiens. Next base: position 84,416,616 of record NC_000016.10, read on the forward strand.
GATCCTCTCTGCCGTGACCTTCAGATTTCCAGGCAGGGCAGGGATAAGGGTGGGAGATGTTCAGTTACCAAAGTGAGGGAGGGTTCGCCCTCGGGCTCAGGCTGGTGCCCTCTGTAGCACCAGATACAGATCCTCTGTGGCCCCCGCCTCTCCCCGTGTTCAGCTCCAGCAGTCAGCGTCTGACCCCAAGTCTGGGGTGCATGGATCCGGTCAGAGGAACGGCTGTCTGTGGCCAATCCCCGCCTACAAGGAGGACTGGGGAAGCTGGGCTCACATTTTCCACGTTTTCCTTCTCCCGAGAAGGGGGGTCCTAACAGGGGATGCTCCAGATGCCAGGCAGCTTGTGAGAAGGACACAGGTCCGCCACAAGGGCTGGTGCAGAGGCAGAGAGAGGCCGTATGAGAGGTGGCCAATGACCTGGGGTTGGGCATTAGCCTGGGCTTGAGCCCTGGGACCATCATTCAAAGCCTTGTGAACCTTGAGCAAGTTAGTTAACCTCTCTGTGCCTCAGTTTTCTCATCTGCAAAATGGGGGGTGGTGATGCCCATAGGGTACTTGGGAGGATTACAGATCTTCAGAGATGCCAAAAGTGCTCAGAACGGTGCCTGGCACAGGTGAGTGAGAGGCAGGTGTGGGGGCTGCCGTACTGCAGTGTGTGTTGGAAGTCAGAGAACCCCAGGCCCCATAGCTCCTAGGGCGTGACTCGGGGAAGGAATTCACCTCTCTGAGCTTCGATCTCCTCATCTCTAAAAGGGGCTGATGTTGGTTTCCATTTCACAGGGTTATTGTGAAGATGAAACAAGCTATGACCCATGCTGTGCTTAGCACATGCCTTTTGTGGGGTAAACAGTCACCAGATACTTGTGATTGCTTTTATTTTTTATCATTATCGTTCTATACAACGGTTCTTTGAAACAACTTTTTAGACCCCAGGTAACTTCCTTACTGCTTCAGCTGGCTTTCTCTCTGCCCTGCTTATGTTAAATTAAACTGTGGCTGGGCACAGTGGCTCATACCTGTCATCCCAATACTTTGGGCAGCCAAGGCGAGTGGATTGCTTGAGCCCAGGAGTTCAAGACCAGCCTGGGCAACATAGTGACACTCCATCTGTACAAAAACTATTGTACCTGTGTATTGATACCACGAAGGTTATTTTAAGGCTACTGGCTGTGAACACTCTATGGATTTTCCTGGTGGTATTCTGCAATTCCATTAAACAATCAATAGCTTTGCCTATTCAGTGGAAAATGCTTATCAGCTATTAAGCTCTGAGATCCAGGAGTACTTCAAGTGTACATTTTAAAACCATTTTGGTCTAGCAGGTTCAGCAGGAAGCAGCAAGTTCAAGAAAGCTCTTAAAGTAATAGACCTTTTTGCACAGTATATGGGGGTCCCAGAACATTATTTTCCCTTTCCTGGAGTTAAAACAGAGGAAGCCCTCAGTCAGAGGCTGAGCTGGTACAGCCAGCAAGCCTGGGTCACACTTTCTCCCCTACCATGTCTAAAAGAAAAAGGGAATTGGGTCGGAGGTGATGGGACTCCAAGTGACGCTTCGTCTTGGAGGTGGGGGCACCGGGTGGGCATGAGCCCTGTGTGTGGGAGATAGGAGGTGAGCCCGCGATTGTGCCTCTGTCTTCAGGCTCGGCCTGCCGCCTCCTTGGTGGCTATGGGTTCTGTTCCCCCGACTCTATTTTCGCCCCTCACCCCTCCTTGCCCCTTACCTGAGATTGTGCCCTGGGAGCCTGGGAGGTCACCAGAAGCCCCTCCTGCCCACCTGCTGAACCCACACACAACCACCTTCACTCCTTCTTGGTCCGGAGGTGCCACCTGATCTTCTACCTGCCTTTATTTTTGTCATATGAAGACAACGAATATTTTTCAGTATAACAGGTCTATGCTAACCACCGTATGAAAATTGTTTCATTTGTTCTCCCAACACCCTTAAGAGACCAGCACTGTTATTTTTCCTCTGCGTTATTTTACTACACGGACACAGCAGCCCGCAGAGGTTGCGTGGCCCTGCGCAGTCACACGGCAGTGGGCGGTGGAGGGGGACATGACCCCGGGCCTCTAGCTCCGCAGCCCATGTCCTTACCCCCAGGACGTTCTCTCTCTCCCTGTGAGCAGCTGTTCAGACTCTTCCTGGCACTGCCTCTCCCCCTGAGTTTCCTCCATGTATCCGTTGCCCATGGCTGCTGTGGCAGATGACCGCTTACTTAGGGGCTTAAAACAAGGTGAAGATATGGTCTGACCTTCTGGAGGTCAAAATTGAAATCGTTTTCACTGGGTGGAAATCAACAGTGCTAACAGGGTCCAGGCGCGGTGGCTCACTCCTGTAATCCCAGCACTTTGGGAGGCTGAGGTGGGTGGATCACCTGAGGTCAGGAGTTGGAGACCAGCCTGGCCAACATGGCAAAACCCTGTCTCTACTAAAAATAAAAAAATTAGCCAGGCGTGGTGGCGTGCACCTGTAGTCCCAGCTACTCAGGAGACTGAGGCAGGAGAATTGCTTGAACCTGGGAGGTGGGGTTTTAGTGAGCCGAGATTGCACCACTGCACTGTAGCCTGGGTGACAGAGTGAGACCCCATCTTTAAAAAAAAAAAAAAAAAAAAAAAAAAAAAAGTGCTACTGGGGCCATGCTCCTGCAGAGGCTCCAGGGGAGAAGCTGTTTCCTGGCCTTTCCCAGCTTCTAGAAGCCGCCTGCATTCCTTGGCTCATGGCTCCATGTTCCCGCACCACTGCTTCTGTTACATCTCCCTGACATCAGACACATCTCCAACCCTCCGTCCTCCCCTCCCTTATGAGGACCCTCGTGATCTCACGGGGCCCACCCCGGTCACGCAGACCATATTCTCCCCACGCCAAGGTCCTTCAGTTAGTCACGTCTGCATAGTCTCTGTCACCACATCAGAGAACACATTCCCAAGTTGAGGATTAGGATGCGGACATCATGGGAAAGCTGGGGGCAGGGGGACGTTACTCAGCAGGCCACACTGCAGCCCTTTTCCAGGTCTCCTCCCTCCTCCCTTCCCTTGGGGCCCCCGACCCCACTCCCCATCCACATCGCTCATTCATTCAACAAGTGTTTCCTGAGCACCTACTACGTATGAGGCCCTGGGCTGGGTACCGAGGACACCGTGCAGGAAGCAGACCTGGTCCCTGTGCTCGTGAGTTTATAGCCCAGAGTGACAGACTGACTTAAATCTACTCGTGACAAGTACTGTTCCAGGACTGCTAAGGGACCCATGAGTGGAAGTACTGGGAATCCTGGATTTCCCAAATGGGAGAGACTTGCCTGGCCTGGTGCACTCAGGGAGGGCTTCCTGGAGATAGCAGCTTTTGGCGCAAAACAGCCGTTTTAGGCAAAGGAGGCCCAAGCTACTTGTCTCATGCTGACCAAAAAGCCTGATAAGTTTTCGCTTTCAACTGCCATGGGGGCACCTAAAACCCTCCCCCAGCACATGTGACTTAACCTATCTCATCCCGGAGGTCTCTGCTCCCTGTCCCTCCTCCCAGGCCTTTCCCCAGCCACCTCTTCTCAGGGGCCTCCCTCCCTGCTCTGTACACCCTGGTGTTGGATCCAGTGCTTGTTTATCGTCATTTCCCCCACCTCCTCCATGGAGTATCATCTTCCTGAGGCAGAAATTGTACCCCATTCACTGCGGTATTCCCAGTGCCCAGAGGAGTCTCTGGCCTATCGGAGGATATGGATGGTCAGGTTTCCCATCAGTCCAAACCCACACTCACTCCCCACCCCATGTGCCTCCTCTCTTCCAAACGCCTTCTCCTCCTTCCTCCTTCTCTTCGTAGTTTTCTTCCCGGGGTGGGGGTCATCTTTGATCTCTCCCTTTCTTTCTTTTTTTTTTTTTTTTAAAGGACTTCATTGTTTAGAAATGTTTTAGATTTGTGGGAAAATTCAGCTCAGGGTTCCCATCTACCCCTCACCCGGGATCCCCTCCTGTTTTTAATGCCTTAGCTTACTTGGGTACATCGGTCACAACTAAGGAACCCATATTGATGCCTTCTTGTTACCTTGAGTCTGTGACACTTTCAGATCCCCATAGATTTCCCTAATGTCCTTTTTCTGCTCCAGGATCCTACCTGACATTTAGTGGTCATGTCTCCTGAGGTTCTTGTTGGCTGTGACAGTTTCTGATGTTCCTTGTTTTTGACCTTGACCTTGACAGTTTCGGTTTTGTTTTTGTTTTGAGCAGAGTCTCTCTCTGTCACCCAGGCTGGAGTGCAGTGGGGCAATCTCGGCTCACTGCAACCTCCGCCTCCTGGGTTCAAGAGATTCTCCTGCCTCAGCCTCCTGAGTAGCTGGGATTACAGGCGCCTGCCCCCATACCCGGCTAATTCTTGTATTTTTAGTAGAGACAGGGTTTCACTGTGTTGGCCAGGCTGGTCTCGAACTCCTGACTTCAAGTGATCTGCCTGCCTCGGCCTCCCAAAGTGCTGGGATTACAGGTGTTAGCCACCATGCCCGGCCGTCCTTGACAGTTTTGAGGAGCCCCAGCCAGGTATTTTCCAGAATGTTCTTTGAGCCTCCTTCAAAGACTTTCCTCAGCATCGCTCAGTGACTTCTTATGCTTCATTGTCCAGAGCTGGAGCCGCGGGAGCCACAGGGAGGTGGGAATGTGACTGCGCAGCCGGAGGCCTCGCCTCCCTGACGCTGTGGGGTCCACTGGGAAGGAAGTGGGGAGACGGGCATTACCTGGGTGACAGGCGGCCACTGTCGTTCTTGGGGACTGAGATGCTATGGCAGTGCACATATTTTTAAAAGATGACTACTAAATTTAAATAGTTTTAAATTATAGAGAAGTCGCAGGTCCCTGTTTGAGAATCATTGATCTAGCTGTGGTTCTCTGGTGGTTTGTGGAAGATGGCTTCTCTCTAGCTTGGTGTTACATGCTTACATGACCAGGTCCCTAGGGATAGGCCCACCCAGCCCCGCTTTATGAACTCAGAGGTGTCTGGCACGGTTCTGGCCCTGGGAGCCTCACCTCGGGAGTGAGATGTGTTAAGTCTGGGGTCAAGTTGCGGTTTTGCAAGATGGTTAAGAGTATCGTTTCTGGAACCAGAGCTTCGGTTCAAATCTCTGTTTTGCCACTAACTAGCTACGGAAACTTGAACAAATTACTTAATTCTTCCATGCTTCAGTTTCCCCATATGCAAAATGGGGAAGATAGTAGAGTCTTCCATTGGGGGTGGTGAGTTCTGAGGGCTAAGCCTTGTGGGGAGCTGCGCACAGGGCCTGGTGTGTAGTCAGTGTTCTGCAAATGTCAGTATCTCCCTTCCCTTTGCCAGGGTGTGTGAGTGTCTCTGTGTCCCTGTCTGTGTTTCTGGTGTTACTGTTGCCTTAGATTCTGACTGAATAACCTGGCTCGGTTATTGTGTGGGATTGTGTGGGAACCATACAGATTGTACAGGCATCTCCAAGGTAAAGAGTGGGCTGCGTATGTGGGGACTCACACAGGTGTTTTGAAAGGTATATCCTAAAATAGCCATCACCTTCATTTTTTTTTTAGATTGTATCAAAATTTCGAACAACATTAAGCAAAGATATGAGACTTTTATGTTTTTAAGAGAGGCCGCTCATTCAAAGCTTTTCTGATCCTGGAGGCCTCAGAGGCCGTCGTTGTGACACTCATTCTGTAGGTTCACTGTGTTCTTGAGTTCATGTCCATGAAGGTGCTGGTACCATTTTGTGCTTTTAACACCAATTCTCGGGGTGACAGAGAGATTCCACAGCCTTTTCCCCTTGCTCTCCTAGGTCACGGACCTCTTGGTGGATGAATCCAGTTTCACCGGGGAAGCCGAGCCATGTAGTAAAACAGACAGCCCCTTGACAGGCGGTGGGGACCTCACCACCCTCAGCAACATCGTCTTCATGGGGACCCTGGTGCAGTATGGGAGGGGCCAGGTAAGCCCTGGGACACCGAGGCCTTGGGCTCCCGTAACCCACAGGCTCCCAGCCCTTAGATTTCATACTTCTCTCTCTCCTGGACACAGGGGGTCGTGATTGGAACAGGGGAAAGCTCTCAGTTCGGAGAAGTGTTTAAGATGATGCAGGCTGAAGAGGTAAGGGGCAGGAGGGGGCTTCGGGACTTTTGTAAGCTGGAGTTTGAGATTATTATAGGCAAATAATACCAGCCTTGCCTACTCCTTAGGAATGAGTGGCATGTGGTTCATATGAGTATACTTTTTAAACATTTAATTTTTTTTTTTAATAGAGACAGGGTTTCGCCATGTTGCCCAGGCTGGTCTCAAACTCCTGAGCTCAAGCAATCTGTCTGCCTCAGCCTCCCAAAGTGCCAGGATTACAGGCATAAGCCACCACACCTGGCCTCTTTTCAAACACGTAAGACATTTGTTAGCATTTTGATAAAGATACAGCTTTCAGACAGTAATACGCACAGGTCTTCAGTGCAAAAGTCAATGAATGTTGACATATGTGTACCCCTGTGTAATCATCACTGAAGCTGTAGGATGGCAAGGTGAAGACATTTTGAACAAAGGCAGGCAGAAGCTAGGATCTTGTCCAACTAACCCATTGTGCTCACCCTTTCAGACACCTAAAACTCCTTTGCAGAAAAGCATGGACAGGCTAGGAAAGCAACTGACACTCTTCTCCTTTGGCATAATCGGTGAGTGAAGCAGTTTCCATACTGGGTTTGTTCTGCAGATGGAGGGGAGCCATCATAGGGGGGTTGCCATGGCCGTTTCTCAAATATCTTGCTACTCAGCTGCATAAGGCTTGGGGATTGGGATCAGAGGCTCTCCACAAGCAACAAGAGCTTTCTGTATAGTTGGACCAGGCTGGCTGCTGTAACAAGCAGCCACTACATTTTCTTGGCTTAACAGAGTAAACGCTTGTTCCTTGCTCACACCGCAGTCCAAAGTCCGTGGGTGTATTCCTGGTCCAGTGGCTCTCCTGGATAGCTCGCCTACAAACAGTGACTTGGGCCCAGGCCCCTGTTACATTGCTGCTCTATCTTCCTCTGGGTCCTTGGAGGCCATGTTTCTGTTCAGCCAGCAGATGGTGAAAGAGGAAACATGGAGGCTTGTGGAGGACATTTTTAAGGCATAGACCAGGAAGTGGAATCATCAATTTGACCATCTTTTATTGGCCAGAATGGAGTCACATGGCCTACATAACTGCAAAGGAGACTGGGAAATGTAGTTTATCTGTGCACCCAAACATATTTCTATGCTTCTAAGCAGGCTGTTCCTGGACTGGGACTTCCTGACCTTTGGTAACACAACAAACAGCATTGACATGATGCTGCGGTTCTGAATCTAGATCTTAAGGCTTGACATCCCCATAGTGCTGCCCCAGTCCCTTCTGGGGCTTCTTCCTGTTCTTTCCATATCTGGCCTTACTTCTGTGTCCTTTATTCCAGCCTTTAGGATCAACCCATGCCTGGCCCCTAATAGATTCTCAGTAAATATTTGTTGAGTAAAACATTTAATCAAGGAATAAACCAACAAGCCACTGCCTATAGCACATCTAGTGATGAGGGGGGTGCTGGTGAGTGTAGCCAAAACTGCGAAGCCAGAGAACAGTCTTGAGAGAAACAGCTTATGTAAGCCCATGTTTCTTAAGTTAAATTAGAACTTAAATTGACATGTCCACAGCAAGACCCATGATATCATTCAGACATTTTTTTTGAGGGGGCAGGAATGGAGTCTCACTCTGTTGCCCAGACTGGAGAGCAGTGGCGTGATCTCAGCTCACTGCACCCTCTGCCTCCTGGGTTAACCAATTCTCCTGCCTCAGCCTCCTGAATCTCTGGGATTACAGGCATGCACCATCACGCCCAGCTGATTTTTGTATTTTTGGTAGAGACAGGGTTTTGTCATGTTGGCCAGGCTGGTCTCAAACTCCTGGTCTCAAGTGATCTGCCCGCCTTGGCCTCCCAAAGTGCTAGGATTACAGGCATGAGCCACCGCACTGGGCTTTTTTTTTTTTTTTTTTTTTTTAACATTTTGGGAACTGCTCTAGCAGATGGAGAGTTTTGACACTCAGTCCCATGGACCCCCTAGAAGGCCCAAGGGGCAGGTGCAGGGAAGCAACACCATGCTGGTCAGCGCTTCTAGAGGAAAGTAGCATTTGCCAATTCCCATGGTGCAAATACTCTCAGTGTGGCCGTTTTCAAGCTACTAATGTATAGACACAGAACATGGATTTCGGAAGAGATGTACCTAGTTGATTCTTGTGAGCTCCTGTGAGGAGTCTCCAGCCTTCTACTATGGGAATGCCACAAGGGTGGAGTGAGTACCTAGTGGGGGTGGCTCTAGGCTCACTGCCTCACCCCTATTTCCAATAGAGCTCCCCTTGCTAATCTATTTCATTTGAGTTCATTTGGGTTCTAGCTAAGATTTCAGCTGATGACTGAGTTTAGTAGCCAATAGTAGAATGCCCAAAACAAAACTAACAGATACTGTGGCAGCTGCCCCCCTCAATACATACACACACACACCCCGCTACCATCCATCAGAAAACATCCCTGGCCCCCTGGCCCCTGCAAAGCAAAGCTAACGTTCTTTAGCAAGCTCTCCAAGGGTGTCACCTGGCAACACCACCCACCTTCCCAGTCCCTACTCACACCTCCGTGTCTCGTACACCTAGTGCAGTAACTGGTGTGCAGTACGTATTTGGTAAATTATTAATGAAGGAAAATGGAAATGGAGTATATTTAATCATGAGTACCACAGAGTAAAATAATTTGAAAAAACAGTGACCTATCTGCCCATCACAGGAGCAGTTGCATTTGCCACAACAAACACCACATGGGGGGATGTTCTGGATACACGCAGCCGACGGTAAACTTTGGGAATAAGATGTAAATGCTTGCGAACAGTCCAAAATAGACTGATTGAGCCTTTTACTTAAATTTGGCTTGGACCTTTCCTAAGAAAGTAAAATCGGGTTTTTGTAGGTATAAACGTATCTCCCTTAGAAAAGAGAAGAGACGGGTTGAAAGTGGTTGAGGTTATCAGGCGTTCCTCTGTGCATGCATTCCTGTAAACTCTTTAAGGAAGTGAGTTTGAATCCCTCCAGGCATCAGCGTGTGTAGTGCATATGGAGATAAGGATGTTTTTGTCTCTTCCCCAGGTCTCATCATGCTCATTGGCTGGTCGCAAGGGAAACAACTCCTGAGTATGTTCACGATCGGGGTCAGGTAAGAGTGCTATGGCCGCCCCTTGCCTTGCCAGGGTGGTCAATGGGCTCTGAGCCCTTCCCTGCCGCAAGAGAAGGTGGGGAGGCTGCAGAATAGGAAGGGTTGGGAAGGTGCAGCCCCGTCACCCAAACTCCAGCCTCCCAATAGCATGTTCTCCGACAGGTACAGAGTGCCCGGCGAATGCTTGCAAAATGAATGACAGCAAATGATCCAGGGTGTCCCTTTTGTATTAGGCTGTTCTTGCATTGCTAAAAAAAAAAAAAATACCTGAGGCTTGGTAATTTATTAAGAAAATAGTTTAATTGGCCTATGGTTCTACAGGCCGTACAGGAAGCATGGTGTCTGCTCAGCTTCTGGGGAGGCTCCAGGAAGTTTCCAATCAAGGCGGAAGGGGAAGGGGGAGCAGGCATGTCACATGGCAAGAGCAGGGGCAGGAGAGGGAGGAAGGGGAGATGCCACATGCTTTGAAACAATTAGATCTCTCAGGAACTCACTCCAGCAAGAACGGCTCGAAGGAGATGGCGCTAATCCATTCATGAGGGATCCACCCCATCGTCCAATCTCCTCCCACCTCCAACACTGGGGCTTATGTTTCAACTTGAGGTTTGAGTTGGGACACACATTCAAACTGTATCAGCTTTCTTGTCACTCTTTGCCTGTGGGTTTGGGTCTTTCTGGCTAAGAGCAAGGACCCCAGAGCCAGCCTGCCTCTGTTTAAATTCTACGCTTGCCACAAAACTGGAGGTTCTGTGACCTCCAGCAAGTTTCTTAGCTCTCTGTGCCCCAGTTTCCTCCTCTGAAAAATGGGAATGCTCATATACCCTCTCCTAGGGCGACTGTCTGGATTAAAGGAGTTAGTCTGTGCAAGCACCCACATGATACACAGTGCAGAGTGAGTGTTGGCTCTTAATACTGGTTTACAACTCTATCCAAGCCCTTGTCTTACAGAGGAGGCTATCAGAGCGGCAATGGATGTAGAGCCCAAGGCCACACGCGGACAGCAGGGCTGGGAGTCATCATCACTTGATGATGCTAAGCCGAGGGGACCCGCCCTTCTTCTACGTAGTGATTCATAAGTCATCCCAAGCCCCTGGGTCCTGGTGGCCGAGACAGGGAGAGGCACGGGCAGCCCAGCATCGTGCAGCGGTTTGACTTTGTCAGTAGTTCTTCTGTGGCTATTTGCCAAGAGCAAGGGAAGCAGAGGCCGGGGATTGTCACTAACTGGGTATGTCCCATTGGAAGGGAGCCTAGGGGCTGTGCCAGGACACGGAGGAACCAACCCATGTCTAGGCTCATGTCAGGCCCATTGGTTCCCAGACAGTAACGCACACGCAGCTGCTGTCTGCAACGTGTTTTTAGGTGATGTGTGGAAAATCATTCTAGTGTCTGTTCATATGTATATATATGTAATTAATACATCAAACCCATGATGTAAACAAACTTAGATGTCCATCAGCTCATTAAAGAATAAACAACTTAGGTACAGTGGAATATTTTTCAGCCACAGAAAGGAATGAAGTACTGATTCATACTGCAACATGGATTAATGTTGAAGCCATTTTCCTAGGTGAAAGAAGCCAGTTGCACATGTTATATGATTTTATTTATATAAAATATTCAAAAATAGGTCACTCGGCCAGGCGCGGTGGCTCATACCTGTAATCCTAGCGCTTTGGGAGGCCAAGGCAGACGATCACCTAAGGTCAGGAGTTCTAGACCAGTCTGGCCAACATGGTGAAACCCTGTCTCTACTAAAAATACAAAAATTAACTGGGTGTGGTGGCAGGCACCTAAAATCCCAGCTACTCGGGAGGCTGAGGCAGAAGAATCGCTTGAGCCCGGGAGGTGGAGTTTGCAGTGAGCCGAGATTGCGCCACTGCCCTCCAGCCTGGGTGACAGAGCAAGAGACTGTCTGAAAAAAGAAACAAACCAAAACATAGGTCACTTCATAGAAACAGAAAGTAGGTTAGTGTTTGCCAGGGCCTGGGGTTGGGGAGTGTGTAGTGACTCCTAACAGTTATGGGGTTTCCTTCGGGGGTGAAGAAAATGTTCCAAAATTGATTGTGCGGATAGGTGCACGACTCTGCATACACTAACCACCATTCAATTATATATGTTAAAGGAGTGAATTTTATTATATACAAATTATATATCAATAGAGAAACCAGAAAGGTATAGAACAGGCAACTAAGAATGCTGTTATTGAGAGGGTCCTCGGAGCCTTTCTAATTTATATATGAAGAGTAAACCATTATTGCAAATGTGTGCTGTAATGATCATTACAGTGAATTACAGCAGACAAACTCCTGGTGGATTGAGGCATCCCAGTGTGTGCTGGGACACAGAGGTTTGTCCTGCTGGCCAGTGTGGGCAAGAGAATCTTGCTTTAAGGGTTGAGTGTACTGGGTCTGGTACATGGTATCAGGTACCTAGTATCAGGTGTACATGGCTCTGGTGCATAGTCAGGCTTGCCTGTGTATACATGAATGTACACGATTATCTGGTAATTAGTAGTAGAAGAGATTCCAAATGCCTTATTTTTTCAACGACACTGCATGGTGTGCATTAATTGAGGGGCAGGTGGTAAAATCAACATGTGGGCAGCTGTGTGTCCTATGACAAAAGCATTCAATAACTGTTTTTTGAGTTAATGGGAATTGGAAATACTGTGTCTGGCTTTGGATACTTTGTCACTCAGTGTATTTAACAAACAAAATCTTAGTAACACCAAATGCTGAGAGCACACAAAAAAAACATGGAAAAGAGGAGCTGGAATATTATGTGATGATGTGGGCACACAGATGTGATAAAAATCCTAAAAGCAAAATACAAATGACAGACACTTGGAAAACCCCATCCCAGATAAATTCTAAGTCATAATAAGTTCATCTCTTCCCTTAAAGAAAAAAAAATCCTGTAATGAGACACACAAGACATTCAAACCACATCAGAATACCCTTAAATGATAGTTTTCAATAGGAAAAGAAGAACAAGAAAAAAAGCTGTACTCATAGATAATAGTCTTTAGGTTTTAGCTTTAAACAACCTATAAATGAGCGGAGATGTATGCCAGGGGTTGGACTTTCCCCCTAGACCTGTTTGGAACCATGAAAATGATGCAGTGGTGCTGTACAGGTGTCTTTGCTGGGTTGCAGCCCTTTTTCCCTGAATATATGCCCAGGTTCTCGGTTTGTTTTACTAATGGCCCTGCGAAAGGGCATCTTAGGCTCTGGATAATGAAACCCAAGGGGGTCTATTGAATGTAGGATGGTCTTGATCTCTAGTGAATTGGGGCTTTCTGGCTTAATATCCTGAACAGAACGATCTTCATGGCGTTGTTTTTTTTGTTTGTTTGTTTGTTTGTTTTCAGACAGAGTTTCACTCTTGTCGCCCAGGCTGGAGTGCAATGGCACGATCTTGGCTCACTGCAATCTCCATCTCCCAGGTTCATGCAATTCTCCTGCCTCAGCCTCCCAAGTAGCTGGGATTATAGGGGCGCACCACCACACCCAGCTAATTTTTTAAATTTTAAGTAGAGATGGGATTTCACCATGTTGGCTAGGCTGGTCTTGAACTCCTGACCTCAGGTGATCCACCTGCCTCAGCCTCCCAAAGTGCTGGGATTACAGGTGTGAGCCAGTGCTTCCAGCCTTCGTGGAGCTTTTGAGGAGCATTTATCCTTCGGTGTTACTGTGTATAGCACGTGACTGCGTGATCTGTTCGTATCACTTTCATTGAATCCCTTTCATGTTCATGTAGTGTTGGGATTGGGGGAGGTTGTGAACAAGACAGTCATGGTTCCCACCTTCAAAGATTGTAGGTCTCAGTGGGGATGGAGAATCGATGGGAATCAAGGGCTAGAGGAAGAGAGCTGGGAAGAGAGGCAGAGGCAGGTGGGAGAGGGAGCGTGAAGCTGAGATCTGGAGGAGCTGTGGCTGATGTGATGAGGCCTTGGAGGAGACTGGGTGTGCATATTCCTGTGGCTGTCAAAACAAAGCACCACAGGCTGCAGGGCTGGAAACAGAAGCTTATTCTCACCATTCTAGAGGCCAGAAGTCCGAGGTCCAGGTGTGGCAGGAGCATGCTGTTCTTGAAGACCCTAGGGGGAGAATCAGCCAAATGCTTCTCAGCTTCTGGTGTCACAGGCAGTCCTGAGCACATAGATATCTTGCCTCTAGTCTCTGTCTGTCACATGGTCTCCTCCTCTGTCTCTGCGTCTCTTCTCTTCTTTTTATAAGGACGCCAGTTGTATTGGACTAGGGTGGATACTCTAATGACCCCATTTTTATTTGATGATGTCTGCAAAGGCCCTGTTTGCACATAAGGTCACATTCACGTGTACCAGGAGTTAGGATGTGAACATATTTTATTGGAGGGACACAATTCAACCCCTTAGCAGCAGGCACTGGGCTGCCGGGAGAAGGGGGTGGATGGACAACAAGCTCGTTGAAGGAGATGAGGACAAGGAGGCCTGAGCCAGGGCTGGGAAGACCCGTCTACGCGAACGGCAAAGTTGCCAAGAGCAGCCTGCAGGTGGACAGAGTAAAGTCAGTTCTGGGCCGGGTGCGGTGGCTCACGTCTGTAATCCCAGCACTTTTGGACACTGAGGCAGACGGATCACTTGAGGTTAGGAGTTTAAGACCAGGTTGGCCAACATGGTGAAACCCCATCTGTACTAAAAATACAAAAATCAGCTAGGCGTGGTGGCACGTGCCTATAATCCCAGCTACTGGGGGGCAGAGGCAAGAGAATTGCTTGAACCCGGGAGGCAGAGGTTGTAGTGAGCTGAGATCACACTACTGCCCTCCAGCCTGGGCAGCAGAGTGAGACACCATCTCAAAAAAAAAAAAAAAAAAGTCAGTTCTAGAATCTTCAAGGAATTGAAGAGGGAGGGACCAGGGTCTTTTGGTGCTGGAGAAGGAGCAGGAGTAGAACATGTGATCCCAGTTCACCCTTACACAGCCCATGGGGTAAGTCTGGCCTCCTTTTTACAGATTGGGAAACAGGCTTACACTAGCACAACTTATGGGATCAGGGCATGGAAGAGACAGACTTCAAACCACTGAAGCCTGATCCAAAGCCGGGCTCCTTGTCAGCAACCCAACCCCCCCACCTCAGCAGGATGGGGACTCTGCTGCCAGCCACTGCCCCTCACTCCCTATCCTTGGCGGCCATTGGCAATGGGCTCGAGTTTGTTTGCCCCATGAATATGTATTGGGCATCTGTTGACTCTCTGTTTACATCAAAAGTGCTGATCCAGCTGGATCAGGTAGATCTCTGCCCTCCTGGAGTTTTCTGGCTGGGGAAAAAAGTGAATGTTAACAATTTAAGCACACATTAATAAAAATAATTACAACTTATGAGTGCTACAAAGGAATAACTGCCGAGAAAGAGATTAAAAGGGAGGTAGAAACCAGCTGGGCATGGTGGCTCACACCTGTAATCACAGCACTTTGGGACTCTGAGGTGGGCAGATCACTTGAGATCAGGAGTTCAAGAACAGCCTGGCCAATGTGGTGTTGCATCTCTACCAAAAATACAAAATTAGCCGGGCATGGTGGTGTGTACCTGTAATCCCAGCTACTCAGGGAGGCTGAGGCAGGAGAATCGCTTGAACTTGGGAGGCAGAGGTTGCAGTGAGCCGACATCTCACCACTGCACCCCAACCTGGGCAACAGAGCAAAACTCTGTCTCAAGACGAAAAAAAGGGAGGTAGAAGGGGATGGACTGGAAGAGGTGGCCAGGGAGGGTTATGGGTAGAGAGTTGAGGAGTCAGGAGATGAGCAGGAAGGGTGTTCAGGCAGGGGGAACAGCACAGGCAAAGGTTTGGGGGTGGGAACATATCCGAGGGTCACTTGGGGGGGACCACAGCTGAGCTCTGTGAGCAGAATGAGATGATGGAGTTGCTTAGATCATGGGGAAACTCATGGCCCCTTCTCCTATTCCTAACCTCATCATCAGAGCCTTTCCCAATACGCCACGCCAGGCTGTCTCTGTGACACTTTGGAAGCAGAGAGATGAAAAGTGTTGGCCACCCTTGATTTAGAGGCCGAAGGAAGTGGGAGGTGGGAGCCCCAGCTTATTACAGAAGCGGGGGCTGGGAGGAAGGGGGCACTGGAGCAGGACGCCGAGCTGTGCTGGGGACAGTGGGGTTTGGGGCATTGGAAGAGCACCTGCAGAGGCAGGCACTGGAGAGCTGAGGTCTCCCGCCGAGCTGAAGAACGGGAGGGTCCCTGAGAGAGATGGCAAACCTGGATGGCCGCTCCCCCAACTCGGGGCTGGGTGGGGCCCGAGACTCACATTTCTTTCTTTCTTTTTATTATTTCAGTAGGCTTTTCGGGAACAGGTGGTGTTTCGTTACGTGAATAAGCTATTTAGTGGTGATTTCTGAGATTTTCATGCACCCATCACCTGAGCAGTGTACACTGTACCCAATGTGTTGAGACTCACATTTCTTTTGTTTGCTTTTTTATTTTTAAATTTTTCTTTAAGTTCTAGGATACATGTGCAGAATGTGCAGGTTTGTTACATAGGTATACACGTGCCATGGTGGTTTGCTGCACCTACCAACCCGTCATCTAGGTTTTAAGCCCCACATGCATTAGGCATTTGGCCTAATGCTCTCCCCCGAACCCCCCGACAGGCCTGGGTGTGGATGTCCCCCTCCCTGTGTCCATGTATTCTCATTGTTCAACTCCCACTTAGGAGTGAGAACATGCCGTGTTTGCTTGCTTGTTTTTGAGATGGAGTCTTGCTCTGTCCAGGCTGGAGTGCAGTGGCGTGATCTTGGCCCACTGCCACCTCCATCTCCTGGGTTCAAACTATTCTCCTGCCTCAGCCTCCCAAGTAGCTGAGATTACAGGTGCCTGCCACCACACCCAGCTAATTTTTGTATTTTTAATAGAGATGGGGTTTCACTATGTTGGCCAGGCTCATCTCGAACTCCTGACCTCAGGTGATCTGCCTGCCTCTGCCTTCCAAAGTGCTGGGATTACAGGTGTGAGCCACTGCGCCTGGCTGAGACTCATATTTCTAACAAGCTCTCAAGGGTGCTAACACAGGTGGTCCAGGGAGCACCCTCTGAGCGTGAGGCTGTGATTCGACACTGTCCCCTGAGAGCGGGCTCCAGCAAGAACAGGACCAGGAAAGAGGCCAAGACACCCGAACAGCATTCTCAGGTGACTGAGCCTTTGGAGGCAGGGGTGGCGGCAGGGAGGGAGACATTTGAGCCTCAAGGAGGCTGCCAGAGAACACAGGACTCTCAGAAGACAGAATGCTTAAAATCTTCCCCAAGTAGGCTGGGCACAGTGGCTCACACCTGTAATCCTAGCACTTTGGGAGGCTGAGGCAAGAGGATCCCTTGAGCCCAGGAGTTTGAGACCAGCCTAGACAACATAGTGAGACTGTCTGTACAAAAACAAATGTTTTGTTATTAGCCAGGTATGGTGGTGCACGCTTGTAGCCCCAGCTACTTGGGAGGCTGAGGCGGGAGGATTGCTTGAGCCTGGGAAGTCAAGGTTTCAGTGAGCCATGATCTTGCCACTGCACTCCAACCTGGGCAACACAGCAAGACCCTATCTTAAAAAACAAAAACAAAAGAAAACCAAAAAACCAAAAAAATCTCCTGCAGATCATGAGTTCAGGAGTTTGAGACCAGCCTGGCCAAAACAGTGAAACCTCGTCTCTACTAAAAATACAAAAATTAGCCGGGCATGGTGGCGTATGCCTGTAGTCCCAGCTACTCAGGGGCTGAGGCAGGAGAATCTCTTGAACCCGGGAGGTGGAGGTTGTGGCGAGCCGAGATCGCACCACTGCACTCCAGCCTAGGGAACAGAGCAAGACTCCGTCTCAAAAACAAAACAAAACAAACAACAACAACAAAACACACACACACACACACACACCCTCCTGCCAATAATGGTGCATCCAATCCCTGTCTTATAAGCCATGAGAAGCTTCATGAGGCAAGAAAGACGATTAAATATTTCCAGAAGAAAAAGCAAAAAAGGCTTCTGTGCTCAAGCCCCAAATACCCCAATTCTCTCCCCACCCAGTGCTATGGTCACTTCCGGTTTCTTGTCCTAACCTCCCTTGCAGCACGGGCATCCCGCTTGATCCATGCGAGTGGACTTGCACGTGGGAGACACTTTCCCCCTCTCATTTGTCATTTTGAAAGGGCGAGGTTTTTCAGTTTTAGTGCCAGATTAAAGCCGCTGAAAGCCACTGAGTCAGAAGGTGGAGATGGCAGCTTAGCCAGCGGAGATTTTCCAAAATAAGTAAAATGAGAGAATCATTTTTTTAAAACTTTAAGAACTTTTTTAAAACGAATTCCTGGGTCGGGCACGGTGGCTCATGCCTGTAACCCCAGCACTTTGGGAGGCCGAGGCGCGTGGATCATGAGGTCAAGAGATAGAGATCATCCCGGCCCACATTGTGAAACCCCGTCTCTACTAAAAATACAAAAATTAGCCAGGTGTGGTGGTGGGCGCCTGTAGTCCCAGCTACTCGGGAGGCTGAGGGAGGAGAATCACTTGAACCCTGGAGGCGGAGGTTGCGGTGAGCCGAGATTGCACCGCTGCACTCCAGCCTGGTGACAGAGCAAGACTCCATCTCAAAAAACAAAAAACAAACAAACAAAAAAATTCCCTATATGTTAAGTGACATTCAAGATGATACAAGGCACTTGCTTTTCCTGGTCCATTCTAATCAATTTTTGTTTTGCTTTTGTTTTTTTGAGATGGAGTCTCTCTCTGTCACCCAGGCTGGAGTGCAGTGATGTGATCTCGGCTCACTGCAAGCTCCGCCTCCTGGGTTCAAGTGATTCTCCTGCCTCAGCCTCCCCAAGTAGCTGGGACTACAGGTGCTCGCTACCACACCCGGCTAATTTTTGTATTTTGGTAGAGACGGGGTTTCAACACGTTGGCCAGGCTAGTCTCAAACCCCTGACCTCAAGTGTTCCATCCGTTTCTGCGTTTCAAAGTGCTGGGAATGCAGGTGTGAGCCACCACACCCGGCCCATTCTAATCTTTATTAGTCTGTGGATTAATTCTTTATTATTATGAATTCATCCAAGTAATACAAAGATGCCCTTCCCCTGCCATATGGGATGAAAGTCCCCGTCGTAACCCTCCACAAATGTTTGCTTAGCTGGTCTTCACAGCCTGTGCCATAAAACCAACGAAGCCTTCTGGCTGTCACTGTAGAAACCGGGCACAGCCCCTTGATCAGATTCTGTAATCTTGGTTTATATAACTTGTCCATGCCTGTTGTATTGTCCCTGGGTGAAAGGTCACCATTCACAACCATTCTATTCAAACTGCCTGTTTTGTAATTGGAATTTGTTGCCAACATTTAATGTACCATATTTCTTTGATTGTGAGATGTACATTCTTTTTCACATTTCAACTCCTCTGAAATCAGATCACTTCTAATAAGTGATGTAATTAGAAAACATGGTGTTACTGATTAATTGGCAGTGTTTATTCTTTTCTGAGCTCTGCCCAAAATAATGGTGCCCTTCACAATCAACTGTCTTAGCTCTGATGAAATGTGGTCTCTCTGTGTGATCCTGGTTGAATGGATTCTCACCAGGTGTTCAGCCAACCCAGGTGGAGTGCTCACTGTGTGCTAGGCCAGCGCAGGCCTAAGCATTGTTATACCCCCTTCTTCATGCAGCAAATATTTACTGTATACCTCCTTGCTTTGCTGGATTTTCTAATGCAGAGGATAAAAACAGCCACCTGGCCAAGCTTGGAGGCTCATGCCTGTAATCCCAGCACTTGGGAATGCTGAGGAGGGAGGATCACTTGAGCCCAGAAGTTCAAGACCAGCCTGGGTAACAGAGTGAGACCTTGTCTCTACAAATCCTTTTTTAAATTAGGGAGTAAATAGTGGTGCATGCCTATGTCCCGGCTACCAGGGAGGCAGAGGCTGGAGGATTGCTTGAGTCCAGGAGGTCAAGGCTGCGGTGAGCCTTGATGGTGACACTGCACTCCAGCCTGGGCGACAGAGCAAGAACCTGCCTCAAAAAAAAAAATAAAAAACAGGCAAGGCACAGAGGATCACGCCTGTGATCCCACCACTTTGGGAGGCCGAGGCAGGTGGATCACTTGAGGCCAGGAGTTCAAGACCAGCCTGGCCAACATGGTGAAACCTCATCTCTACTAAAAATTCAAAAATTAGCCAGGTGTGGTGGCACATGCCTGTAATTCCAGCTACGCGGGAGGCTGAGGCAGGAGAATTGCATGAAGCTGGGGGGTGGATGTTGCAGTGAGCTGAGACTGCACCACTGCACTCCAGCCTGGGTGACAGAGTGAGACTCCATCTCAAACAAACCCAGCCACCCTTGTGTGATATAGCCAGAAAATGTGTTTTGTTTGAACTGTATCTTTTTCATTGGAATTTGTTGCCAACGTTTAAAAATTGGGAGTTTGCATGAAAAAGATACTGGATTTCCAGCTTCTCTTGGGAGCATGGGAGGCCCGGCAGCACTGTGCATTGCTGTGGTCCCTGGTGACTTGGTGGTGGCTCTTTGTTTAGAGGAGGGCCTGGGCTCTGGGATCGCCACGTGGGCTTGCTCGCCCTGGCCGATTTCACGTATTTCCTGGGCAGCCTGGCCCCAGGGCCTGGACCGGGCGTGTCTCGAGGGGCTTCTGCAGGGTCCCTGGCAGTGGCTGTGGGTGGGTTGCAGGTGTGGTGAGAGACAGTGGCCCCCTTCTCCCAGGATGTTTCTGGTATCTCAGATAACAGAAACTCCTCATCACTTCTAGTCCCCTAAATAGTCTCTTTCTAGAAATTGTACAGAGTGGATCCATGCGGTGACAGCACTTGGAGCTCCACTGAAGTCACATCTTCCCCCCTCCTCAGCCTGGCCTCGGGTGGAGGTTTGGTGGGGAGGATCCGGCCAACCTCCCTCACCTGCTCAAAATCTCTCCTCCCCCTCCCCATCGCCAGCGAAGGCTGTTTTTTTTTTTTTTTTGAGACAGACTTTCACTCTTGTTGCCCAGGCTGGAGTGCAATGGCACCATCTCAGCTCACCACAACCTCCACCTCCCAGGTTCAAGCGATTCTCCTGCCTCAGCCTCCCGAGTAGCTGGGATTACAGGCATGCGCCACCACGCCTGGCTAATTTTGTATTTTTAGGAGAGACGGGGTTTCTCCATGTTGGCCAGGCTGGTGTCGAACTCCCGACCTCAGGTGATCGAGGCGCCTCAGCCTCCCAAAGTGCTGGGATTACAGGCATGAGCCGCCACACCCGGCCTTTTTCTTTCTTAAACAGCTTTATTGAGATATAATTCACATATATAATTCATCCATTTAAAGCATACAATTTAATGGTTTTTAGTGTATTCAGAGATATACACAGCCGTCACCACAGTCCATTTTAGAATATTTTATTTTATTTGAGACAGGGTCTCACTCTGCTACATAGGCTGTAGCACAGTGACATGATCATGGCCCACTGCAGCCTCAGCCTTGACCTCCCAGGCTCAAGTGATCCTCCTACCTCAGCCTCCTCAGTAGCTGGGATTATAGGTGCACACTGCCACACCCAGCTAATTTATATATACATATGTATATATAATTTTTTTTTTTGTAGAAATAAAAAAATGTTGCCCAGGCTAGTCTTGAACTCTTGAGCTCAAATGATCTGCCAGTGTGATCCTCCCAAAGTGCTGGTATTATAGGTGTGAGCTACTGTGCCTGGCCTTAGAACATTTTCTTTTTTCTTTTGAGATGGAGTCTCACTCTGTCACCAGGCTGGAGCGCAGTGGCGCAGTCTCGGTTCACTGCAACCTCCGCCTCTCAGGTTCAAGCAATTCTCCTGCCTCAGCCTCCTGAGTACCTGGGATTACAGGTGCATGCCACCACACCTGGCTAATTTTTGTATTTTTAGTAGAGATGGGGTTTCACCACGTTGTCCAGGTTGGTCTCAAACTCCTGACCTCAGGTGATCTGCCCACCTGGGCCTCCCAAAGTGCTGGGATTACAGGCGTGAGCCACCACCCCCTGCCTAGAACATTTTCTTATCGCCTCAAAAAGAAACCCTGTGCCCTTTAGCTATCACTCTACATTCCCACCTATGCCCACATCCCAGCCCTAAGCAATCGCTCATCTTTCTTTCTTGTGTAGATTTCCCCATTCTGAACATCCCTTATGAATGGACTCGTGCTCTGAGTGGCCTTCTATGTCTGGCTTCTTCCACTCAGCAGCATGTTTTCCAGGCTCATCCACATGGTGGCATGTGCCAGTGCCTTGTTCCTTTCTTTGGCTAAAGTGTATTCTGCTGTATAGATAGACCACATTTGGCTCATCCATTTGTTCACTGATGGACATTTGGGTTGTCATAGTTTCTTCATGTTTGTTTTTACATTTTTTAAAGGAAAATTTCAAGCCTGTACAAAAGCAGAGAGGATGATAAAGTGAACACCTGTGTAGCCACTACCCAGCTTCAGCAGTGGCCCACTTGCAAACACTCTTGCCCTTTCTACAGCCCACCCCTGGCTATGTCAAACTGGACACCAGGCACCAGGCATCATACCTTTCCACCACTTCAGGAGTGTGGAATGTGGGGCCAGTCAGCCCCGATGTTGTGGAGTCTCAGCCAAAAGGGATAGAAAGAGCCCCCTCTACACATGCTCTCACCTGTTGACACACCCAGAGAAGGGGTATCATGTGCTGCAGCCCCAGTCTCATTTCCAAGAGAGCATCTCACCAGCTCAGCTTGGGTCACACGCTCTCCTCGAATCCAGCCAACCCTGGTTATGAGAGAGTGGGGTCGCACCGTACAGGGAGAGTTGGAGGGGTAAGAAAGAAGTGAGCAGACACCCCGAAACAGATCCACGCAGCAGGCAAGTGTGTCGCTGTGGCCCTTCACCTGCCCTGACCTGGACTTCCTTGTCTGGCTTCCTCATAGGAAGTGTCTACACCACTACACTCATGAAAAGTGAAATTCAAGGGACTCACGAGGACCCCTGGAACCAAAAACTCTTAATCCCACTTACTGTCTGATTTTGGGAATTCCTTTTATGGAACCCAAAGCCTTTTCTCTCTAATAAATGAGAATAATGTCAATGCAAAATACTTTTAAAGAGGCAAAACAGCTGACAGACTAATTCACATTAAGGTGTGGATGACTGACAGGAGAGGTCCCTTCCCAAGAGCGGGGTCTGCAGGGGAGGGCTCAGGACAGTGGGTGCTGCAGAAGGAGGCAGGTGCACCTTAGGATTGGGAATGGAGACTAGAACCAGGACACTGGGGACACCTAAGACAAGCTTCACCAGCCAAAAGCATTGCCAGCCCCAGCTGAGAGTCACACACTCCTTAAATGTGTTAGAGGGGACTCATTTGACCTTTCGATCCAGCCTGGCTGTGGCGGCCATTCCAGAGGGTCTGCCCATCGTCGTCATGGTGACGCTGGTCCTGGGAGTGCTGCGGATGGCCAAGAAGCGGGTCATCGTGAAGAAGTTACCCATCGTGGAGACTTTAGGTGAGGGACTCCAGCTGGTGGAATCCTTACACGTGGAATTGAATGGGGGCTTGGCTGTCAGGGCAATCCAGCCTGGGGGTTTCACAAGCCTGAGGATGGCAACTTCTCTTCTATAAACTGGTGTTTGTTGTACCAGGTTGCTGCAGCGTTCTCTGTTCTGACAAGACGGGGACTCTGACTGCCAATGAAATGACAGTGACCCAGCTTGTAACGTCAGATGGGCTTCGTGCCGAGGTGAGTGCCAAAGGAATTTACAAGCCTTAAGGATGCACCCAGCCAGGCTGTCTCCTTTCTAAACTAAGCACACAATGTCTTCTAGAACACAATAAGGAAGAAATAAATTGGGGTCATCTTATAATCTCCTTGCTAACATGACTGATTTTGTTTTTAATCATCCCATACTTCCTTTTAATAGATATGACCAATTTAAGGTAGCCTCCTTTTTTAGTTACTTATTAATTATAAGCACATTGCAAAATTTAAAAGCTAGAAAAAATCTTCCATACCTTCCACGATAAACTAACCGTGATTAGTCCATTTGTGGTTTGTTTGTTTGTTTGTGAGAGACAGAGTCTTGCTCCGTCACCCAGGCTGGAATGCAGTGGCTGATCTCTGCTCACTGTAACCTTCACTTCTCGGGTTCAAGCGACTCTCCTGCCTCAGCTTCCCAAGTAGCTGGGACTACAGGCATGCCCTAATACGCCGAGCTTATTTTTGTATTTTCTAGTAGAGACGGGGTATCACTATATGTTGGCCAGGCTGGTCTCAAACTCCTGACCTCAGGTGATCCGCCCGCCTTGGCCTCCCAGAGTGCTGGGATTACAGGCGTGAGCCACCACGCCCAGCCTGTTTTATTTTTTAAGCCAGGGTCTTGCTGTGTCGCCCAGGTTGCAGTGCAGTGGTGCAATCATGGCTCACTGCAGCCTCTAACTTCTGGGCTCAAGGGATCCTCCCACCTCAGCCTCCCAAGTCCTTGCGTGTTTTTCAGTGTCCTCTGCGTGCTTGGCGTAATTGGAAGCTCTCTGAATGTGCAATTTTTTTATCCTGATATTTTTTCTACAAAACTGGCCAAACCAAGGGGTGAACAGGTGATGGTCCATGGGCCAGTGCTTGTTTGAAAATAAAGTTTCCTTGGTGTACCACCACACCCATTTGTGTACATATTGCCAATGGCTGCTTTCATGCCTCAGTGTGCCGCAACGGCAGAGCTGAGTAGCCACGACAAAGGTGGTATGGGCTGCAAAGGCTAACACGTTTACCCAGCGCTGTTCTTGGAATAGAAGCACTCTTCTATGCTAGTTCTTAGTTTTCTTAACCATCACTTGTACTGGCTGCAGAGTATCCCACTGAGTCAACTTGCTGCAACTTACTCATGCCTGGTACTGTGTCCATCCATGACGTATCCAATTAATCAATAATCTTTCAGAGAACATCTTCATACTGAAAGCCCTGTCCACGTTTAGGATTGTGTCCCTGGAATGGATCCCCAGGACAGAGATTGTGGGCCAACTGGGGGAGCATGTTTTTGACTCTTGGCGAAACCCTTTCTTCTGCCTCGCCCTGCAGGTCAGCGGAGTTGGGTATGACGGTCAAGGGACTGTGTGTCTTCTACCATCCAAGGAAGTCATTAAGGAATTTTCCAATGTCTCAGTGGGAAAGTTAGTGGAGGTAGGTGTCAAAAGCGCCATGAGGGAAATAGGCATTTACATTGAGGCTTCTGGGGCTCCTCTCTGAAAAGGGAAACAGCCATTGAACCTACTGGTTCTTGACAATGACTGGCCCATCCAGGGGTGAGGCTGGCACAGCACTGAAAAAATGGCCTCAAAAGTGATGGAGACATCAGAAGTAAGACGACAGCTAGGCTGGGCACAGTGGCTAATGCCCGTTATCCCAGCACTTTGGGAGGCCAAGGCAGGAGAATCACTTGAGGCCAGGAGTTCGAGACCAGCCTGAGCAACGTAGTGAGACCCTGTTTCTATTATTTTTTTTAAAAAAATTATTTAAAAAGAAGAGCTAGAAGCCTCTGTACTCATCACTGCCCACTGGGAAGGCTCTAAGGAGACTCCTGCCCAGAGACGTGCCCGATGAATGGTAAAAAGTGAGCCTGTGATGAATTTCCCCTATTGTTATTAGTGAGCCTGTGATGATGTTCCCCTGTTGCTGTGATGAGTCCTGCGGTCCGAGCTGTACTCACCCTTTCACAGGGGCTCCCTCCTCCCCATGTAGCAGGCACCCTTCTTCCTCTGTACAGTTCAGTGAGCGCCACTTGCAAAGGACCTGCCTCCAGGGGCCACTTCACTATCACAGCAAACGCTGTCTTGGTTTTGCAGATTAAAAATCAAAAATATGACCAGGCGTGGTGGCTCATGCCTATAATCCCAGCACTTTGGGAGGCCAAGGCGGGTGGATCACCTGAGTTCAGGAGTTCAAGACCAGCCTGGCCCACGTGGTGAAACCCCATCTCTACTAAAAAATATAAAAATTAGCTGGGCATGGTGGCACACACCTGTAGTCCCAGCTACTCAGGAGCCTGAGACAGGAGAATTGCCTTGAACCAGGGAGGCAGAGGTTGCAGTGAGCTGAGGTCATGCCACTGCACTCCACCCTGGGTAATAGAATGAGACTCCATCTCGAATGAATGAATGAATGAAACAAAAATATGCAAAACTAGTAATAATAAAAAAGAAAAGAAAAGAAATGGGCAGAGAAGTAATGCGAGTGTCCAGGCTCACCAGGCCGGGAAGGAAGAGCGCTGGGAATCCCACTCTTTTTGCTTGTCTCTTTTTCATTTTTTAAATATTTATGTATAAATTGAGGTAGAAGTCATCTACCATGAATTCACCCCGTTAAAGTGCACAATTCAGTGGTTTCAATTTGTTCACAAGTTGTGCAAACTTCACCACTGTCTAGAATACTTTGTCACCCCAAGTGGAAATGCCATCATCCCCATTATCGGTCGCTCCCCGTTACCCCACACTCGTCACCACCCGTGCACCTGCCTCCCTGCTGGGTTCCCTCATGATAACTTTATGGGAACCAACATTCAGCACAGCCAAGAAATAGTCACGATGTTTCTTTTAAAAAGCCGGGACGCTGAGTTGTTTTAAAGAGCAAGTCTTGTCCCCACAACCCCAGCTGTAAAAATGGGACAGGCCCACAATGTCTAACTTTTTCATGAGCCCAGTACTAACTACAGATGTCCGGACAATCCCCTTTTAGGCGGGCTGTGTTGCCAACAATGCGGTCATCAGAAAGAACGCCGTGATGGGGCAGCCCACCGAGGGTGCATTGATGGCCCTGGCGATGAAGGTAGGAGGTCCTGGGGTGGCTCTGCGGGGAATTCTTTCGCTCGGGGCTGGATTCATTGGTAGAAAGCCAGCTCCTGTCTGAGCTAACAGGAGTGGGGACGTTAGGTAATCATGGAAGAAAATGGCCCACACTGGCCTTGGGCCATCTGTTGGTGGTGGAGGAGGTGAGCTCTGAGATTCCACGGGACTTCAGCAAGTTCTGCAGGTCTCTAATCCCTCCACCAGCGATTCCAAAAGAATCCTATGAGCTTCCCTGTGGTTCAGGCCCTGGTCAGGTGTTGAGGCGACAGACAGTGGAACGAGACTCCCTATGCACCCAACACGACCCTGTGCTCACCGAGGCACCACTGGGAGGGGCTGGTTCCTGGGAATGTATTCGATTGACTCCGGGGTTCAGTGTTAGACCCTGAGCTCTGTGGCTGTGCAGGGTTGCCCCAGGCCATTCTGTACCCAGCACCAGGTACCAAGTGGCTGCTTGCAGTGTGGAGGGGATGGGTGGGAGCTGATGGGGGCCTGCTGCATTCTGTGCTCAGAGGACAAGTTAGAAGAAGGAGAGGCAGAAAACATGGGCTGGGAATGCAGGTGACAGGAAAGCAAGGAGAAGAGAGGACAAAGGACATGGGAAAGGAGGGGCCGGCAGAGGTTAAGAGGAGGGAGCAAAGGAAGGAAGAAGGTGGCCCCGGTCAGCTCCCACGTCTGTTTCCATGGCCACTTGGCCTGGGTCCCTCCTCTTCAGCCAGAGCTGGGGCTCCCCTGGACACTGTGGGAGCTCCTTTCCCCGACCCGCTCCGTGCTTTCTGCTGTGTGACTTGTCTCTGACTCGGGTGTGATCAGAACCCTCTCCATCAAGGTCAAGGGAAAAGCCCGACTCAGGGTGCTCATCCCCCAGCACGGACCCCTCGCTGCCGCCGAGCCTGGCCCCTGCACTCACCCTCCCTTCCTGCTTCCTCCTGGACTTTGACCACTCCTGCCTGTTCTCACTGGCGAGTGCCGACTTTCTCTTCAAGTTCACTCCAGTTTCCACCCCAGCAGACACCTCTCCTCATCCCGGGCTCACTTCACTGCCTTGTATTTTCAGCTTACCTGTCCCATCACTGAGCACCAGGGCTCACTTCACTGCCTTCTGTTATCAGCTTACCTGTCCCTCCCTCCAGTGCAAGACTCCAACCTCCCACACCACTGCCTTCCCAAAGCTGGTGCTGGGCGGGGGAGAGGTGGTCGCCCTCTCATAAGCCCCCGTGTTGGTAGATCAGGTGCTTTTCCCCAGTGTAAGAACATTGGAAAGTCATTACAGGCTGAGTGCAGTGGCTCAAATCCCAGCACTTTAAGAGGCTAAGGCGGGAGGATCATTTGAGGCCAAGAGTTTGAGACCAGCCTGGGCAACATAGCGAAAACCCATCTCTACAAAAAATATAAAAATTAGCTGGGCATGGTGGTGCATGCCTGTGGTCCCAGCTACTCAGGAGGCTGAGGCAGGAGGATCCCTTGAGCCCAGGAGTCTGAGGCTGCAATGAGCTATGATCACACCACTGCACTCCAGTCTAGATGAGAGAGATCCTGCCTCAAAAAAAAAAAAAAAAAAAAAACAAAAAGATTGGGCACAGTGGCTCACACCTGTAATCGCAACACTTTGGGAGACCGAGGCAGGTGGATCACCTGAGGTCAGGAGTTCAAGACCAGCCTGGCCAACATGGTGAAACCTCATCTCTACTAAAAATATAAAAATTAGCTGGGCATGGTGGTGCACACCTGTAATCCCAGCTACTCGGGAGGCTGAGGCAGGAGAATTGCTTGAACCCAGGAGGCGGAGGTTACAGTGAGCCGAGATCGTACCATTGCACTCCAGCCTGGGTGACAGAGCAAGACTCCGTCTCAAAAAAACAAACAGAAATCATGACATCGTATTATTTTTCTTCCATTCACAGAAGAGAATTCTCTCTGCAATGTCTGTAATAGTGAATGGAGCTCATTTCCCGTTTTAAAATAGTGCTGAGTCTGCCCCATTCAACAACTCCTCGCCGCCCAGAAGGGAAGGTGCCGGCCTGACCGCCTGGCAGGAATGACACCCATGTGTCACCTTGCTTCCGCCACCAGCCGTCCCTGCAGCCTAGAGAGGAGAGAGGTTCCAGCACCCAGAAGAGATTTCCTTGATGTGTTATAATTTTCCTTTTTCCTGGGGCCTGGCTTAAGATTTTGGAATACAGAACAAACACTGGCTGGCATGTAGGAAGTGCTGCCTGTGTGACAGGCATGGGGCAAGCACTTTGTGGTTCTTACCTGTCTCACCTGCTCTAAATGGCACTGAGGCCAGGCCAGTGGTTCCCGGGCTTTTCTTCCATTATTGCTCCTGGATTAGGGTCTTGGGGTTACTGAAATAAAACACCACTGGCTGGTGATTTAGTGTAACCAAAACACACTGAAACACAGCTCTGTGGCCAGAAGTTGAAATCAAGGTGTGAGCAGGGCCAGGCTCCGTCTCCCAGTTTCTGGGTGTTACTGGCAGCCCCGGGCGTTCCTTGACTCGCAGACGCATCCCTGCCTTGGTCTCTCACACCAAGCTCTGTCTCTGTCACGAGGTGCTCCCCGCCACGCCTCTGCGCAGCGTTTTCCTCTTTTTTTTTTTTTTTTGAGACGGAGTCTCGCTCTGTTGCCCAGGCTGGAGTGCACTGGCTTGATCTCCGCTCACTGCAACCTCCGCCTCCCAGGTTCAAGCGATTCTCCTGCCTCAGCCTCCCAAGTAGCTGGGACTACAGGCGCCTGCCACCACGCCTGGCTAACTTTTTGTATTTTTAGTAGAGACAGGGTTTCACCATGTTAGTCAGGATGGTCTTGATCTCCTCACCCCGTGATCCACCCGCCTCGGCTGCCCAAAGTCCTGGGATTACAGGCATGAGCCACCATGCCCGGCCTTCCTCCTCTTATATCCAGTCATGTTGGCTTAGGGCCAACCCTAATAGCCTCAAATTGACGATATCTGCAAAGGCGCTATTCCAAATCAGGTCACATTCAGAGGTTCCGAGGTTAGGACTTCAACATATCTTTTGTGGGGTACAATTCAACCCCACTAAGGAGATGGTTTAGGCATTTCTTCCCTAATCACCCCACTCCCTCCCCATGAAATTTAATATGGTAGATACACTGTATTGTACGCATATCTGCACTTTCTACGTAAAAGGAGTAGTTTTTTGTGCCCCTGCTGCACCGCATTTTCACCCCCTGTGGGACAGTGGGATGCATGGGTCATGACTGGTTTACACCTGGGGAAACTGAGATTCTGAGTTGTCACATCACTGATCCAAAAGCCACCAAAGAGCAACAAAGGGCCAGGCTGGCAAGGACCCCAGGCTGTGGACGGGGGGCTGGCAAGGACCCCATGTTCTGGACGCAGGGCTGTCTCACTGACTCAGGGGGTTCCGTCTGAGAAATTGCTACACCTTCAAGTCTGAAACATTCCTCCCGGCAGAAACACTGCAGGTTTGTTTCTAAGCAGATTTCAGATAGAAGCTGTTGCAAAGACCGTCTTGTCTGCCCTTCAGCCAAGAGAAGAGACTTTTTTTTTTTTTTCTAGGTGGGACATTCCAAGAGAAATGGCCTTTTTTCTATGTGCTAAATGCTTGGATTTCTTATCTGCCAGAGGTGGTTTGAACAATGAATAATTTAAATGGACTGAGCTTTGTATAGAGATTGGCTTCGGATGACTCACTAAAAATGTGTCATTTTATTATGCTAGATGGACTTAAGTGATATTAAAAATTCATATATAAGAAAAAAAGAGATTCCATTCAGTTCAGAGCAGAAGTGGATGGCGGTGAAATGCAGTCTGAAGACTGAGGTGAGACCTTTCAATCTTCAACCTCTTCTCTCTTTCTGCCCGGGCCCCCACCCAGAGATAAAGCAAAATGCAGACTTCAAGGATAATTTGAAAGTTCCTGGCTGCTTCTGTGACGTTCCAAATACATGGAAAAACTTAATCACCATCATACCTTTGATTCTCTTGGGTCTGCTTCTGGCTTTTTGTTTAAAACAGAAGTTCTTAAAGCAGGGTCCCTGGAGTAGCAGCGGTTGTTACCACGCGAGACTTTATTAGAAATGCAGAATCTCAGGTTCCATGCCAGACCTCCTGAGTCGAAGGGTCCAGGGGTGGGACCCAGTAACCTTCATTTTCTGCAGATTCTGATGCAGGTGCAAATGTTGAGATCGACCAGCCTGTAATCCAGTGACTGAGGCCCTGCTGCTAACACCAGTCGCCAACTTGCCAGTCCTCTCTTTGCAGCCCTGTGCTAAGTTTTTTATACTTCTTAGCTCATCTCCCCGTCATACTGGGGAGCAAATCCTTCAGTACGGAAGGCGTGTCTGTGTGGTGCATCAGCGTGTGCACACGTGTTGTCCCTGGCTAGAGGAACACATACCAAGCTATGGCCACCCCGGGTGGACATTACAGCTGATTTTTAAAATTTTCTTTTCAGATTTGTTGTGGCTTTTCAGATTTTCCTTAAAAGCTATTTTTTAAAGTTTTTGTTGCCTTCTACCGTTTTCTCCACCCCTCCTCTTCCCTCCCACTCTTTCTAGAATCTATCATGTCTGCCCACGCAGACTGCTCAGCTCCCACTCAGGGCTGTGGGCAGCTCAGCCAGCTCATGCCAGGCCCTTCCTGTGCATGGATGGACACATGTACATTTCAGGGGCTTAGAAGGGATTATAGATTTTCAAAAAACTTTTAGACCTTTAAATCTTTTCCCTTGCAAGGCAATGGTAATATATTCTCATTGAAAAAGTATAGAAATATGACATAAAAATGAAAGCTTCTTTCATTCCACCCTTCTTCCCTCCCTCCCCACCACCCACCCAGAGGTAATTCTATTTTAAGTCTGGGATGGAGCATTGCAGATTTTAAATATGCAAACGACAACATCTGGATGGTATTTTCAAAACAAGGTCACTATTTATAGTGTGTGTAATTTGCTTTTTCCCCCTAAGATTTTCTTTTAATATTATGTCTTAGATGTCTGTGTTGGTTAATATAAGCTTGTTATATTAACATATTAATTATATAATATGTAATATATATTACATATATTACATATATTATTTAATATATATTATGTAATATATATTATAATTGTATAAGAATATATTAGTTATATATAATATATAATATACATATAAATAATATAATGTAATATAATACATATAAATAATATACAATACATATGTACTATAATTAATGTATTAACATCTGTAATTAATATTATATTTATTAATAACATTAATATGTTAATTACATATTAATAACATATATAATTAATATTATATTATCTTATAACAGTGTTACATTCACACTGTGCACCCACGTGAGCCAGGTATGTCCGGTATTGAGGCTAGGGGTACAGTGTGACTCTCACTGACCCAGGGCCTCCCCCCGTGGAGTTCATAGTCTACATGTTTGTCATGACAGAGCTTAAGAAAAACACAGGAAAAATGATCAGCTACTCATGTGGCTTCACTATTACAAGCCAAGTGCTGGGGGTGGGTACAAAATAGACTTGGTGCTGCCCTAGGGAGGCAACAGTCTAATGGAAATATTCCCAGTTAATCACACCCCCAAAGGCACAGTCCCAGCTGGGATGATACCTCCCGTGCATGAAACATACAAGACGCTCTGAGTGACCATAACAAGGGAACTGAAAAAAGAACAAGGGTAGTACAGGTTGAAGATTGGCCTTGTTCTTTCTCTGGACTGCAAAACGTTCCATGGATGGATTCTAGAACTTCGCGAACCTGTCCAGCACCTGTGAACAGCACCAGCCTATGATAAATAACTCCGCTGCAAAGATCCCCGTGTGTGTCTTTGTAACCTTGTGCAGAGTGGGGTGATGGTCAGTATGAACCAAGGCTTCCAGTGATAGTGGATTTCTTCCCTTTGTCTTTTCTAAGGATCAGGAAGACATTTACTTCATGAAAGGGGCCTTGGAAGAGGTGATCCGCTACTGCACCATGTACAACAACGGGGGCATCCCCCTGCCGCTGACGCCCCAGCAGAGGTCATTCTGCCTGCAGGAAGAGAAGAGGATGGGGTCGCTCGGTTTGCGGGGTCAGTGCCTGTGGTCCCGGCCCAGAGCTTTAAGCTTGCATGTAACATTGACTTTTAAGTGCATTCAAGCAGGGTCCCTAGTCAAGGAGGTCACCCGTCCCAAGGAGTCAGGCAGCATGCTGACGGCAATAATGTGTGCTTGGAACCTGATGGTCACATGAAAGGCACAGAGGTCCCCACCTCATCCCAGTTCCTTAGTGACCCCCATTAATCCAGAGAAGAGGGTACCCTCCCTTGCTGAGTTTCCTAAGGCAGGTGAATGGGCTGCACCCCAAACATTGATTTTCCCAATAGGTCTTTTTGCTCATTGCCTCTTGTCAGGAAAACCCGAAGTTCTTTTCAGTCAAGGAACATATTTTTTCCCTTAGCCATTTTCAATTTTCTGCAGCAGAGCCAGTGCCATCCCTGATGGGCTGAACTGAACATTAAATCTCACATTTCCCTTGGTGTCATTTGTCACCCTGGCCAGTTACAGAGGAAGCGTTTAGAAGTGCTCCTGAGCACTGGTATTCCCTTGGGGGAAAGTGAGAGGCTTTGGGTTGGCCTTACTGGCTCAGGAGCCTTGGTTTTCCCCTTCGGGGAACAGAGTTTGTAGGTTGCTGGCAGGCTTGCTCAGAGGTGTACGGGGCGAGACCCTTGCGGCTTTCTGGGGCACAGTGAAGCCAGCGCCGAGCACGTGTCCCCTCTTCCCGAGTGAGGGGAGCGTTCCCCAAAGCATTGGCACTTTGCCCCCCCAAATGGTTTGTGTTGCGCTGGGTCTACAATAGGCTTACAGGTAAATACTGTGCCTCAGTTTCCCCATATGCCTAAGGAAGGCAGGAGAGCAGTGACTTCATTGATTGCTGTGAGGATTGGAAGAGACGGTGAATCCCATCTTAGCTTGCCCTGAGCCTTGACTCTGTTTCGGTGGCAGAGAAGCCAGGCCCAGCTTCTGCGAGCCAGGTGATCTGAGAGGGGCTGGTATAAGAAGGTCCTTTTCACCTCGCTGACACCAGCGACGGGGCTGTGGCGTCCCTCCTGCACAGTGGAGAGATTGGGAGACAATCTGGCACGTGGGTGGCAGCTGCTTTTGTCATGGTTGATACGACCAAGCCATTCAGTAGCTCCCTGTTCTTGTCACATCACGCCTCTGCTGACGAAATGGCTCACTTAAGAGTGGACACGTTAGTAAGTAAACATCCCACGTGGCACTGGCCTCTAAATCTGCACCTGGCACTTGGGCCCCACTTGTGTGCTGGGCACCAGGTTAAGTGCCTGTGTGAGGCCACGCCCTGAATCCCCACCGGGCAGAGGAGCCGGCCCAGGTGACACAGCCCTGCCTAGTGCAGCCAGCGCCTTCGCCCGGATGTCTGCTGCGGAGCGTAATGACGCGTTCCAGGGACTTGCTCCAGGCCTTGCGGGAGAGCGTAATGAGAACGGGTCAGTGGCGGAGGAGCAGTGAGACCTTTTCCTGTCTTCCCCCAGTGTACACGCAGGTCCTTTTTTGTTTACAAATGGACTTGTCTTCCACCTGTGGCTGGGAAAACTACAACCTGGGAACTGGCCTTAGAGAAGGCCTGTGCGTTTTTCCAATCTGTGTTTAGTCTGGGATGTTATTCCTCAGCAGGTGACCGTGGACTGATGCCTGCTGCCTGGCAGGCCTGGGACAGTGCCCGAGTGACTTAGAGAGGCCCCCAACCTGCTAGATCCCCTGGAGTGGCTTGGGCTTTGAGACCCCCCACCCCACATGCATCCAGGGGAAGATGAAAAACCCCACGGAGAGGGAAGGAGAGTTGGGGTGAGGGGAGCACGGAGGCAGGAGTATCCTCTTGGGATAGAGCGCTACTAGGTGGCCACTAGAAGCAGGGGATGCTCCTGGGTTGGCAAAGCCCAGGTTCAGGGAGGGGAGGGGACCATTGGAAAAGGGGAGGAAGGGCGCCAGCGTCATTGGCGCAGTGTCATGACTGTGTAGGAGGCATGCCAGCCCCATCTTTGGTGTCAGTGAGGGGGCAAGGATGTTCTTACACCACCCCCTCTCAGATCACCCAGGGGCAGGAGCTGGGCCTGGCTTCTGTGCCACAGAAACAGAGTCAAGGCCCAGGGCAAGCTCACAGCAAGAGTCCCCTCAGCTGGGTTGCTCCCCTGTCAATTTTTCTTAACCTCTGTACCGCGCCCCCAAGACTGCTGGAGATGACAAGATGAGTTAGCACAGAGCAAATGAGGGCAAGAACTGTTAGAAACGTCCCATCCTGCTCCACCTCACATGTCCCATTCTGGGCCAGCTCACAGGTTTCTGCAGCCACTTTTGTTGGGAAGTGGGGTGGGTCTTATACCATGAGTGGTGTATTAGTTTATTTTCATGCTACTGATAA
This sequence comes from Homo sapiens, assembly GCF_000001405.40. NCBI lineage: Eukaryota > Metazoa > Chordata > Mammalia > Primates > Hominidae > Homo > Homo sapiens. The sequence continues at coordinate 84,451,041 of NC_000016.10, forward strand.
AGACAGACCTGAGACTAGGTAATTTACAAAGAAAAAGAGGTTGAATGGACTCAGTTCCACGTGGCTGGGGAGGCCTTGCAATCATGGCAGAAGGTGAAAGGCACGTCTTACATGGCAGCCGGCAAGAGAGAATGAGAGCCAAGCCTAAGGGGAAACCCCTCATAAAACCATCAGCTCTCCTGAGATGTATTCACTACCACAGAGCATTGTGGGGAAAACCACCCCATGATTCAATTATCTCCCACTGGGTCCCTCCCACAACACGTGGGAATTATGGGAGCTACAGTTCAAGATGAGATTTGGGTGGGGACACAGCCAAACCATATCAAGCAGACAGCAGTGGTATTTTCTGCTATGCAGCTGTTTCTGGCTTCCTTCTCCATCTGTTGTGCACCTGCGCAGGCCTGAGAGCCGCTGGAGGCATCTCTGCCCTCCCTTTCAGGCTAGGGACTTGTTGCCTGAGCCCTCTGCAGACCGAGGAGGATCTGGGCCATGGTGGGGGCTGGCTAACAAAGGGCTGCGCACGTTGCCTCACACCTGTAATCCCAGCACTTGGGGAGGCTGAGGTGGGCAGATCACCTGAGGTCAGGAGTTTGAGACCAGCCTGGCCAACATGGTGAAATCCTGTCTCTACTAAAAATACAAAAATTAGCTGGGCCTGGAGGCGCATGCCCGTAATCCCAGCTACTCAAGAGGCTGAGGCAGGAGAACGGTTTGAACCCAGGAGGCAGAGGCTGCAGTGAGCCAACATTACACCACTGCACTCCAACCTGGGCGATAAGAACAAAACTCTCTTAAAAAACAACAACAACAACCAACAACAAAAAACGACGGCCCCTAAGCCCCCGGTGACCCCTCCTTACTCCCCCTCTCTCCTCAGTGCTGGCCCTGGCTTCTGGGCCCGAGCTGGGGCGGCTGACGTTTCTCGGTCTTGTGGGCATCATTGACCCCCCGAGAGTTGGCGTGAAGGAAGCAGTCCAGGTTCTCTCCGAGTCTGGTGTGTCTGTGAAGATGATAACGGGGGATGCCCTGGAGACGGCCTTGGCCATAGGTAACTGGGACAGGGTCGGGGGTGAGGACGAAAGGACCCATCCATCCTTTACGATGGGGGGCTGCTACCAAAGGGAAGCCTCCGCAAACTCGGTCAGGAGTGCTCACGCCTAGCCCTACAGGCTTAGAAAAGACGCTGAGTATTCGTGTGCCAGCATTCCAATTTCTGAGGTGTTCTCGTTTCTGAAATGTTGGCAGGTTCTGCAAAAGGGAAGTTCTCATGGATACTGAGGACCTACTGTGTGTCAGGGGCTTTTCATCCGCTGTCTTCACAGGCAGCATCATGGCCATGTACAGTTTCAGTCTGCCTTCTGCCTCTAGCTGTGTACCCTTGGCAAACCATTGAACCACTCTGACCCTCAGTCTCTTCATCAATAGAGGGCTAGCAGCCCTTCTCCTCTAGTTACTTTTTTTTTTTTTTTTTTTGAGATGGAGTCTTGTTCTGTTGCCTGGGCTGGAGTGCAGTAGTGCAATCTTGGCTCACTGCAACCTCCACCTCCTGGGTTCAAGCAATTCTCCTGCCTCAGCCTCCTGAGTAGCTGGGACTACAGGCACCCACCACCGCGCCCAGCTAATTTTTTGTATTTTAGTAGAGACGGGGTTTCACTGTGTTGCCCAGGCTGGTCTTGAACTCCTGAACTCAGGGAATCTGCCCACCTCGGCCTCACAAAGTGCTGGGATTACAGGCATGAGCCACTGCGCCCAGCCCCTCTAGTTACTATTATATGGGTGGTCTCAGCCTGGTGCTGGGAAAAGGTTCACGGGCTTTGGAATCAGAGCCGTGTCAGGTTCCAGTGTTACTCCTTACCAGCTGTGTGTCCTCGGCAAAGTCACTTCTGTTTCCCCATCTTTAAAGTGGGGATAATGAGGCGTTTGGTGTAAGTTAATCCTGTGGATAGAACCGAGGCCGTGCAGCATGGTAGGTCCTCAGTAAACCGTCTCCAGCATGGTTTTATTCTTGGTGTTCCCCATGGCCGAGGTGGGGCCGGGAGTGAGGGGTGGGGACGCGGGCCTCAGAGCAGGCCCTCAGAACAGGTTCTTCTGAAGGAAGAAACATCGGCCTGTGCAACGGGAAGCTGCAAGCCATGTCCGGGGAGGAGGTGGACAGCGTGGAGAAGGGCGAGCTGGCCGACCGCGTGGGGAAGGTGGGTCCCCGGAGGCTTGGCTGGCAGTGGGGCTGGGTCACAGCTTTGAAATCTGATTCTTCGTCTTCCCCGTCTCCGTGTCCAGGTGTCCGTGTTCTTCAGGACCAGCCCAAAGCACAAGCTCAAAATCATCAAGGTTCGCTGGGCAAGGCAGGCACAGGCTGCGCTGCTGGGGCCGGGCCAGAGACACTGTGGCTCGAGGAGCTCATGCGTCCGTCGGGTGACAGTGCAGGGCCCGACCGTGGCTTCCTTCTCTAGGTCCAGGGCAGCTGCCCCGGGAGTTACCTTTTCATAGCCAGGGGGAGGGGAGGAGGTTGAGCAGGGGCGCGTGGGCAGCTCCCTTGGAGAGGACGAGGCTCTGAAGTTGCCAGCAACACTTGCGCTGACAGCCCCTTGGCCAGAACACAGTCACGGGCCCAGGTTTAGCTGCAGGGGATGCTGGGAAGTGTCATCTGTAGCTGGGCGGACACGAGCCCCACCAAACCTGGGGATAATTTTAAAGAAGATGGGAGAACTGGGGGACCTTTGCTACATACAGTGAAAACTGGGAGCTGTAATTGGATAACGTAGAGGGAAAAACTAAAAGAGAAGCTATCTTTTTTTTTTCTGGGGGTGGGGTTGTAGGTACGGAGTCTTGCTCTGTCACCTAGGCTGCAGTGCAGTGGCACAATCTCGGCTTACTTCAACCTCTGCCTCCCAGGGTTAAGCGATTCTCCTGCCTCAGTCTCCCCAAGTAGCTGGGATTGCGGTGTGCACCAGCACACCCGGCTAATGTTTGTAATTTTAGTAGAGGCAGGGTTTCGCCATGTTGGCCAGGCTGGTCTCAAACTCCTGACCTCAGGTGATCCGCCTATCTTCGCCTCCCAAAGTGCTGGGTGCTTTTTGGCTTTATTCCTTTTACTCAACTCCGTGCCTCCGTTTCCTCATCTGTAAAATGGGGGAACTATTAATGCCGTCAGCTGATTCACAGGGTTGGTAGAGAATTAAACAAAGCCAGGCCCATGAATCTCTTGGCACACAGCAGGAGCCCAATAAAGAGCTGATGTGATTTTTCTGACTCTGAATACCAAAAAAAGGTAGAAAATGTGCTTGGTTTTCTCGCCTGTGCTCTGAAAGTTTGCTCTTGAGCTCTTTTAGTAGACGGGCTTTCTTCTTTCATGTTATTTTTAGCTCTACAGAGTAAATCCCTATGTGAGTTACTCCTCAAAGAAGGTAGTAATACTTACCAGGTACCCCATGGTTTCCAGGGCCGCACTGTTGATTACTGTTTATTACTGGGACTGGATAACCTTTATGAGCCTTTACTGACCGTGCTGGGCACCGTCACATCCGTCATCTCAGTTTGGGCCTCACAACAGCCCTGGGAAGAAGAAACTGTTGCTCCCACTTTGCAGATAGGGAAACTGAGGTCAAGAGGGTCAAGGGCTCGCCCAATTCCCACAGCTAATGTGGGTGAAGCTGGGATTCGAATTCCGGGTGCCCTCCAGACAGAGGTGTCTGTGGCTGGCCACAGGGTGTGCATGGCCGGGCACTGGGAGGTGGTCGTCAGGCTGCAGGCCTTCATTGCCTGCTCTTTCCAAAGGCTCTGCAGGAGTCAGGGGCGATCGTGGCCATGACTGGGGATGGGGTGAACGACGCAGTGGCCCTGAAGTCTGCAGACATTGGGATCGCCATGGGGCAGACAGGGACGGACGTCAGCAAAGAGGCCGCCAACATGATCCTGGTGGATGATGACTTCTCAGCCATCATGTAAGCTGCCCTTCTGGTTGTTTTTCAGTTGCAAAAATGCCTGGGGTCACCAGCTTCTCCCTGGAACCTGCTACTGTGGAGATAGAGGGGGGGGTCTCGCGGAGTCCCCAGGGAGAGCTGAATCTCGGGGCTCGTCAGTGTGGCAGGTGCCCCCAACCCCAAGTACCAACAGCCTCTCATAGCAGGGTCATGGGGTCCATGATGCCTGGGGCTAGTCACATGCTGCCCCCAGGGGAATGTTACGGATATGAAGCAGAGATGGGATTTGCTGCCTGTGGGTGCATTTCATGTGGTACTGGGAATGCCCGCCTGGCTCAGGCTGGTGGGCAGCAGCTGAATATGTAAGGAAAACCTGTGGCCAAATACGTGCTCACACTTGAGTGTGGGGTGAGAAAGGATTAAAATGAACATCTTCCGTTTGAGGCCTGCGTGTTGATACATATATCTCAGGCATTGCAAAGAGACCTGGGCAGAAACACCCCCATCGCTGACCACGGAGGTGCTCTCTAGGTTCTGGGGCTTGCACAAAACTATTTGTTCTGTTTCACTTTTCTGTATTTTTTTCTTAATACATTTACCTTCCTAATTTTAATTAGTTCTGAGACTCTCCTCATAAGCTAATCGCAGTGGTTAGTTGGGGGTGAGGGAAAACTTTTTAAGCCTGATACAAAAAATCCAAATAAACAAATATTGAGGCTAGGTGGATCGTGCACTTTACAAAGGTGTCTCCACAGTTGATTCGCCATAGGAAGCCTTAACACACTTAGAAAAAAAAAAAAAAGTCATAGATAGCTCTTATTATTTTGAAATACGTCCCATCAATACCTAATTTATTGAGAGTTTTTAGCATGAAGGGTTGTTGAATTTTGTCAAAGGCTTTTTCTGCATCTATTGAGATAATCATGTGGTTTTTGTCTTTGGCTCTGTTTATATGCTGGATTACATTTATTGATTTGCGTATATTGAACCAGCCTTGCATCCCAGGGATGAAGCCCACTTGATCATGGTGGATAAGCTTTTTGATGTGCTGCTGGATTCGGTTTGCCAGTATTTTATTGAGGATTTTTGCATCAATGTTCATCAAGGATATTGGTCTAAAATTCTCTTTTTTGGTTGTGTCTCTGCCCGGCTTTGGTATCAGAATGATGCTGGCCTCATAAAATGAGTTAGGGAGGATTCCCTCTTTTTCTATTGATTGGAATAGTTTCAGAAGGAATGGTACCAGTTCCTCCTTGTACCTCTGGTAGAATTCGGCTGTGAATCCATCTGGTCCTGGACTCTTTTTGGTTGGTAAACTATTGATTATTGTCACAATTTCAGAGCCTGTTATTGGTCTATTCAGAGATTCAACTTCTTCCTGGTTTAGTCTTGGGAGAGTGTATGTGTCCACAGCCAATATCATACTGAATGGGCAAAAACTGGAAGCATTCCCTTTGAAAACTGGCACAAGACAGGGATGCCCTCTCTCACCGCTCCTATTCAACATAGTGTTGGAAGTTCTGGCCAGGGCAATCAGGCAGGAGAAGGAAATAAAGGGTATTCAATTAGGAAAAGAGGAAGTCAAATTGTCCCTGTTTGCAGACGACATGATTGTTTATCTAGAAAACCCCATGGTCTCAGCCCAAAATCTCCTTAAGCTGATAAGCAACTTCAGCAAAGTCTCAGGATACAAAATCAATGTACAAAAATCACAAGCATTCTTATACACCAACAACAGACAAACAGAGAGCCAAATCATGAGTGAACTCCCATTCACAATTGCTTCAAAGAGAATAAAATACCTAGGAATCCAACTTACAAGGGATGTGAAGGACCTCTTCAAGGAGAACTACAAACCACTGCTCAAGGAAATAAAAGAGGACACAAACAAATGGAAGAACATTCCATGCTCATGGGTAGGAAGAATCAATATCGTGAAAATGGCCATACTGCCCAAGGTAATTTACAGATTCAATGCCATCCCCATCAAGCTACCAATGACTTTCTTCACAGAATTGGAAAAAACTACTTTAAAGTTCATATGGAAGCAAAAAAGAGCCCGCATCGCCAAGTCAATCCTAAGCCAAAAGAACAAAGCTGGAGGCATCACACTACCTGACTTCAAACTATACTACAAGGCTACAGTAACCAAAACAGCATGGTACTGGTACCAAAACAGAGATATAGATCAATGGAACAGAACAGAGCCCTCAGAAATAATGCCGCATATCTACAACTATCTGATCTTTGACAAACCTGAGAAAAACAAGCAATGGGGAAAGGATTCCCTATTTAATAAATGGTGCTGGGAAAACTGGCTAGCCATATGTAGAAAGCTGAAACTGGATCCCTTCCTTACACCTTATACAAAAATCAATTCAAGATGGATTAAAGATTTAAACGTTAGACCTAAAACCATAAAAACCCTAGAAGAAAACCTAGGCATTACCATTCAGGACATAGGCATGGGCAAGGACTTCATGTCCAAAACACCAAAAGCAATGGCAACAAAAGCCAAAATTGACAAATGGGATCTAATTAAACTAAAGAGCTTCTGCACAGCAAAAGAAACTACCATCAGAGTGAACAGGCAACCTACAACATGGGAGAAAATTTTCACAACCTACTCATCTGACAAAGGGCTAATATCCAGAATCTACAATGAACTCAAACAAATTTACAAGAAAAAAACAAACAACCCCATCAAAAAGTGGGCGAAGGACATGAACAGACACTTCTCAAAAGAAGACATTTATGCAGCCAAAAAACACATGAAAAAATGCTCATCATCACTGGCCATCAGAGAAATGCAAATCAAAACCACTATGAGATATCATCTCACACCAGTTAGAATGGCAATCATTAAAAAGTCAGGAAACAACAGGTGCTGGAGAGGATGTGGAGAAATAGGAACACTTTTACACTGTTGGTGGGACTGTAAACTAGTTCAACCATTGTGGAAGTCAGTGTGGCGATTCCTCAGGGATCTAGAACTAGAAATACCATTTGACCCAGCCATCCCATTACTGGGTATATACCCAAAGGACTATAAATCATGCTGCTATAAAGACACATGCACACGTATGTTTATTGCGGCACTATTCACAATAGCAAAGACTTGGAACCAACCCAAATGTCCAACAATGATAGACTGGATTAAGAAAATGTGGCACATATACACCATGGAATACTATGCAGCCATAAAAAATGATGAGTTCATGTCCTTTGTAGGGACATGGATGAAATTGGAAACCATCATTCTCAGTAAACTATTGCAAGAACAAAAAACCAAACACCACATATTCTCACTCATAGGTGGGAATTGAACAATGAGATCACATGGACACAGGAAGGGGAATATCACACTCTGGGGACTGTGGTGGGGTCGGGGGAGGGGGGGAGGGATAGCATCGGGAGATATACCTAATGCTAGATGACACGTTAGTGGGTGCAGCGCACCAGCATGGCACATGTATACATATGTAACTAACCTGCACAATGTGCACATGTACCCTAAAACTTAGAGTATAATAAAAAAAAAAAAATTTAAATAAAAAAAAAGTCATAATATCAGCTCTATAGTTCTTTTCAAAATATTTTAGTAAAATCTGGCGGTGGGGGCACCCACGGTGCGTAATTGTTTTTCTACATTAGTGACCCCAGGTCAAGGTTTAAAAGGGCTTCCGCGAAGAGCCTTCTAAAGACAGAAGCAGGCGATGTCCTTCAGCCTCCCCATCCCTCCCTCCTTACCGTCCTCCGGACCTCATTTTTAGGCCGAACTGGTTTTGCTGCGTCTCTCTCTCCTCTTTGGTAAATCGCGGAGATGCACGGCGCACTTCGGGAGTCTGGGCAGGGATGGGGCCCCCTGGGCTCGGCCGGAGAGTAATTCATGGTCTGATTGGAGGCATCAGGTGTACCCTTGGCACAGAAGGGCGAACATGGCTCAAGGATCAGTTCCCAGTGGCCGAGGGGCACCTGTTAGAACACCACCGTCTCCTACAAATGTGTCCCCAAGAATGCCAGCAAGGGGAACCAGCAGGGGCCCAAGTATAACATCAATCTGGGCGAGTCACCACTGCCCCTTGCAGCAACCGATGCACTGGTCCAGCCCTCACGCAGGCCCGCTCCGTGAGTAAATGGCTCTCTTCTCTTGCAGGAATGCAGTGGAGGAAGGCAAGGGTATTTTTTACAACATCAAAAACTTTGTCCGATTCCAGCTGAGCACGTAAGTAGAGGCCAGCATTCCGAGTGTCATTAAGCACCACGCCTGGCGGGCGGCCGCTGACTGGCTGCGTGTGCCCCGCAGGAGCATCTCCGCCCTGAGTCTCATCACTCTGTCCACCGTGTTCAACCTGCCCAGCCCCCTCAACGCCATGCAGATCCTATGGATCAACATCATCATGGATGGGCCACCGGCGCAGAGGTGAGGCAGGGCCGGCTGGGAGCCCTGTGTCTCTTTACCCACCTGCGGGGCTTCCTCCAGGGGCTGCTGGCTGTGCCCCAAGGCTATAGGGATGAACAAATACAGCCACTTTCCATCAGGAGTTCCCAGAAAACTGAAGTGTGTTGCACTGCAGTGAGACTGGGAGTAGAAGGCAGAGGAGAAAGTACCTGGGCCGGCAGAGCTGGGTGAGGATGGAACTTTCTGCTCCCTCTGCCTGGATGCTCTCTCTGGGCAACCTGCATGGCTCATTCTCATGCTTCATTCCAGTCACCAGTCACTGCCTTCAGGAAGTCTTCCCTGATTGCACTCCCACTCAATCCCCTCACCCTGCTGTATTTTTCCCTAGAGAGGAAGATACACACAGACACACTTTTCCTTATGGATCTGATTGTGATCTGTCTCCCCTTTAGAACATCAGTTTCATGGAGGCGGAGTTTGTGTTTCATCCCTGATGTCTAGAGATAAAGGGCTTGCCACTCAGTAGGTGCTCAGGAGTCCACCCGCTCCGCCACTTAATATCCCCTTCAACAAGCTGGCCAAGTGGTGTGGGGGAAGGAATGCGCTTTGGAGTCAGGGGACCCATCTGGCCACGTGTGCGTAACCGTATGAGCACAGAGCCAGTGCTTCCGCTGGAGCTCAGTGCTGCTGTTATCACCAGTGATAGCTGCCAAGGGAAAGAGAGTCCTCATTTGTGTCCCCAAAGCCAAGTGTGAGGGTTACCTCTCCTGCCAGCCCTCCCTGGGAGCAGAAGTGGGACCAGGAAGCTGGCCTCAGCTGTGTCTGAGCGGCAGGGCCTCACCCGGCCACTCCCACCATACCGCCTGCTGCGGGTCTAGCCTCAACCCTGCTGTGTGGAGTTGGCTGGAGGCTGGTCTCTCTCAGCTGATGAGGGGCTCTGCGGAGGGCGGAGCCTGGAGCCTGTTTCTCCAGGCGCAACGTTGGGGGGGGTCCCCTCGGGGTGATGGAGATCATCTGGGTGTATGGAACTGTGTGTGGTTGGCCTTACGGGGTGGTCTTCCTTCACTGTCTGCGGGACAGATGGAGGGGCACAGCTGCCCATGGACCCAGGCTCTGGGGCTTCTGGAAGGTGCCGAGGAGGGCAGGTGCGATGCCTGGGGGCGTTCAGCAAATGCCTGGCCCTGCCCCCTGTGCCAACTTGGCCTGGGAGGCTCAGGCACAGCTGTTTCAAGGGTCCTTTATTTCATTCCTGGTTCATTTCAAAGTGTCTGTGTCTTGTTCGGAGCAGCTTGGGGGTAGAGCCCGTTGACAAAGACGCCTTCAGGCAGCCACCACGGAGTGTGCGGGACACCATCCTCAGCAGAGCCCTCATCCTGAAGATCCTCATGTCCGCGGCCATCATCATCAGCGGGACCCTCTTTATCTTCTGGAAGGAGGTGAGCGAGGGTCACCCCGGCCTGTTCTCCAAGCCCTGGTGCGGTGCAGACGCTGGGGACTGCAGTCCCTGCCCTCCTGCCACAGCTCACATCTGGGAGAGGCAAACATGTACACACACCGGACAATGTGATGCCATCAGAGGCGTGGGGTGCATGAGGCAAAGGGACTGGGTGACCCTTGAAAGAAGGGAGGTCGCCAGGTGTGTGCCTGGGAACTACAGAGGCCAGCGGGGTGGAGATGACTTTGCCGAGACGGGAGTTGAAATGTACATGAGGACAGGCTGCCCCCTGTTCCCTTGTCACCAGGAAACAATTTGAAATCTGCTAAATATCCTCCTGTGTTACACTCTAGAGGTGATTGTTTGCTTTGGATCTAGGCCTGGGTCACCTTTTCATGGCCTGCAGGTTCAGGGAGCTCTATGCCAGGACGGGCCACGATCTAGGTGGGAAATGAGGCAGGTGACCCATGTGACCACACCACAGATTGCCCATGTGCAGGAAGCGGGAGGGGACCCTGGCCGGGTACCCTGCCTCCATTTTCCCTCCAGCTCTCCCTCTACTACTGACGGCCATCCTTCAGCCTTCCTTGTAGGAAATGACCTTCACTCTGGGTTTAACTGGAGTGGCATCACCTCCCAGGGAGACAGTTACTTCCTGGAGGAAGTGGTGTTTCCTCCACCCATAGGTGCCCTGCCCCCATCCTCATGGTGGCAGCAAATCAGCATGTGCTGGGGAGACCCTGGGGTAGCAGCCACTGACCTCACACCTGGAGGAAGCTGTGTGACCGATTCATGAGCTTGTAAGTGGCTCCCAGCCATGCCCCAGGAGCAGTGAGGCAGGCCTGTGCCCTTTGGTTCAGGATGGAGGTTGTCTCTTCCCGCCTAACCTCTCACCTTTGTGCTCACCTTCCAGATGCCTGAAGACAGAGCAAGCACTCCCCGCACCACGACGATGACGTTCACTTGTTTTGTGTTTTTCGATCTCTTCAACGCCTTGACCTGCCGCTCTCAGGTGAGACCCGGGCTGACCCTCCTCGCTGCAGAGCTGCTGTGTGTTCTCGACAGCAGCGCCCCGACCCTGCCCGCAGCATTGAGCGGCTCTGGCTCAGCGTGGGCAGTCAGAGCTCCCCTGCCTGTACCTGGGGTGTGGACAGCACACAATCCCCCGTGTGACCTTCTCCCTGCAGACCAAGCTGATATTTGAGATCGGCTTTCTCAGGAACCACATGTTCCTCTACTCCGTCCTGGGGTCCATCCTGGGGCAGCTGGCGGTCATTTACATCCCCCCGCTGCAGAGGGTCTTCCAGACGGAGAACCTGGGAGCGCTTGGTGAGTGGTGGGGACGGGAACGACAGGTGACCTCGACCAGGGCCATGGGGGGCGGCAGCTGCCAGGTGGGGAGCTGCAGCCCAGGAGGGGTCAGTGCGGGAAAGCAGAGCTCACCAGGGGCCGGCTCTGTCTTCAGGGCCCTTCTGTCCTCACAGGAAGGGACTCTAACGTGGGTGATGTGACGGATGCACAGAAACCCCTAGGAAGAGGCCTGTCACTCAAGAGTAGTAGGGTCTGGGGCCCAAGGGGCACCGGCATCCCAGGCGTCGGGCTGGAGGCTCAGAGCACGTGCAGGGAGGAAGGAGGGAGCAAGGCCTGTACTCAGCCTGGGAGGTACCCCAGCTGGGGAGCCTGGACTTGACCCTGGGGCCAGTAATGTGACTTAGAGATCTGGTCACCTGAAGGCAGGGAGCTGGGCTGTCTTCCAGTTTTGGCTGAAAGGGACATGATTCAGTCACCGTGGTTTTCCAAGGGCACACGCCCTGGTGTGGAGCCCAGGGGACTCCCCGACATTGTCAGCCAAGCGAGTGTGGCACCTTTCTCTGAAGCTGCGGTTATGGCAGGCATGGGGCAAGGGGAGGGAGCCAGGGACAAGTCATCGACCCCACCCTTTTCCCCAGTGTGCTGAGAGCCAACCCCAACCCGGAATAGAGGACGAGGGAGGCCAGTGAGGCAGCCCCCATGGGCCCACCGCCTCCCCGCCGGCAGGGCCCAGAGTGGGTCATGGCTCAGATCTGGAGGGTCATGGGATTATGCATCAGACCTGAGGCTGCAGTGACAACGGTCCTATGACCTCCAGGCAAGACTGGGATGGTCAACTCTGCCTTGTCCTCCAAAAAGCAGTGTCAGTGTGGGTCACCAGTGAATGCCCTGTAGGAACAGACAAGAGGACCCCCCAAAACACTCTGCTCACTGGCTGTTTCCACCCGCCGGGAAGGAAGTCGGCTTCCCACGCCTGAAGGGGTTGTGCTTGGGCAGCCCGTACATCAGGAATCATCAACAGGGAGCCAGGGATGGTTCCTCAAAACAGCATGTGACAGGAGCAGAGGGAGACGCTGGGAATTCATCCCAGGGAACATGTCGCTGGGAATTCATCCCAGGGAACATGTCGGGGTGCACTGGACAGGGAGCCCAGACTGGTCACTCAGGACATTTGCAAGCAGCAGGGCACTGGGACAGCTGCTGTAGGGAAAGGAAACTCATTCCCCTTCCAGCCCGAGTCCATAACATGCTCCCAGCTGCCTGCCAGACCCACCCTGTGCTCTGGAGCTGCCTGGTGTTTGCCTGGAACCACAGGCAGGCCCTTCTGGAACTGCAGCATTTTGGATTCTGGGTTAGGAAGATCTCCCTGCCTTCAGGGGAATGAAAAGGGCTGGTCCTCCGCACCTCTCACTTTATCAGGAGGACTGGCAGGGAAGGCGCTTCCTGCCGGCGCAACAGAGCTGCAGCCCGTCCTGAATCTTTTCTGTTTTCTCCCTTGGCAGATTTGCTGTTTTTAACTGGATTGGCCTCATCCGTCTTCATTTTGTCAGAGCTCCTCAAACTATGTGAAAAATACTGTTGCAGCCCCAAGAGAGTCCAGATGCACCCTGAAGATGTGTAGTGGACCGCACTCCGCGGCACCTTCCCTAATCATCTCGATCTGGTTGTGACTGTGGCCCCTGCCGTGTCTCCTCGTCAGGGGAGACTTTTAGGAGGCCGCAGCCTTCCATCACCGGATCAGTTTTTCCTCTTAGGAAAGCTGCAGGAACCTCGTGGGCTCCAGGGACCCAGGCCCACATCCATCCAGCGTTCCCGCTGGCTGTGGGACAGACAGGGAGGGGCCTGTACAGAAACACCACACTGTTTATTAAATCACAATGATTTTTATTAACCATGTCTAACTACGTATCTGTGCCACAGCTTGCAGTGAGGCAGGCCACTCGTGGCAGATACAAGGGGCTCCTGAGAGGCAGTGGGTAGGATGGTCACACTCTGCCCATTGCCCTCCTGGAGGCCCCATTTCCTCATCATAAAATGAGGGACTTTTAAATAAAGTGCTATGCCGGGGGATAATTATTTTGATGTGTTTACCTAGGGTTTTTCATACAAGGGGCCAGGTTGGAAACCCACAGCCATGTGTTAATGGCCACGTGGGGTGAGCAGCAATCCATCATGAATGGCCTACAGGAAGGCCTCGGCTTTTGGACATAAAGAGTAGGGCTGGGCATGGTGGCTCACGCCTGTAATCCCAGCACTTTGCAAGGCCAAGGCAGGCAGATCACTTGAGGCCAGCCTGGCCAACACAGCAAAACCCTGTCTGTCTCTACTAAAAGTTTAAAAAAAAAAAAAAAAACAGTTGCCAGGCGTGATGATGCACACCTGTTAATCCCAGCTACTCGGGAGGCTGAGGCAGGAGAATGGCTTGAGTCCAGGAGGTGGAGATTGTACCACTGCACTGCAGCATGGGCAACAAAGCAAGAGTCTCTCTCAGAAAGTGGCCCTTCTCTCCGGAACCAGGAACTGTAGTATCTCCTGCTGCCTGCAGACAAGCTTGATTTCCCACTGCCCCAAAGACTTCCAAAAACCGATCTGCTCTTCCACGTGACAGATGGCAGAGGAGAGAGGTCTCCATGCTGTTCTTCTGCCTGAAGCCACGCCAGAACCACCAAAGGGAACCAGAAGGGGAACTCCGTCCCCATCTCTCAGGAAATAAGGCCAGAGCTAGAACCCCCCATTTACTAGTCAGGCCTCACTAGAGAAACAGAACCAACAGGATGGAGGGAGATGCAGAGATTTGTTTTAAGGAACTGGCTCATAGGATGTTGGGGGCTGGCAAGTCTAACATCTTGAGGGCAGGCCAGCATCCTGGAGACCCAGGGAAGAGCTGGGGATGCAGGCTGGAGGCAGAATTTCCTCCTCCTCAAGGGAGTTCAGCCTTTTCCTCTTATAGTCCTCAACTGATCGGATGAGGCCCACTCACGTTATGAAGGATAAACTGTTTGTTTTACTTCAAGTCTACGGGCTTACATGTTAGTTACACAGCGCCATCTAGACCAGTGTTTGTTTGACGAAAATCAACTTGGCCTGGCCAAGTTGTCAGATAAAAGTACCCGTTGCACCCAGCCACGGTAGCTATGAAAAGGGCTACCAGGGGTGGTAACAGCTGGGTCAGACGAAGATAAGGAAGGTCAGAGTGGACCCCTGCCAGGGTTCCAGGCAGAGTCCAAAGTCCTCCATAGTAGGATTCACAGCCTGGGAAGAAGCCCCTCTCTGGCTACAACCTGTGACACCAGGGCCACAGGAGGAGATGCAGCGATGGGCCATTCCTAGTGAGACACAGACACAGGGCTGGCTGGAGAAGAAACCTTTTGAGCTGTGGGGCTGTCTTCCTAGAAGCTGCCAACCCCTGGAACCACTAAGAGGTCAAGGCTGAAGTGTGCCACTTCCACAGTCTGCTAAGGAGTGCCTCCCCCTGAGTCAGGGACAATTCTTGCTCTACTTTTCAGGATCCTTGGGCACACTGCTGGCCCGAGACATTTACTTCCCATTTAAAATTAAGTAATCAAAATACCAGGGTCGATTACTCTGAACTCTTGCTTATGTAAACTTTAGGGATAAAACTGTAGTAAGACACAAAATGCTAACAATAAAATATAAATTAGACTACATTAAAACTAAGACCTTCTTTTCATTAAGGACACAGTAGACTTGAACACCACCATTAAGCAACTTAGCTTGATTTACACTTGTAGAACACCCCATTCACGAGTAGCATAGAAACAGTCACCAAAATAAAGAGCAGAAATCAAACGAAAAAGCAAAAATAGAGGAAAATCAATCAAAACCTAGTTTTTCGAAGAGATCAATAAAACTATCAGTCTTGCAATAAGCTTATCAAAGAAAAAAGGGAAGAGAAATGACCAATGTCAGGAATGAAAAAGTATATCACCACAAACCCTTCAAGATATTCCAACAATAATAATAAATAATACTATGTACATCTTTATGTACCTAAATTCAATCAATTGGATGAAATAAACCAATTGCTTGAAAACCAAAAACTACCAAAACTCACTGAAGATTAAATAGATAAGCTGAAGTTGAAACCCTTCCAAAAAAGGCAGTTTCTGAAGCCAGATGATTTCACTGGTGAATTTTACTAAACTTGTAAAGAAATGGCAATTCGATACACTGAATTCCAAAAATAAAAGGGGACCGAGCACTTCTCATTTTATAAGGTCAACAATCACTCTGATACCAAAACTAGAGAAAAATACTAGAGACCAACATCCCTTATGAATATATGCACGAAAATCCTCAACAAAATATGAGGAAATCAGATCTAGCCAGGTACGAAGAATATAAGACACCAGGACGAAGTGGGGTTAATTGAGGAATGGAATTCAAGCATTCCAAAGTTCAACATTCAAAACCAATATAACTGAAAAGTTCAACATTCAAAAACCAATATAACTCACTATATTAATAGTCTGAAGAAGGAAAAACACATGGTTATATCAATTAATGCAGAAAAGGCATTTGATAAAATTCAATCTCCATTTGTAATAAAAACTCTCAAACTAGGAATTGAAGGAAACTTCTTCAACCTGATAAAGAACATCTACAAAAAACCTATAGCTAACATCATACTTAATGATGAAAAACTGAATTCTTTCCCCACAGGATAAGGTCCAAGGGTGACCAGCCTCACCACTCCTATTCAGCACAGTATTAGAAGTCCTAGCCAGTGTAATATGGCAAGAAAAGTTAAAAGGCATTAGCAAAGAGCCTGGAAAGGAGAAAATCACAGATAACGTAATTGTCCACACAGAAAATCCCAACAAATCTTTTTAAAAAAGAAAAACCCTCGTAGAATCAACGAGTTTAGTAAAGCCACAAGATACAAGGTTAACACACAAAAAGCAGTCGTATTTCTATATATTAGCAATGAACAACTGGAAACTGAAATTTAAAATTGAATACTATTTGTCTGTCTCAAAAAAAAGTATCAATTCTCCCGAGATTGTTGTATTAGGTTTAACACAATTACCATCAAAATCCCAGGGTTTTTTTGTTTTTGTTTTTTTTTAAGACACAGATAAACTTGTTCTAACAAGCTTGGTATGATATTGTTATCAGCAGACCTATTTCAATTTCACTGGTTTTTACATAGTATCTGATGTTAGGCAAACCTGAGTTTAAGGGCACAGTGCTCCAGGTGGCTGGCCAAGTCTGCCCAGGCCTTCTGATACTGACTGCAGGTCCAAGAGTTTCCCACAACCACCTTCAGGTTGGATGATTCGTTGATGAGGCACACAGAGCTCACTGACACCTGTCATGCTCACAGCCATGTCTATTACCAGGAAAAGATACAGATTAGAACAGCCCCAGGGCTGCAACTGCAGAGACTGGTCACCCTCTCCCTCTGAGCTCAACAGTTTCTGAGTCCTGAGTCTTTCTAGCCAATCACTGGGTCTGAGAGTGGTTTCCTGCCCCCCACAACACAAGTTCTATGAAATTGTATGACACACATCAATTCAGGTAACCACTGCTACAATGAGGAGGCAAAACTTCCATCGCCCCTGAAAAACTCCTCCTTACTTTTTATAGTAACACCCTCCTAATCCCAGCAACCTCTAATCCCTTCTTCATCACCATAATGTTGTTCCTTCAATACTGTTACATAAATGGAATCATGGTATAGAACCTTTTAAGACTGGCTTTTGTCACTAAGCATAATACCTGTAAGGTCCCTTCAAGTTGTTTTATGTGTGTTCTTCTTCATGGCTGACTAGTATTCCACTGCATGGATGTACCACAATTTCTTTATCCACTCACTCATGGAGTGACAGAAACTCCTGTACAATTTTTGGAAGTCTATATGAATCTAAAATTATTTCAAAGTGTGTAAGAAGATAAGATATACTCATAGGGCAAAAATACACCAGGTAAAGACAAACAACACACAAGACCAAGGTGACACAGTCTAATCAGACAAGATTAAAAGAAAGGCCAAAAGCATTAAAGGAGACCAAGAAGGAAATTTAACAAGATATAATCACCACTGAAAAATCCATAGGCCAGACTATGTACCAACACAACATTCAAATTTAAAGAGGAAACAGTATGGGAAATTCAGGCAAAGGATACAGAAAATTCATTATATTAACTTACCACATGAAAGGACACAAAACCTCAGTGATTCCAAAGAGTAGATCTAATATAGATGACTTCTTGGTCGGGCATGGTGGCTCAGACCTGTAATCCCAGAACTTTGGGAGGCCGAGGCGGTTGGATCACTTGAGGTAAGGAGTTTGAGACCAGCCTGGGCAACATAGCGAAACCCCATCTCTACTAAAAATACAAAAATTAGCTGGGCATGGTGGTGGGCGCCTGTAATCCCAGGCTACTCGGGAGGCTGAGGCAGGAGAATCGCTTGAACCTGGGAGGCAGAGGTAGCAGTGAGCTGAGATCACACCATGGCACTCCAGCCTGGGCAATGAAGTGAGGCTCTGTCTTAAAAAAATAATAATACAGATGACATCTCTAATCACTATGCAATCTAATTTAAAGACGAGTGACAGGACTAGGGGAAATTCTCTAGCACAGCAAAATTTAAAAACTCTTGGGTACAAGAGAAAATCAAAATGAAGGCCACAGAAAATCTAGAAGCTTATGATCAACACACACCTATCTATACAATACTGCAAAATAACTCAGGGCCCAAGAAAAAAGTAATAGCTTTATGTATTCATCTACTTCCATTATTTTTTATTTAGTAAAATAACTCAAAAAACTGAAAAAAAAAAACTGAAGAAAAGCAGGAATAATATAAAAGCAAAATTAGTAACTGAATCCAATCTAGGAAAATGAAAACACAAGAAAAGGAAAAAAAACATAACTACAAAAGAGTTTCAATACTTTGGGGTCAATATTACATAAAGTAATTTGAAGACTTCCAGCAGAGATTTAAAACAATCCAATGGTAAAAGAAATGGATAAGGTTGTCAAGAGTTAATCCCATCCTCACCTACATCATCAGAAGCAGGAATGCAGACCTGCAATATGCATTTTAAGAAGCTCTCTAGGCAAATCTGATGCATGCTCAAGCGGGGAGAACTACTGGATAAAAGAGGTCAGTAAGAGGCCTGGAACGGTGGTTCATGCCTGGAATCCCAGCACTTTGGGAGGCTGTGGTGGGTGGATTGCTTGAGCTCAGGGGTTTGAGACCAACCTGGGCAACATGGCGAAACCACCTCTACAAAAAACACGAAATTTAGCTGGGAGTGGTGGTGTGCATCTGTAGTCCCAGCTACTCGGGAGGCTGAGGTGGGAGGATTGCTTGACTCTGGAGGCAGAGGCTGAAATGAGTTGAGGTCATGTCACTGCATTCCAGCCTGGATAATAGAGCAAGACCCTGTCTCAAAAAAAAAAAACAAACAAAAAAAAAAACCGGCACGGTGTCTCACGCCTGTAATCCTGGCACTTTGGGAGGTTGAGGTGGGTAGATCACAAGGTCAGGAGATTGAGACCATCCTGGCCAACATGGTGAAACCTCATCTCTACTAAAATACAAAACATCAGCCAGGCATGGTGGTTGCACACCTGTAGTCCCAGCCACTCGGAAGGCTGAGGCAGGAGAACTGCTTGAACCCAGGACGCGGAGATTGCAGTGAGCCAAGATCACGCTACTGCACTCCAGCCTGGATGACAGAGCAAGATTCCATCTCAAAAAGAAAAAAAAAAAAAAAAGAATTCAGTAAGGTAACTGGGAATAAAAACTACAAAAATCAAGAGCTTCCTATGTTAAAATAACCATCACTTAGGAAAAAATGTCCACTGACAGTCCCAGAAATGACAATAAAAATTTACCTAAGAAGCTAGATGTCCCTGTTCTTGGATAGAAGCATCAACGTTAGCCAAATGTCAGCATTAAATATACATTAACATAGGCAGAACCATTTGGAAAGTACTATCCTATTTTTTAGAAGTGGTCACAGTGCAAAGGTCGGAGAAAATAAGCAGCCAAGCATTTGCCGAAAAATTCCAAAAAACAGTAGTAAGAGAAAAACGGCTCTTACATATTTTTATCACCAAATTCCAGCAATTAAAACATGAGAGAGACCTCAATTCATACAGAAACTCAGCTGATGACAAAGTATCATTAGAAGTCAATGGGAAAAGACAAACCACTTAATATACAAGGTAATGGGACTTTATTTTGGGCTAAGATAGGACTATATGTTTAAATGCCTTTTGAAGGCCAGGCACGGTGGCTCATGCCTGTAATCCCAGCACTTTGGGAGGCTAAAATGGGAGGATCACCTGAGGTCAGGAGTTCGAGACCAGCCTGGCCAACATGGTGAAACCCCATCTCTACTAAAAATACAAAAATTAGCCAGGTGTGATGGCAAGCACCTGTAATCCCAGCTACTCGGGAGGCTGAGGCAGGCTAATGTCTTGAACCTAGGAGGCGGAGGTTGCAGTCAGCTGAGATCACACCACTGCACTCCACCTGGGTGACAGAGTGAGACTCCATCTCAAAAAGTAAAAAAAAAATATATATATATATATATATATGCATACACACACACACATATATAATTTATATATATACACACACATAAAAATATATATATATACACACACACACACATATATATATATAAAAGCCTTTTGAATAGATAAAAGATTTAAGAGGTAAAAACAGAAACCACAGTAGAAGAAAATGATTTTTAATACTCAGAGTAGAGACAGACTGCCTAAACAAACGGCAAATCCAAAGACCCTTAAGCAGAAATGCTGGGAAATATGACAGAAACTGTAAAATTTATGGGCAGAAAAACGCCACAAACGAAGTCAAATAAACCGTAGAAAACATTGACCATACATGGGAAATGCTACTTCATTCATAAAAAGCACTGTTGGCCGGGTGTGGTGGCTTGCACCTGTAATCCCAGCACTTTCGGAGGCTGAGGCAGGAGGATCCCTTGAGTTCAGGAGTTCAAGACCAGCTTGGGCAACATATTGAGACCTCATTTCTATTTTATTTTTTAAAAGCACTGTTACAAATCGATAAGAAAAAGACCGACACCCTAGAAAACCAAGAAAAAGATATGATACAGAAAGCTTTTGAAAAATGAGGCTGTTCACTGTCACTTGGTAGAAAAATTTAAACAGTACAGTTTTGAGCAAGACACCATATGGGAGCCCAGCCCACAAGAGACTGCACACCAGCCTGGGGCTCAGCAGCACCAGGGCAGAGGCACAGCAAAGTGCGGGCTGCCACTGCCAAGGTGCAAGTGGGGTGCGTGTTCCCACTCACTGGCATGGGCTGCTGCCACTGAAAGCAGCCTCACCCTCCCCAGTGGCAAGGTCACAGCACAACTGCTGTTACCTCCCACCCAAGCATTCCACCAGAGGCCTGGGGACTGCCCCCTCCCCAGCTACCACAGAAAATGCCTGCGTATGCCATGGAGGGACCTCAGACAAGCCCGCCCAGCCTGGCTTTGCCGCACATGCTGATATGGCTTGGCTGTGACCCCACCCAAATCTCATCTTGTACTTCCCATAATCTCCACGTGTCATGGGAGGGAGCCGGGTGGGGGAGGTAATTGAATCATGGGGGTAGTTACCTCCATGCTGTTTTCATGATAGTGAGTTCTGACACGATCTGATGGTTTTATAAGGGGCTTTGCTCCTGCTTTGCTCTGCACTTCTCCTTCCTACCATCATGTGAAGAAGGACATGTTTGCTTCCCCTTCCGCCATGATTGTAAGTTTCCTGAGGCCTCCCTAGCCATGCTGAACTGTGAGCCAATTAAACGTCTTTCCTTTAGAAATTATCCAGGCTCAGATATGTCTTTATTAGCAGCATATGAGAACGGACTAATACACACACCCTATGCTGGAACACACAGTCTAGATGACTGGGGACGGCCCAGCCGAGGCCACCACTATTGGTACCTGAGCACTCCTCTCAGACTGCTGAGGGTGGGTTCACCCACCCTGCCACTACCTGCACTAGTTGGCATCTACATGCACGTGCCACCTGTGGGCCTGGAGACTGGCCCACCCAGCTCATCACAGCCACCACCACTACCAGGTACACTACTAGGGACCCAGAGGGTTACCCTGCCATTGCCACTGCCACTACCATCTCCTATGCCACACTGGCTGCCCAGGGGCCCAAGAGCCCAGCCACCTGGCCCACTGCTGCCATTTAGCATCCAAGCAAGCTATCCTCAACAAAACACTAGCAAACTGAATCCAACAGCACATCAAAAAAAAAAAAGAAAAAAAGAAAAAAAGAAAACAGGCCGGGTGTGGTAGCTCACGCCTGTAATCCCAGCACTTTGGGAGGTCAAGGCGGGTGGATCACTTGAAGCCTGGAGTTCGAGACCAGCCTGGCCAACATGGTGAAACCCTGTCTCTAGTAAAAATACAAATATTAGCCAGGTGTGGGGGTGGGTGCCTGTAATCCCCACTACTTGGGAGGCTGAGGCAGGAGAATTGCTTGAACATAGCAGGCAGAGGTTGCAGTGAGTCGACATTCTGCCACTGCACTCCAGCCTGAGCGACAAAGCAATATTCCATCTCAAAAAGCAAAACAAAACAAAAATAATACACCACAATAAAGTGAGATTTATCCCACTTATGCAAGGATGGTTCAACATACAGAAATCAATAAATGTGATACATCACATTAATAGAATGAAGGACAAAAACCATATGATCAGATATAAGCAATTAGTAAACTGATGCAGAAAAAGCATTTGATAAAACACGACATTCCTTCCTGAAAAAAAACTGTCAACAAACCAGACAGAAGGGACATACCTCAACATAATCAAGACCATATATGACAAACCCACAGCTGACATCATCCTGAATGGGGAAAAGCTGAAAGCCTTTCCTCTAAGAACTGGAACAAGACAAGGATGCCCACTTTTACCACTCCTATGCAACATAATATTGGAAGTCCTGGCCAGAGCAATCAGGCAAGAGAAAGAAATAAAAAGCATCCCAACTGGCAAAGAGGAACTCAAATTGTCCCTTTTTGCTGATGATATGATCCTGTATCTAGAAAGACTCCATCAAAAAACTATTAGATCTCATAAATTCAGTAAAGTTACAGGATACAAAATCAACATACAGAAATCAGTAGTGTTTCTACATACAGATAATGGAATATCTGAGAAATAATTCAAGACAATAACCCCATTGACAATTACTACAAAAAAAAAAAAAAAAAACCTAGGAATAAATTTAACCAAGAAGTAAAAGATCTATACAAGGAAAACTACAAAGCACTAATGAAAGACATTGAAGAGGACACAAACAAATGGAAAACATCCCATGCTCATGGATCAGAACTAATACCATTAAAATGACCGTACTGCCCAAAGCCATCTAGAGATTCAATGCCATCCCTATCAAAATATGTCATTTTTCACAAAATTAAAAACAAATCCTAAAGTTCATATGGAACCAAAAGAGAGCCCAAGTAGCCTAAGCAATCCTGAGCAAAAAGAACAAGGTTGCAGGCAGCATACCACCTCACTTCAAAATCTATTACAGGGCTATAGTAACCAAAATAGCATGGTATTGCTTTAAAAAAAATTTAAAAAGAGACACATGGACCAATGGAACAGAATAGAGAAACCAGAAATAAGTCTACATATCTATAGCCAACTTATGTTCAACAAAGTTGCCAAAAACATACACTGGGGTAAGGACAGTGTCTTCAATAAATGGTGCTGGGATAATTGGATATCCATATGCAGAAGAATGAAACCCTACCTCTCACCATCTACAAAAACCAGATGAAGACGAATTAAAGATTTAAATGTAAGACCCAAAACTATAAAACTACTAGAAGAAAACAGGGAAAACAATTCACGAACCCAACAATTTAAAAATAAACAATCCCATTAAAAAGTAGACAAAGGACATGAATAGACATTTCTCAAAAGAAGACATATAATGGCCAACAGCTATAAGAAAAAAAAAAAAAGAGCTCAACATCACTAACTATCATCCAATCCAGCAATCCCACTACTGAGTATTTATTCAAAGGAAAAGAATCAGTGTGTCCAAGGGATATCTGCATGCCGACATTTACTGCAGCACTATTCGCAATAGCAAAGATGTAGACACAACCTAAACATCCACCAATGGATGAACGGATAAAGAAAACGCGGTATATACCCTCTCATGCCAGTCAGCATGGCAATTATTAAAATGTCAAGAAACAATAGATGCTGATGAGATCGTAGAAAAACAGGAACGCGGCTGGGCGCAGTGGCTCACGCCTGTAATCCCAGCATTTTGGGAGGCTGAGGTGGACGGATCACAAGGTCAGGAGATCGAGACCATCCTGGCTAACACGGTGAAACTCTGTCCCTACTAAAAATACAAAAAAATTAGCCGGGCGTGGTGGCGGGCGCCTGTAGTCCCAGCTACTCGGGAGGCTGAGGCAGGAGAATGGCGTGAACCGGGGAGGTGGAGCTTGCAGTGAGCGGAGGTCACGCCACTGCACTCCAGCCTGGGCAACAGAGTGAGACTCCGTCTCAAGAAAAAAAAAAAAAAAAAAGAAAAAACAGGAACGCTCTTCCACTGTTGGTGGTAATGTAAATTAGTTCAACCATTGTGGAAGACAGTGTGGCGATTCCTCAAAGATCTAGAATCAGAAATACCACTGGACGCAGCAATCCCATTACTAGGTACATACCCAAAGGAATATAAATCATATGTTACAAAGATACATGCACACATATGTTCACGGCAGCGCTATTCACAATAACAAAGACATGGTATCAACCCAAATGCCCATTAGTGATAGACTGGATTTTAAAAATGTGGCACATATATACCATGGAATACTAAGTAGCCATCAAAAAGAATGAGATCATGTCCTTTGCAGGAACATGGATGGAGCTGGGAGCCATTACCCTCAGCAAACTGGCACAGGAAGAGAAAACCAAACACTGCATGTTCTCACTTATAAGTGGAAGCTGAACAGTAAGAACACATGGATGCAGGGAGGGGAAAAACACAGACTGGGGCCTGTTGGTGGTAGGGCTGCGGGAGGGAGAGGATTAGGAAAAATAGCTAACGCATGCTGGGCTTAATACGTAGGTGATGGGTTGATAGGTTCAGCAAACCACCATGGCACACATTTACCTATGTAACAAATCTGCACATCCTGCACATGTACCCTGGAACTTAATTTTTTAAAAAAGGAAGAGTATATATACACGATGGAATATTATTTGGCCATAAAAAGTGAAATCATGTCATTTGCAACAACATGGATGGTACTGGAGGTCATTATGTTCAGTGAAAAAGGCAGACACAGAAAGACAAATTCTGCATGTTCTCACTGATGTATGTCAGCTAAAAAAAAAAAAAAGTGGATCTCATGGAGGTAGAGAAAAGAACGATAGATACTAGAGGATGGGAAGGATATATGAGTGGGAGGGAGGGAGCAAGAGATGTCGGCTAGTGGGTGCAGGGAGCCGAAGGCCCGTGGGACGTGACCAACTCAGCATTCCACTGGAGGCTGTGTGATCAAACAGCAAACTGTTTATCATGAATGCAGGATGTGGGCAAACTCATGACTGCTCCTGCCAACAGGTTTGCTGGAGGCCATCACTCCCTGTCACCAAGGTTATCTACTGCGACATCTAGAGCCTGTTGTTTGAGGAATGCAGTCTTGCAAGCCTACTCCGGACTGAGCAGCTGACCCCTTCTTCCACCCCCCTTCTCACTATGTCTTTTGCATAACAAATACGGAGGGCTGTGTAAAGTTCAGGGCCCTTGTCCACTAGAGGCAAGGTGCCCCCTGACCCCTTCTTCCAAACATACTCTTTTGTCTCTTGTCTTTTATTCCCATGTTCGCCCCCTTTGTTCGGTCCCCCTAGGTCCATGAGGATTACTTAGTTGCACCCCAAACAGCAACAGAACCGGGTGCCCCACAAGGGGGTACAAACATACAGTTAGAAGAGATAAGTTCTCATGTTCTATAGCAGCACTGGGTGACCAGAGTCGGCAACAATGCACTGTGTATTTCACAGTAGACATAAGGGAAGACTTGCAATGCTTGGAATGTGGAAAGGATACTCAAGTTGACGGACACCCCTAAATACCCTCACTTGATCATTACACAGTCTACACATGTAGCAAATACATGTACCCCATAAGTATGTAAATATTATATCAACAAAATATAGTTTTTGTCTATCAGGTTAAAAAAACATATTTTAATACAGTTTTGCTGAAAACATGGCAAACAGGCACCCCGGTATATTGAGTATAAATTGAGCTCAAGAGGTTTTTTTAATTCATCTATATCTAAATAAAAGGCATATACCTCTCAATCCAACAATTCCAATTCTAAGAGTTTATCCCACAGACACCATCACAGCAAGGCACACATAAACGATATTCATGACAATGATTAGCTGCAAACAAAATGTTCCCCAGCTGCAGACGGTGGAACGCTAGGCCCGAGAGCATCCATATGGTGGGACATCACGCAGTCCATAAAGACAAGAGGGAGGCAGGTGGGTGGTTACGGACCTCCCTTTAAAAAAGAAAGCGAGGGACACATCAGTGTGTAAAAGACAGTGATGCCCAGGTGTGCACCAAGTCACAGGGAGGAGACCTGAGTGATTTTTGCATCAGTGCCTTTGCCTGTCAGGAGGGAAAATAGCTGGAGAAGAGGCAGGAAGATGACTGACTTTAAGTTGTATCCTTTTATCTTTTTTTTCTAAACCAGGTACACAATTTTTTTTAAACATAGGGTCTTGCTGTGTTGCCCAGGCTGGAGTGCAGTGGCACAATCACAGCTTATAGCAGCCTCAACCTTCCAGGCCTAAATGATCCTCACACCTCAGCCTCCCAAGTAGCTAGGACCACAGGCATGTGTTACCATGCCTGGTTAATTTTCGTATTTTTTTTTGTAGAGATGGGTTTTCGCCATGTTGCCCAGGCTGGTCTTGAACTCCTGGGCTCAAGCAATCGGCCTGCCTCAAGCTCCCAAAATGCTGGGATTACAGGCGTGAGCCATCACACCCAGCCTTTTTTTTTTTCTTGAAACGGAGTTTCACTCTTGTTGCCCAGGCTAGAGTGCAATGGCACGATCTCGGCTCACCACAACCTCTGCCTCCCTGGTTCAAGCAATTCTACTACCTCAGCCTCCTGAGTAGCTGAGATTACAGGCATGTGCCACCATGCCCAGCTAATTTTGTATTTTTAGTAGAGATGGGGTTTCTCCATGTTGGTCAGGCTGGTCTCGAACTTCCGACCTCAGGTGATCCGCCTACCTCGGCCTCCCAAAGTGCTGGGATTACAGGCGTGAGCCACCGCACCCGGCCCCAGACTTTTTTTTAATTAAAAAATATGGTGGGAGAAAATAATAGCTTGCAATGTGGCAATCATTTATAATAGTTTGCAACGCGGACAAATTTTTTTTTTAACCCCTTCCTCCTAGCACTTTCTAGGGCCCTGATAAGTCTTCATTTGTAGGGAGACCTCTAGTCCTTAGAACCTGAATTCTCATTCTGGTTTCACAAAAGAACAAACTATTCATTTGTGCAAACTAGGATTGCGAGTTTCTCAGAGCCAGGTAAGGTACTGTCAGGTCCACTGGCCCCAGCCCTGCACACGCCCTAAAAAGGTTTGAGTGTCCAGAGGCAGAACCGTGCACCAAGAGAAGCCCACAGAGAGAGCTGCATCCCCCAGGCTCCCAAGCCCGGGCCAGTGACCTTTCTCTAAGTGCACTGCCTGGAAGCAGGTGCATTCGTGATCTGCACTCTCCTTAGAACAAGCTCAGGGTGGAAAGCATGTGAGTGGACAAAGTCCTAACCTTTGCAGCGGCCTGGGCAGAAGCAGCAATCAATGGTCACCAAGGCACAGACACTGACGGACATTTAATTTTTTTTTTAACTGAGGCATCATGGCAGTTTAATAGTGAGGTATTTAATTGCATTTTTATAAAAAACATTGCAAAACAAAGTGACAATAGGGACCTAAATTCTTTGGACTTACGGTAGAGATGCTTGAGGATCCTAATATTCTACTTCTGCCAACATGTCAGGTAGGAAGCTCACAATGTTCCCCATAAGCCATTACAAACTGGCTAAGGAAAATCAGTCATGACTAAGTCCTTGTCTGCATCACGCTCCTGCCCCTCCACACACTGTCTGAGCGTGCACTTTTCTTTCGAAGGCTAATTTATGAGGCATTCTGCCTGAGTCAGGGCTATTGCTAAGTGGAAGGTTTGATGAACCTCCCAGTAGAAAATGCAAGGCCTGCAAAAATGCGAACAGCTCGATTTACTATGGCTTATAATCAAGGCAAACTATACAATAAGAGGTTGTATTTTCATCAGATCTGCAAAAGGTCAAAGCTTACAGCAAAAGACAAAAGGAAGAGGTATATATCTTAGAGACAAGCTCACAGCACCTTTAAGTGGGGAGATCTCATGGCCAACCGGTGACTCACCGTGTGTTGTTTTCCAGACGTGGGCAGATGGCAGCTCTGCTGACCCCACAACCCACCTACACGATCTTCAGCATTTCAGGATCACCGGAGCTTGTTTAAAGTCAGTCTACACTGCTGAATTTCCCATCATCCCCCTCGGGAGCAGCCCTGGGCAAATGGCTGCACTGACAGCTGTGACTCAGGCACTGGTTCCCAGAGATCTAGAACCCAGGCCAGCACCGAGGCCTAGACAGCTGTGACTCAGGTGCTGGTTCCCAGAGGTCTAGAACCCAGGCCAGTCACTCACCACTGATTTATGGAATGGACCATATACGTATTTATCAACCAAGTTCCCAAACTTAGGGTGCCCAATGTCCCTCACCTTGAAGTTAGCAAGAGAACCACAACTTTGCTTCTCTGTAGACAGATCTCCCAACTTTCCCATCTGTTCCTCACACACATTCATTTAAAAACAGCTGAGAGAGCTGGGTGTGGAACCTTATTACAAATACCTTCTGAGGACTCATGCCACCACCAGACCATGTTACCTCAAAGTCTCCTGCCTCCATTTCCCCATTTTATACACAGTTCATGCTTTTAAATACAGAACTCCCATGCCATTGGAAGCTGTTCCCAGAAAGCGTCGAGATTTTCATCCAGATGCCTCTGTCCCTCACCCGTCAGAACAGACCATCAGGTACCACCTTCTAACAGGGATGGCCTGAGTGAGGCCATATGAACCCCAGCGGGAGGAACCCCCTCCTCAATAGAGAAGTTGAGATCCCAGCAATGCTAATGCCAGCGGAATTCCCTAATGCCAGCGGAATTCCCTAATGCCAGCGGAATTCCCTAATGCCAGCGGAATTCCCTAATGCCAGCGGAATTCCCTAATGCCAGCGGAATTCCCTAATGCCAGCGGAATTCCCTAATGCCAGCGGAATTCCCTAATGCCAGCGGAATTCCCTAATGCCAGCGGGGGTCTGAAAGGTCTCAGCTGCTTAGGATTTCGTTGGTAAAAAAGAACAAAGTATAAGACTGAGTTACTAATTTGACACAAGATTTCTTGGAGAGATCCTGAGGGTGACCCTGTAGGGAAAAAAAGAAAACTTAAAAAACATCTATTTCTGGGAGATCCACCCATGAGTCAGGACATGGCTTCAGAGGGCGTCTTCTTGGCACATGTGGGACTACCAGGCTGTGACCCGTGCGGTACGCTATTACAGTTAAACCATGTGGGAGGGAAGAGGGGCTGCAGGCGTTGCCCTCTACCCAGAGGAATCCAGGTCCTGGCTCCAGGAAGGCTCAGGCGGCTCCTCATTCATCGTCCGGGACTTCCCGGAGCCCTTCGCTGTGGCGCGAATGCCCACTGATCTCCAGCAGGGCCTGGGCCTCAGGGTCCGCATCCAGGATGCTCTTGTTGCCCTTGGCCTTGAGAAGAGAAGAAAGGGTGGGTGTGTTCCATGATGGCCCAACAAGAGGCAGCAGCTTCCTGCTAGTTTTCCAGCCTTCTTGGGTGGAATCAGGCTCCGGTTCCCCCTAAGGCCCCTCCCACTCTGGGATTCAGTGGCTGGGTGGGTAGGAGGTATTACAGGAGGTTCAGGGGCCAACAGCAACTCAGGTGCAGAACCAGGGAAGCGGAAGGAACCCTAGACATTCCTCCTCTTGCAGGTGGGCAGAGAGAATGAAGGGCCACCTGGGCTCGCACTTGGGGAACCCCCCTTCCCAGGGCTGCTCTACTAAACCACCCACAAATCCCAGACAAGACTTCCAGCCATGCATCTCCTGGCATCCAAGCCAGCATCAGCTACCAGGATCAAATTTGGGATAAACTATCTGCAGACAGAAGAGTAAAGGGGTAATGGTAAGAAAATGCAGAAAGGCCCCCAGGCTCAAGGGGCCATCCTGGGATGCAGAGGACAGCTCCACTCACCAACTGCTCCTCTGAGGGGTCTCCAACCGCCCACACCTCCATCTTATCAAACTGGAAGTTCTCCTGAGCCGACAGCTGCGGGCTGTTGTACGTGGTGCACGTGGGCTTGGCTCTGCTGTGTCCTTTCCCAAAATCAACATCCACCCAAAGCCCAAAGTAATTGTGCTGCCCCCCCATACCCTGCAAAGGAAGCCAGGACAGAGAATAGCATCAGCAACTCCTCAGGGTCTGTGGACATCAAATACCACAAGCCAGCCTCTCGCCTTAAGTACCAGCCTGAGACAGGGGCGGGTGAGTGGTGAATGCCATCATCTTGTTTTCCTTAACTGTGAAATATATCAATTACTGCCATTTAAGCATCCCATGCCAAGTTACTAGAACAGTCATCTATGTCTCCAGACACCCACCCCATGGCTCTTTCTCAAGAAGATTTGCTGGCTGAAAGCACAAGTGACATCAGAGAATTAAAAATGTTAAATATATATAGAGAAAGAGACCTCCAGGGCCCAGGGCCCCGCCCAGTTAAGATAAGGGGAGAGGTGAACACAGAAGCTGACACTGCAAACCCCCTGTGTTGGGGCCCCAGTGCCCCGCTTCCGGGCAGCGATCCTCACCCCAAGACAGGCTGGGAAACTCAGCTCCGAGTGTGTGGCTTACAGGATGCGGAGGCAGACCCGGAGGCGGATGCGAACCCCTGTGCCTTCCACCCTCAGTCACATGGCTGGGCTCTGAGCTGTTCAATCTCACCCTGCAGAGAACCTCCTCTGGTCCCTGGTAGGCCTGTAACACCTGGCACGCCCTAGTTCTGACCTTGGGCAACCAGAGACCCGAGCACACTGCCCAGAGTTGACACGCGGAGCCGCTCTCTCAGGGCCAATGACGAGCGATGACCGGGGCCTGCCGGGTGCTGCCTGTGAGGCTGGCACCCTCACTCCTGCCGCCACCAGACCGCCCTTTCCAGAAGGTGCCAGGTGTTCTAGGTGGCCTGGCCACGCCCCTCCCTCTCTCCAGGGCAGCAGTGTGGTAAGCCTGGGAAGGACGCTGGTCCCTATATCGGACCAGCCTTCTCTGCCCTCAGCTCTGCAGAAACAGGGCTGGATTTTCCCAATAAGAGCTTTCTGTCAGCTGGGCGCAGTGGCTCACGCCTG
Organism: Homo sapiens; assembly: GCF_000001405.40. NCBI lineage: Eukaryota > Metazoa > Chordata > Mammalia > Primates > Hominidae > Homo > Homo sapiens. The sequence continues at coordinate 84,481,677 of NC_000016.10, forward strand.
TAATCCCAGCACTTTAGGAGGCCAAGGCGGGTGGATCACGAGGTCAGGAGATGGAGACCATCCTGGCTAACATGGTGAAACCCCGTCTCTACTAAAAATACAAAAAAATTAGCCAGGCGTGATAGCGGGTGCCTGTGGTCCCAGCTACTTGGGAGGCTGAGGCAGGAGAATGGCGTGAACCTGGGAGGCGGAGCTTGCAGTGAGCCGAGATCGCGCCACTGCACTCCAGCCTGGACAAGAGTGGACTCCATCTCAAAAAGAAAAAAAAGAAAAGAAAAGAGCTTTCTGTCAAGCAGCAGAGGAAAGAAATCAGCAGGGGAGCTGGCAGGAGCAAGCTGAGCTTCGGCGTGGATGCTGCCCCAACTCCTGCCCTCGGGCCTGCCTGGACCCGTGCCCACCCACTCCCTGCACCCGGCCTAGGCCTCCCCCGCTTCCCCCTGCTTCCTGTGCCATGTCACCAAGCTGAAGCGAGGGCTGGACAGGAGCCACGGTCACCCCAACTGGGGCCCCACATGCTGTCTCATGAGCTGCCGGCCGTCCATTCCCCTTGGTCCAGCACTCCCACGTATGAGGCAGGCCAGCGACGCGCAGGGACAGGTCTGGCGCTGACACCATCCCTAGCCACAAAGGCTACAAACCAATCATCTGAGGGCCAGAAAAATGGGCCAAGTGTGCCATCTGCACACAAACCACTGAGAAGCCCCAGCAGAGGCCACATCCTTCTCTAAGGGAAACCCTGGCCCAGCTGTCACTGCCCCCAGCACCGGCCCTGGAAACAGAAGGAACTGGACATGGCGTGCGTGAGGAACTGAATGCCACGCGCCCTGCCCTGATCTGTGGAGCTGAGCCTCGGGGTTGACACCTTTGCTGGGGGACATCACCAAGGCAAGACCACCACGCTCTGCCCGGGCTCACCAGTCCGTTCGGGATCGTCTGCTGTCCATGGTTCAAGTACATGTAGTGGTCGTTGTAGCCCGTGTGTGTGTACACAGCCATGCTGGGGCAGATGGAGAACAGGAAGCATCTGTTGTCCCCTGAAAGTAGCCAGAGAACAAAACAAACAGGGTCGGTGTCTGAGCCGGTCCCACAGGGCCGGAAATGCCGGTAAGCTGCAGCTCAGGAAGCAACAGGGCCAAGACCCTTCTCACCCATGTCCAGGTGTCGGCAGATCAGGGTTTGGGACAAGCTGCTAGGGACCCAGGTGGATGAGCTGGGGATGCAGGGATTAGAGGGACAGCTAATAAGGAATGGGACATCTTTTAGCTCTGGCCAGGGGAGCAGAGATCAGAACTCTGCCCACTGTCTGCTGGAATCAGTTCAGGCTGGCCAAGCACATCCGAGCCAGAAAGAGCAGGCTTCCTTTAGCTTATGAGCACGGGGCAGGTGGTCACTCCGCAGAGACTGAGGCCTCCAGCACAGCCTACCTGAGCAGGCAAGTGACGCTGCGTAGTGCTGACCCCGGCCTGAAAGAACGTACCATGCAGAGAGAGAAAACCTGCAGCTGCAGAGCTGTCCCCAGGGGCACGGCCTACGAAAGGAAGTAGTTTACCCTCGCCCAAAGGCATGGGGTGGGCACACAGGCCATTAAAAGAAAGGTACCAGTCAAAACTCTGGAAACTATGGGTCCCCAGTCTCAGAGACTCCTCCACTCCATAAGCACCTCAGCACTGGGGACAGGGCCGTAGGCCAGGCCTCGTCCTCGGAGCTCCCAGCGAGGGACACTTCCCACCATGTTCTGAGGACTTGGCCGGAAGGGCTGCCCGCCTCGACACCAGCATACACAACTGTCACAACAAGCTGGAAGGCTGCAGAGAAACAAGCTCATGGGAATTTGGGGTTGGGCTATTCATCAGGTGGGAAAGAAGTCACAGGAAGCAAATTGGGGGCACCATGATGGAACGCAGATAAGAAGGGGGCACCAAGACCAGGAGGCTGGAAGAGGACGATGGCCCCGAGCAAGCCAACAGGGCTCAGTCTGTAGAGTGTGGGCTGACACCGCCCAAGGCTCCAATCTAGAAAGATCGCTGGGGGGCCTCTGCCATCAGGGTCTGGGAGGCTTCTGGGAGGCAGCTTCCGAGGTCAAGAGGGAGGCCCTGAAACAGAGCTGGCTGGGGCAAGAGTCCCCATGGAGAAGGGATCCCATGAGGACAAGGTGTGGGACAGGTACGGAACAGTGGGGCTTGAGAGCATCGGGTGGAGGAAGGAGGATAGTTAGGCTAGAAAGTTCCACTGGAACCAGCTAAGTGAAGGGCTTTACTCTGGGCTACAGACTCAGGCTTGCTTCACTGGGTTTCAGCAGCCCCAGAGGCTTGAGGGCAGGTTTAGACGCCGCCATGAACAGCTGGGTCACACCCGTCTGCACTGCCCCCGCCCCGCTCTCCCCGACTGGACTTCAGGTAAGCGGCCCTTTGCTTTGCAATCCTGAGCCCGTCTTGCTGCGGAGCAAGGTCGCAGGGCCACAGAGTTCAGGCCTCAGCTGCGATAGGCCCAGATCCTAGTCCACCCCCAAGGGCTGTTCTCCATAGGGAAAGCCAGGAGGGGGAAGCATCATTCCCAGAATACAGGGCAAGGACCTGATGAGTTATGATTATCTGTGGAAAAAAGTGACACCAACAACGAGGACTCCTTATCTCATTCCCATAAAACAATACCCAAGCGTGCGGCCACCAGCACCTGACGCTCGGCCGCCGAGGAGCTGCCTGCCCACACAGCATGGTTTCGTGTAATTCTGAGGAGCTGAGGCCCAGAAAATGAATCAATCACCTTGCCCAGGGCTAGAGCTGGGACTCAAAATCCTGTGTTCAATCCAAAGCCTTGGGCCTTTTCAATGATTGCACAGAAAACACAAGCCAAAAGGCTCTAAGTATAATCAGTTCTTCTTTCCTCAAGCAAAAACACTCTGATGAAAACAGTCCTTTAAAAAGGTTTACGAAGCCACATTACCCCGCAGGGAAATATCCTCTGTACTCAAGGAGGTGGCCACCCTCCCCAGCATTTGCCTTCATTGTTTGTCCCACAGCTATTAAATCACTTAAAGTCTCAGATATTAGAGGTCATTATTTCCAGGACAAGCGGACAGCACGCTCTCCGAACTTGACCCACAGTCCACGGATTTGTACCATGCGTGGTGTGAGGCTGCCCTCTGCTGTTGTTTCGTGAGTATGGACACGTACTGCAACAGAATGAACTCGGGTTTGAAAACTTGGCCACTGCATTTTTCCCACATGCTTCAGCAAGATTAAGTCTGCTTGTTAATAAAACATAAAGAGCCAGCAGAGTCCATCTGAAATTAACATTAAAGGCTCTGGAGGGAGCAGCAGCTTTACCCTGATCATGATGCTCAGGGTCTCTTCATATCCTAAAGCCGAGCCTTCAGCCATGCAGTGAGGCAGAGCAATGTGTAATTTCCCCGGAGCCCGAGGCTGGGCTGGTGGGCACATGCCCTATGCCTGTGACATGGAGGCAGGGCAAGGTGGGTGTGCAGAAGAGAGTGGCCGTGGCAAGGCTGAGGCTGCTGTCTCTAGAAAGGCCCACCTGCAGGGCCGGCCCTGGGCTGGCACCTGGAAACTTTGATTTGGGGAGAATTCCCACCATTCCCAGAACTAAGATAAAGATCTAGAACATCCTGAAACCTAGATATAAATCAAACCCTAGAAACAATGCAATCTAGGAGATAGAGGTGCCCAACCCTCAACCTGGTGACCCCTGCTACCTATTCCAGCCAGATGCCACCTAGCCTCTGCTGAAAGCTCTCCTGCAAGGGCAACTCCACCTGGACACAGTTCCCGGCCTTCAGAACCTCTGCCTGGTGGAGAAATGACGATTCCAGAGGTGCGGGGTAAGATACAGGATGTACCGGGGAATGCCAAAGGCAAACCCTGGGGATGGTGGCCCACTCTCAAGTACAGAGGACAGCCCACTGATGGGCGACGCATCTGTAAACATTTCAAAAACTATCTATCTATCCATCCATCCATCCATCCATCCATCTATCTACCTATCTATCTATCTATCTATCTATCTAGAGATGGAGTCTCGCTCTGTTGCTCAGGCTGGAGTGCGGTGGTATGATCTCGGCTCACTGCAACTCTGCTTCCGAGGTTCAAGCAATTCTCATGCCTCAGCCTCCCACGTAGCTGGGATTACAGGCATGCGCCACCACACCCATCTAATTTGTGTACTTTCAGTAGAGACGTGGTTTCACCACGTTCACCAGGCTGGTCTCAAATGCCTGACCTCAAGTGATCCACCTGCCTCGGACTCCCAAAGTGCTGGGATTACAGGCTTGAGCCACCACGCCCAGCCTTATTATTTTTTTTTTTTTTTTAAGATAGAGGCAAGGTCTCACTATGTTGCCCATGCTGGTCTCAAACTCCTGGGTTCAAGTGATCCTCCTGCCTCAGCCTCCCAAAATGCTGGGATTCCAGGTGTGAGCCACTGCACCTGGCCTGTGTTTTAAATATTTTTAAAGGACTCTTTTCATCAGAGTATTCTTCCTTGAGGGAAGGAAAAGAATTTACTTAGAACCTTTCATCCAGTGCATTCAAGGTCATGCACAAAGCTTCCAAATTCCAACAAGCAAACGCGTGGCGGTGGGGGCAGGGGCAGGAAGGCCCAGGGAAGGAAAATGTCCGATCTGAACCAATTACCATCTCCTGGTCCCCTCGGAGGCATCTGTGGCTTGACTTCTCCCACGCCCCATAGACCCGGCACCGTGTAATAACTGGGCCCGTGTCCTCGCCTGAAAACTGGGGGTCACACGGCCTGTCCTGAAGAACTCTGATGTGATAAACACCATAGAGCAGCATCACATTTTCCTATCGCCCCGACTGCGTCTAGAGAAACACTTGGAGAAGATGGGAGAGCCCTATTTAGCACCCCCACCCTCTCCCTTTCTCCAGAGCTCTTTGCCCGTGCTGTGCCACTCGTCAAGGTTCAGGACACCAAGTCTTACCTTGAAACTGAGGCTTCACCTCCCAAGAGCAAGAGGCAAACCCACCGAACACATGCTTGTCATGGTCCTCGAGGACAGCCACACAGGGTCCCCGGTGAGTGATGTGGCCACAGAGCTGGGAGAAGCTGTGTCCATGGAGCTCAGACGAAAAGAGCAGGCACCAGCGGTGCCGCTGCTCCCGAGGCAGCTGGGCGTTGATGTACATGACAGAGAGGACATCCAGGATGCTCTCAAAACCCCTGCCCTGGTCCACTTGACGCTCAGGGACCAGGGTAGTCAGATCAAGAGACGAGCACAGGATGAGAAAGCCCTTGCAAATGACCACACTCAGGAATATGGCCACATGGGGGACCCTGAACACCCAGTCCTCGATCACAGCTCGGTCACAGTCATAGTCCAGCCACTGGGGCCCCAGAAGTCTCTTGCCATCTAGGGGAAGGGGATGGTCAGCATTAGTGGGGCTGTTATGTCACCATTTAGCTACTATCTAAACCCACACTGATCAGTGTGGGAGCCACGAGTCACATGCAATTACTGAGCACAGAAAACAGGGCTCGTGTGAATTGAGAGGTGCCGTCAGTGTAAAAGGCACACTTGATTTCAAAGATTTGGTATGAAAAAAGAATGTAAAATATCTCAATTTTTAAATATTCATTACATTTCAAAATTGTATTTAGGACATATTATTAGAATCAGTTTTCCCCTGTTTCTCTTTACTCTTTTAACATGGTCCCTAGAAAAGGGAAAATTTCACATGGGGCTTGCTTTGTCTATTGGCCAGCACTGATCTAAACAATCCGACTTCAACACTTTTCTCTCCTCTCCAAGCAGCATTTCAGAACCCCTCGAGATGGCAGTGCCCTGGCAATGGGGCTGGAATAAATGCCTGAGCTACACCTGGAGCCGCTCATCCAAGGGCGTCGGTCCTGCCAAGGTCACTGGAAGGGGAATGTTCCCAGCCAGTCAAGGGGCTGGTAGGGCACTTCCTGGGACTCCTGCAGTTTATCTGGGAAGTGCGGGTTTCATTCGCCACTAATCAGGCTTAATCATACAGCACTTGGAGCCCTATTTTCCATCCCTCACCCACTAAGAGTGGAGGTGACAGTAAGAGCGTGGGAGCACACACCTGGGACTCGAACAGCTGGCTTCAAACCCGAGCTCAGGAACAGCATGACCTTGCCAAGGTCTGGACCTCTGTGCCTCAGTTTCCTCAGGTATAAAATGGAGGTAAGGCCAGAACCTGCCCCGCTCGGTTATTACAAGGAACAGAGGAGCTTTTACGTCTTAAGCTCTTGCTGACACAAAGGCCCCATTTACAGAGATTATAATTCCCAACCTAGCGAAAATTTGACTAAGCTGAAATATTTTGTGTAACTCAGGCCCATTTTATTAAGCAGGAAATGTAAAAGTACTCCCAACTTCTGATAATTCAAAATTCCTATCATTTCTATTTATTTTTCAAACAGTTTCATTTCTCATTACCTATATATTACTTGAAATCTTAAGGATAATTTTAATCGTCTGAATTACCTTTTCTACTTCACTGAAAACTTTAATTTTTATTTTCATGATTCTTCTTTTAAAACATACTGATTCTAGATGGATGAACAGTTTACCCATAAGACGAATTACTGATACTTACTTGTAAAATTCTTTCCAAGTTCCAAATACCTCATCTAAACTAACTTCTGAAATATAACCTATTTTCAAGCTGTACTTTAAAATCTGGCTTTAAAACAAAAGGGCAACATATTTATAAAGTAAGTCTGCTTTGCAAAGTGATTTGCCACAAGGTTTTTTTTTTTAATCCCAATTAAATTTAAATATATACTGCTTCTCACCCAACAACAGAATACACATTCTTCTCAAATGTGCTTTAAACATTATCCAGAAGTGACCATACTATAGGCCATAAATGATGCATCAACAAATTTTAAAGGATTCAAATAATACAAAGTATCTTCTCTAAACATAATGAAATATAATCAAAAATCAGTACTAAAAGGCAATTTGAGGAATTCACAGGCATGGAGAAATTAAATAACACACTGTTACATAGCCAGTAGGCCAAATGAAAAAATCCTAAGGGACATTAGAAAATATTGAGATCAATGAAAATAAAAACATAACCTATCAAAACTTATGGCATGCAGCGAAGGCAGTGCTGAAAGGGAAATGTGCAAGTGTAAATGCTTATTTGAAAAAGAAGATCTCGAATCAATAACCTAGTATTCTATCTTAAGAAACTAGGAAAAGAAGACCAAACAAATTTAAAGCAAACAGAAGGAAGAAAATAAAAGCTAGAGGAAAATAAATAGAAACTAGAAAGACAACAGAAAATTAATGAAACTAAAAGCTGGTTCTTCAAAAAGTACCGACAAAAATGTGAAAACCCTTTAGCTAGACTAAGAGGAAAAAGGGACAAGAGACAAATTATTTAAATCAGTAATGGAAGTGGGGACATCCCTATTGCTTTTGGGAAAATAAGGATTATTTTAAAATATGCCAACAAACTAGAAAACCTAGAAGAAGGTTCGAGGGCTCACGCATTCTGGTTTCAAAGCTTTACTACACAGCTACAGTAATGGAGACAGCAGGTACCGCTCTACAGCAAAAGACCTGCATCACCGCGTCCACGCACACTTGCCTTGCAGCTTCATGTCAGAGAGCAGCTGAGCAGCCAGCACCTGCACCCGGGGGTTGGGCCCTGGGGCTTCCTTCCCAGTCCAGCCTCTCAGCTCCTGTCTGTGGCTTAGCACGTGCACCACAGAGCCAACCAGATCCTCTGTAAACTGTAAGATCACAATTTTACCATTAAAAACAGTTCCACCATATCCTGAGACCTATGTCATGCCCACATGGAGAAGGGCAATTTTCTTTAACACCAACTATGATGGGCCACAATGTGGGGAAAGGTCATGCAATGTATGTAGTTACTCGTTTTTCTAATGATGCACTTGGCTGGCCTAGAACTTTTCCCAAAGCCTTTGTCCAGGAGTTCTGACCTCATCCCAACAGTATTGGGGTTTAGGACTCCCCGAGGATGGACAGCTCCACAATGCCTGCTGTCTTCATTGCTCAAACCAACAGGATGATTTGCTGAGGCCCAGGAGCTACCCCCTCCAGAAAATCCCTGATCTCCCCAAATTTGGTTGAGATCTAAGGTTTATTTTGCTGAGTTTTACTTGCTTCCAAAAAGGAAGGCAAGTCTTCCTGTTTCCATAATGATAGAGGGCAAGCAACTGCTTTCTGGAGTTGCAGCTCGCTTCCAACAGGGAAGGGGAATTGGAGGTTTTCCTGCTTCTAAGATGGCAGAGGGCAGTCTGCAGCCTGGGCCCCACTCCTAGGAAAGTAGATGAATTGGGGTTTTGTCTTAAAAATTCTCCTGATGACTAAAACTTAAACAACCAACTGGTCTTCATTTACCAATGGTCTTCTCCTTACCATTAGAGCACTCAGTAATTGTACAAACTGTGTGAGCGTGTGTTTGTTTTGCTGAACTGTTTTTATTTGTGGCTTCTGTTTTTATTGTTTCAGTCTTTTTCCCACTTGGTTTGATCAACTCTACCTGACTTGGTCAAATCCGAGGGAACGTTCCAAATTATAGGGAAACAAGGCCTCTGAATTGGCTAAATTCCCATAGCTGGGGGAAAAAAAAAAAAAAGAAGGAAAGAGCAAGGCCACCAAAAGGAAAAAAACATTTTGACTGCCTTGAGGGGCTTTATTTCCATAACCTTTACTAGCCAGGCCCAAACTAAAAGACCCAGGGCAGCGGCCCACACTCTCGCTGGGCGGCTAAGTTTCTGCCCCGCCTTTTTTTTTTTTTTTTTTTTTTTTTTTTTTTTTTTTACCTCAACAGCCTGAGTTTGGTTCCTACATCAAAATCCTTTCTGGTTTGATATTTGTGTTACTTTTGAAATACCAGTCATTTTTGTCCCAGGTAAAATACGGTAGTAAAAGATTTAAAATGATTTTTTTAAAGAGCTCAATGGTTAAAGTCAGCTTAATTAAAAGCTAATCAAGATGTGTGTGTGTGTGTGTGTGTGTGTGTGTGTGTGTGTGTGTATTTAAAGGGACATAATGCCTTTTTGTCTCTCCTAGGGTCTTGTTTTTAGAAAAAAGAAGATTTATTTCCTTCTCAATCAACTGAATTTTTTTCTCCATTTGCTTCTGCGTGTCTCTCCTTCCTCTTGCTACCCTCCGCTGTATGAAGGACCTAAAATAATGTCTAAGAGTCTGGGATTCCTTAAAGAAAACAGAGAAGGTGCCACACTCGTTTCTGAGAGAAATTTGTTTCTTTACAGAACCCCAAAGTTATAAACAGACCAGTTCCTCTCAGCTCTTAAGCTGCTTTTCTACTGTGTTACCTGATTTTTGTCTAAAAAAGTTATTACTACACAGCTACTCTTTAATGAAACCAAAAGTTGGTTCATTGAAAAGATCAACAAAAATATGAAGAATCTTTAGCTACACTGACAGAAAAAAGGGAGACAATTCAAATTATTTAAATCAAAAACAGAAGTAGGGGGCTGGGCGTGGTGGCTCACGCCTGTAATCCCTCCACTTTGGGAGGCCAAGGCGAGTGGATTACTTGAGGTCAGGAGTTCGAGACCAGTCTGGCCAACGTGGTGAAACTGTATCTCTAAAAATACAAAAATTAACTTTGGGAGGCCAAGGTGGGCAGATCATTTGAGGTTAGGAGGTCGCGACCAGCCTGGCCAACATGATGAGACCCCCGTCTCTACTAAAAATACAAAAATTAACCAGGTATGGTGACACACACCTGTAATCCTACCTACTTGGGATGCTGAGGCAGGAGAATCGCTTGAGCCTGGGAGGCAGAGGTTGTAGTGAGCTGAGGTTGTGCCACTGCACTCCAGACTGGGCAACGGAGCGAGACCCTGTCTTAAAAAAAAAAAAAAAAACGTCTGGGCACGGTGACTCACGCCTATAATCCCAGCACTTTGGGAGGCCGAGGCAGGTGGATCACGAGGTCAGGAGATCAAGGCCATACTGGCTAACATGGTGAAACCCCATCTCTACTAAAAGTACAAAAAATTACCTGGGCGTGGTGGCGTGCACCTGTAGTCCCAGCCACTTGGGAAGCTAAGGCAGGAGAATGACGTGAACCCAGGAGGCGGAGCTTGCAGTGACTGAGATCGCGCCACTGCACTCCAGCCTCGGTGAAGGCGCAAGACTCCGTCTCAAAAAAAAAAAAAAGAAAAGAAAAAAGAAAACAGATTTAAATTTTTTTAAATTAAGGTTATCATATCCATGTAACATTTTGTATTGTTTTTAAAGTCCTTTTGCTGTTAAGTTACAGGGCTGTGATTCCTAGGGCTAAAAGAGACTTGAATCCTGCTAAATCTTCAACACTGAAAACAATTAAAGCCTCATTTTGAGACCCAGGAAAAGATGGCAATCAAACTGTGTTCACGAGACACAGGGCCTGAAATTTAAAATATTTAACCCCTCTAGGCCCAGGGACTATTGTGGAAGAGGTGGATGTATGAGATTGTAAGGGCCGATTTTGAGAGAGAAAATTAGTTCAGAGGTTCTCTGTAAATTAAATATTAATATCAAACATACACTGATCCAACACCAGCATCTGGGTCCTTGTGTCAGATTAACAAGGTTTTCTTGGAGCATAACCCACCTTTTCATTTAAAGAATTATAAAAGGTTATAAAAAGGTTTATACAAATTACATCTTATGGTCAAGATGATTAAAATTTAATAGATTTGTTTATAAGACTTCACAGAGATTTAAGTGGCCTCATACTGTCTTTATTAGGGCTTATTGTTTGGGAAATTAAGTCTCCTCTCTCAAAAAAATAAAGGTTTTTACCCTTTTTTTCAAAACCTTTGAGTTAGCACTTTGGCTAAATGACTTATTTTACAATGACCTGTGATCTTATTTTGTGATATCAAGTGTTTTATTTTATTTATTTATTTATTTATTTATTTTTGGAGATGAAGTCTGACTCTGTCACCCAGGCTAGAGTGCAGTGGCACAATCTTGGCTCACTGCAACCTCCACCTCTCGAGTTCAAGCGATTCTCCTGCCTTGGCCTCCCGAGTAGCTGGGACTACAGGTGTGTGCCACCACGCCTGGCCAATTTTTGTATTTTTGGTAGAGACAGGGTTTCACCATGTTAGCGAGGCTGGTCTTGAACTCTTGACCTCAGATAATCCACCCACCTTGGCCTCCCAAAGTGCTGGCATTACAGGCGTCAGCCACTACGCCCAGCCTATATCAAGTGTTTTAAACTTCTGATATTTGACAAACTTTCCAGAATCAAATTCAAAATTCAGTCCTTTTGACCTCAATTATTGTTTTGATATTAGGTCCCTTGAGCTCCAAGGGAGACATATTGGGCTTACTTGGTATAATACAATCATACAGGAAGCACTGTCAAATATGAAATGGTGTTTAACCATCTTTGGACCACATTTATGTAAGTGTGTTATTAGTATGTGTTCCAAAATTCTATGAGATTCCTGTGATTCTGATGTGTCTTAGTATATGTTATCAGTAGTAATTACTATTATGTAAAGTTGTTGTATGCCAGAGAAGTACCCAAATTTCCTTGTCAATTGTGTCTTTAACCATGGCTGTTCTAAGACTTTTGACATCCACAATTGTTTTACTTTGATCCTTTTATAGGGCAGTTTATAGTCAGCTATAGAACTCTGAAGAGTACTCTTAAATATCGGTTCCGATAACTTCAGAGATTGTGCTGTTGGAATAGAAAGGAAAACTTCTAGGACTCATAGGGGGCTGACGTATTCATGAGGATTGCCGATCCAATATCAAGCAAGCAAGAAGTTAATTGCGTGGACCGAACTAACAGATGACCGAAATAATCTTTTATGACATTTTGTTTACAACATTAGCTGTTTTTTTTCCAGAGTCAAGAAAACTTTCTCTTTTAAGCTATTTACAGCTTTTAACAATTAAAATATACTCTAGTGAGCAAAATTTAAAACATAATCCCTTTCTGTCTACCTAATTTCTCTAAAATTTGGAAACTATTTGTGAGTATTCTTAATTTATGGCAATATAATTATTTGCATACATTCAATAAGAATCTGTTTTCTTTTATAACAGGACATAATTGGAAACACTGGTTATTTCATGAAGGCTTTGACTGGAACAGCATTTTCAGATTACCTTGAGAAAATGAAGCTGACCTGTAGAGCTGATAAAAGCCACTGGACAAACTGGCCTCACACTGTCCTTTACAGGGTCCTGATCTGTAAGTAAAGGATGTCACTTTCTGACAGGCCCAAATACTCCAAGTTTTCTTGGGACCTCAAAGAGAGAGGAATTCACCCAAGTCACATGGGTATCTACAGGCACAGATAAATTCTTGGCTAGGCTTGGAGCTTTTAGAAAGGTCTAATCTAAAAAAATGAAATAAAATAAAATAAAATAAATAAAAATGTCTAATCTCAGACTCCTTAAGGAAAAGTTCTAGCAAAGATAATTCAAAGAGAGTCAGTGTCTATATGGCAAATTATCACTGTTGCTGCACTTTATGCAAAATAATCAAGCTAAGTATAATTAGACTACAACTTATTTTACAAATAAGTTGGTCCTACTATGATTTTGTCTTTAATGAAAGTGGGGAACTGAAGAGAGAAAAATGTTTCAAAATAAACCATAGTACACTGGTTATTGGATTCTAGCTTTGACCAGTGTCAATTTTTATTATTTTCTACAATTTGGACTGAACCCTAGAATTTTTTCCTGGCTACAAGTCTTTAAAATAACATTTCAATCTTTCTCCTTCCTTCTATTCCTTTTTTTCCCCCCATTTTTCTGATTTGAAATCATTAAAAAATAAGCTGTGCTCTTCTTAAAGCTCTGAGAACTAAAGCTAGACAACTTAAACTCTGGAGTAACAGCGACCTATTTATATACAGAACCATTTTCGTACCTGCCTGCTGATATATGGACTTCAGAGTAATATGGCCTATATGAGTTTTCCAGTGTTGTCTTCCCTTTTTTGTTTGTTGTTTTTCTCTCTTCCTCCCCCACTATTTTTTCTTCACGGGACATGAGACTTCACAACCTGGTAAAAATGAGCTTACCTAAAAACATATCTGACTAGGAATAAACCATTCTGGACATGACAGATCAGACAAAACCCAAGCCCTGAGACTCATTTTCCTCTAAAATCCTTTCTCCAAAAGATTTCTGAAAGACAAAGCAGGAAAAAATAAAAACTCAGGACTCCAATTCACTCTGCCAAAAGGAAAAATTAAGCTAAAAGCTGAGTCTTGCAAGAAACTGCCTTTCCCTTTGTTCCTAAGCAGACAGCTACAGATAAAAGGTTTAAAATCTCCACAGCTGGCCAGCGTGGTGGCTCATGCCTATAATCCTACCACTTTGGGAGGCCAAGGCAGGCGGACCACCTAAGCTCAGGAGTTGGAGACCAGCCTGGCCAACGTGGTGAAACCCCGTTTCTACTAAAAATACAAAAATCGGCCAGGCACGGTGGTGTGTGCCTGTAGCCCCAGCTACTCAGGAGGCTGAGGCAGGAGAACCACTTGAACCTGAGAGGCAGAGGTTGCAGTGAGTCAAGATCGCGCCACTCAACTCCAGCCTGGGTGACAGATCAAGACTCCATTTCAAAAAATAAATAAATAAAATAAAATCTCCACAGGTAGTGACTATGCTCACCTGATCATATGTAAAGTGCTGATTTACTGAGTGCAAGACAAACACACATTGACTATTTCCCTACCTGCTCCCTTCCTCTTAACAAAATATGGATTCAGTAATGGGACCAGACCCTCCCTCCTTCCCCTGCAGTCTGCTTTTCCGCTTTAAGTCCTGAAGCCCTCAAAATCATCTTTGGAGAAAGGCACAGGCCTCTCTCCCAGACATGCCCTTAACCTTGGCAAAATAAACTCCGATTAATTGAAACCCAGCTCAAATACTTTTTGGTTTACTCCTCCATGTGCCATGTAACTGGCCTCCATCCCCCCACCGATGGTCACCAAGACTGCTGAGGAGGCTGCAAAGGACCTCGCGGCCTCACTACCTTTTGGACTTCTCTGGCCTTCACGGGACCTTCTGTGGCAGAAATCATTTTCATAATCATGAGACTCTTCTCCTCGGAGTTTCCTTTCAACAGGTGGGACATGGATGCTGTGAACTGCTCCTGGGACACGTTCTCACTGGGTCCCTTCGCCTTCCCTGTCAGGTCGACCCTCCGCATGCCATCATACAGCCTGGTGACCATCTCTGGGGGAAGAGCTTCCCCGACGTGGTTCTGCCGGGGACAAGCAGAAAAATATGGTTAGACAGTGCACAAGTTGAACTTGGTTACTAGGAGTTATTATTTTAGGCAGATAGAGAGGAAAAGGGGTCCTTGGGAAGTTTTCGTTTTTTAAAGCATCTCTGAAAAAGTTTCTTGTAAAGCCCCGTCTCTTAGAGCCAGGCCGGAAACTTTGATATGCAAATGCCGGCCATTAGAAACTGGGTCCACCCACCAAGGTGATTCCCATGGCTTTCTTGCCCTTTCCCCACATGTTCCTGGCAACATGGCCGCCTCCACATATCCCCACGTGTATAGAACATCCATGGTGCCCTGCATTTACTTATTAAAAGGCTAGGGTGGGAGGGCCAGCTTTTTCATGGGCTACGTGAATGACATACCTGGTCAAACCAATCCAGAGCCCTGTGCAAATCAGACATCGCCTCCTCCAGCCTCTGCATATATACCTGGCTGGTGTCCACCGCACTTGAGGACCTCTTCTTTTGGCTTTGGAGCTACCCCTCCCTCCGTCTCTGTACAGGGGAGCCTCTTCCTTCCGCCTTCTCCTTCCTTCTTGCCTATTAAACTCTCCGCTCCTTAAAGCCACTCCACGTGTGTCCATGTCATTTTATCTAAACTGGCATAAGGACCAAGAACCCTGGTGTTCTTCCACTCATCGTGAGCCGTATCAGTAGTATCACAGGAAAATAAGTAGGGGGCCCAGACCAACCTCGGCCACTTCACAATGCTGCTGTCAGCTCCCAAATGCTCCTGCATCACCAGGATGCAGGACGTTCTCTCACCGAAGGGCCTCACACCACCTAAGCGTCCTGGGTGTAGCTCACTTTGGCCATCAGACTCTCCCACAATCTGCTCCCATCCTGCCTCCAAACTCTCCTGTCTTGTCATTCCTGCCTCTGGCCACCATCTGAGCTTCACTCTACTTTGAACATCATCTTCATTCTAGATTCTAGCAGCTGCCATTTGCATGTCGGAATTTATTAACACATGTAACATATGTCTGTGTACAGCTAATTTCGTCTCTACGTTAGGGGTTTCCAAATATACCAGCTTTTACTTCCTGTCCATGTTCCTTGGGCTCAGCATGTATTTTTCATTCATTTTTATTTAAATTTAGGTTTTTTTTGGTTTTTTGTTTGTTTGTTTGTTTGAGACAGGGTCTCCCTCTGTCACCCAGGATGGAGTGTGGTGGCTCAATCACAGCTCACTGGATGTAACCCCCTGGCCAGTTTCCTCATCTGCTCCCATGCTGCACATTCTAGAAGAGGGAGGAGGCTGCTAGGATGGCTGCCTGGACTCCCAGGAAGATGAGCTGACGGCATCTCCTTGTCAGTGTCTTGCCTCAGTCCGAGCACTCAAACCTGCAGCTGAGAGCCCCATGGAACGGGGAAAAACATGGGCAAATGGGCAGTTTTAACTCCCTGCAAGATGAGCCTTGAATCTAAAATGTGATTATTTTGTTAGGAATATCATGAAATTCCTAGCCATCAAACACATACACATTCTAGAGGCAACGGTGCACCTGACACGTCATGGTTCCTGGACCGACGAGTCCAGGAGGGCAGACCCATCACCGCGTCTGTCTCCCCATCTCTGGGAGGGCAGTCAGGAGGGACGTGGTTCAAGAGACACACGAGGCAGGCTATCTCTCTCCTCTGATGTTCATCTCAAGTTAGAAATGTCCCCAAATGTCGTGTGAATCATTCATTATCTACTCCAGGTTCCTTTCTGTAGTACAGATAAGAGACTATTGATTTCAAAAACGGGGAGGGATGCGTTTAGACACTGTCTATGGCTATTTTCACACAGTAACGGCAGAGCAGAGGAGCTACAACAGAGACCGCATAGCTCACAAAGCCAAAACTAGGTCACATCTGGCCCTTTACAGAAAACCAACTTTTCAGTGTTGCCATCCATCCCATTACAAAAACACGAAAGCAGATTCTGGCCTGAAAGCCACAGTTTGCAGACCCCTGCTCCCAACTAAACATGAACCACGGGTTGTTACTCTTGCCTGTAGTGCCTTCAGAGAGAAGGATTTGGATGAGACATTCGGGCTGTTTTTATCTGATGACAGAGCATCAAACAATTGATCAATCTCTGCCTGTTCCTCAGGAAGAAACTGTGAACAAAAGCTCCGCCCCACACGGCTTCTGCTGTTCCCCATCTGTCCTGATATCTGGCAGAATTCTCTGCAGAAGGAAAAGACACAACATTAGAAAAATCAAAATTTAATAATCACAGAAAATAAATGTTGAGAATTATATGGTCAAGTTAATATATACTGATATAGCCACAAAATGTAGCTAAAACACATCAGAGCTACATAATACTGGGTTTTGGGTTTTGTTTTTGTTTTGTGTTGCTGAGGTGGGATCTCACTCTGCTGACCAGGCTGGAGTGCAGTGGTGCCATCACAGCTCCCTGCAGCCTCAACCTCCTGGGCTCGGGCAATCCTCCCCACTCAGCCTCCTGAGTAGCTGGGACTACAGGACCACACCAGGATGCCTGGCTAATTTTTTTTTTTTTGTCTTCTGTAGAGATGGGGTCTTGCTATGTTGCCCAGGCTGGTCTCCAGCTTCTGGCCTTAAGTGATTCTCCTGCCTCAGCCTCCCAAAGTGTTGGGATTAGAGATGTGAACCACCGTGACTAGCTAATATTGTTTTGATGTGACAGAAATCAATAGCTGATACAAACAAAGCTGGAAAAGCCCATCGTGACGCCCATGACCTACTGAAACACACCCATAATTGTCACAAAGTCTGGGTTTGAGAACATAGTGCCCAAGCTAATATAATCAAAGGCAGGACAAAAAAATCTGTATTTTAATCAATCTAAATATTCATTCTTTAAAACCAGAGTTAGAAAATATAAATCAAAGGCTGAACAATCACCTGTATTTGAATAAACTCACCTTGAGAATACTGCTACACACTAGTTGGGAAGTTTTTCCTTTGTGATCCTGGCTCTGCCTCCTCCTAGCTGTGTAGTCTTGGGCAAGCTACTAAAACGCTCTCTGCCTCAATTTCCCCATTTGTAAAGCAAGAGGAGTCACAGCCCAGCCTCAGAAGATTGCCGTGATTATCAACCAAGTCAACCAAAGCAAAGGGCCAAGACCTGCCTGGCACTGACCGTGCCTGTATGATCCCGGCCCGTGAGCCTCATCTGTTTGAGGCGCTGGGGTAGCGTTAACAGAGACTGGCACCAAGAGCAGGTGACCTGGGGCCTTGTTCACTGTCACAAACCTCATTATAGGAAAAGACAAGTGTCAAGCAATCGGGGGATTCAAACAAAAAAGCATGGTTGGAAATGAAAACAAACAAAAAATCTCTCAAGAGGTAAGGTGCTGTGACTGTTAATTCCTGGCCCTGGACTTTTTCCGGAAACCCAGTGTCAATGAGACTGCTGGAGAGAAAACGACCTTCTCCCACACAGGCACCTTGATAAACAAAGTCACTGCAGCAGTAAACTTTCCCCCAAGGTATTTAGCCAAGGGGGAAAGGCCATGCTACTAGGGTGGGGCATGAGTCATGGTCCGCACCAAGCCATGACAACTCAAACCCTCAAGGGGTAACAGGGTAATCAGGATCTTTCTCTTCATTGCGATGAGATTCACATAAAATTAACCATTTTAAAGTGTACAGTGGCATTTAGGACCTTCACAATACGGTGCAACCCTCACAGATCCAAAACATGTTCATCACCCTCGGAGAAAACCCTGTACACGAGCAATCTCCTCTCATTCCTCCCTCCCACATGCCCTGGCCATCACCCGTCTACTTTCTGTCCTGATGCATTTCTGTATTCTGGGCATTTCATATAAATGCAATTATATGGCCAGGCGTGGTGGCTCACACCTGTCATCCGAGCACTTTGGGAGGCCAAGGCAGGAGAATCACTCGAGCCCAGGAGTTTGAGACCAGCCACAGCAACGTAGCAAGACCTCATCTCTACTAAAAACGTAAAAATTCGCCAGGCACGGTGGTATGTGCTTACAGTCCTAGCTGCTCCAAAGGCTGAGGCGGGAGGATCGCGTGAGCACAGGACGTCAAGGCTGCAGTGAGCTATGATCGTGCCACTGCACTCCAGCCTGGGTAAAAGGGCAAGACCCCGTCTCTAAAAAAATAATAAATGGAATTATATGATGTGTGGCCTTTTGTGATTGTCTCTTTTCATTTAGCATCGTGTTTTTGAGGCCCACCTATGTTGTAGCGCGGGTCAGCATTCCACTCCTTTTTATGGCTGATTAGTATTTTGTTGTATGGATGGACCACCTTTTGCTTATCCATCATTAGCTGAAGGACACTGGGGCTGTTTCCACCTTCCGGCTATCATGAATAGTGCTGCAATGAACATCTGAGTACCTGAGTCCCCCTGTTCCAATTTCCAGTGTCGACACCTAGGAGTGGACTTGCTGGGTCACATGGTAATTCTGTTTAACATTCTGAGGGGCCGCCAAGTGCTCTCCACTCTATAATCCCATCAGTAAAGCATGAGCTTCCATCTATCCACACCCCCACTAAAGCGAGTTATTTCTCCGCCTTTTATATGACACCCATCTTCGCAGCGGATGGGCCTTTAACAGGCCTCACTGCTAATGTGCCCCTCTGCACAGGAAGTCTCCACTGGGGGGCTCCTTGGAAGGGGATGGGGGTGCACTTTACACAGACAGGCTGGAAACGAGGGCTTACCCGACCCCGTTTGGGTGCTCACCCACGCCCCATCTGATCTCACCGCTTCCACTCCTCACGTTTCGCAGCAGCAGAAGAGCCCAGAAGGAAAACCTCCAGCCTGGACTCAATGTCCAGCGGCAGGCGGCTGTCCCCAGCTCTGAAACAGAGGGGCTGCACCGGCTGAGTCTGGGTGCTGCAGGGACACAGCCCAAGCAGCCAAAACAAAGCAGACCCACCCTCTGCATCAACTCGAAGAGCCTGCAAGGTGGGCCACACCATCTCCTGAGGTCAGGAGTTCGAAACTAGGTTGGCCAACGACATGAAACCCCATCTCTACTAAAAATACAAAAAAATTAGCCAGGCATGGTGCTGTGCACCTGTAATCCCAGCTACTTGGGAGGCTGAGGCAGAAGAATTGGTTGAACACGGACAGCGGAAGTCGCAGTGAGCCGAGACCACGCCACTACACTCCAGCCTGGGCAACAGAGTTAGACTCGTCTCAAAAAAAAAAAGAAAAAAAAAAAAAAAAAAAAGAGGGGAAACAGAGACAAGGGCATGGGGATGGGTGTGGCCTGGGGGTGTAACAAGAAGAGTGAAGAGTGGAAAAGGTCCCAAAGGTCACATTCCAGCTGAGTCTTCAGAGACTCACAGGTGATTCACCAGGAAGTGGGAACAGCACGCACGGGGCATAAGCAAGAGCGTTGGGATCAGCGAGGCAAGGGTGGAACTCAGGGCACGTGGGGGAGGGCAGCAGAGGGCTGCAGCAGAAGGGGGCCCAGGCCTGACTCCACCCAGCCCCTCACTTCCATCCCACCCCAACTCCCACTTTCTGCCAGAAACAGGCTCCCCCACTGTGGTCGGAGAACAGCAGCAGGGTGCAGCCTGGCCAGCCCTCACCAACCCCAGACAGCCGGGAGAAAGGTGCAGGGCTGGGCAAGTGCCAACAGGCAGGACAGGAACCCAGAAATGCACAGAAGCGGCGCAGACCAGGGCAGGCCCAGGAGATGACAGGAAAGGCTTGGACGCAGAGCCAGGCTGGCAACGCCACTTTTTCAAGCAGGAGAGAGGAGGTTGCATGGGAGGCCCCAGTAGGAACCCCAGGGCTGGTGCCAGTGAGGTGGGAAGGTGGGCAGCCCCTAAGAACACAGCGCTGTCCACAGCACTGCCATTCTTAGTACCTGCAGAGTGCTGGTGAAGGGACACGTCTCAGAACGGCTCAAGGACAGCCCGTCTCCTTTGAGAGCCCCGTGCCAGGCAAGATAAAGAAATGGCAATGGTGTGGTGGCTCACGCCTGTAATCCCAGCACTTTGGGAGGCCGAGGCGGGTGGATCTCCTGAGGTCGGGAGTTCGAGACTAGCTGGACCAACATGGAGAAACCCTGTCTCTACTAAAAATACAAAATTAACCGGGTGTGGTGGTGCATGCCTGTAATCCCAGCTACTTGAGAGGCTGAGGCAGGAGAATTGCTTGAACCCAGGGGGCGGAGGTTGCAATGAGCCAAGATCATGCCATTGCACTCCAGCCTGGGCAACAAGAGTGAAACTCGGTCTCAAAAAAAAAAAAGACAATGCACGCTGGTGCTGGTGCTGACAGCGCACATCAAGGTTGCTTGTACCAGTGGAGCTCGACTGGAGCAGTTTCGTCCCCCAGGGGCATTTGGCAATGACTGGAAAAGTGTGTGGTTGCCACAACTGGGGGAGGGGAGTGCCGTTGGCATCTAGCAGGCAGAGGCCAGGGATACTGCTAAAAATCCTACAGTGCACAGGATGGCCTTACGACGAGGAAGTGTCCGTCCCAGACATCGGTAGGGCTGAAGGTGAGAAAACCTGGCTTCTGAGGATGTAGGGCAGCGGAACAAAATGGAAGCGGAACTTGATACAAGGGAACCCACAGAAGTCTCGAGGCCAATGTAGGGTTGTGTTATGCACAGCTTTGCAGAGAAGAGGCCACCCCATGTACCCAGGTGTACTGTGAAAGTCCCATGACACCGAGAAAACTTGCCAGGGACTGAAAGCTTTCCATCATCAAGCCTATAATCCCAGAACTTTGGGAGGATCATTTGAGGCCAGGAGTTTGAGACCAGCCTGGGCAACATAGTGAGACTTCGTCTCTGCCAAAAATACAAACCTCAGCCGGGTGTGGTGGCGTGTGACTATAGTTCCAGCTATTCAGGAGGCTGAGGTGGGAAGATCGCTTGAACCAGGAGGCAGAGGTCGCAGTGAGCCAAGATCACAACAGTGCACTCCAGCCTGGGTGACAGAGCAAGACTCTGTCTCATAAAAACACAAACAAAAGTTCCAGCAGCCCATAATAAGTGACCAAGATGTTTTGCTTGACCAGACTTTAGTCAGGCTCCTGGGCCCATCTGTGTACCTCTTTGTAAAATCTGGTTTTAGCAAAACAAAAAACAAACAAACAAAAAAACCCACAAAACCACTCATCCTTGATATTTGATCACCATTATCTGTTCACTTGCTATCTAACCAGGTTTAATGCTTAGGTTAGGGATATCCAATCTTTCAGTTTCCCTGGGCCACACTGGAAGAACTGTCTTGGGCCACACATAAAACCCACTAACAATAACTGATAAGTGCATATATCTACATATATGGTAAAAAAAAAATCTCATGTTTTAAGAAAGCTTATGAATTTGTGTTGGATGTCATTCAAAGCCGCCTTAGGCCACATATGGCCCACGGGTTGGACGAGCTTGCCCTAGGTGATGTCTGATCACCCTGGCCTGCCTTCAGTAACAAACTGCTAGGTAAGCTTACCCAGAATCCACCCTAGCGCCCTGATGTTTCCTCAGTCATCTTCCATCCACTGATCCCCACCCTGCTTCCTGGCTTCCCACTTGCCCATGCTATAATCAGAGTTGAGCCCAATCTCTCTCCTTTACTACAAAATCCCATTGCTGTGGTCCCTATACCCATTGCAATGGTCTTCAATAATTAATGTGCTTTTAATAAGCATCATTAATTAATTTCTTTAACATAAGGTTGAGAAGATTAAATAAGGTAACCCAGGGCATTTGATCTGCTTACTGGAGGTCAGAGACAGAATAATGGGCCCAAGACAACAGAGAATGGCTCCTTGGGATCTTGTCTTAGAACAAGAGAAACTGCCCTGCTTGGAAGAAACGGAAGGTTGCTCTGCCTCCGTGATGGAGGGGTGGACAGGGACCGATTGTCTGCAGGATGGCCCCCAAGGTTCCCACTAGTATCCTAGGAATGGCTTAGTCACCTCCTGCTCAGAGCTTCTCCAACAGGCTGTTACATGGCTGCTTCCCACCCTGGCTGCCAAGCTCCAACTCTCTACTCCAAGGGCCCCGCATCCCTAGAGCCACACAAGGGTCCCTCCGTACCCCCACAAGCTGGGGAGATTCCAACTGCCTCATCTGGACAGGCTTCGAAGTCCTGTCTGTGTCTCAGAGCCCAGAGGCCCTTGTGCGAAGGGGCAGCTTGAGCCTGGGCAAGAAGTTCCTGTGGGCCAGAAGGTGACCTGTCCTGTGCTGGCCACCTACATGGCCTGGGA
The DNA here is from genome assembly GCF_000001405.40 of Homo sapiens. Taxonomy (NCBI): domain Eukaryota; kingdom Metazoa; phylum Chordata; class Mammalia; order Primates; family Hominidae; genus Homo; species Homo sapiens. The sequence goes on from NC_000016.10 coordinate 84,504,128, forward strand.
ACAGTTATCAGCTCACTGTCCTGGAAAAGCCCAGATGGGTGTGGTCAGAATACAAGAAGGAAAACCCCCTCCACACACACTTCAGTGTCTACCCCAGACTCGCCTCCTCCGTGGAGGCACCCCTCCCTTTCCGCGTCTACACAGGCTCTGAATCCCCCTTCAACACGGCTGGCCTTGGCCCTGGGGGAAGCACCTCGCCACCCTCTTACCTTGACCACATAAACAGCGGGAGGTGCAGGATGATTCTGATCCCCCCCAGGAGACCCTCCCTCCATCCCGCCCCGCTGTCCCCACCCCTCACCTCCCCGCAGCCTTCACCTCTCCCTCCCCCGACCCGAGGGCCTGAAGAGGCGTGGGAGGCCAGGGAGGGGCAGGGCCCAGGCCTACTCTGGACCCGTCTGCTCCAGTCCCCCGACTCAGCTGGGCCTGCGCCTCTGGGTCAGCTCACTGCGAACCTCAGCCCAGGTACCTACCCTGCCGGGCTTCCTGGTGCTGTCCGGTCCGGTCCAGCAGCCCACGGGCTCCTCTCGAGAGCCGCCCCTTCCCTGTTGCCAGGCAACATTGCTGAGGGGCAGTCATTTGGTCCAATCGTGGAAGCGGAGGTGTGGGGCGGAACCCAAGAGAGGAGTCAGCCAATGGTGACGCGCCTCACAGGGAGTGAGCCGAACCCGGTGGGTGCGGCTCGGGGCGGGGCCGCGGTCTGCGGGAGGAGCGGCTGCAGGCCCGGGAATCCGGCCCGGCTGCGTGCGTACCAAGGAGGCGCCTGGAGAGGGCGGCCAATGACTCAGGCCAGGCCAGGCCAGCAGTGGTACCTGGGGAGAAGGGGTGTCTGGGCTGGGCGCTGGAGCGGAGTAGCCAGGGTGTGGGAGATCCTGGGGGAGAGGCTGAGCTTGGGGGTGAAGACACCCGGGGGAGGAGAGTGGCCCATGTGGAGCCCATGCAGAGGCCTCTGCAGTGCAGCCTCCTGGGCCCCAGGCAACTCTCCCCTGACTCCCCGGCCTGCTGGTCCTGGCCTAGAGCCTCGGGTCCGCCTCCCCTCGGGCCTCCCTCTGCCAGCTGCCCCTGCCTCGCTCTTCCCTGGCACCAGGTCCTTCCCGGCAGCCATCAGGCGCCAGCTCCACAGCCTGGCTAAACAGACTCCCTCCACCCCACGTGCGCCTCTTCAGCCGGTTCCCGTTCACTCCAAGACGTCTGAACCTGTCACCCCACTTCTTCAGCTCGTTCCTTCTCAAACCCACCGAAACCTGGTCCCGGGGGCCTGCTCACTACATCCGAGGTGCGCTTTGGGTCCTCGCAGGCAGCATTTGGCGCTTGGTGATCGTGCTCTCATCAGACCTCTCTCTTGGGCACCCCGGCGCCCATTCCTGGCCCTGGCTCGCTCGCTGTCCCTGGTGGTCTTCCCTGGGCCCTTCTGGCTTCTGCCCTGGAGTTTCTCGACTTCTCCCTACTCTCTCCACCCCACGCATCCTCCCTGGGGTCCACCTTCCTGCAGATTCAGCTCCCGCATGTCCATGGTACCAGTTCTCTCCCCTGCACGGCCTGCTGGTTTTCCAGC